>NC_000009.12:111970552-112595552 GCF_000001405.40 Homo sapiens | reverse complement strand
AGTAGCTGGGGTTACAGGTATGCACCACCACACTCGGCTAATTTTTGTGTTTTTGGTAGAGATGGGGTTTCACCACGTTGGCCAGGCTGGTCTCGAACTCCTGACCTCAGGTGATCCACCCACCTTGGCCTCCCAAAGTGCTGGGATTACAGGTGTGAGCCACTGCACCCGGCCAGCTTAATTTCTTAGATTAAATAAAAATCAGGAAATCTAATGTTTTCTGCTGGCACCGCAATGGATCACTGTGTGACTATCTTGGAGAGCATTGAGCCTTATCACTCAGTGCTATAACTCAGTGCTATAGCTTCGTCACTTCATTATGGATTATCTTGTATCTAATTGTTTTTCTATTATTGTCACAGTTATGTGTCCTTTTATATGGAAATTAATAAAATTCTGCTTCTATCAATCACTTTGAGATATGAAGGAGGTCAGAAACAGGTTTATTTATGTATCACAGGTAAAGTGAAAATATTAATATTGATCACTGCTAACTTAAGTGAAAATATATGGATGTCCCTATGTTTTAAAACTCTTATATTAAATATAGCAGAAACACATAAAAAGATGCTCAAGATTGTTAGAGAAATGCAAATTAAAACCACAATGAGGTACCACTTCACACCACTAAGATGCCTATAATCAAAAGTCAGATAGCAACACATGTTGGCAGGGATGTGGAGAAACTGGACCCACATACATTACTGGTGGGAATGTAAAATGTCACAACCACTTAGGAAAACAATTTGATTGGTAATTCATCAAAAAGTTAAAATCGTTAGCATACGACCTATCAAGTTCACTCCTAGGTATATCCCCAAGATAATTGAAAAACCTATCCACCCAAGAGCCTGTATATGACTATTCATAGCAAAGCATTATTCATAATAGCCAAAATGTGAAAACAACCCAAATACCCATCACTTCCTGAATGGATAAACAAAGTGTGATGTATCTGTGTATGAGGGATATTATTCAGCTGTAAGAAGAAATGAAGTACTGATAGATACTATAACACAGGTATATCTTGAAACATTATGCTAAGAAACCACATTGTACACCTATTGTACAATTGCACTTACATAAAATGTCTAGAATAGGCAAATCCATAGACTAGGGGGTCCCAGGGGCTGAGGAGGGAGTAAGAGAGGCAATGGGGTAATGAAATGTTCAGGAATTACACAGTGCTGATGGCAGCACAACAATATACTTGAAACCACTGAATTGTATACTTCATTTTAATTGTGCACTTTAAAGGATGTATTTTATGGTATGGATTATATCTCTGTAAATTGGAAAACATTTGGCAGAAATTGCTGCTGTCCAGCAAAATCTGTCTTCCCACCTTCCAGAACTTTCCAACTATACTACATTTAAAAGTCTCCCTTGGCTGGGCTCACTGGTTCACATCTGTAATCCCAGCACTTTGGGAAGCTGAGGTGGAAGGACTGTTGGAAGCCAGCAGTTTGAGACCAGCTGGGGCAATGTAGTGAGACCCTGTCTCTACAAAAAACAATAAAAATAGCCAGATGTGGTAGTGCATGCCTGTAGTCCTAGTTGCTTAGGAGGCTGAGGTGGGAGGATTGCTTGAGCCCAGGAGCTCGAGGCTGTAGTGAACTATGATCATGCCACTGGACTCCAGCCTGGGTGACAGAGCAAGACTCTGCTGTCTAAAAAACAAAACAAAACAAAACAAAACAAAACAAAACAAAAAACAGACAAGTCTCCCTTGCAGTTGGTGCTTGAGGAGGGTATTCTGTCACAAGAATTATCTGAAGCCCTTAGTTTCTGCCCATCTCTGGATCTTGACAACTTGTTTTACTTACTAACTCTACAAATATAGGCTGGGCTCAGTGGCTCACACCTGTACTCAGCACTTTCAGAGGCCAAGGTGGGAGGACTGCTTGAAGCCAGGAGTTCAAGACCAGCCTGGGTGATAGAGGAAGACCCTGTCTCAAAAAACAAAACAAAACAAAAACAAAAAAACAAATATAGTCCCACTGCACCCCTCCATCCCTGGTCAGACATAAACTCTTTATCCACCCCAATTATGGAACAATTCTTTCAAATGTTGTTAGTTTTTAGACCAGTAATCTAAGCCCCCCTAAAAGGTGGGCATGTGGTCCAGCTGCTGTTAAATCTGCCATCACCTTGTATAAGACAATTTTCAGCTTTCACTGACCCCCTCCGTGGCCTTTTAGTTCGTGGCCGGGAACTGGTTATGGGCCAAGCTGCATGAATTTCACATTCAAGGGGGTTACTGATGTATATTCAGAACCTGCAGTTTAGTTCCACTACGTGGCAGAGCTGGAACCCTGACAATAACATTGAGTGGTGCAAAAAAGGGATGTGTGAGCCCCTTTGCTTTCTGTCATGTAAAAAGATTTTGTTTTTAATTTAAATTTAATTTTAAAAGGCAATACACATCATTACAAAAATTAAAACCAAAAAAAAGTACATAGAATAAAAAGTATCCCACCTCAAAACTCTTTCAATTCCTACTCTTCAGGAGTAACTACCATAAACTATTTAGTGTGATCCTTGTCAACCTTTTTCTATGTGTACTAAAACAAACAGCTTTTTTTCTTTCATAAAAATGGGCTATTATATACATAGTTTTGACAGTTTTAGCACAACAGTAGCAAAATTGACACAAGCCCATTCAGTACATATAGACATACCTCATTCCTTCTACCACATGGTATTCCGTTGTCCCATTACCTGAAAACCACCTGTCCCATTTCAGAGTGTGGCTGCTACTCAGATCCAATTACTTGTCGCCAAAAGGGAATTTTCTAGGTTTTAGCACTATCTTACCCAGGCTACCTCTCTTCTATTAAGGTGTTATCTTACTTATTTTCAAATCCTGAACCAGGATGACAAATAAAAACTACAATTCCCATCCTGCATTGCTACTAAAGTACTTCCAACTTATGGTAGCAGCAGCTAATAGTTATCAATCACTGACTACGTATCAGGCACTTCTCTCTAAGTGCTTTACTTTGATTAACTTGTTCCTTACAATGACCCATTAAAACATACTATGACTTTCCTTGTTTTATAAATGATGAAACTGAGGACCAGAAAGCTTAAGTAATTTGCCCAAAGTGACATGGGTAGAAGTGTTGAAACCAAGCAGTCTTATCTAAATTCTATGCTTAACTGCTATACTGCTTCTTTCTTTGAGACAGGGTCTCCCTCTGGTGCCCAGGCTGGAGTGCAGTGGTGTGATCTGGGCTCACTGCAGTTTCAACCTCCCGGGCTCAGGCAATCTCCCTGTTAGATATGAGTTCTAAATTTCTTTTCAAAGAATTAATATGTCAGTATGTTCAATTCTTTGTCTTCTACTTTTAAACTTAACTTCCTCGTAAAGCAACCTTTTTCGATTACCTACTCCACCCTCATTCCGATCACCTGCTCCACCCTAACTCATTCCAGTTACCTGCTACCTGCTCTGCCCTGACTCCTACCAAACCACTCACCCTGTCACTCTCTTTAAATTAGCCAATCAGAATTAGTTTAGCCTGTGCGGTCTAACCCTAGCCAATAGAGGAACGACACAGCAGCAAGGGCCACGTGCGTCAGGGATAAGAACCCCTTTCCCTCCCTTGTCCAAGCGTGAGATCACCATTGCTCCATCTGTAAGGGGGCACCCTTCTATAGAAGTCACTTGCATTGCTGAGAATTAAAAAGAAAATTTTATATTCGAGTGCTATTCCTTTTGTGGCACCGTAACTTTATATATAACATTCCCACCTCAGCCTCCAAAGAAGCTAGGACCACAGGCACACACTACCACACATTGTAAATTTTCTTTTCTTTTTTTTGTGGAGACAAGTTCTGTGTTGCCCGGAATGGTCTCAAACTCCTGGGCTCAAGCGATCCTCCAATCTCAGAATCCCAAAGTGCTGGGATTACAGGCATGAGCCACCACATCTGGCCTCATGCTGCTTTTTAAGAATAATATGTAGTCTAACATGACAGTTACATTCCTTAAAAAAAAATCCACTTATCAAATATTGAATTAAAAATAAATACTTCTATAAAAAATAAGAGGGAATGAAGTTATGGTTTTAAATATATAATAGCAAAATTATTTTTTCTTATATGAATTCCAATACTAAAAGTAGTTTTTATTGCTTTAAGTATATAGCCATAAAAGCTAAACCAGCCAGGTGTGGTGGCTCACGCCTGTAATCCCAGCACTGTGGGAGGCCGAGACGGGCGGATCATGAGGTCAGGAGATCGAGACCATCCTGGCTAATACAGTGAAACTCCGTCTCTACTAAAAATACAAAAAAATTAGCCGGGCGTGGTGGTGGGCACCTGTAGTCCCAGCTACTCAGGAGGCTGAGGCAGGAGAATGGCACGAACCCGGGAGGCAGAGCTTGCAGTGAGCCGAGGTGGCACCACAGCACTCCAGCCTGGGCGACAGAGCGAGACTCTGTCTCGAAAAAATAAAAAAGCTAAACCATCACCAAGTAAATCCAGCATTTCAATGCATTTAAGTTTTGCTCATGAGTTACAGCCCTTCTTTTCCTTATCACCACCAGGAGTAACAGAGCAGAGTTCTTAGATATTCCTGTCACCTTCAAAATTATAATGCACAAAGCCCAAAGGCTCCTAGAGAAGCTGGATGTCAGGGTGACAGTAAGGTGAATTATAATTAATGGTAATCTGCATTAGACATATCAACTTCCTTAATCAATCAATCACATTATACACAATTATGAAATTTTGCTGTAAGAGAAAATGCCTGAACTTTATTCACTAGGACCAACTACATGTTTCAAAATTCAATGTTTCATCATTACGTTGGCCCCTACCTCCACCCTCAGTAACTACTGCCCGAAATGTTCTGAGGTCTGCCATGGTTAGCAAGAGGTTAAAGAATGGTGTCTGGGCCCGGCGCTGTGGCTCATGCCTGTAATCCTAGCACTTTGGGAGCCCAAGCGGGTGGATCACCTGAGGTCAGGAGTTTAAGACCAGTCTGGCGAACACAGTGAAACCCTGTCTCTACTAAAAATACAAAAATTAGCTGGGTGTCGTGGCAGGTGCCTGTAATCCCAGCTACTCAGGAGGCTGAGGCAGGAGAATCACTTGAACCCGGGAGGGGGAGGTTGCAGTGAGCGGAGATCGCGCCATTGCACTCCAGACTGGGCGACAAGAGTGACATTCCGTCTCAAAAAAAAAAAAAAAAAAGAAGGGTGTCTGGAGCTTGATGGGTCAGGAGTTGTCACCTCATGAGGATTCTAACAAAGCTTTGGAGGAGACTTGATGGCATGTGTTAAAAATTAAGACACAGCAATGAAACTGTAGCCTTGAACTGCTCTCAAATCTTAAAGTGAATAAAATCATTCAGGGACCTCATTAAAATGCAGATTTTGATTCAGTAGGTCTCCTAGGGCCTGAAATTCTGCATTTTAAGCAAGCCCCCAGGTGATGCCAATGGTCAGGGGACCACACATGGCAGTATGAGGGACCACATCACACTATGCAGGGGCTGCATCCAAGGTGGAAGCCAGTCATCTGTTGGAACTATGGAAAGGCTCCGGGCTCAGGGACAACTGGTAAGAGAGGGTGGCAGTAACAAGTGGATCTGAATCCAGGAGACTAATGAAAAACTTATAATGGCTATACCAGCCAGGACATCCCTACTCCCCACTATCCTACCCCAGCCCCTTTCCAGAAAAAAGTCAGAAGGAACTTTGCTAAGGAAATGGTACCTATCACATGGGAGAATCAAGACCTCTATCGTGGGTACTGGTATCTGAGCCCTGTCACTGGAGGCCTGCTGACCAAGTGCCAGCTCTCTACCTGCTCTGGAAAGGCAGCCCTGCCAATCAACTTGTTCCGTCCTACTTTTCACAACATATCCCATCCTACTTTCAGGCCTAGTAGGACATAAACCTATTTACACAACTGCAGCAGGAACCCACACCAGATTTCTGTCCTGCATTCTCTTTTTTTGAGACAGAGTTTCACTCTTGTTGCTCAGGCTGGAGCAATCTCGGCTCACCGCAACCTCCACCTCCCGGGTTCAAGTGATTCTCCTGCCTCAGCCTCCCGAGTAGCTGGGATTACAGGCACATGCCACCATGCCCAGCTAATTTTGTACTCTAGAGATGGGGTTTCTCCATGTTGGTCAGGCTGGTCTTGAACTCCTGACCTCAGGTGATCCACCAGCCTCAGCCTCCCAAAGTGCTGGGATTACAGGCGTAAGCCACTGCGCCCAGCCTGTCCTGCATTCTTAAATATGAACAAACAAGTAGACAAGGCATCAGAAGAAAACTGGGAGAATCAGAAAAATGAGGGAAAAGGAACAGAAAAACCAAAGGAAAAGATCACTCAATAACAGAAGATCACTTTTTAAAAATTTCTAATTAAAATTCTCAAAAAGATGTGGGAGTTTTTGTAGCTATAACCCTTGCAAAAGGAACAAGCATTGCGGATCTCTTTCAATCATATTAGAGAGCTGGGCACGGTGGCTCACGCCTGTAAACCTAGCGCTCTGGGAGGCTGAGGTGGGAGAACTGCTTGAACCTAAGAGTTTAAAACCAGCCTGGGCAACATAGTGAGATCTGACCTGTATTTTTTTTTTTTTAGTCATATTAGAGGAAAGAAATTTTCAGCAATTTAAGGACTCCAAAAGTTACTTCCTACCAATCCATTCTTGGGAAATTATTGATGGATTCCACCAAAACAAGGGGGAAAAAGGAAGAAACATGAAGTTAGGGGAACAGTGGATCAACGCAGGGAAAACCTCAGGGTTGGGGGATCAACTTAGGTTTAGGGTAAATCAATTAGTCCAAACTGTAGCAGGAAACCAGCTTGGGAATCTCATGGGCACCAAACAAATATGGTGAAGGAACACTGTTCTCTTGTCAAGAAAGGCTACCAAAAGCTTTAGGAAAACACACACACACAAAGTAACAAAACAAAAATATATTTCACTGATTCTAAGATACACTTCTGCACATTTTAGTAATTGTGAGATTTGTCTCTAAATTCCTGGGGATTATAGTTTAATCGGTAGCATGCTTTTTTCTTTCTTTGCGGAACATAAAATAATAATACTGCTTACAGTCAGTGACATTTCAGATGTAATGAAATACAGTACTAATAATAATGCTGGGACGGGCTTATTGAAGACTTACTCTACCAGAAATTGTTCTAAGCCCTTTACATGGATTAAGTCATTTATCCACCCAACAACCCTTAGAAACATTCTTCTCTGACTGCACCAGAGCTTGTGAAACTCATCGGGATGAAAAGAAATGCAATCTTAGAATATGAATAGCTAGGAACAATATTTACACTGTGAAAGTGACATAAAAGGTGTTAGTGGTTCTGAATATTTAGAATCAACCTATGGATAAAGCAGAAAAGGGTTAGTTATTAAGAGTAAAAATATTGACAAACTTGTGACAATAAGAAGATTGTGAGAAGCAGGAGCAGGGAGGAGAGAACAGTGGAATGAATAGGGACACTGATATCCCTAATATCCTCATCCTTAGGTGGAGAAAATATATTTATTTCCTCTCTCATTATTTTAACTTCTTCTACTGCTTAATTGTGTATTTTAATAACCCAACAATCAAATTGGAAAGTTAACAAAAATGAGTTAAATCCTCATCTTTCACAGCAGAGTCTATGGATATTTTATTAAGTTGATAAATCAAGAAACAGAGGTATATGCATTTGTTCAGATTTTTGGAAGAATTGAAAACAAGTTTCCTTTGAAGAGCTGGCATTGGGGTGAAAACCAAGGTGAGACATTGTTACTATTCAGGAATATTACTGTTTTATTGATTGCCATATATATGTATTACCATGACAAAAATAAAGAAAATTGAAAAAGGCAATAAAAATGCTTTCTTTGGGTCTAAGAAAGCAATCCTATCCATTTTAAGGCAGTACTAAAAAAGCAGACTGATAGGTGTATCATAATGGTCAATAAGCCAACTAAGGTGCATCAATCATTATATCAGATTTACTTGATTATAAATCTGATCACTGTTCTTACCTAAAGCAAGCATAAAATAGCCTTGAAGGCATAAAGCATGTTTTTTTCATTTTTGCCATGCTCTAAAAATACTTCTGGGCCAGGCGCAGTAGCTCATGCCTGTAATCCCAGCACTTTGGGGGGCCAAAGCGGGTGGATCACTTGAGGTCAGGTGTTTGAGACCAGCCTGGCCAACATGGTGAAACCCCGTCTCTACTTAAAATACAAAAATTAGCCAGGCATTGTGGCGCATGCCTGTAATCCCAGCTACTTAGGAGGCTGAGGTATGAGAATTGCTTGAACCTGGGAGGCGGGGGTTGCAGTGAGTCGAGATCGCGCCACTGCACTCCAGTCTGGGAGACAGAGTGAGACTGTCTCAAAAAAAGAATATTAATAAAATAAAAATACTTCTGGTTCTAATACACTTTTTTGGGGACACAAGCCATTAGTTACATAAATATGATCTATATTGAAAGAGAAGCTATTGCTGGACCTAAAATGAAGCGGATCACCTGCATTCTGCTCACTCCTGCTGAGACCCAAGATGGTCAGGCAGCTCTACCTGTGGGGAGAAGGGGGCTGCTGCTTTGCTAATGAAAATAGACACGGCAATAACATTTGAATTAATGGGATGCTGGAGCTAAGGCCTCAGTGCCCTGACACTGACTTGTTTGACCTGAGGTTGTACATTATTTCCTCTTTTCAGACCTCAAGGAATGGATACCAAGCTAGAAAGGTCAACACCTCTTCAGTTCTGAAGTGGTTCCTGGCATCCTCGCAGTCTTAGTCAAATCCAATTCACTGAAAGAAAATTATATTCTGAGGTTTACAGCTATTTGCTAGATTGCTGCATTTGGGTATATTTCGCATATTTGGAAGTCTTAATCATACACAGGCAAACTTTAAATACATCTAAATAATATAGTTTTTATTTCATTGGTATAATATGAAAATGCCCTTGAAGAAATAAAAAGCCAATTGGGAAGATTTTTTTTTGTGAAATACTAATACAAATCATACTAAAATAGGATTTGCAAGCATTTTAAAAAGCTATTGAAACATAATTTCTCAGAAAATTATGCATTTGTACAACACAGAGCAATCTGCCTTTCTACTTTTGCCTTTCAGATACTAGTAAACAATTATATGTTTAGTTCTTAAAGAAGGTCACTAGTCCACAAAAATAAGCAATATTACAATTTCAATACAGCTAGGCTTGTTATTTTTAGCTGAGTAGAAAGTGTTTCGAATAAATTATGACATGGAATGGGTTAGCCTCTACACTTTTAATTTCCACCTAAGAAAGATTTGCCTCTCATTTATCACAGTGGCTTAATTGTTCATTTAACCACTGTTATTCATATATCACCCTTGATAAATGTCTTATCTAAAGGCAACCAATTTATTCTTACAAAATCATTCACAATTTGATTAACAGCATCTTGGTTCTGGAAATATTTAAAAGTTTTGTTTTGTTTTTAAACTAGGGGTGTTTGAGATGTCTTTCTTTCATTAGAATGTAGGCAGCATGAGAACAGGAACCATGTTTTTTCTCTGTTGCTGTATCCAAAGTACCTAATCTGAACTTGGCACTTTGTAGGCTTCCAATGGGTATTTGTTGGATGAATGGATGATCATTACATGCTTCAAAACTCTTCAAACTGCTTTATCCTACATATAGAGGACTTAACAATATGACTTCACTGCAGATCTCTGTGCCCTGAAGACCTTTCAGTATTACTTAAAATAGTGTTGTGCCTTTGGACAGGGAATATGTGTGTGACAACAAAGACTCTAAGAGGCCAAACACTCACAGGTCACCAAGTTCTGTATTTTAACTCCTGAAACACCTGCCTGTCTCCTCCTCTCCAATGCCTTCACTGTTATCTCATGTGAGCATTACTGCCATCTCCCACCTGGATTACTGTCACCCTATAAAACAGCCCTCCTGTCCCAGCCTCTACTTCCCCAATACTATCAGCGTGATCTTCTAAGATAATGAACTGTGTCCCCCTGAGCCCCGTGGAGGACACTGTGACATCACATGCACAGCCTTTCACAGGTGGCTTTCCAGCCCATCTTTCCAGCAGCAACTCTCCTGGCTCCATTGAGATATATTCTCAAGCTACAGTCAACTCCTTGCTTCTCTAACATCTTTGCTCACGTTATTCCTTCTACCTGAAATATACTTCCATGTGTTCCCTGAGGCTGAGTCAACCACTCTTCATAAATCTTCAGCTATATTTTATACACCTCCTTATACACTTGAAGTTGAAGTTGTTGGTTTGTCTGCTTCTTTTATAAACAATGATATCCTTGAGGCAGGAAATTTAATATTCTTCTTTTTATCTCCACCAGTCTAGCACAGTGCTTGTCACAAAGTTGATCCTAAAAACAGGTCTGATAAACTGAAGTGTAAGT
This sequence comes from Homo sapiens, assembly GCF_000001405.40. Classification (NCBI taxonomy): domain Eukaryota; kingdom Metazoa; phylum Chordata; class Mammalia; order Primates; family Hominidae; genus Homo; species Homo sapiens. The sequence goes on along the minus strand of NC_000009.12, from coordinate 112,585,126 downwards.
GACTTGTGCAGATACTTAATAGAAAAAAGACTAAGAGACATGTCTCCCTGATCCTCAGTCAATCCTTCTGTTAAACTCTAGGTCCTTTTTGATTCTAATTTTAAAAATAAATGACCTCTTTAGGATATAACCTAGCAGTCTCGACTTTGGATAAGTGATGGGCATGATGTGACATAAAAGGAGAGGAAGGGGAAGCAGTCGGCAGTTTAGACTACTCCTGTACCAATGCAGGCAAAGGCGGGGCGGGGAGCATGGTGCATGCTGGTCGCCAACCCTGTCCCTCTCGGTTCACAAGGAGGGGGCCAGGTTCCCTCTCACCCGTCATAACTTCAACCAAACCATCTACCTTCTTTGTGTGTCATTTCCATCAGTAAAATAAAGGAAATAACCTCTCACTTTGTGGAACTCAGGCAATGTTGATCCTCGAATAAAAGTACTGCATAGATAACAGACATTTTATTTTTGTGTTTTTTATTTATTCCAACAGAAGAACTTTAAAAAAACTTTCCCATGACAGCATCCCATCACAATCATAAGGAGAAAACCCATAGTGTTAAAATTTGTGAGGATAATTCTCAAATTCCTTGTCCATAAACAAATATACTAGAAGACAGTAGTAGTAACTTTTGCTTTCTAACAAAAATACTCCACATTCGGTAACAGCAATAATGTTACAATGCCTTCGTAAATATTCCACAATCAATTTTATTTATGCTTCATGATCTATTTTTAAAAGTAATCACATTTTTAAACATCCAAAAAAGTATACGGAATACCAGCTAGAGTATGTTTACCATGAACCAGAGGGCTTTGTATAGCTCAACTTAATCTATATATATATCAACCCTATAGAATTGCTTTATTAGCATCTTTATCTTACAGATGAGAAAACTAAGCCACAGAAAGGTTAAGTAACTTGCCACAGTCACCCAGAAAAGAAGGGGGCAGGGCTGGGATATGAATCCAGGCTGTTGTGTGTAAAGTTCAACCCTGAAGCATTGTGCTAAGGTTGCCTCCTGTTAACATAAACTCATGTTCCCATCACTCAGATTTTTTTTTTTAAGAGACTGGGTCTTGCTGTTGTTCAGGCTGGCGTGCAGTGGCACAATCATAGCTCACTGCAGCCTTAAACTCCCGGGCTCAAGTGATCCTCCCACCTCAGCCTTCCAGAGTGCTGAGTGCCCACCACTCAGATTTAATAAATGTTCACATTTTGCTATATATATTACATACGTATTTTAAAAAATTATAGATACAGTTTAAGCTTCCCATGTACCTGTTTCCATTACCCCCTCCTCGAAGAAAACCACTACTGTGTATCTGGGGTGTCTCCTTCCAGTCCATGTTTAATTAAGTGTGTGTGTCTGTGTAACACACACTACATCGTAATGTTCATGTGCTTTAAACAGGTATGGTATTACTCTAATATATAATAATATTCTGCAACTTTGTCTTCCAAGATTTATACACAATAAATGTACATCTGGCTGATTCATCTATTTCACTGAAAAATATATCACAATATATTTATCTATTTCCCTATTGATAGACACTAAGGTTAACTGATTTTTTTCTCCTGTTATCAAGAAGTTGCACTGTAGACCCCTGTACATATCTCCTTTTATATACTATGAGAAAGTCTAAGACAGGCATTTAAAAATTGAATTCCAAGGTTGTATGATACGCACACTTTAAACTTTGATATTGTAAATTGCTCTCCAAAGTAGTTGTACCAATTTATATTTCCACCAGCATGTCCCCATTTTCTCATACCTTCAATAACACTTGGAATACTTAAAATTAATACTTTTTGCCTTTCTAATGGGAGTAAGATAGTATCTTGTTGTTTTAATTTGCATCTCTGTGCTCCCCCAGTCTGATGTGGATGCATTTGACTGGCAAAGCCTAAGGTCACAGGACTGCCCTTGCTGAAATGTAAACCTGGAAAGCAAGTTTCTGGCTTCTCCTATGGGGAGGTACACATGCACAAAGGAGGGAATTCTCTCACATAGATAGGAAGAGTGCTCAACATTACTGGGTGGCCAGATGAAATGACAATGTAGGCTGTAACCTGAATTTCCTAGATCACTGCTTCTCAAGCTCTAATGCGCATACAAAATCACCTGGAGATCTTTTTAAATGCAGATTCTGATTTTGTGGAGCCTGAGATTCTGCATTTGTTTTCTTTTCAGAGAGATTCATTCAATAAACATGTAACAAGCCCCTGTCAATGCCAGAGAATTGTATGTGCTGCTTCAGTGACAGCCATGTCCATGTCACTGAATCCTTCCCTCCGCCCTTCATAGGAAGCATGGGAACTCATTCCACAGAACTAGTGGGTACTGAACAGAAGCTGTCATCTTTGGTTATGGATTCGGTTTTTTTGTCTGTTTTTTTTTTTTTTCAGGGCTATTGCTGTTTCTCCTCCCTTTAGTTGAAATAAGAGCTGTTCTTTGGATTATGCCACTCTATCTGATCCTCTAAAGGATTAGAGGGCTGAGTTGTCACTTGCCTAATATAGTCCTTTGTCCTCTAGATCCCACGTGTGGATGGCGAGTAAGACCTGAAAGTGTCCTGAGACATAGCTTAGGTCTTCAGAGATGTCTATGTTTCCCTGAGCTGCTGAATCATCGAGCAGGTGAGAACAAGTCACTCTTACGGCCATTCATATTCCACTCTCTCTGCTTTCTCTTGGTCCCTTGGCCTAACAACTGTTTCTTTAAAAATTTTTTTAATTTTTAATTTTTGTGGGTACATAGTAGGTGTATATATTTATGGGTTACATGAGATATTTTGATACAGGCATGCAAATGTGTAATAATCACATCATGGAGAATGGGGTATTCAGCCCCTCAAGCATTTATCCTTTGTTACAGACAATCCAATTATACTTCTCTAGTCATTTAAAAATGTACAATTAAGTTATTATTGACTACAGTCACCCGTTGTGCTATCCCAACTCTTTACTACTCAAGTAAATGAGCAAAAAATGTGACAGTGTGACTGTCACGCCTTTCCTTTCCTAAGCCTGATACTGTCTGTAGACTTGAAACCAGTGCCTATGCCTTCCCAGCGCTGAAGCGGTGAAGCTTCCCTAATGAGGTAATAGGGCTGCTCAACTGCAGTGAGTTTGCATTCATGGGTATGTGGCTCTGACAGTGGGGAAAGGTGGCAACAAGAGGTGGGCTGAATGCATCCCCCAGGACTAGCATGTCAGGGAAGAGTTGAGTCTGGTCTGATCTCAGACGTGACCAAGAAAACCAAGGCTTCCAGTGAGTCCCTTCACCTCACCTTGGTGGTGTTCTTGGGTGGCTGCACATTCTCTGAGATCTCAGCTCTCCAGTTCCTAACAGGATTGTGACAGAGGTTAAATGGGATAACTAGTGTTGAAAGGTATCAGGCCTGTGAGCAGGGTTCAATGTTCCTTCCCTTCCCCTTTAGTGTATGACTTCCTATATCTGGGAAAGAATGCCCCCAAAGATCAGTTCCAAGGTTCACTTCCTGGATGAGTGAGGGAAATAAGGCTCTAGACTTTCCTATTAATCTCCGCTCCTGCACCCAGATCTGGCCCTGGGCACTGAGGGCTTGGGGGAGGCTGGGCAGACACAGCATTTTTGGTCTTTCCTCGCGGCCTCCTGAAACTCTGCATTTCTAATGTGCTCCCAGGTAATGCTGGTGGTGATACTGGTCCACGGACCATATTTTAGTAGACAAATGGGTGTAACTACATGAAACCAGAATCTACTTCACTTCTCACAGAGTATTGAGCACAATCTAATGATGATGATGATGAAAATAAAAATATTAATAAAGGCGGCTATTATCCATTTATTGAATGTTTATCATATGTCAGGTACTCTCTTTAGTGCTTTACCTATATTTTTGCATTTGGTCCTCACAATAACCCTGACAGGCAGACATTATCATTACTTTACAAATGAGGGAACTGAGTTTCAGAGAAGTGAAATGACGTAGCTAAGGTCACAAGGCCAGCAGGAGGCAGAGTAAGGAATAAACTCAAATACATCTGATTCTATTCATCTCTAAGAGATCTGAGAAAAAAATAAAAATAAATAAACACATCAGACTCTAAGCTCCGGGTGGCCAGGCTCCACTCTCTCAGCCCAGAGCTGCCTGCCATATCAATCTTCAGATGTGTACCCGGTTTGTGATAAGGAAGAAAATGATGGCAAAAATAAAAAGCTGAATTTTTACTTTGTCTCTCTTATTTTTCAAAAATTATAACTCAGCTCTTCCTTCAGGAAACTACAGGAAAAGGTTAAGAAATGGCTAAGAAAATAAATTTTAGTCTTGTTTCTTTCTTTGTGTTTTTTTTTTTTGAGATGGAGTCTCGCTCTGGAGCCCAGGCTGGAGTGCAGTGGCACAATCTTGGCTCACTGTAACCTCTGCCTCTGGGGTTCAGGCAATTCTCCTGCCTCAGCCTGCCGAATAGCTGGGACTACAGGCGCCTGCCACCACGCTGGGCTAATTTTTGTATTTTCAGAAGAGATGGGGTTTCACCATGTTGGCCAGGCTGGTCTTGAACTCCTGACCTCAGGTGATCCACTCGCCTTGGCCTCCCAAAGTGTTGGGATTACAGGCATGAGCCACTGTGCCCAGTTAGTCTTGTTTCTTCTTGTAAGAAGAGGCATATATTTCTCATGGAATAAAGAAATATATAAAATATGTGTCTATGTATATATATATACATATATATGTATGTATACACAAGCACACATATTTATACATATTTCCACACTTAGAACACTTTTCCAATATACACTGCCTTTAAATAAAACACGTAACAACTCTTCTTATCTGCCCACATAAAAAAAACTAAATGCTCAAAAGAAAACAAAACAAACCTCCCATAAACAGTAGTAGGAATCTCTGGTTTACTGCCCCTCTCAAGAATCATACCTAGAATGTTCTTGGAAGAATACTTCCACCCCACGCTCACACTCAGCTATGTAGTTTGTGTAGGCTTGGTCTCAATACCATTTCCAGGGTGGGGGCCTGATCCCCCTATGCGTGATTTAGGGGTGACTGGGAATGCTGTGACACAGGTTCTGTCTACTGCTAGACAAGAAACCAGCAGCACAACCATCTTGGGTCCACGCAGGGGTCAAGTATAACAGGTGAATCTAATAGGGAGGAAGGCAAGGTGGCAAATGGCAAGAGGGAAACTTGATGCTGTCTGAGCCTGAGTGAAAGCTGGTTTGAAAATCTGTCCTTGGACTATAAGGCAGTCAATTCTCTCCTTTAACTTATTTCAACTCAGATTTTTTGCTTCTGACAAGAGAAACCATTATCTATTATGTCAACACAGATCAAATAACTGGCAGTAATACATACCTTAATCAATTTTTAAAAGCTCACTGAACTCAATTTTACATGAGTAATTTTTCAAAAAGCATATTAAATGACTTAGACTACATTTCTTTCTGAATGCATTTTTTGTATAAAATACAATCACCATAAATTTATACAAATAAATACTCAAACAGTAAAAATCAGAAGAAAAAATAAAGAGATCAATAAAAACAGAACTGAAAACAAGAAAGAGACCCAATAATAAACAAAAATGTGGTATCTGAATCAATTCAGCGGAGAATGAGAATTATTCAACAAATGAAGCTGAGACACCTGACTACCTGCAAAAATAGTAACATGAGGTTCTACCCCAAAAGGTATTCTAACTGTAAAGTCAAATGTCAAAAAAAGAAAGGGAGAGGAGAGGAGAGAGAAAGAAAACCATAAAAGAATAAGAGGGAAATACAGAGAAATATTTATGTGATCCCAATGTATGGAAAGGACTTCCTAAGCAAAATACCAAAGACAGAAAAGATTGATTGACTGATAGATGTTGAAAGAATTGCCTTCATAAAAATTAAGAAAATTCACACCTTAAAAAAGGTCATCAACAAAATTAAAAGCTAATGGTAAAGTGGGAAATGTATTTCCAATATACGTGAGAGACTATGAGCTACTTGGGAAATGTATTTCCAATATACATGAGAGATTATGAGTTACTATTTCTAATATATCCAGAACCCATATGAATCTATTAGAAAAAGATAAATAAATTTTTTTAAAAGAAAAAATATATATACATACAAATCTGATAGGCAAAAATGGATTGCTTATACCACAGAACTGGGAAAAAAGCTGATTAATAAAAGGGATCCTTACACAAAATCATAAAAGAAGCTATGTGTATGTAAGTATATTGAAGAAATATAATATACACATAAAACCCTAACTCATGATGCGATAGAGATTTAAATGTCATTATGACAAATGCCCCAAATTTACATAAAACCTCAAAAATTAATGGAATCCAAGCTACTAGTAGGTAGTCAATAATTCTTCTAATAATAGATGCCCTCTTTACTCATTGTTTGCTAAGATTTGGATTGAGCAGTATGGCAGGATTGACATGAAAATTAATGATTTTATCTATACCTTGATTAACATTTTATAATTTTATGAGTTCAGCTCTGAACAGAAGTAGGGATGATTTTCCACTATGGGAATCAAATTTAAATGGCAACAGTAAAACCAAACAAAATGGAACAATTTCTCTTTGTTTCTGGCTGACTCAATAGTCATTTGTCAAATTATTTATTTTAAAAATATTATCTAAAGATACGCAGTATTTCTGCAATGATCTGATAAAGACTCAGTACAGAGCATCCATTTTAAAAGAACCTGACTTAGCTTTCAGAACCTGTCTTCTTTGCTTAGTCCCAAGTACGCTTTACATATTAACTGTGTAAGGTCCATCCGTAACCAAGTCATTCACATACATCTGGGTGTGCTAGATTCTAAATTTTTTAAAATCTATGTTTAGAAAGATTATCTACTATAAATAAACATGCAAACACAAACACATAACTAAAACTTTAGAACACAGAATCTAGTTAGGTACTAAAGTAAAAAGTAAATTTTATGTTAACTTTATACAGTTCACTCAAAAGAAAAATATGAGTCTGATTTTTATTTGTCCCACTGCTGTTTCCAGTTCAAACAGTATATCTCTAAAGCTAATGACATCTTAGCAATATGATACCCTTCCCGAGAACAATGGATCAAAATATGAGGACCATCCTTGGAAAATCGTCATGACCAGTCTTCATAGTGTTTTTCTTAAAGGTTTACCTCCAAGCCAAACTAATCCTCCTCTGAGAATAAAGCCAAATCACAATTTATGACAGTATATATTCTGTGCTCTCTTTGGCCATGCCAGCTTTTCATAGCTAATATAAGAAGTGCAATTTCCATGAGGGAAGAAAAAAACCTAAGAGAATGTAATACACACAATAATAAATGGATTCGTTTTTTTTTTTTCAAATAGGCTGAATTTCTTTCCCAAAATAATGAGACAGTAATATATTCATATATGGTTTAGCAAAGCGCCTCAGTGCCTCATTTACTATCCACAAGGCAGATGCAGAAAAGTCTTGCATCTTGCTTTGCAGGGATTAGTGAAAAGGTATGCAACACAACTAATACTCTCACCAAACTGGGTACACTGGACCACTTTGCAAAATACATTTCTGAATTCTACCCTATTTAAATGAAAAAAAAAAAAGGGGGGCAGGAGAGTTCAAATAAATAAATAAACTAGAACTAGGTTCATAACCATTTAAGTGAAAAGGTGCTACTTATATCCTACATATATCAAGAGTCAGATTTCCTAGAACAAAGACTTTCACCAGCCTAATAAAGATAACATTTTGTCTCATGATGAGATTAGTCAAGGACCACATTGTTATTCAATGATCAAAGTATAATTCATTAAAATATTTTTTAAAAGAAAGAAAGAAAAAGACAATCCATGGGATGGGAGAAAATACTTGCCAATTATATACCTGATAAGGATCTCATATTCAGCACACATAAAGAACTCCAAAAACTCACCAATAAGAAGGCAATTTTAAAATGGCCAAAAGATTTGAGTAGATATTTCTCAAAAGAAAATATACAAATGGCTAACAAGCACATGAAAAAAATCTCAGTACCATTAGTCATTAGGGTAATGCAAATCAAAACCCCAATAAGATACTACTTCACACACCCAATAGGATATTTATTATTTTTTTAAACATGAAAAATAACAAGTGTTGGTGACAATGTGGAGCAGTAAGAACCTTTATAGATTACTAGTGAGGCTGTACAATGATGGAGCTGCTTGGGAAAACAGTTTGACAGCTCCTCAAAAAGTTAAATACAAAGTTACCACAGGACCCAGCAATTCCACTCCTAGGTAGTTACCCAAGCAAGATAAACATACACACCCACACAAAAACCTGTTCACAAATGTTCACAGCAGCAGTATTCATAATAGCCAAAATATGAACACAACCCCAATGTCCATCAACTGATGAAAGGAAAAATAAAATATGGTATAGTCATACAACAAAATATTATTTGGCAATAAAAAGGAAAGAAACGCTACAACATGGATTAACCTTGAAAACATAATGCTAAGTGTAAGAGGGTGGTCACAAAAGACCACATAATATATGATTCCATGTATATGAAACATATAGAATAGGAAAATCCATAGACAGAAAGCAGATTAGCAGTTGCCAGGAACTAAGAGGAGGGAAAAAGTGACTGTTAATGGGTATGGGATTTCTTTTTGGGGTGATGAAAATATTCTGAAATTAGATAATAGCGATAGTTGTACAACTCTATGAATACACCAAAACCCACTGAACTGTACACTTTAAAAGAGTGAATTTTATATGTGAACTGTATCTCAATAAAACTATTATTTAAAAAAAGATAAAAGTGAATAAACTGAAAAGCATAATCTTCAATCAGGATATAAATATTTTCAGTGAATATCTTCTTAATAACACCATGACTATGTCTTCAAAAAAATCATAAATGAAAGGTCTTCTTTGGGAATCTTAAAGTTGATACTAAAATTGGAAAAAAGAAGTTTGTAAAGCAACTTAATCCAAGGACGTTTCAGGATGAAGGCACAGGGGCCTCAGGTTTCTAGGAAGCTTTTCCCAAAATACACGACGTTTTTGAGAAGGGCTGAAATAAACTAAAACATGCCACAGATTTCTGCACATTTGTTCATCCTTGTCCACGTTTCTATTCTAGCCTACTAGAATTGAGTCATGAAGCCAAAGCATGAGATCCAACCCCTTTATATACTAATGGCCCAGATTAAATAAACATTGAATGTCAGAATTAAAGAACATTAGAACGTTAGAATTACAGGTGCAGGGGCCTCGTACAATTATTTCATTCTCCTCTCAATCCATTCCCATTGGCTCACAGATTCCAGAAATGCAAGTTTCCATATTCTTTTAAATTTTAAGAGAAAAGATCAAATACCTCTTTTAGAAATGTACATTGCTTTTTAAAATACTTATTAACTACCAGAGCAACTAAAATGAATAGCAACGTCAAGTTGGCTCAGTCAAATAAATAATACGAAAAGCATTAGGTCTATTGTCATGATATGCCTTACCCAACATTATTTTGGCTTCAAACAGCAACTAAACACCTTGCTACTGATGGAGAAGCATATTTTTAAAACTTTCAAAAATAACTTTACTATATAAAAATTCAGCTGACAGGTATCAACCTTAAATCTAACGCTGCAATATCAACAGAACAATCTTACAGCTGTCCTCTCAGCCCTAAGGTACGTCAACTAGATATGGCCATAATTCTTATGAATTTCCTGTATAGTATCACCTGGATGTAACACAGTCATTGTTTCTATCTTTCTATGACTAACAAAGGACTGAATTCTAGCAAACTGAGTGAATGGTTTTAGAAGTGCTGACGGCGCAGAATTCTGGCGTGCGTGGATGAGGGACTCACTGTCGCCTCATGTGCCATACCTGGTATGCACTGTGCTGTGGCCTCAGTGGTTATGGCTGGAGCGACTGGGGGCTGCTGCTGACTGGAGCTCACTTCTGGCTCTGTGTTAACTGAGGGAGAAAGGGCTACCTCACAGGAGGAGACCTGGCTGGGCAGATGGGACAGGAACTCTTCAGAGGCAACTTGCTCATCCTGTCCAGGCAGCTGCAGGGCAGACAAGGGGATACTGATCTGTTTGTTAGGATGGGATGTGCTCACAGGCATTTGCATGGCCACCTGTTGGTTGGTGCCATGTGTACCAGGGGGTCCTCTGTTTGGTGAAGCCAGAGATACCCTAGCAGTCTTCTGGACAATTGGTCTGGAGATCACAGAGGGGGATGCAGACATACCGTGTGGGTCTAGCTCCGTGCTGATGGCAGATGTGACATGGGGAATCAGTTTAGCAGACCCTACACAGGAGGGACCAGCGTGAGTCTGAGGCTTGGGTTTTGCCATCTGTGTCAAGGACAGGGCTGGTCCATCTACTCCTCCTGTCAGTTCTGCATTTGCCACAATGTAATAATCTTCGGGGATTTCTTGTTTGATTTTCTTGATGATGACATCATTGCTGCATTCGTCAACCATCTGCGTCTGGGAGCTTGAATGGAGGGAAGATGGGACTACCCCAGGTCTTTTGCGAGCAATGCTTTGAGGCCTTTGGGTTTGGGGTTCAAAGTCACTATCCTCATCTGTAACAGAAGACTCACAAACCATGTCAAACAGGGTGTTCTCATCTTCATATTCTTCAACAGTTTCATCCAGTTCAGAGGGCTCACTACAGTAGGAGAAGTCACAAGAGTCTCTGGTCCGGTTACAGTCTAGCTTTGCTTTCACTGGTCTCCCAGGGTACCTTTCAACAGGGCTAGTCTGTGTCTCAGAGGGCACCCCGATTATACTGGGACTATCAGAGTTAAAACTTCTGTTATCCTGGAAACAGACCCTCTCTTGGGACCCAGCTCTGCAAGTAGCTGTTAGTGGCCAGTGATAAGCATGGCCAGCACTACAGCCCCACATTGCTGTCAGGTTCCCATGGGAACCTTCAGAAAGCAAGTGTTTCAGGTTTGGAATGAGGCTGCAAATAGTCCCATGGCTATGGGCCCAGCTGACCAATTTGGACAGATTCTCAGATGAGGTATGAAGACAATCCTCCATGTTACAGGATCAGCAGTGTCACTCCTAAAGGGAAATAATCAAAAGAAGAAGCCATTATTACCCAAGATAATCCTATAGCTCAATTACTTCAGTTTGTTCCAAATATGATCATTTGGCATAAAAAAAAAACGCACTTCAAAACTGAATCTAGTTAAGGTCGCTGTAGATGAGCAGGGACTGGAAGAGAATACCAGGAAAAGTAAAAACAGCTGATGACTGATGGTTGTGGGATTTGGAGAAAAATTTTGTTACTTTTCTTTATTGTTATAATAATTCCTGCCTAAGGGGGGAAAGAAAGGAGAGAAAGAAAAAGAGAAACAAGCAATAAAGAAATGAGCTTTTCCATGGTACATTTTACTTCCAAAGTCACTGACAGAGAGGTTCAGATGGTCCCTCAATAATAAAATTGTGTCTATTACTTGCATTAACCAAGAGGATGCAGCTCCAATGACACCCTTTGTCATCAGAAACTTTACTACTAGAGGCAGAGCCAACAAAGGAGGTTTAGATCCATCTTAGGACGGAGGTCAGAGAGAGCAAGCCAGTCCTCTACTGGGCACCAGAAGACAATGCAACTGGGAGTCCAAGGAGAGGATGAGGGGCTCGATTTGAGAAGTGGGAAAGAAAAGCAGAGAAGGGAGAACAGACTGGGAGGAGACCTGCTGGAGGGGAAGGCTGTAGACCAAAGAAGCAAGGATGGGGAAGCGGGAGGCCCTGCTCTAACCACTCTTAGGACCAGGCTTCCTGTCTCCTGGCTGTCTGCAATTCCTGAAATATTGCCTTTCATCCCACCATTAGAGGTTACAAAGTATGTCTGGTGTTTTCTACCATCTGAGGGTCTCATAAAGCCAAGCATAACCAACTATCAAATAGAAGCAAATCATTCCTTATTAGGCAGGAGACAAAAAGAAGCCCTTGTTAGGAGTCCCTGAGGAGTGAGGACAACATGATGGGTAGGAAAGTGAAAGGGGACATGTGGAGTCTGCAAGGGGCTGGAAAGGTTAGTAAGGCTCTGCCAAGAGGGGGGTCCTGGGAGCACTGGTCAGGGAGGCACAGGAATCTTTATGTGTGATTTTGTCGGCCCTGGCTATCTGCAGCTGTGGGTGACAAGAGGTGCCCCGCTGGTGCTCTGCAGTCAGGCACCATGGTCTAACCACAATGTCAGGTGGTTACACCAAAGTGGACAGACACCTGAGCCATTCCCTGCCCTGACTCCATGGCGCCCTGTCAGGGAGGTTAGGTAAGTTCAAATCCTTTAACATACTATTAAGGTCTCTGTTGATGTGGCCACGGCCACCTCTCAAGCCTCATTTCCTACGACCATGGCCTCTTCCCACACTTCTTGTGGTCCCCTCTTCTCTAAACCCCCTACTGGTGAGAATCTGATTCTTTGGCTTGATATGCTGCCCTTCTCTTTCCTCACCTGGCCAGCCTCTTCAAAACTGAACCTGCGGCTACTTCCTATTGGCATCTTTCCAGACCCCCTTTCTGCCTCAGAGATTTATTTAGCTTCCCTTCACCCATGCCTGTATCATCTCAAGGGATTTGCCTTTGCTGTACTGTTATCATTGATTTGCTTGTCTGTCTCTCAGACCTAATAATTTCCTGAAGGCAGAAACTATGACTTAATTATTCACTCATCAGTGAGGACCTACTTGGGGATATGGAAATTCAAAAGGCATGGTCCTGTTCTTGGGACATTATAACCTATTGTCTAGTATGCAGTCGTTGTCGAATAAATGAATGAAGAATGAATGAATGTTTACATACTGCCAGCACCATCAACACTTACAAAGTGAACGTATAAGACTCTCTCAAGTCAGACACATAAATTTTCCTCAGATCACTTTTATTGTAATCATTCAAGGGATTAGACAGTTTTCTCCCGGATAGTGTAACCCAAACCCAGCCACCCTGTATACGCAGAAGAGTGACAGATGAGCTCCCAGAGTTCATGAAGCAGCCATGTAAACGGAAAGAACATTGACTGGCGTGGGAGTCAGGAACGTGAAATCCCAAGCCTGGAACTGCTCCTGTGGTCTCAGACAAGGCACTAATTATCTCTAAGCCTACAATGCCAGGACTACGTGATCTTACATTTCCTTCATACTCTAGAAATTTAGACTTATTTATGTTCCTTTCATGTAACTTTGGTTAAAGTAGAAATGTTAAAAAAAAAAAAAAAAGACATAGATTGGTTTGTGTGTTTGTTCTGAACTTTTTTTATTTTATTTCTTTTTATTTTTTATTTTTATTTTTATTTTTTGTTTTTATTTATTTATTTATTTTTTATTTTTTAACCTAGGGGTGTCCCTAGGTTGCCCAAGCTGGTCTTGAACTGGGCTCAAGCAATTCTCCTGTCTCAGCCTCCCAAAGCTCAGGGATTACAGGCATGAGCTACTGCACCCCAGTCTGTTTTGAACTTAACATAGCTATTAATATTTAATTGGTGTGGCAGAGACTGCTATTTTGCCTACCCAGTGTCCATTCTCTCTTACTCCTCACAGAGAGTCCAAATTTGTTAAGGCAGCAATGTGCTCACTAAAATATTTTTCCCAGCTTCCCCTGGAGCAAGGGTGGCCCTATGACACAGTCATGGCCAAGGACACGTAAATGGAAGGGGTTCGCATCATAATCCTGAAAGACAAAATTCTGAACGCCATAGTTCCAAATGTTGAAATCCCGAAAGATCAAAATCCCTAAAGTCTAACATCCCCAAAATCACAATCATAGGATAGCTACATCATGTTAGGTGGAACTATTACCTTGTTATTGTCTTTATTTGGAAATTAAGTATGGTTTAAGGAAATGCATATGAGTGATAAACTGACATGGGGTGAACTTGTGGACTTAAATTCAGGTGTCAATTTGACTGGATTAAGGAAGACTTAGAAACCTAGTAAAGCATTATTTGGGGGTGTGTCTGTAAGGCTGTTTCCAGGAGAGATTAGTGTGTGAGTCTGAGTGGATTATGTGAAGATCTCGCCTGAATATTGGCGGGCACCATCTAATCAGCTGGGGCCCCAGACAGAACAAATACAGAAGGTGAATTGTTCTCTCTCTGAGAGCTAGCATAGGCTTCTTTTTCGCTGCCTTGGACATCAGAACTGGAGGCCTCCAGCCTTTGGACTCTGGGACTTACGCCAGCAGTTCCCAGGTCCCGGCCTTTCAGCCTCAGGCTGAGAGTCACATCATTAGCTTCCCTGGTTCTGAGGCCTTTGGATTTGGACTGAACCACTATACCAGCATCCCAGGGTTTCCAGCTAGCAGACAGCCTGTTGTAAGACTTCTCAGCCACATAATCGCATGAGCCAATTCCCCTAATAAATGCCCTCTCATGTATATATGCATATTCTATTAGTTCTGTCTCTCTGGAGAATCTTGACTAATACAGATTTGGTACTGGCAAAGCCAAGTATCATTCCTTCTTACTGTATTCCTTACAACACAACAGAAGAGACTACGAAATGTTCCCTTGCAAAAGGGCTGTGATAAGTTAAATATACAAGGTTACTAAATGGTGAAAGATAAAAGTTTAAAAGCTAATTATTATTGGTGCTGCACAAGCAGAAAATTGCTTAACTGCAGCAGCCAAGCAACAAGCAGACTTTCAGATGGATAGCATATACTTACAAAATCTGTAGACCACAACCACCCTCCAAATACAAGTGCAGCAAGTGTTTCAAAGATCACAGAAAACACAGGCCAAAAGTGCAAGAAATCTCCCCGGCCAAATTATTCAATCATGTAAGACTTCTGCCCCTTCACGTATAGCACCATGCTTCCATTCAAAAAACGCCCTCCAGCAGAAAATAAAAAGAATTCAACAAGCTCAGTGACCTTCTGAACCAAAGATACTTGTTGATACTGAGGTTCTTCAATGTTAAAAAACAAACAAACAACATTAAATGGTGAACTATTCTTGATTAGTTATTTGACTGTCAAAGACAGATTTCTTATATTTACCACTAAATCTAACACAGAAGAACTAGCACATGCTTCACGTTAGCTAATAAACTGCACTTTCAAAATCATTCCCACTGTTTATCAACTATATACAATTCATGTCCCTGTTAGATCTGAAAATTCTAGAACTTATCCACTCAATTATGTATTAATGACAAGAAAAAGTAAAACACTTAATAAATGCTTATTTGGGCCAGGTGCAGTGGCTCACACCTGTAATCCCAGCACTTTGAGGAGCCGAAGTGGGTGGATCACTTGAGGTCACGAATTTGAGACCAGCCTGGCCAATGTGGTGAAATCCTGTTTCTACTAAAAATACAAAAAAAATTAGTCAGGCATGGAGGCGCACACCTGTGATCCCAGCTACTCGGGAGGCTGAGGCGGGAAAATCATTTGAACCCGGGAGGCGGAGGTTGCAGTGAGCTAAGATCATGCCATTGCACACCAGCCTGGGTGACAAGAGCAAAACTTGTCTCAAAAAAAAAAAAAAAGAATTCTAAAAGGAATTTCAAAGTGTTACCAATAAAGTTTGTGTTTCCCATTCAGCCTAATGCATTTGGCAGGAAATTCAGATGAGCTGATTGGCTACAATGATATGGCAATGATACAAACTTCAGTTAAAAGCGTCATTTGCCTGCACTGGCATTCCTTTCAGCAAGATGACATTCCAGAAGCTTTTAATGAATTAAAGCCATATTGCCTGAAGAAGCCAGCAATGTACTGACTAGTTCAAAAATAATTATGTGCACAATAGGATAAGAAGACACTTAATGCAATGGTGTTGCTGTTTCATCACCAGTATTGCTTCTGCCAAATTTGTGGTCTCTGTATGAGTACATGTAGAATGAATTTCCACCTACTCACAATACAGAAGCATGGCACAGAAAACGGGGAAATTTAATAGGCAATGCTCATGTTGTTGTATATGGAATCATACAAGAATTTCAAAAAGAACAGTACCACATATAGAAGGAATGTGAACATATTCTCCAACGAGAGCCATGTCCGAAAAGACAAAAAGCAGCTATTCATCAAGATGCAACACTTCAAAATACAGTTAATGATCATGAAAGTCGGCCAGTTCTTACAGACTACCTCCATGCAACTGCCATAATATATCCCTGTAACACACATTGTCATATGTCAATTTTTTTTTTTTTTTTTTTTTTTTTTTTTTTAGTTTTCCTATTCTTAAATTGGCAGCTCTATTTTTTTTTTTTTTTTTTTGAGACAAGGTCTTGCTGTGTTGCCCAGGCTGGAGTGCAGTGGTGAGATCACAGCTCACTGTAACCTCTGCCCCCTGGGCTCCGGTAACCCTCCCACCTCAGCCTCCCTAGCAGCTGGGACCACAGGTGCGCACCACCACACCTGGCTCATTTTTATATTAAATTTTTTGTTTGTAGAGATGGGGTTTTGCCATGTTGTCCAGGCTGGTCTTGAAGTCCTGAGCTCAAGCGATCTACCTCAGCCTCCCAAAGTGCTGGGATTTCAGGCTTGAGCCACCATGCTGGGCCAAGCACTATTTATCTTACAATGTGCTATGCTATGTATTTCATCTTATCATTTCCAAAACTGGAGGTATAAACATCGGGAAGACTTACAGAGTTCTAATTTATTTTATGTACTTTTTGCAAATTTGACTCCAAAAAGGTACATTACCACAATGTTGACTGTGTGTAAGCACTGTCTGTGTACATAAAAGCACTGAAATGTCCTTAATAAATGAAGAGATATCCTTTTCATACATCTGCATTTGTGAAAAATAAAATTTCTCAAGATCTTAGTAGCTCTTTGGACTGCATATGCAGTGATGACCCATCACGGTTTTGATGGATGTCATCAAAAGACTGAGGTTGTCTGTCACAGTATTTCAGATGACCTCAGTTGTAAAAGCTATTTCTTCCTGAATATGGTTCATCTGCTCATAACTGTTATACCCATGAAACTGTCATTAGTATACCTGAGTGTTTCCGTTTGCAAAAATTTGTATGCTAATATTGCCTATTTTATTTTATAAAGTGACCTATGAAGTGTTCTGCTGTGTTTTTATGTTTCTCAAATAAAAATAAAAATTTTTAAAAATGTAAAATAAGTATCCTTTAATTTTTTTCCAGAATTGTATTTTCGGGATTTTTTTTTTTTTTTTTTTTTTTTTGAGATGGATTCTCGCTCTGTCGCCCAGGCTGGATTGTACAGTGGCACAATCTCTGCTCACTGCAACCTCCGCCTCACAGATTCACGCCATTCTCCTGCCTCAGCCTCCCAAGTAGCTGGGACTACAGGCACCTGCCATCATGCCCGGCTAACTTTTTGTATTTTCAGTAGTGATGGGGTTTCACCATGTTAGCCAGGATGGTCTCAATCTCCTGACCTCGTGATCCACCCACCTCGGCCTCCCAAAGTGCTGGGATTACAGGTGTCAGCCACCATACCTGGCCTGTATTTTCGGGATTTTGATCTTTCAGGATTGATTTTCAGGATTTTAGACTTTAGGGATTTTTATTCGGGAGTATGGTGCTCGTGGTTGTTTCTTTCTGGATTATGATCAGCTCCTAAATGGAAGTCACTGGGTGGGGTTTTGGGAAAGCTCTTGAAACACAGATTCATCTGGTTTTTACCTTTTCCCCTTAGTTCTTTCCCTTTCTTTCCAAGTGGAAAAAGATAGGATGACTGGAACTACAGAGGCCTCCTGGGAGCATAAAGAAGAACTTAAGAATGGCAGAGAACATCAGGAAGGAGCTTGGTTCCCTGGTGACGCCCTTGAGCCACAACATCAGCTCTGAACTGCCTGCTTCAGGGATCCTTATTATTTATAAGGGAAAGATATACTCTTGATCTTGTTTAAGCCACTGTTGTTGGAGTTTTTTCTTATTTTTGTTTGTTTTGTTTTGTTTCACCCTGTCTTAGGGAGCTGGGGAGTTGTTATATATAGCTGAACTCAATTACTAATTAATACACACAAAATAATACATTCCTCCCTGGTTTTTGACACCTTAGAGTATAATCCTTCACTTATTCTGCACCATACTCCAGTATAACTGTTACTCAGATTAGAGATTCCACAAATAAATTCTTGGAAGGTCCTTAATTCTATGTCATAATGTTTTTACCACTTTTCATTTTTATCATAATAAAAAATAATTAATATGAGCATATTATTAATCATCGAAATAATCATATATCCATGTACTGCCATGTAATTTAAACACCCCTTTGCCTCACATTAGGGCCCATAATCACCTTAAGTGACATCACTCAACTTCCAATTTGTTAGAAAACCTGTTCATGCTGTATTCATCTTAGCACATATAAATAAAACATTTCTCTTTTGCACTAATAATTTTAAAACAAAAGTCCTCCTGATTTGACATCATAAAAATAACATAATGTGATGGTGGAGTAATATACTACTTTTAAGTGTTGTAGGGCAATGAGAAAAGAAAAGGAGTTGAAATAAATACTACATGTTCACAGAAAATCATATACATTACAGCACAGTATTTTTTTGAGGCAGGGTCTCGCTCTGCTGCCCAGGCTGAAATGCAGTTCACTGTGTTCTTGAACACCCAGGCTCAAGCAATTATCCTGCCTTAGCCTCCAGAGTAGCTGGGACTACAGGCATGAATTTATGGCACAATATTTGGATGAAGATGTTGGAACAGTTTAAAAATGTAAAAATGTGGCAGAATCAAGGCACCAAATTGTAAAGGCGGGGAGAACTCTAAAGAACCTATTAACCAGGTAGAAGCTACTATACAATAGTAAAATAGTACCTTTGCTGAAGGCCCTCATAGCTATAATAACAAAATGCTAAAGTGAAAATAAAAGACCAGGTGGATAAAATTATAAATTTTATTAAATATTATACATTTAATTTTATTAATATTCACTAATCTTTAGAATCAAAAGATAGGCTAGGCACGGTGGCTCATGCCTGTAATCCCAGCACTTTGGGAGGCCAAGACGGGCAGATCACGAGGTCAGGAGATCAAGACCATCCTGGCTAACATGGTGAAACCCCGTCTCTACTAAAAATACAAAAAATTAGCTGGGCGTGGTTGTGGGCGCCTGTAGTCCCAACTACTGGGGAGGCTGAGGCAGGAGAATAATGTGAACCTGGGAGGCGGAGCTTGCAGTGAGCTGAGATCGCGCCACTGCACTCCAGCCTGGGCGACAGAGCGAGACTCCGTCTCAAATAAATAAATAAATAAATAATCAAAAGGTAGTAAACATTAAGTTGCTTTTATTATATTCTTAAATCCATCGCCAATCTCATGGAGAGGCTCTTAAACTTTGAGTACCATAAAATGAAAATATTTTTCCAGAATTACTATCAATATATTTCAACCTGGCAACCATGTTGACTAGTAGTTTTGAGAGAATAATTAGCTGATATATTAAGGCAATTAAATATATTGAGTCAAAAGAATAGTTATCACTCTACTTCAATATATTGTAAGTTTCATACAAATTGAAATCAACAATAAGACAATCAAGGTATTTTTTAAATTCTGAGAATAAAGTTTTTAAAATCTACTGATTGCCATCAGCAGTCAATGATAATCTCTATGCTGAAAAACAATGCTGCTTCTACATTTTCAAGAATTAAAAAATAACTTCAGGTGGCACTTCCCCATATCTGACATGGGCAATGATTGGATAAGACACTTACAGAGTTATCAAGTGACACTTGATTAAAAACTGAAATTCAGGCCAGGTGCAGTGGCTCATGCCTGTAATCCCAGCACTTTGGGAGGCCAAAGAAGGAGGATTGTTTGAGCCCAGGGGTTTGAGACCAGCCTAGGCAAGGTGGTAACACCCCGTTTCTACAAAAACAAAAAACAAAAAACCTTGAAATTCAAGGAGTTCTAGCTGGTGGAGTTTAGGTTAAGTATAATACACTATGTTAGCAATGCTATGAACTTAGGCAAGTAGACAATCTATGTATTAGCATTTATATTATGAAAGCCAAAATCAGAAGCACATTAAATATCGAATCAGCCTTTCTACCATTAAACTCAAAATTAATCATTAGGTTTCAGTAGAACAATAATACAACAATAATTGCAACTAAAGCTAATATTTTTTAGACAATTCTTATTTGCCAAGCACTGTTATGACTCATCACACCAAGAATCCTAATTATTATCAATAATTCTAATTTGACTAAATTAATTATCCTCATTTTAGAAATAAATAAGTCACTTGCACAAAGTAAATGGCAGAGCCAATATCTGAACTTAAGTCTTACTCTAGAGCCCATGCTCTTATTTATATTACATGGCCACTGGTATTACAATAGTAGGAAGATACTGTCTCAAGTCTGGTTCCCTATAAATTAATGTTGTTAATTTGATATTATCTGGTTTGATAGATTTAAGTTGAATTTGTAAGTACATTTTGATTTATAGCTGTATCAGAACTATAAATTTTATGTTTACATACATTTAAGTAGCATTATAATAAAAACTATTTAAGCCAGCACTAGTCACAAAGGTCCATGAAAATACTTTTTCTTTCAAAAGTTTGAGAAAAATTTCTTTACAGAAAAAAAAGGTATGAAAGGATTATGTCACTTTTTCAAAAGATGACAAAATTAATTAATAACGAAATAACAGTGAGTCCCTAGTTAGCTTCCACCTGACTTCAGTCACAACAATCTACCCAAAAATCCTTGTAGTCTCTCTGTTTACAAGGTTCTGAACCTTTTAGAGTTTGTTGTTGCTGTGTTTTAATGCCACTAGATCTCTACTGCTGATGCATGACAAAATTGACACAAAAAGAAACAGAAAACCTAAGTAACTATATGCCTACAAAAGAAATTGACTTAAAAAAACTTCTCCAAAAAGAAGGCTCAGGTGGTTTCACTGGTAAATTCTATCAAATATTCAAGGAAGAAATAACACAAAAATTATGCAAATATTTTCAAAAATATAGGGGGAAGAGAAAGCACTTCCTTCAACTTGTTTGAGGACGCCAGCATAACTTTTAAAACCAAAACCTGACAAAGCCAATATAATAAAGACAATTATAGATCAATATTCCTCATGAGTATTGATGTAAAAATCCTTTACAAAACGTGAGCAAATGTAATTCAACATAGTAGCAGTCTACAGGAGAAAAACCACTCAATTATTTCAATAGATGCAGAAAAAAGCATTTGACAAAATTCAGTACCCCTTTATGATAAAAACTCTTAGCAAACTAATAATGGTAGGGAATTCCCTCAAACTGATAAAGAGCATCTGTACAAAATCTACAGCTAATATATTTAATGTAAAAGACAACTATTTCCTTTTAAGATTAGGAATAAGGCAAAAATGCCCACCTGTATCACTCTTATTCAACATTGTACTAGAGGTCCTAGCACTGAAATAATATAGTCGGGGGTGAGGAGGGAGGAGAAAAGGCAGAAAAATTGGAACAAAAGAAGTAAAACTGATCCTATAATATATGTAAATAACATGGCTGTTTATGCAGAAATCACCGAGAATTCACAAAGCACTGCCAGAACTCATAATTGAATTTAGCAAAGTAAAGGATACAAGATTAATATTAAGAGCTCAATTATTTTCTACATACTAGCAGTAAAATATTTAAAAATTATATTTAAAGAAATTCTACTTATAGTAGTGCCAAAATATATGCCAAGGAATAATTCTTACAAAAGATGCCCAAGACTTCTATACTAAAAACAACAAAACAATGCTAACAGAAATTAAACATGACCTAAATAAACAGAAAGATATACCGTATTAGTGGATTGGAAGAGTCAAAATCATTAGGTTTGCAATTATTCCCAAATTTATCTATAGGTTTGATGCAATTCCAATCACGAAGGTCTTGCAAGTCACGTTAAAGACTTCAGACTTTATTATAGAGATAAGAAAATATTACAGGCTCACACCTATAATCCCAATACTTTGGGAGGCCAAGGTGGGAGGATCACTTGAGCCCAGGAGTTCAAGACCAGCCTGGGCAACACTGTGAAAATTTGTCTCAATTAAAAAAAATTTATATATATATATAGAGAGAGAGAGAGAGAGAGACAGAGACAGAGAGAGAGAGAGAAAGAGAGAGAGAGAGACAGAAAGTTAAGATGAAAGGGAATTAAATGTTTGAGCTTAAACTGTGATTTAAAACACATTCATAAAGGCTAGGTGGCTCATGCCTGTAATCTCAGCACTTTGGAAGACCAAGGTGGGAGGACCGCCTGAGCCCAGGAGTTTGAGAACAGCCTAGATGACATAGCAAGACTCCATCTCCACAAAAAGGAAAAAAAAAAAAAATCCTGACATAACTTCTACTTCCCCTAAAACAAAAACAAAAAAGAAGGAAAAGACATACAATCAATTTTGACAGATGTCAACAGTATGTTTCAGATTACCTATAAACCTTGTTTACAGAAGAATGAATACAGAAGGAAGTCAGACCATTCAAGTACAAAGCAGAGAATCAGCAACATTCTCCACTGACCAACGCAGATAAAAGCTTCTGGGTCTCTTCAAAGGGCCTCGGTGGCAGAAGTTCCAAGTATTCTGAATAGGTGAGGATCACATTAGGCTTTCTAGAATCTCAACTGCCCTGCCCTAAACCCAAACTGATATGCATAAAACTTAAGAAGTTCTGCCCACAGGCTCTTCTGGGTGTGTGTGAGATACAACTCATGTGAGCTGGGACAGTGCAGGGGTGAAGAGCCTGGACTCCACTGCCAGATGGCCTGGGTTTAAATCCTAGTTCTGGCCACTTGCTAGCTATGTGACCTTGGGCAAGTTATTTTACCTCTCGGTCCCTTAGTTTCCTTATCTGTAAAATGATAAGAATACTGACTTCACAGTGTTATTATGAGAATTAAATGAATTTATATCTATAAAATGTGAAAAAAATAATCACTTCATAATTGCTCACCTGAAATTAGGGGCTTTCCCCCCATTTTGGTGGTCTACCATGTAACTACAGAGAATAATACACAATATAGTGCAATACACTCACAAAGTGAGGCCCAGACAGCGAACATATACAATACAGCACAGTGCACTCAGGCACAAATGAGGTTCTCATTTAACATTCTGACTTCTTAGACTCAAGTCACTCCTAAATTTAAAGCAACATTATAAAACAAGGCTCATTTACCCAGACATCTCCGTCTCTGGGAGCCATGCAAACAGGCCCTTAGACCAACTATATGATCTATTCTGCAGCTCTCTGAACCATCAATCCATCAATCCCAGAGTTTTTTTGTTTGTTTGTTTGTTTGTTTGAGACAGAGTGTCACTCTGTTGCCCAGGCTGCAGTGCAATGGCACGATCTCGGCTCACTGCAGCCTCTGCATGCTGGGTTCAAGTGATTCTCCTGCCTCAGCCTTCTGAGTAACTGGGGTTACAGGTGCCCACCACCATGCCTGGCTAATTTTTGTATTTTTAGTAGAGACAGGGTTCCACTATGTTGGCCAGGCTGGTCTCAAATTCCTGACCTCAGGTGATATGCCCGCCTCAGCCTCCCAGAGTGCTGGGATTACAGGGGTGAGCCACTGCACCCAGCCCGAGTTTCTTTTAAGAGAAATCATATGGGCTTTTCAGTAGCATTTCTATTCAATAAATATTGTATGACAGTGGGCCACTAGGCACTGGGGATACTGCCATTAATAACAGTCATGAACTGTGCTCACATGGAACTCATGGTGGCAAGGCAGGAAGAAACAAAGAACTAATGATACAAGAAATAATTTTGCTGCAGTTCTATTAAGAATTTTGCAAAGACAGGCCAGGTGGGGTGGCTCACGCCTGTAATCCCAGCACTTTGGGAGGCCGAGGCAGGCAGATCGCGAGGTCAGGAGACTGAGACCATCCTGGCTAACACGGTGAAACCCCGTCTCTACTAAAAATACAAAAAATTAGCCGGGTGTGGTGGTGGGTGCCTGTAGTCCCAGCTACTCGGGAGGCTGAGGCAGGAGAATGGCGTCAACCTGGGAGGCGGAGCTTGCAGTGAGCCAAGATCACACCACTGCACTCCAGCCTGGGCAACAGAGCAAGACTCCATCTCAAAAAAAAAAAAAAAATTGCAAAGACAATACACTGAGTGCTAAGAGAGCATAAAACCATAAAAACCTGTTCCATTTTCAGTGTAAGCTTCTCTGAGAAAGTGGTATTTAAGTTAATTGCTGAAGAATTAGCAAGAATTCACAGATGAAGAAGGGAGGGGACAGACAGAGAGAAAAGGTTTTTCCAGTCAGAAGGAAAAGCACAACCAAAAGTCCTAAGAAAGATTCTGGAAGTCTTCCATGATACCTATCAAAAGTTATCCACCCTTAGCAACTACCTTGCAATATTCTAGCATCCCACAGACTCAGGATAATAGATGCCATGATCTAAAGTAATTCTTACCCTAACCACTTCTACCATACTTCACCTACCCATCTCCTAACAAATGCTGCTCACCAGCTCTTTGAGAAACTGATCCAGTTTAAGTCCTAACTTGAAATACAGTTATGTGACGCAAACTAGTTATACCTTTGCCAAGAAAATTAATTTTTAAAATAATTTGTAATATAATTTCTACGGTCGTGGAAAACAAACACCTTGATCTTAGTCAATAATTTGATACTGATACTATATCAAAAATGCAAGGCCAGGTGTGGTGGCTCATGCCTGTCATCTCAGCACTTTGGGAGGCCAATGCTGTAGGATCACTTGAGGCCAAGAGTTTGAGACCAGCTGGAGACCCTTTCTCTATAAAACATTTAAAAAATTAGCCAGAGGCAGTGGCATGAACCTGTAGTCCTAGCTACTCGAGAGGCTGAGGGAGGACGACTGCTTATGCCTAGGAGTTTGAGGTTATAGTGCACTATGATCATACCACTGCACTCCACCCTGGATGACGCAGCAAGACCCTATCTCTTCAAAAAAAGAAAAAAAAAGAAAAAGAAAAAAAAAGCAGCTTCAAAAATATCAGTGCAGGCCAGGCCAAGGCAGAAGGATTGCTTGAGGCCTAGAGTTCAAGACCAGCCTAGGCAACATAGTAAGACACTGTCTCAAAAAAAAAAAATCAGTGCAGCTACCTAAAATACTTATAAATACCTCAAAATTCTTAAGAACTTTCCCAATCATTCATGTTTTTTAATTTATATAATTTATACTAAGTAGGTTTTTAGTATACACTATCAGAAAAGGATTAAAATGAATTGCAATGGCATTCCACTCACTAAAATTGTTCCCCATGTGATGACTAGCAATATTATTCCATCACATTTTAAAGTGGTTTTCTCATCAATGGGCGAGATTTGACATGATTCATACTTTACAGCCCACTCAAAGAAGTATAGTAAATAGAAAATCTGAAAATTCTGTCTCAGAGTGAGTGATGTTTAACATTTTTAATTGCCTTTAACATAGCCTCATTCTCCTGATGGAATTGTCCAAGGCTTAACAGAGTAACAGTGTCTCATAACAAAGAATCTGTCCCCGATGCTTGAAAATACAGCCTCACCTTGGTAAATAAACTATAGGTGGGCTGATCCCAGATTTCAGAGAACAAAGTGAAATACATGTGCCTCCCCAGACTCCACTGGAACTGCCCTGGCCAAGGTCACCAATAACCTCTATATCAAGACATTCCATTGGCACTCCTCAGTCCTCTTCTCTTGGCTTCTCAGCAGCAATCAGAGCTGTTCTCTGCCTCACTTGAAACCCTCTCTTCCCTTAGCTTCCATGATACTGCCTTTCCTTATTCTGCTATTCTTGGTTTCCTTTGCTAGAGCACATCACTCTATTTTGACCTTTAAAACCAAAGTTTATCAGTGTGTTTTCTTCTCATAGTCTCACTAGATGAGGCTCTCCTTCACCCCTGTGGATCTGGTTATCAGACAATTAATATACAAATTAATATCTCAGTAAATGGCATTACCATCCCTTCAAATGCTGAAGCCCAAATCCTGCAAGTCACCCTTGACTCCAACACATCCTTCACATGTCTACGTAGAAGAACCTGCAGGGCTGGTTCAATTCCAAGAACTCATCCCTGGTCGCTGGTTTTCAAAACTACTATGTTTTACAAAGCTTCTGATTTGCATTGCTGCTACACTTCTGAAGGGTGTAGAAAAAGATGAAACATGCAGGCATGTATTTTCTTTGTGCAGAGTGGGTGAACCTTAAATTAGCATTTTAAATGTGGTAATAAGTTAATATTATATAATACTTTGTACCCAAAGTGTTGTACCCAAAGTGTTATATAATATACAAATTAATTCTTATATCTTCACTAGCTCTTAGGAAGGGAGGACAGGTCTTTCTTATCACTGTGAAATATTTGCTCATGGGAATGAGATCTGAAGCTACGGTGTATATCATTTTAATAGCCCCTCCATTCTGACTCTTATTTTTAGGTATGTGGATGGTGAGTGCTGAAAGTGGTATAATTGTTCCAGATGAGAGATGGTGAGTCAGTGACAATGTTGGGAATGTGAGTAACCTATTTTTATTCATAAAATGAAATATTTTAGAAACTCTGAAATAGGCTTAACAGACATCAAGATGACTTGAATTTCAGGTCACTGGTAACAGGACTAAGCCTCCCAATTTGGGGCCATACCACTCATTCTAGAAAATATTCAAAGAAGTAGAGAGGTCATTTTCCTGAGAAATGCAAAAGAATTTAAAAATTGACACGGTTTTAATTTGGTATTATGGTCCCTTTGCAAAAGCACAAAAATGTCCTTATCTCTTCCCATATAGTTCTAGAATGTATATTCTGACTCAATCTACTTATCTATTTTACAATTAATACTACACCATTTAAAATTACTGTAGCTGAATACTTTAAATTCAAGAAGGCAAACCCCTTCTCATTATTCTTATTTTTCAAAATTGTTTTCTAATTGCTAACTTTTTTTTTTTGAGACAGAGTCTCGCTCTGTCTCCAGGCTGGAGTGCAGTGGCGCGATCTCGGTTCACTGTAATTTCCGCCTCCCGGGTTCAAGCGATTCCCCTGCCTCAGCCTCCTGAGTAGCTGGGACTACAGGCGCGCACCACGATGCCCGGCTAATTTTTTGTATTTTAGTAGAGACGGGGTTTCACCATGTTGGCCAGGATGGTCTCGATCTCCTGACCTCGTGATCCACCCGCCTCGGCCTCCCAAAGTGCTGGGATTACAGGCATGAGCCACTGCGCCCAGCCTCTAACTCCTAACTTTTATGCAAAGTGTCCAGTATGCCATATCATATTAAATATGATATTAGGTATTTATTCCTATAACATTTTCTTATACTATGTTAAAAATGTTTTCTGTCTTTCTTAGTTGGAAAAGCTGTTGAATTTTATCAAGTATTTGGTCAAGTATAAATATGATATTTTTGTTTTTCATGTCGTAAGTTACATTTACAGATTTCTCAGCGTTGACCTACCTCAGATTCCTACAGCTACTTCTCAGTTTCTGTCACTGGCTCATCGCCCTTGCTTTGACCTTAAAACTAGGTTCATCAGTGGTCCTGGCATTCCTTTTCTCATGGTACTGTCTCATGAGATGATGCTTTCATCCACCTCTGTGAATCTGGTTAGCTGAGATATATACCCTAATGTTTCCCTAATTAATATCTCAGTAGCTGGCAGAGACATCTTCCTGGCTGCTGAGGCCTGAATCCCAGAATTAGATTTCTAAATATTTTTTAGGATTTGAGAGATCATTACACAAATACACTGCTTAGGGGCTGGACAGATGTGTGCCAGGGCCAGGCATCTTTGTGCTCTGTGATCCTTCTCTAAGTCCTGAATGCAGGCTATAGGAGGGTAGAAATTTTGCCCAGCACTGTCTTTAGCACCTTGAACAAAGCCTAACACACAGAAGGCATTCAAGAAACACTGAATGGGGCTGGGTGTGGTGGTTCCTGTAATTCCAACACTTTAGCAGGCCAACCAGGGAGGACTGCTTAAGCCTGGGTATTCAAGGCCAGCCTAGGTAATAGAGTGAGACCCTGTCTCTACAAAAGACTGGAAAAATTAGCCTTGTGTGGTGGTACGTGCCGTTAGTCCCAGCTACTCGGGAGGGTGAGGTGGGAGGATCACTTGAGCCTGGGAGGTTGAGGCTGCAGTGAGCCATGATTGGGCCACTCTGTCTCAAAAAACAAAAACAAAAACAAAACACTGAATGAATACTGAAGGAACAAAAGCAACTGGGTTCTCATGAATACTGTGATCTGAAATATGTCTACCCACCTGTTCTGTCCACCTGTACGCTCAACCTTCTACTTAGCATTGTGTCTCCCTGCCCCACTACCCCCAGCCCAATCTGACAAGAACAGAGGGCACTCCTGCCCATTCAGGATTACATTAAGCATAGCAATGATTCAGAGAGGGGAGGGGTCAACAATCCAACTGCAACACTCCCTAGATTAAAATCTTTCAACAAGTATGCATCGTTTTCATTGCAATCAAACTGACTCAGAAAGCCTGTACAATCTTTTGCCTAGTTCACTAAAGAAACCTAAGTGGGCTGGACTCAGTGGCTCACGCCTGTAATTCCAGCACTTTGGGAGGCTGAGACAGGAAGATTGCTTGAGGACAGGAGGTGGAGAACAGCCTGGGCAACACAGTAAGACCCTATCTCTACAAAAAATTATAATTTTTACAAAGAAGTCTAAGTGAAGAGAGGGCTGTACTATATACAATTTACAACAAAAGTGGAGAGCAAAGCTTGTGAATTAAGTAGGAGTGATGTGAATATGAAAGGGCATGTGTATTTGGTAGCAAAACTTTCAAACCGAACCCCAGTGCCCTTCAAAGAACTCAGCCAGTAGCTACCTGTGTGCAGGCAGCAGACTTTGCCCTGGGTATGGAGGCGTGGTAGAGAGAAACCGAAAGCTGAGTCAACCTTGCAGGTAACAGGGACAGAAATTGACAGCCAGCTGAGGTCTACTTAAGGAAGATGCAAGATGTCATGCAGTATTTTAAACTTCACTTGGTGCTATGGTTTGAATGTATCCCCTCCAAAATTCACGTTGAAACTAATCCCCATTGCGGTTTTAAGAAGTGAAGCTTTTTTTTTGGAGACAGAGTTTCACTCTTGTCCCCCAG
The DNA here is from genome assembly GCF_000001405.40 of Homo sapiens. Lineage (NCBI taxonomy): Eukaryota > Metazoa > Chordata > Mammalia > Primates > Hominidae > Homo > Homo sapiens. The sequence continues at coordinate 112,556,051 of NC_000009.12, read as the reverse complement.
GCTGGAGTGTGCAATGGTGCGATCTTGGCTCACTGCAATCTCTGTCTCCCAGGTTTTCAAGTGATTCTCCTGCCTCAACCTCCAAAGTAGCTGGGATTATAGGCACGTGTCACCAGGACCAGCTAATTTTTGTATTTTTAGTAGAGACGGGGTTTTACCATGTTGGCCAGGCTGGTCTTAAACTCCTGACCTCAAGTGATCTGCCCGCCTTGGCCTCCCAAAGTGCTAGGATTACAGGCGTGAGCCACCGCACCGGGTCAAGAAGTGAAGGCTTTTAAAAAGTGATTAAGTCATGAGGGTTCCACTCTTATGAATAGATTAGTGCCTTACAAAAGAGCTGGAGGAAACTAGCTTAGGTCCTTCTGCTATTCGAGCGCACAGCGTCTGTCCCTTTTCTGCCCCTTCTGCCATGCGAGCATACTGTGAGCATACTGTGAGAAGACGAGAAGATGCCATCCATGGAGCAGAAGGCAATGAACCTGCTGGAATCTTGATCTTGGACTTTCCAGCCTCTAGAGATATGAGAAATAAATTTCTGTTCTTTATAAATTACCCAGTCTCAGATATTTTGTTACAGCAGCAGAAAGGAGCTGAGGCACTTGGTTTCCAAGAGGCATTTATCAAGGCAGGAGGGTGAACACCATGATCACCCACTCTGTATAGTGCAATGTCTGTCTTACTTGTTTCTCAACTCTCCCACTTGCCTGGCCTCTGCTCATGGGATCTCAGGAATGTCCATGGCAACTAAAACTATAAATGACACTCACTCTTAATGAGACACTCCTTCAAAATATTGCCTGGAGGTAAGCTCTAAGACAGATGCTCTGTGCCCAGGAGATGGAACAAGCAACCACGCCTACCACCTCCAAACCAGGCCTTGCTGCTCCAGTTTGGGGACAGTCTATGTTCCTTTTGGAAGAACTCACCCACTAATTTTTCTGGGAGGATAAAGTTAGGGGAGAAGACTTTTCTTTGACTTGTGTTAGGTGCTCAGCACTAATTACCTTTCTGTGTCGTCAGAATCTGATTCAATCTTTTTCCCTTCTTGCAGTATTTTTGTTTTTAGTTCTTCTGAAGTCCTCCTTTCTTGTTTTCCAGAGTCCTCACAGATTTTAACTCTTTTTTCTTAGTTGTCATTTCATTTGGTTTTAAGACCCCTGGGCTCAGCTGACTAGGAGCCAATGCACACACTGTAACAGTGGCTCCAAATCAGGCTGTACAGTGAAATCATCTAGGGTTCTTCCAAATCAGGCTGTGCAATGAAACTGCCCAGGGTTCTTCCAAATCAGGCTGTGCAGTGGAATCACCTAGGATTCTTGTTAGAAAATACAGGACCTGTTTCTTAGCTAAACCACAGAGATTCTGAGTCACCGACCAAGAGGTTGGGTTTGGGAATCTGTGTTTTTATCTAGTGTTTGTAGCCAATATAAGAATGTGCATTTGAGAACCATGGTTCTACATAATTTTTAATGATGGATATATTATAATTAACCAATCCTTTACTTTTGGACATTTTGTTTAGCTCTATTCTAATTATTATTATTATTATTGAGATGGAGTCTCACTCATTCTGTCGCCCAGGCTGGAGTGCAGTGGCACGATCTCAGCTCACTGCAACCTCTGCCTCCCGGGTTCAAGCGATTCTCCTGCCTCAGTCTCATGAGTAGCTGGGATTACAGGCGCACACCACCATGCCCGGCTGATTTTTGTATTTTTAGTAGAGATGGGGTTTCACCATGTTAGTCAGGCTGGTCTCAAACTCCTGACCTCGTGATCCGCCCGCCTCGGCCTCCCAAAGTGTTGGGATTACAGACGTGAGCCACCGCACCCAGCCTGTTCTAATTATTAACTAATGTAAGTGCCTTCATGAACATCTTTTTATATTCACGGTTTTTTACATACCTCTATGTCATTTTGATAAATGCTGAGACATAGAATCAAAAGAAGAAATTTCTGTAGTTCTTTTGGTCAAACTGCCTTTAAGCTAGGCTCTGCTGCAGACTGATCCTACTTACAGTACATGATACCATCTATTTCCTACCTCTCTGCCTAGGTATGATGGCATTATTTTTTTCAATCTTTGCTAGTTTTAGAGGTGAAATTATATCTTATTGCTGAACTACTTTATAACTATGAAAATATTTATTCATTCAATAAATATTTCTTGAACACTTATCAGGCCTTGTGAACAATGTGCACAAAAAATAAACATGGTTCTTACTCTCATTTATGTAGAAAGTATCTGATTAATCCCATAATGAAACAAATAAACCTAGTTACTGGTACTCATTATCAACACTGTGTGATAAGTGACGTCATTAGATCTTATAAAGCAGAGATTTGACCTATTTAGAAATGTCTTCAAAGGCTCCCCTGAGAAATTAACAATAAAGATAACAGTACACAGTGTAATGTAGCACTTACTATGTTGTTCCAAGCTCTATTCTAAGCACATCAGAAATATTAACACATTGACCTTTATAAGGCAGTACTATTATTATCTCCATTTTACAGATAAAACTGAGTTGGAAAGTTTAAGAAATGTGTCCAATGTCAAAAAGCTAGTAAATAAGGGAACCAGGGCCAGGTGCGGTGGCTCACACCTGAAATCCCAGCACACTGAAGCAGGAGGATGGCTTGAGCCCAGGAGTTTGATCAAGACCAGCCTGGGCAACACAGCAAAACCTCATCTCTACAAAACAAAAAAATTAGCTAGATGAGCTGTAGTCCCAGCTACTTGGGAGGCTGAAGCCAGGAGGAATGCTTGAGTCTGGGAAGTCAAGGCTACAGTGAGCCAACGATCATACCACTGCACTCTGGCCTGGGTGACAGAGTGAGACCCTGTCTAAAAGTAGGAAAAGAAGGGGAGGGGAGAGGGGAGAGGGGAGAGGGCAGGGGAGGGGAGCAGAGGGGAGGGGAGGGGAGGAGAGGAGAGGACAAGGAGAGGAGAAGAAAGGAAAGGAAAGGAAAAGGGTGTGGAGGGGAGGGCAGAGGATGGGGGAAGGAATCAGGATTCAAACCAAAGTGATCTAACCCGGGGTGAGTACTACTAACCAATGCCATCTCTCAAGTGACATTCCTGAACCCTGTGCGCGCACCAGGCTCAGTGCTCCCCGCTCTTCCCCATCATAAAGGGATGATGTGCTGCACTACTCCAAAGAAATGGCATACAGCTCCATGCCAACTTGAATGGTACACAGCTCCATGCCGACTTGAATTGTACACAGCTGCATGCCAACTTGGAGCTAAGAGTTGTTGAAGATGATCATGAATGGATATCTCCTCCCTCTCGCTTCCTGAGCTGTAGCCAATGTTCCACCCTACACATGCAACCCCAGAATATCTGACTAAGGCACTGGAGAGGGAAAGAGGAGCGTTTTCCTTGTTTTTAAGTGAGTAATCCCAAATTCACTATGTTGATGATTTCTTGCTAATCATCCTGTGTTATAACATATTTGAACATTAAGCATCACTGTTTCACGAGGATGTGAGGAAAAAATATCCACCATTTTCAGTTTTTAAACCTCTCAAGTGAAGAGTGACTGCCTCTTATAATGACCCTCCCTGGCACAGGCCTGGTTCCCACAGGCTGGCAGTCTACTTTTCTATTTATAGTTAACACATTAGGCCTGTGAACACTGAGAGTGGATTACTATGAACACGGTGTAAGCTGACTGAGCATTAGAAATAAGAATGGTAAAGGTTTAAAACCAAAGACTCTTAATCCTCTGTCAGTCCACCCAACTTTGAGAGTTTAAATTATGGCAACTTAAAGAAGCATGTTCCAGAGGTTTCTGTGAGGAACATTTACTCACTTTGGGCCCTGGACATGTAAGTGAACTAAATTCTCTAACAGATTGTTAAGCAAACACTCAATACTCTCACAAATAAAACTACAGGGATCCTCGTGGTCCAGATGTTCATTAACTATGACCCTATAATGATGAGGCAAAAGCTGTCACACACAAAAATATTCACCAATGAGCTGACCAGTCCCCATTCAAACTACCCACCTAGTATCTACTTCTGGGAACCTGTTTATGTCACTCTGATTTTTAGATGCTGGAAACATGAGACTATACAAGTAGGATGAACATAAACTGGAACTATAAACCACCAAAGATGCAGGATTTGAACAAGTCAGTCACTTAACAATGCTAGAGAACTGCTTTAATCACATGCAAAGCCATTTTAACAAAGGAACGTCTGGCAGAGTTAGACCAGATACAATTAGATCAGACAGCAACTGTGGAGAATTCTCAAGGATGATACAACAGGTACTTCAAAAGAGAATGAATTAACTCTCTAAGAACTGAGAGAGGCCCCTGGGAAAACTAGAGAAGCCAAGGGACATTTCTGCAAAAACATCCCTCTCTTCTTGACCTGGTAAAGGATACTGTATTATGTTCTTATATAATTTTGTCAGAAAAACTATGTCCCTAAAATGAGTACTCAAGTCACTTCTTTTACATTTTAAGGATTAGCACAGTTTCAATTATGTAACTTTTGTTGAATATAAGATTTTTAAAAAATACTTTTTACCATCTTCAGTTTATGTTTTCAAATTAAAGCCTGTGCTATATCAGCATTAAATAGGAATAAAATTCTGATACTGGCTAACAACATGGATGAAACTTAAAAGACATTATACTAAGTGCAAGAAGCTAGTTAAAAAGACAAATCCCGTATGATTCCACTTACATATGAGGTGCCTGGGGCAGCCTAATTCAAAGAGACAGGAAGTACAACAGTGGTTACCTGGAGCTGGTGGATCAGGGAATGGGGAGCTATTTTTTAATAACACATCAAATTTTCAGTTTGGGGATGATGAAAAAGTTCTGGAGATGGATGACAGTGATAGTTATATAACATGTGAATGCATTTAATGCTACTGAACTGTACAGTTAAAATTAACATCTTTTATATTATATATATTTTACACAATTTTTAAAAACTCATAGTAAAACAGGGAAAGACAAAACTATAACCTCCCTAACTTAAAAAAAAAAAAAAAACAACTATGCAGTAAAGTGTTAATTCATCAGGCCAAGGTTGCTCAAACCCCATTCATTCAAAGAAAGGAGGACTGACCCATGACAGGCTCCTGAGAGAGAAACTCTTAAGTTTGTGGAATATCTTCCTCATAAGAGTATTTTGCTGGTAGCCTTGAGCCACACTGTACCTGTCTGACCTCTGAGGAGCTGGAGACTGAGTAACTAAGGTCAGTCGCACAGGTTCACACAGGTGATAGGTTCACACAGGTGATACAAGTTTACATGACTGACAAATAAAAACCCTGGACACCTGGGTTGGGTGAGCTTCCCTGGTTGGTAATACTTCACATGTTTTGTCATGCATTGTCGTTGGGAGACATTCCTCATGTGATTCAACTGGGAGGGCCTACCTGGAATCTGACTCCTGGTTCTCCAGGACTTCATCCGTCTGCCTTTTCCCTGCACTGATTTTAATCTGTATTCTTTCGCTGTAGTAACAATAACTGTGAGCATAAACAGCTTTCTGAGTTCTGTGAGTCCTTTTAGTGAATCACAGCCTGAGGTGGTCTTGAGGACCCCAACACAAAGCCCCAGTCAAGTTCCCTCACTCTCTATGATAAAATTTGTATCCCTACTTCAAGTGGGTTCACTTTAAATGCCCCTTCAGTAACAGAATCTGTAGGGGACACATTCAAACCATAGCAGTTATCCTCCCTTACATAGATTCATCAGTGATCCTCACTAGATGGGTAACCCAGAGTTCAGACTTGCTAGAATAGTTATTCTCAGCCATAGTGCTTTACCATTAGTGTCTGCAGATACACTCAGAATGGTTACTAGTTACTTATCAACAGATTTACCTCAAACTCTCCATCAAAGGCTCCAAACAGCCAAAGAGAAGACATCCCAAATTATCAACACGGCTCTGAGGCCTCTAACTCTGAACATTGCCAGGCTTACCTCTCAAGCCTAATTCCTTCCCATTCAAACATTGAGCTCCAGCCACATTAAACTCAGTCCAGTTAGCCAAATCATGGTAACTCAACTCTAGTAGATCTTTGCAAATGCTGCCATTCTTTGGCTGGCAAAACACCTTCCTACTCAAATTTTACAACTTGATTTACAGCAGGATTTCTCAACCTCAGCACTATCAACTTTGTGAGCTAGATAATTATTTGTTGTGGGAGACCATCTTGTGCACTGTAATATGCTTTGCAGCATCTCTACCCACTAGATGCCAGTAGCATACACCCACCTCCAAGTCGTGACAACCAAAAATGTCTCCAGACATTGTTAAATGCTTCCTCCCTTTTCATCCCCATTTGAGAACCACTGACTTAGACTCATTTCTGCAGCTCTTCCCCTCGCCCCACCGAAGGCTTGGTCCATTGCTTCCCTGGAGCCCTATGTTACCCTATTTAAATGTCTACCCCTACCAGAGTATTAGCTCCTTCAGCAGAAGGCTTATGGTTTTATTAATCATTATACTTTCAGCTCCTAGCCCAGTTTCCAGCACACACTGAGGCATCAATAAATACTTGTGGACTAACTAAATGAATAGAACAAAGCAGTGTTGAAAGTCCATAAACAATGAGTGAAGACAAGAAAGTGGGAAGTTAAGGATATACAGAAAACAGCAAACACTTTCATTTCCTTGAGACTAGAATAGGCTAAGGGAAGTAGCAAGATACAAGTTATGAAAAATAATTTGTAATAGTACGGAGAGTTATAAAACCCAAGGGAAATAATCTGAACTTTATTGAGAAAGAGAAATGAGGATATGGAAACATGTTTGTTACAGTCCTTTTCCACAATGCCATTACTGAGTTTATATTATCTGTCAAGCAATATAAAGGTGCATATGTCGTTACCATCTTGAATGAAATATTTTTCTTGACATGTCAGAAAACTAAACACTATATAATCTAGTCATCCAGATATTTGCTATTATGTTTATATAGCTTGCTAGAGCTGCCATAACAAAATACCACAGACAGGATTCCTTAAGCAACAGGAAGTTATTTTTTCACAGTTCTGAATGCTAAAGGTCCGAGACCAAGCTGTCAGCAGGACTGGGTTATCCCAAGGCCTCTCTCCTTAGTTCCTAGATGACTGTCTTCTTCTGGTGTCTTCACATGGTCTTCCCTCTGTGCCTGTACAAATCTCTATCCAAATTTCTACTTCTTATAAGGACACCGGTCATATTGATCAGAGGCCAGCCTAAAGACCTCATTTTAACATAAATTACCTTTTTAAGGACCTTATCTCTAAATATGATTATATTCAGCCCATAGCAATGCTGAGAAATATTTGGAAAAACAAGATGCTGAAATTATTCATTTATTCCAAAAACATTAAGACTACTATGTAGCAAATACTATGCCAAGGCACCAAAGAGTCAATGTTACCTTAAAGATACATTGCTTGTCCTCGCAGAGCTTACAATCTAGTAGCTCAAAATCTAAACAAAACAAGTAACAACAATATAGCCTGATTTGGATATGATGACACAAAGGGTCAAACTATGGAAAATATTTGGAGAGATTTATTCTGAGCCAAATATGAGTGACCATGGCACATGACACAGCCCCAGGAGATCCTAAGAACATGTACCCAAGGTGGTCAGGCTACAGCCTGGTTTCATACATTTTAGGGAGGCATAAGACACCAACCAATACATGTAATATGTATACTGATTTGGTCCAGAAAGGCAGAACACCTCGAAGAGGGTGCTTCCAGGTCATAGGTGGATTCAAAGATTTTCTGAATGGCCGGGCGCAGTGGCTAACACCTGTAACACTTTGGGAGGCCAAGGTGGGCAGACTGCCAGAGCTCAGGAGTTCAAGACCAGCCTGGCAACACAGTGAAACTTATCTCAACAAAAAAATTAGCTGGGTGTGGTGGCGCTTGCCTGTAGTCCCACCTACTTGGGGGACTGAGGTGGGAGGATTGCTTGAGCCCAGGAGGTTGAGGCTGCAGTGAGCCAAGATGATGCCACTCCAGCCTGGGAGAAAGGGCAAGACCTTGTCTCCAAAAAAAAAAAAAAAAAAAAAAAAAAAGATTTTCTGACTGGCAATTGGTTGAAAGGGTTAAGCTATTATCTACAGACCTGGAATCAACAGAAAGAAAAAAGTATCTGGGTTAAGATAAGAGGTCCTGAAGCCCAAGGTTTTTATAATGCAGATAAATCCTCCAGGCAGCAGGCTTCAGAGAGAATAGATTGTAAATGTTTCTTAATCAGACTTAAAAAGGTGCCAGAGACTGTTAAGTTAATTCTCTCCTGGACCAGGGAAAGATCTGGAAAGGGAAGGAATTTTCTACAGAATGTAGATTTTCCCCACAAGAGACAGCTTCGCAGGGTCATTTCAAAATATGTCAAAGAAATATATTTTGGGGTAAAATACTTCAATTTCTTTCAGCGCCTTCTGTCGTGTTGGTATCTTACTGCTACAAAGAGTCTGTTTTGTCAGTCTTAAGGTCTCTATTTTAATGTTAATGCTGGCCAATTGTGTCTGAACTCCAAAGGAAGGAGGGTATAATGAAGCATGTCTGACTCCCCAACCCCGCATCATGGCCCGAACTAGTTTTTCAGGTTAACTTTGGAATGCCCTTGTCCCAGAAAAGGGGTCCGTTCAGTTAGTTGGGGAGACTTAGAATTTTTTTTTTTTTTTTTTTTTTTTGAGACAGAGTCTTGCTCTGTCACCCAGGCTGTGGTGCAGTGGCACAACTGTGGCTCACTGCAACCTCCATCTCTTGGATTCAAGTGATTCTCAGGCCTCAGCCTCCTGAGTAGCTGGGACCACAGGCACGCACCCCACTCCCAGCTAATTTTTTGGTATTTTTAGTAGAGATGGGGTTTCGCCATGTTGGCCAGGCTGGTCACAAACTCCTGGTCGCAGGTGATCTACCCGCCTCGGCCTCCCAAAATGCTGGGATTACAGGAGTGAGCTACCGCGCCAAGCCAGGGAGTGGTGGCATGCGCCTGTGGTCCCAGCTACTTGGGAGGCTGAGGCAGGAGAATCGCTTGAACCCAGGAGGCGTAGGTTGCAGATCACACCACCACACCCCAGCTTGGGCAGCAGACGGGACTGTCTCAAAAAATATATATATATACATATTTCTTATTTCTGGTTTACAACTCTGGTAGGAAAGCTCAGGGTGTCAAGGAGCACAGAGAGGCAGTAGCTAACCTAGTTCCCAACGAGTCAAGGAGTGCTTCCTAGAGAAAAGACGAGTTCATACTTGAAGGATAACCATGATTAAATTACACAGGGCAGAGAGAGTGAGAGTATTCCAGGTAAGAGAGGACATAGAACTCTGAGAAACATAAAATTCAGTACAGCAGAAGCATGTAATATACAACAATCATAATATTTGTTCAATTCAAACTATATTCCTTTCTACAGGGCAAACCTCAAAATTGGAGTTCAGTTTGGGAGGCCACATGGGTTCATGGCTTCACACAGGAAGGAATTCAAGAGCCAGCAGACAGAGTAAAGTGAAAGCAAGTTTATTAAGAAAGCACTGCACTCCAGCCTGGGCAACAGAGTGAGACTCTGTCTCAAAAAAAAAAGGCAAAGGAATAAAAGAGTGGCAGCTGCATAGGAAGAGCAGCTGTGATGGCTGCTAGTTGGCTATTTTTATGGTTTTTCTTAATCATATGCTAAACAAGGGGTGAATTATTCATAAGTTTTCTAGGAAAGGGGCAGGGAATTCTTGGAACTGAGGGTTCCTCCCCCATCAGACCATATATGGTAGCTTCCCTACATTGCCATGATGACTGTAAACTGTCAGAGTGCTAGTGGGGGTTTCCTCTAGTATGCTAATGTATTATAATTAGCATATAATGAGCAGTGAGGACAACCAGAGGTCACTTTCATTGGCATCTTGGTTTTGGCGGGTTTTGGCCAGATTCTTTACCTCATCCTGTTTTCTCAGTGGGGTCTTTATGACCTGTATCATGTGAAACCAGTCCTGCAGAACTCCTATCTCATTTCTAGGTCATCAATATTACACAAATTTGCCAGCCTCAAAATAAGTATAAATTTAGCTAACTCAAGGACACTCTACTACTAGATGCTCTAAAATGCCTTAAGATCAGGAGAGACTCACAAAGCATCTGACAAGTTTATGTATTTCATACATCAATAATATCCAAATCAATAAAGGCCAAGATCCAAGAATGGCAGCCATTATTCTTTGAAATTCACTAAAAAAAAAAAAAAAAAAAAACAAAGAAACCTGTGTATCACTAAAGAAATATTTATCTAAAAATGCTAAGACAAATCTTTCATGAATATGGGACCCAAAAAGAAAATAAAAAACAACAAAAGTGCTAACCAGACCAGAAGTCTGCCTTTCCAATTCATCTCCCAGATGCTCTGTAAGTAGAAAAACTCCCTCCTGGCAAATAGCACGAATCCTAAGTGTTAAAAAGACATGTTTCAAAGGGATGATAGCATTTCCATTTACATGTATTTTTCTGCTGCTAAATAAGTGATAAATGTCAAGTAAAATATGATCATTTCATATGTTCAAAAAAAGTACAAAAATATACATATTTTAATAGAATGGCATATAACAAGAAAAGCCAAACCCTGACTTGACAGTTTCTTCCTTTCCAGTCTTATTCTTTTTCCCATTCTCCCTCAATATGGTTTAAATTCTGACTTCATTACAAGTACCTAAGTTCATACATAAGCAAAGCAATTTACCATGCAGTCAAAAGGTGAATATAGGTACTGATGGGGAACTTAACAGTAAAAGACATCAATGACCCACAGTATTATACTCCAAGATCTTAAAGATCATCAGGTAACAACCGTTTCTGTGACCACGTACACATTTTATTTTCTGCAAAACAAGCAGATTTGGGATCATTAATGGAGGTCAACGGTAGACCAGAAAAACTAAGGATGAAACTTTAAAAGGTCATGATGATTCTGGAAGTTTCTGTTTGAATTCACAAATGACCAGTATCAATAGTCCTTGAGGTTTTATAAGTACCTTAAGAGTCTGAGCCCTCACATTAATGAACTGAATCCTAAGCAGAGTTTTTGATCGCTGGGGCACTCAGGATTTCAGAAACAATACATTTAAAAATAAGATTAATATGATGGTATAGTGTGGAAAGTTAAAATTAAAAAAAAAAGATTAAAAATTAGATTGTAGCTGGGGAAAATTTCTTTTCCTAAGATGAAGTTTCACTGCTTTGAAAAGTAGAAGTGTCTCTTGAAAAAGCCTCCAAGGCAAAAATAATGGCAGCACATCCTCTACATTTCCTTGGTCAGCTGCTTTCCTATATAGCAGTCTCCGGTATACTGAAAGCCAACATGTGGAAATGTATAAGTTGCAGAGCTTAACAAACACACTTAAGAAAAATTAGTCATTTCCACTGACCTTGACTCTCTCCAGGATGGCAGAGTAGATTACAGAGCTCTGACTTTTAATGTGCTTAACAGATTCAGCAACTGGGGGCTGCCCCCTAAATAGTCACATGACTTTGAGCAAGTCCCTTCACCAATCCTGACTTATTTATTTATTTATTTATTCATAACTGAACCATTAACTGAACACCTATTCTCTTCTAAGCACTGTGCTGTGTCAGAAATACAGCATTAAATAAGATAGATGTGGTCCCTATTCCCACTGAATTTAAAGTCTAGCTAGAAATGCCAACAACTAAGCAATTACAAAATAGCATGGCATGAGTTATAGTGCGAAAGCAATTAGAACTCTGAGTTTTTCATGAGTAAAACAAAAGGATTGAATAGTGGTCTCGCAGGGCCCTCTCAGATCTGACATTCATTCAAGTCTAATAGTACAGAAAAATTTTGAAACTTTTCAAATCACTAAACATTTTCCCTCCACTTTACAGTAAAGAAGGCTACAGATAAGAAAAGGGCTAAACAATGAATCTAGTATTCTGTGAAGCTGTGGGGAAAGAGGATTTTAGTGCACAAAGGTTGGATATACAAGAAAAAAGGGCATCTTTACTAAGACAATAGAGACATAGACAAGGCTTACCATCCATATCCTTTAGTTAATGGGCAAAATAGCAATACAAATAAAAGGAAAATAGATAGTTCCATGACAGACATTTCATATATGTATTCATTAAAAACAAACTTTAGGCATCTTCTACACACAATAAATTGTGCTAGATGCAATAGCACAGCAAATATAAATTGGACATGGGTATTGACTTTAAGAAGCTCAGAACTGTGGGAGGCCGAGGCGGGTGGATCATCTGAGGTCGGAAGTTCGAGACCAGCCTGACCAACACGGAGAAACCCTATCTCTACTAAAAATACAAAATTAGACAGGCATGGTGGCGCATGCCTGTAATCCCAGCTACTCAGGAAGGCTGAGGCAGGAGAATCACTTGAACCTGGGAGGTGGAGGTTGAGGTGAGCCGAGATCATGCCACTGCACTCTAGCCTGGGCAACAAGAGCAAAACTGGGTCTCAAAAAAAAAAAAAAAAAAAAAAGAAGCTCAGAAGCTCAATGGTAAAGTGGTAAAGTTAATGATAAAATTAAGCATTTTACAAATTCCTTTGTACAAACCTCAGAAAACTAATATCCCACACAAAACACCATATAACCAAGGTGTCAGCAAGATCTGGCCCACTCAGCATCCATTTACTAATGGTTATTAGTGGTTAATATTTTGCTCAGAGATACATGTGAAGTTGATGGTTACTTCTGAGTGCCCATAAAATGTTAAGTCCAAATATTTTACTAATATTTGAACTTCTGGTTTTTCCAAAAAATGTGCACCCACAATGTGTTTTACTGCTGCTTTAAAACAAACAAACAAACAAACAAACAACAACAACAAAAACAAATAGGCTAAGAAATTTGGGTTGTTACTGGCAGTAAGCCTCTGGGTGAGCACTATTCAAGCTGCTCAGAGCTTTGATCTGCTCAAGATAGATCCAGGTCATGAAGAATGCTTGATTTATGAGATCTGTGAGTAGCAAACTGTCTAAAGCCTCAGAATTTCTTTTCTGAAATACCAAAACAAAATGAAGTGAGGAACTCCCGAAGCAAGCCATGTAATTTTCCAGTTTCTATTATGAGTAAACTTAAACTTGTATCATTTTGCACATGGTAACTACACTAAACTCTTCAGCCCCAAAATACTGCCTGCCATACCAGTCTCACCAGCCTGAGCACCTGTGGTCCTTAAATCTCATGCAGTGGCTTGCAGGCCTTCCTTCTAACAAGAACCTTTATTTCTTTAGTGTTATTAATCAGTCTGTTCTGAACACTCAGCCCAGCTGTTTTCAATATCCCCCTCTTTTTGTCTTGGTTTTCCCAGGGCAGATGCAGTAATAAATAATGGTTCATCTCATGCAGAGAGAGAGGGCTCTAAATTAATTTGCCAAGAACTATTCACTAGGAGCCAATTCATAAATAGATCAATTCACTGAAGATACCAAATTTATACTTTTTCACTTTTCGAAGATTTCAGTGAAATTTTAGTAGAATGATTTACACTCTGCTTCATAGCAGGATTTTAAAAACTAATTTGTAAAATGCAAAGAGTTGTAGAGTAGTTTAGTCTTCATATGAATATATTCTTTGTGAAAATATTCAATAAATGTGAATATTTTCTTTATAATGATTATATTCATGAATATATCCTCTTTATGAATATATTCATGAATATATTCTTCTTTACCCTATTGGGAAAACTTTTTAATACAGTTTAAAATTAATGAACATGAATATATTCATGAACATTTCCATAAGTTTATATTCATATTCATGAGCTATGTTCTTGACCATATTGGGACATTTTAAACCTGGTTTAAAATTTAATAAAGATCAATATATCATTAAGAACATATTCATATTTTCATCAGCATATTTTCATATTCATGGTCTGTACTCTTGACCATATTGGGAAATATGAACTCAGTTTAAAATATGACAAATATCAATAGATTTATTAAGAGTACACTCATATTCATTCCACAAAAGTATACTTGCAAGGCAACTAACCCATCTAGTAATTTTAACCTTTAACAAAACGAACGTTCCTTAAAGCAGTGCTAAGAAAAATATATTTGCTTATTTTTGGCAAATAGGCATACTTCCTTGTAGAAGAGCTCTTATCTCCAACACACATCGGCCCCAAGATTTATTCAGTGAAACTCTTTTGGGCACATGCCAGTGATGTCCCAGTATTTCTCAGATCTCACAGGCTCTGTAACATCTGTTTTTGTTGTTTTATTCTTTTTTTTTTGAGACGGAGGCTCACTCTGTCACCAAGGATGGAATGCATTGGTGCAATTTCGGTTCACTGCAACCTCTGCCTCCCGGGTTCAAGCAATTGAATCCTCAGCCTCCCGAGTAGCTGGGATTACAGGCACCCACCACCATGCCCAACTATTTTTTCTTGTATTTTCAGTAGAGACAGGGTTTCACCATGTTGGACGGGCTGGTCTCGAACTCCTGACCTCTGGTGATCTGCCCACCTCAGCCTCCCAAAGTGCTGGGATTACAGGCGTGAGCTGCCATACCCAGTCTTTGTTGTTTTATTCTAACATACTGATTTGGTATACATCTAGGACTAACAGGGTTTTTGCCTGAATGTAAGAACTTCTATCAGTCCTGTGGGCTGATTATCACCCTCTACCTTTGGGTATTATTTTTGCTCTACATTTTAGGATTGCTTTTCTTAATTTTTTTTTTTTTTCATTTAATTTTCTGATTTGGATACTCTGTTTCACTCAACTATTTTAATGTTAGATGAAAATGTCCTTAACCCAATCAATAATATTTATCAAAAAACATAAAACTTTGAAACTGAAACAAGACTGCCATTAAAAATTTAAAACAAGGACGCTTACTCCCATCATCATTCAAAATTGTTCCAGATATTCTAACCTATGCAATAAGCCAAAAATATTGGAAAGGAATCATAAAACCAGCATTACCTCCAGATGATACCACTGTTTACCTAGAAAAAAAGTAATGGATCAAAAAGAAACCACATCAAAATTAATAAACATAGATTATGAAACTCCAGGCCAGGCTCGGTGACTCACCCCTGTAATCCCAGTATGTTAGGAGGTGGGGGTGGGCCAACCGCTTGAGCCAGGAGTTCAAGACCAGCCCAGGCAACACAATTAACTCTGTCTCTACAAAAAATAAAAAATAAAAAAAAATTATCCAGGTGTGGTGGCAACCTGTAGCCCTAGCTACTCAGGAGGCTGAGATGGGAGAATCACCTAATCCCGGGAAGTCGAGGCTACAGTGAGCCATAATTGTGCCACTGCACTTCCAGCCTGGGTGACAGAATGACACCCCGTCTCAAAAAAAAAAACAAAAAGGAAAGAAAAAGAAATTCCAAACAGCCTAGAAATTTAACTTAAACAAAAGCAAAAGGACTAGAAAAATAATTTCATGATTTTGAAATGTTTAAGGCATTTTTCTGCTTATTAAGTGTTACTAAAATTTTTAAATATGTAAATATTTTAAATATTACAATAATGTGATCACAGAAAACATTCTGGTGGAGTTTTTACCCCCGATTTTTTATTACTATCAAACACAGATAAAATTTGACAGACTAGTAAAATAACTATCCATATAACCCCCACATAGAGTCAACAATTGTTACATTTGGCCATCTTTGCTTTATCTATCCATCTATATGTGTGCATACATATGTGTATATATGTAATTATGTATGCATACATGCTGTCTTGTTGAATCATTTGAAAGTAAATTAGAGATACGACACATCATGGCTTTCTATTTAAATACAGGTTGTTTTCTTTTCCTAAATTTCATTGCTACCTCCTTCCCCTCGAATCCCTCTTTCCCCATATCAGCACCCTCCTATCTTGATAACCCAAACTGGCAACCTATCATATATCCTTCCATATTTATTCCATGCTCATATGTCACTATTTTACAAAATAATGCATATTGCTTTCCTTATTGAAATGTACCTTGGAGAACTCCTTTAAAGTCAATTAACATAATCGTAATTTGTTTTCAATAACAACTTCATTAAAACATATTTCACATATCATAAATATATGTATTTACAGCCCAGCACGGTGGCTCAGGCCTGTAATCCTAGTACTTTGGGAAGCTGAGGCAGGTGAATCATTTGAGGTCAGGAGTTCAAGACCAACCTGGCCAACATGGTGAAACCCCGTCACTCAAAAAATAGAAAAAATTAGCCAGGCATGGTGGGGCATGCTTGTAATCCCAGCTACTCAGGAGGTTGAGGCAGGAGAATCACTTGAACCCTGGACGCAGAGGTTACAGTGAGCCAAGATCGTGCCACTGCACTCCAGCCTCGGTGACAGAGGGAGACTCCATGCACCCAACCCCCACCCCCGCAAAAAAAATATATATATATACTTTTAAGTACAATTCAATGGTTTTTTATAAATTCATAGGCTGTGCAAATCTGACTTTAGAATCACAATCAATTTTAGAACATCTTCATGACCCTAAAAAGAAACCTCCTGCCCATTAGCATTTATACCTAATTACCCCCTCCCAACCCCACTCTAAATCATAACAACCACTCATCTACACTGAGTCTCTACAGACTGGTCTATGCTACCCATTTCATGAAAATGAAATATGTAGTCTTTTATAACTTGATTCTTTCACTTAGCATAATGTTTTCAAGGTTAACCCATATGGTAGCATGTATCCTTTTTATGTCCAAATAATATTCCATTGTGTGGAGAAACCACATTTCATTAATCCCTTCATCAGCTGATAGACATCTGGGTTGTTTCTACCTTCTGTTATCAATAATGCTACTATGAGAATTCACACACAAGTTTTTATGTGGACAAATGTTTCCAATAGTCTCAGGTATAAACCTAGGAGCTGAACTGCTGTGTCATATGGTAACTCTATGTTTAACCATTTCAGGAAATGCTAGACTGTTTTCCAAAGCAGTTGCATAATTTTAAACTTCTACTAGTGATGTATGAGAGTTCCAATTTCTCTACATCCTTGTCAACACTTGTTATTGTCCATCTTTTTATTACAGCCACCCCAGTGGGTGTGAAGTGGTACTTCATTGTGGTTTTGATTTGCATTTCCCTATGACTGATGCTGCTGAACATCTTTTTAGGTGCTTATTGACCATTTGCATATCTTCACTGGAAAAATGCCTTTTTGTTGAGTATCATAAGTTTTTTGTGAGGATCAATGATTTAATACTGTAAAACACTTAGAAGAGTGCCTGGCACACAGTAAGCACCCAATAAATCTCAGATAATATATTAATATAGTACTGTTATCATTACTGATTATTCAGTTCCTCTAGATTCAATACTCTTAAGGATATACTGAAATGCCTCACAATAGCTGAACTTTTACCAAGTTCACCTTATATTACTAATAGTTTTTGTTTTATGTTTTTGCCTGATATGATACTTGATGCTATTTGGTTCATACATGATCATAAATTGTGCCCCTTATCAGTATATAATGTCTGTCTTTACCTCATTTAGTGCCTCTAACCTGAAATCCACTTTGTCTAATGCTGTTCTGCTTTGAGGAAATTTGTTTTTGTTTTTCACTATTTTCCTGCTCTTTCATTTCTGCTTTATTTTCACCTACTCATTTTGCTTTGAGAAGTGCTTATAAACATTATTCTCCAGAGGTTTATTTAGTTCAGTCTGACACATCTTTTTTTTCTTTCTTTCTTTTTTTTGAGACAGGGTCTTGCTTTGTCACCCAAGCTGGAGTACAGCGGCACAACCAAGGCTCACTGCAGCCTCGACCTCCTGGACTCAAGCAATCCTCAAGCAATCCACCTCAGCCTCCAGAGTAGCTGGGACTACAGATGCATGCTATCACTCCTGGCTATTTTTATTTATTTTTATTTTTTATTTTTTGTAGAGATGGGGTTTCCCCATGTTGCCCAGGCTAGTCTCGAACTCCTGGGCTCAAGATACCCTCCTGCCTTGGCCTCCCATAGAGCTGGGATTACGGGTGTGAGCCACCCGTGCAACCTGACATGCCCTTTTTAATGGCAAAATTCAGTCTGCTCACATTTAGCCTAATAATTGATACAATGATCTTATTCCTTCCCCTTACTTTTATTATTGTATAATGTTTCCTCTTCTTCCCTCTATTTGTGTTGGGCTAGTCAAACTGCCATTCTTTCCAACTTTTTTCTTTTGTTAATGTGAAAATTTTCCTAAATTTCTCCATTCAAATAATAGTTTCATTTTCCCTGCTCTAAATATTATCTGAAAACAGGATGCCAATTATTTCCCCAACTTTGAGAGTGGCCTGGATACAGCGATAGATAACTGAAATAACTGCCAAAGAATTTTCCTAAGTGGTTATCACACTAATTCCTATTTCCACCAGCATGTAAGAGCACTCCTGTTGCTCCATATCTTTGTCAACCTTGCATATCATCAGATTTTGAATTTTAGCCATGCTGGCAGGTGTACAGTAATAGTATCCTACTGAGGTTTTAATTTTCATTTTCCTGATGACTAATGATGTTAAGCATCTTACTGGTCAATTAGATATCTTTTGAGAGCATATTTTCTATTTGGTTGTCTATCTTAGCCTTACTGATTTATAGAAACTCCTTAAAGATTCTAGATATGAACGCTTTATTAGTTATATTTGTGAAATATCTTGTCCTGGCCCAGCGCAGTGGCTCACGCCTGTAATCCCAGCACTTTGGGAGGCAGGCGGATCATTTGAGCTCAGGAGTTCAAAACCAGCTCAGTCAACATGGTGAAACTCCGCCTCTACTAAACATATAAAAAATTAATCGGGTGTGGTGGCTTGTGCCTGTAGTTCCAGTTACTCGGGAGGCTGAGGCGGGAGAATCACTTGAACCTGGAAGGCAGAGGTTCCAGGGAGCCAAGATTGCACCACTGCACTCCAGCCTGGGCGACAAAGGGAGACTCTGTCAAAAAAAAAGAAAGAAAAGAAAAGAGAAGAGAGGAGAAGAGGGGAGGGGAGGGGAGGGGAGGAAATACCTTGTCCCACTTTGTGTCTTCTTGCTTTTCACTCTTCTTACTGATAACTTTTAATAGAGTCTCTAATATTAAAGTAGTCCAATTTATAAACTTTTCCTTGATGATGACCATTTCTTGTTCTTATTTGAGATATTTGTTCCTGCTCCCAAGGTAGGCATGTTAGCTTCTTAAATCTTTATTATTATTTTTTATCTTCAACATTTGGATCTAAAATTCTACTTGGAATTTATTTTAGTGTATGATACAAGATTGGGTTTTTTGTTCTGTTTTGTTTCAGGAGACAGGGTCTTGCTCTGTTGCCCAGGCTGGAGCGCAGTGGCTCAATCATAGCTCACTATGGCCTCAAACTCTTGGGCTCAAGCAATCCTCACCTCAGCCTCCCAAGTAGCTGGGACTACAGACATGCACCACCACGCCCAAGTAGTATCCATTTATTTTTTTCCCATATGAATATCTAATTGACTTGCACCATTTATTGGTAAGACATAGATGTGTGGGTCTGTTTCTGGACTTTCTGTACTATTGGTCTATTTACCCATCCTTGCACACCCCTTTTTAATTATACAACTTAACAAGAAATTTGGACACCCTATAGAGCAGGGTTCAGCAAATTATAGCCTGCAAGCCACGTAGCCTGCAAAGTCTAAAATATTTGATATCTTGTCTTTTATTGAAAAAGTCTGCTGAGTATTCTATAGGCTAAATCCTAACTCCTCTAACTTTGTTCTTCAAGATTGCCTTCACTGTTCTTGGCCTTTTGTTTACCCATATAAGTTTTATTTATTTATTTGAGAAAGGGTCTTGTACTGTTTCTAAAAATAAAAAAATATTGAGACTAAGCTTATCCAAAGATCCACAATTTCCTGGTCTTCACTCTGTGGCTTGGTCTCTAAAATGTTCATGGGAAAGAAAGTCCAGTGCCAGTTTCTTTTACATTCACTTCCAGTAGAGAGCCAGGGACTTCAGTTACATTAGCCACTCATTGAACCCAGAGGTCAATTAACAGAGCGGAGATGAGAATGGAAGGAAGGGAGCCACATTCCATTATGTTCATCACATTCATAAATTCTTTTCTCCTTATGTATGACAATATGACACAATCCACCAGAGCCATGAAGAAAAAGTCAGAACTGACTAAAACAATGTTGACAATTCCTCAACAGTAAAAATCACAACCAAGTCACAAATGGCCAACAGGTAGATGAAAAAAAGTGTTCAACATCACTAATCATCAGGAAAGTGCAAATTAAAACCACTAGGAGATAATATCTCATGCCTGTTAAAAAAAAAGCTACATCAAAAAGGATGAAAGACAGCAAGTGTTGTTTAGGTTGTGGGGAAAAAAAAAGAGAACCCTTGTACACTGTTAGTGAAAATGCAAATTGGTATAGCCATTATGGAAAAGAGTATGAAAAAATATTAAAAATAGAACTCCCATATGATCCAGCAATTCTACTTCTGGGCATATATCCAAAGGAAATGAAATCAGTATGTCAGAGATACTGCACCCCCATGTTCACTGCAGCATTATCCACAACAGCCAAGACATGGAAGCAGCCTAAGTGTGCATCAACAGATGAATGAATAAAAAAAAAATGGTATATTTATACAATGGACTGCTAATAAGCCTTAAAAAAAAGAAATCCTATCATTTGTGACAACATGGACGAATCTTATAAACATTATGCTAGTTAAAAGAAGACAGGCACAAAAAGACAAATACCACATGGTCTCACTTACATGTGGAATCTAAAAAAGTTGAACTCACAGAAGCAGAAAGTGGAACAGTGGTTACCAGAGGCTGTGCAGTGGGATGACTGAAAAAATGGTGGTCAAAGGATATAAAATTTCAGTCAGACAGGAGGAATAAGTTCAAGAGCTTTATTGTACAATATTGTCACTATAGTTTATATCGTACACTTGAAAACTGCCGAGAGATTTTAAGTGTTCCAACCATAAAAAATAAATGTGTAAGGTAATAGAGATGTTACTTAGTTTAATTTATCCTTTCTACAATGCATACATGTATCAAAACATCATGTTGTACACCATAAATATATACAATTTTTATTTGTCAATTAAAAAAATTAACACACAACAAAGTCAAGAGACATAAACAAAATAAAAGAACCCTGGGAAAATATTTGAGTAATTTTTCAAGAGGTTGTCTCCTTAAAATATACAGAATTTTCATAAATCAATAAGAAAAAGATTGGCCGGGCACAGTGGCTCACGCCTGTAATCCCAGCACTTTGGGAGGCCGAGGCGGGCAGATCACCTGAGGTCAGGAGTTTGAGACCAGCTCGGCCAACATGGAGAAACCCCATCTCTAATAAAAATATAAAAAATTACCTGGGCATGGTGGTGGATGCCATAATCCCAGTTACTCAAGAGGGTGAGGCAGGAGAATCGCTTGAACCCGGGAGGCGGAGGTTGCAGTGAGCCAAGATTATGCCACCACACTCCAACCTGGGCAATAAGAACGAAACTCCATCTCAAAAAAAAAAAGAAAAAAGAAAAAGATGAATATCCCAATATAAATACTGGCAAAAGATACAAACAAGTATTTCACAGTAGGAAAAAACATCAACGAATGCTCACAAAATGTATTTGAAAATACACAATCTTACTAATTAAAAATGCAAATTAATATACCCTGACATCATTTTTTGGCTGACTAGAATGATACTAAAACGTGCAATAATAATCAGTGCTGATGGCAAAAATGAGCAGTGGAAGGCCATCTCATCCACTGTTGGTCCTTTCATTCTGACATGCCTCTGCTAGACGCTAGGCTCCTTTGGTGACAAGATATACGCATGGATATGCAGCTTTCTGAACAGTAATCTTGAGACATGTATAATAATCTCTTACTATGAGCTAGGCACAAGTCCAAGCTCTATGTCATGACACAGGTACTTCTGCTATTCCCCACTTTACAGATGAGGAAATGAAGGCACAAAGAGGTTAAGTAACTTGCCTAAGGTTACAGAGCTAGGAAATGGTGAGGCCAGGCTTCAAACTCAAGCCAATGACTCCAAGGCTCTGTACTTAGCAGCTATGTTCTACTGTCTCTCTTGCACATATTTTACAGTATGTATACTCACAGACCCAGCAATTCTTTCAGGAAGTCATCCATTGATATGGTTTGGCTGTGTCCCCACCCAAAATCTCAGCTTGAATTGTAATCCCCATAGTCCCCACAATCCCCACGTGTCAAGGGCAGAACCAGGAAGAGGTAATTGGATTACGGGGGCTGTTTCCCCCATGCTGTTCTCATGATAGTGAATGAGTCTCACAAGATCTGATGATTTTACAAATGTCTGCCATTTCCCCCGCCTGCACTCATTCTATCTCCTGCCACCCTGTGAAAAGGTGCCTTCCACCATGATTTTAAGTTTCCTGAGGTCTCCCCAGCAATGGGAAACTGTGAGTCAATTAAACCTCTTTTCTTTTTTTTTTTTTTTTTTTTTTTTTGGGATGGAGTCTCGCTGTGTCGCCCAGGCTGGAGTGTGGTGGCGCGATCTTGGCTCACTGCAAGCTCCGTCTCCCGGGTTCACGCCATTCTACTGCCTCCGCCTCCTGAGTAGCTGGGACTACAGCACCCACCACCACGCCTGGCTATTTTTTTTTTCTTTGTATTTTTAGTAGAGTGGGGTTTCACCGTGTTAGCCAGGGTGGTCTCGATCTCCTGACCTCATGATCCACCTGCCTCGGCCTTCCAAAGTGCTTCGGATTACAGCACTTTGGAAGTGAGCCACCGTGCCTGGCCAAACCTCTTTTCTTTATAAATTACCCAGTTCGAGGTACTCCTTCACAGCAGCATGAGAACAGATTAATACATCCCTTAAAAAATTAGAGACTTTATATATATAAGAATACTCACTGACGCATTACTTAAAATGGTGGAAAGTGGACATACTATTGAGTGAAAATGCAGATTATACATAGATACACACATATTTTATAAATCTGGAAGGGTATACTTAAATTTGGGGGGAGGAAGGTAAGATTATTGAAGAGCTTTCATTTTTGCTGTACTACCTGAATATTTTATAATCAGGTATCTGAAAAAAAAATATACATTTAAAATTCATATTAAAATGCTTTATTATATGGTAGATTATTATTTTTCAATTTGGAAAGTTTTGTAAACAGATGGCCAAGTTTTGTTGCACTGATTTTCAAGGGCTATTTGAGAGCCATTATTAAGAAAAGAGGCATTACCATTGAGTACAGTTCTTGAATATCATCTTAGTGTACTGCTAAATCCCATTATGAAGAATTCATGGGCAGTCTGCTGAAAGGTACACTAGCTTATACCACACACAGCAGTACACTAACAAACTGGAGGAACTAATCCCAGTAACACCATGAAATGAGACGACTTGAATGCTGGCCCAGTTTTTGATGTTGCAATCCTAACTCCAGAGCTGGACTACCAGTGCTGTGGTAATCCCACTACTGTTTTATACACACATCAGAACCTTCTATTACAACAGTCTCCCTCCAGGAAACAGTCAAAGAAAGGATCACTCCAGTCCCTATTCTCTTGCATGCAATGATATTTCCTAGTGATAGAAAGGAAAGAGGCAGGGCACTGGCCACTACCCTAGGGATAAGGGCCATAATAGAAAAAAAGAGTTTTCCTCTGGTTTAAGGACAAAAAGAAGTCCCTTTGAATGTATCTCTAAATGTTAAACTGAAAAGAAAAGTATCATTTATTTTACTTAAAAAATAAAAGATTTAATAAAAGATTTAAAATGCATCTCCCTTTCATTGTGCTACTCTTGCAAATTATTTGAAGACTGGAATATATCTTTTGTAAACTATAATCTTCCATATATGACCCATCCAGAGGACACCCACAGACATCAGCCTACAAAAGCTACTCTGCAACTTCCAAGCCTGAATCATGAACTCAATTCACCTCCCCCTCACCACCAGAAGCTAAAAAAAATTAGAAGCAGCTAGACAGTGTTAGGTATTTTTAATCCAAACAGGCTCCCCAAGGTATCTATTGAGGTCATCAGTCTCCTATGAGAGGAATGTGAAGCGGTCCCTCAAATTGAGGTCTGACAGCAACCCCAGCCATGGCAGCAGCAGTTCCAGTGCACAAGCTTTGCTCCAAGAGCTTTAGGGTCCTCGGTCTCCAACTCTGCTCCAGTTGATCAGACATTAATGAAGTCATGGTTTCAATACATCAACATGAGCGTTAACCTTTGGACTTTGATCCATTCGTGTGGATAAAGTGAAAATCCAACTGATACAGATTTTTTAAAATACGAAATAAGATACATGAACAATTCTGTAAACTTTAAAGGGTTGTAATTATCAAAATAGGAACCGGTTCACTAGTTCATCAGTGAAGAAAAACAACCTGAATTATGGACTATGTCTTCAAAAGACCTTTTAACCTTCAGTATCTAAAATGGAATAAACAATTTAGCTTCCTTTTCTACATTGTAAAAAAGTCTCCATTTTCCTTATTAAACAAGTAACACAAGCCAATTTATTTTTATTTATAATTGGAAAATAACAGAAAAGCAGTGTCATATGACTTAATAGATAGTCTCTGTTAACACTGTGGTATTTTTCCCTCTAGTCTTTTATTCGTACTTATTAGGATCACAGTTGGTTTCCTTTTATTTATTTATTTTTTATTTTTTTGAGATGGAGTTTACTCTTGTTGCCCAGGCTGGAGTGCAATGGCGTGATCTCGTCTCACCACAACCTCTGCCTCCCGGGTTCAAGTGATTCTCCTGCCTCAGCCTGCTGAGTAGCTGGGATTACAGGCATGCGCCACCACGCCTGGCTAATTTTGTATTTTTAGTAGAGATGGGGTTTCTCCATGTTGGTCAAGCTGGTCTCGAACTCCCAACCTCAGGTGATACGCCTGCCTCGGCCTCCCAAAGTCCTGGGATTACAGGCGTGAGCCACAGCGCCTGACATTTCCTTTTAAACAAAATTGTAATTAGACTAAAAATTACTATTTCCATCTTGTTATCTTAAGCATTTTCTATGTTGTTGCGCAATCACATGCTATATGTCATTTCATCAGCTGTAACTCAGAATAAGCTGAACATAAAATATATAATGGAATTACTGACAGTTTCATAACAGTCTCTGAAATATTTAGTTAGAGACAAACATATTAAGAATTCTAGGCTTCTAAAAGCTAAACTTAATTTCTGGCAAGCATGACTGGTAATTACAACCAAAAGCCAAATATTGTGGAGTCCTTTTTTTAGACTAAGCAATCTTACCACTCAGAATATATAATCACTGAAACACTTCCAGCATAATGATATCCGTTCAGCTACTGGCAACCATAAATGTCTCTGAAAGCCAGAGAAATGTAAAAATTCTCTAATATGATTTGCGAAGTAAAAGTTATATTTTAAAAAATTGAAAGTATAAAACTGTGGTCATAAATACAATATTCATTCAGAGAAAATCTGTAACCCTATATATTTTCACCTATGAGAAGTAGCTATATAAATCACTACAAAAAATAAAACCAATCCAATAATGAAAAAATGTAATCTGTTCAACAGTCCAAACTCATATAAGCACATCAAAGTATTTTCAAATTCTGTAGAAAATCAGAGGCAAAATTATTTATATTTTCAAAAATAGATACTTGAGCACCTAATAGTACCAGAAAATAAGAAAATGTTCAGAAAACGAACTGATGGGAGCACAACAAAGGGACACAGGAGTCAGTTCAAAGAGCTCCCAGCAGCTAAAGCTAGAGCAATTTGAGCAACAAAGTAGTATGGGTTCTAATCCAAAGTATAAAATAAATAAGAATTCATATTGATATAAATAAATAAATGGGAGAGAACAGACCACTCTACAGAAGAATGCCAAATAATTTATGTCAATATTGCCTTCTCAAGAAAGTGGAGTCTAGGCCGGATGTGGTGGCTCACGCCTGTAATCCCAGCACTTTGGGAGGCCAAGGCGGGTGGATCACGAGGTCAGGAGATCGAGACCATCCTGGCTAACACGGTGAAACCCTGTCTCCACTAAAAAAACAAAAAATTAGCTGGGCGTGGTGGCGGGCGCCTATAGTCCCAGCTACTCAGGAGGCTGAGGCAGGAGAATGGTGTGAACCCAGGAGGCAGAGCTTGCAGTGAGCCGAGATAGCACCACTGCACTCCAGCCTGGGCGACAGAGTGAGACTCTGTCTCAAAAAAAGAAAAAAAAAAAGTAAGAGGAGTCTAACTTCTGGTCCCTTCAGTGTGAGCTGCAAACAGTGACTTCCTCCCAAAAAGTAAATTAGGTAGGGAAAAGAGTACTTTTAAGCCTGACAAACACTACCTCAGACAAGGGTTCAAGGCATCAACAGTAATAATTCATGTTGATAGCATGTAGCATTGATATGATGTGGTAAGGATGGTATTTTACCTCTGTGGCCTTAATCCTAAGAACACATAATCCCCAGTTAACCTATGAGAAAAATATACAAACCCAAATTGTAACCCAAATGTCTTACATTCTCTAGAATACCTCACCAGTATGTCTTAAACTTGTCAAGGTCATCAAAAACAAAGAAAGTCTGAAAAACTGCCACAGCTCAGAGGATCCTAAGGTGGCATGATGACTAAATGTAACGTGGTATTGTGGATGGGGTCCTGGACAGAAAAAGGACCCTAAATAAAAACTAAGGAAATTCAAATAAAGTATGGACTTCAGCTAATAATAATGTGTCAATATCGGTTCATTAATTATAACAGATGTACCACACAAATGTAAGATATGGGAACTCTCTGAACTATTTCTGCAACTTTTCTGTAACTCTAAAACTATTCTAGAAATTAAAGCCTATATACAATATGTATTATATATGTACTAGATTAAAATAGACATGTAGATATAGGTAGATAATATAAACACAGACACATCTAAATAAAAGAAGGCAGGGAATTGTTTTGTTCACTCCCTTACACTCCATTGTTAGACCACCTCCTGGCAATTCAATAAATATTTTTGGAAAGAATAAATGTGCATATATGCTTTGTAAAACTGGTTTTATTTCTATAATTCTGCATTATTCCTTTATTTGTATAATTCCATGTACAAAAAAAAAGTTCTAAAGGAAAAGTTTCACCTAATACTGGTCAAGAAATTAGCAAACATTCACAAAACAACCCATTCTACAAACACTGATTATATCTTTACCATAATCCAGAAACTATGCTGAATGCTGGGGACTCAAAAACAAATAAAAACAGGCCGAGTGCGGTAGCTCACACCTGTGATCCCAGCACCTTAGGAGGCTGAGGTGGGCGGATCACCTAAGTCAGGACTTCGAGACCAGCCTGGCCAACACAGTGAAACCCCATCTCTACGAAAAATACAAAAATTAGCCAGTCGTGGTGACGGGTGCCTATCCCAGCTACTTGGGAGGCTGAGGCAGGAGAATCGCTTGAACCCAGGAGGCAGAGGTTGCAGTGAGCCAAGATCATGCCACTGCACTTCAGCCTGGACAACAGAGCAAGACTTTGTCTCTAAATAAATAAATACATGCATATGAAATAAACACTCCAATTGTGAGGGAGGAAGGTGAGAGCCTGGCTGATATACAGATGACAATGATACAAAATGGTTAAGTATGAGGTACAGGCTTTGGGTATCATGAGAGCATGCCAGGAATACTTAACCCTGCACAGGGTGGTAGGTGGCAAAGGATTCCTGAGCAAAGAAAGGCAAATAGGCCCCAAATGACTGAGGTGGAGGGGGATGCAGAAACATTCTGTCACGTGGGACACTAAGTGCAGGGCAAAGCATAGTGACAACTGGTGCTTGAATGGCAAGGAGGCACCAGACCATCAAGTTGGAGGCTTTTTAGAGGAACAATGAGGTGGATATGGTAAGATGGGTGACTTTGATTGATCACATCTCTCTGGAGACATGGGGGCAGGGATTAGGCAGAATGATCAAGTATAAGGTTGTGGGAACAAATCATGCAAAGAAGGTGAATTATTAATCAAACAGTGAGGAGGAGATAGAGCTGACAACTGTTTAGAAGATAATATCGGCAGATTTGGCAACTACTGAGTATTGAATGGCCAGGCCTTTTAACTCATTTTCTTTTTCTTTTTTTTTTTTTTTTGAGAAAGGGTCTCACTCAGTCACCCAGGCTGGAGTACAGTGGCACAATCTCCACTCACTGAAACCTCCGCTTCCCAGGTTCAAGTGATCCTTCCACCTCGGCCTCGCCAGTAGCTGGGACCACAGGCACGCACCACCATGCCGGGCTAATTTTTGTATTTTTTGTAGAGATGGGGTTTCACCACGTTGTCCAGGCTGGTCTTGAACTCCTGGGCTCAAGAGATCTGCCCGCCTCAGTCTCCCAAAGTGCTGGGATTACAGGAGTGAGTGAGCCACCACGCCCAGCCTCTTAACTCATTTTTCCATTTTACCGCTTGACCCCTTCAAACAATTCCCCCCAGCACAGAGAATATTATGTTTTGAAACATAATCATCCTATTCCCAGTTTAAAACCATCCAGTGGCTTCCCATTACATATTCCAAAGCTACACTCCTTAGTGTGGTCTCCAAAAGACAAAACAATCACATTCCTGCTTTCTTCTTCAACTTCATCCTGTGTTACTTTCCTCCAGCCACGTTGCTTTTCTTTCAATTCCTTAAAAATATCAAGCTCCTTCCTGTTTTAGAGCCATTCCTCATGCCTACAAAAATGCTCTTTCTCCTGTTTGTTCCATGGATCTCAACTAAAATCCTTTCAAAAGGATTTTGAAAAGGTCTCTCTCCTACCACTACCAATTACTCTCCACTACAGTATCCTTTCTGTGTATATTTCTTTCTTTGTACTAAGGTAGTCTGTATGCACAGTTGATTCTTGTGATTTATGGTAAATATGTTTTATAAAGTCACTGCAAACACTGAGTAATTGTGTGACAGAGTAACCCTATCTCTAAAGAAAAAGAAAATTCCTGGCAAAGAGAACAGTCAGTATAAAAGTACAAATGTGTCTTAGTGCCCAAACAATATTATCTACTCGAAAGTTAAGATGATAAGTTGGTATAATCAACATTAGTGCTAAAATAGGTTCATCATAAACACCTCCCAGGCTGTAGAAGCAGTAACTTCAACTTGTTCAGTACCTCCCGGAGCTGTCCAGAGAGGATTTCTTTCTTAAAACCCTAAAAACAACTTAGATAAATAGAGATACTGCTATGGTTTGAATGTCTGTCCCCTCCAAAACTCATGTTGAAGTTTAATTGCTAGTGTAACAGTATTAACAGCTGGGACCTTTAAGAGCTGACTAGGCCATGCGGGTTCCACCTTCATGGGTGTGATTGGTGCTGTTATTTAAAAATCATGTTTATCCCCATCTTGCTCTCTCTTACCATCTTGCCTTCTGACATGTGATAACACAGCAAGAAGGTCCTTACCAGATGCTAGCATCTTGATATTGACTTCCCAGCCTCCAGAACTGTGAGCAAATAAACTTCTGTTAATTATAAAGTGCCCAGTCTCGGCTGGGCAAGGTGGTTCACATCTGTAATCCTAGCATTTTGGGAGGCTGAGGCGGGTGGATCACTTGAGGCCAGGGGTTTGAGACCAGCCTGGCCAAAGCCCCATCTCCACTAAAAATACAAAAATTAGCTGGGCGTGGTGGTGCACACCTGTAATCCCAGCTACTTGAGAGGCTGAGGCATGGGAATTGCTTGAACCCAGGAGGTGGAGAGTGCAGTGTGCCGAGACAGTGCCACTGCACTTCAGTCTGGGCAACAGAGCAAGAATCTGTCTCAAGAAAAAAAAAAATTACCCAGTTTCAAGGTATTCTGTTATAGCAGCACAAACGGACTAAGAGAGACACTAAGACCACTGACAGTCAATGATTGGAATGGGAGAATTCATCAATGGAAATATATCAGAATAAAGAACATAAAGGCCGGGTATGGTGGTTCATGCTTGTAATCCCAGCACTTTGGGAGGCTGAGATGGGAGGATCACTTGAGCCCAGGATTTTGAGCCTAGCCTGGCCAAGAAAGTGAGACCCCATCTCTTTAAAAAAAAAAAGAAGAAGAAGAAGAAGAAGAAGAAGAAGAAGAAGAAGAAGAAGAAGAAGAAGAAGAAGAAGAAGAAGAAGAAGAAGAAGAAAGAATATAAATGAAGCTTTCCAACTTCTTTCACTTCCAAGAACCCTAAAAGCCCCTGAATCCCTTTGTCCTATTCCTCCTCTTCTATGCTCACCCAGATTCAGTAAATTGCGGGTCTGTTCATATTTTGGTTATGCAATGTAATAAGTATGCAAAACAGTAACAATAATCAAGGACACAATGTGGCTTTTCTCATTCAGAGAAAGTAAAATTATGAAATTCTATGAGGACTAGAAAATTACATAAAAAAGAACTAAGTAATAGATTTCCCTTCATATAATAGGTACTAGACAAAATTATTTTTATATATGAATAATTGCAGCAATAAACACCGATAAAGCAGGAGTAATGGCATCATTAGGAATAGCAAAATTATTCAAGCAATGAACAGACCACTGGTGGTCCCCAGAATCAGTCTACTTCCCCATTACTGGGAACATACCATTATGAATAAATGAAAACTGCAGGATATTCTCATTTTCCCAAGATTTGTATGCTTATAGGCAGGTCAAGTGCTATAGATTCCAGGAGAGAATGTATTTCTAGTGTTTATGGTCCTGAGAGGATGGGTAAGGGTGACTGAGAAATCACAGCAAAGGAGAAGATGAAATGTTAAATGTCAACTCAGAGCCAGCAGAGTAAAAACATTCTCTCATTAATCCCTACACAGAACACCTACCTAAACGTTCATTGATGCAACCATCTCTGACACAACAATTAAAGAGTCAACATGTACTAAGCCTTAAATACAATGTGTTATAATCTCCTGTGGAGGGAATTCTGGGGAAATGAAACACATGGCAAGTCTATACAAGGAGATGGAGGTCCAAAGATGGTAAATCAACTGGTTTAGATACAAATGAAAATCTTATCATAAAGACAATGTTCTATATAAAATGATATTAGGTTCTCAGGCCACTCAAAAGAATCTCACTGAGCCTATTCTGCTGAGCAGAAGTATAGAATATTCCCAGATAACACAGCCAACCAGAATTATATTATCATTTCTGTGAGAAAATGCAACCCTAGTTTACCATAGTGATAAGCCTTGACTCCTTTGGAAGCATCAGGGCGCTGTGAACCAGCAACCCCAGGATTCCAGGGCTGCACTAGGGTCATTAAAGACTTGCTAATCCTCTTCTACAGTGGCTAAATTTAAAATAATTAAAATTAAATATAATTAAAAATTCAGTTCCTTACGAAGCCACATTCCAACTGCTTAAGAGCCAGATGGCTAGTGGCTATTACACTGGAAGGTGCAGAAGGAGAACATTCCCATCACTACAGAAAGATCTCTGGATAACACTGCACTAGTCAGGAAAGAAGAATTCTCACTTTTCTAGAGCATCATAAAAGAAAGCAGCCTATGGTAGCACAACAATGTGAATGAACTTAATGCCACTGAATTGCATACTTTAAAATGGTTAGGATAGTAAATTTTATGTTATATGTATTTTACTACAATTTTTTTAAGGCCGCTTTCTCAGTCACAGTCGCTCCATATTTTCCGAGGTATAGCATAAACTGAAACCGGTCACTAAACTAGACCCCCTTCAAGCGCGGAGCACGCCAAAGCCATGAATTTGTAAATGGCTGTTCAATACACAAAAGAGAGTCAATTCCTACAGTCCAGTTCTACAGCCCATGCTTTGGTTTTCTCAGTTTTCACATGTCCTTGGTTGGGCCTTGGATCCATCCACATTTTATTTCAACAGCACCATAACTAGAACCCCTTCTCAAATCTCACGCACACACAAATCTCTTTCAGAACTGTATTGATCCCTCAGAACTCTTAACGTCTGTGCCACTGGTGGCATTTTGTTGGCTTCTGGGTATGTGGAGATATAGATGGGAAATGGTTAACGTTTAAAAAAATAGTTGAAATCAAAAGGAAATAGGATGGGATGAGGGGTGCATGCACACATACACACCATTCTTTAGAAACTCGACTAGAAGGGGTATATTAGTTGGCTAGAAGAGCCACTAAAGCCTTTTGTATATGTGGAGGTGGAGAGAGTAAGCAGGGAGAGTCAGGGGAATGGGAAACTATGGCCCCAAAGTAAGAATAACTCAAAATCTCCACAATGCAGTCTGCAATTGTGCTTCATCACCTACAAACCTAAGTGTTCCCTCAGTTATCAACTCATACTTGAGTCCTGTCTTAAACCATTTCTGGGGTTTGCATATTATGTATATTCTCTACTTGGGGCATATTTGATACATGTGGTAACTTCTGAGAACATAACTCCCCATCGAAACAGTGTCTATCCACCCATGAAGTCAAAGAGTAAAAGCAAGAGATCTGAGTCCAATTCAGGATTATTCTTCCCAGGACTTTCAAAAGCATAAAACAAGGTGAGGAAATTCTAGGCCAGAGACCAGATCTGATAAATGGTTTAAATTTCATTTAATCCAGGACAAATCTAAAACCACATATCTACCGGTTGGTGCTTTATTTATTTATTTATTTATTTAATAAGACACTTTGTCACTCAGGCTGGAGTGCAGTGGCACGATCTCGGTTCACTGCAGCCTTGACCTCCCAGGTTCAAGCAATCCTTTCACCTCAGCCCCACAAGTAGCTGGGACTACAGGTGTACATCACCACGCCCGGCTAATTTTTGTATTTTTTTGTAGAGGAAGGGTTTCACCATGTTGCCCAGGCTGGCTGGTTAGTACTTTAAAATGAACACAACCAATTTCCAGGTAACTGAAAAATCTCAGCATCCTAATGGAACCACCCTCAATCCCTAGCATTTGAATGTAATACCACTTCTCAAATAAGGAATCATAAGTGCAAACAAGAAATCCATTTCTGAGGGGTGGCTGTGAGGATGAGTGCTATGATGGTATCTAGCTGTGCTGTGGGTAGAAATGACATTGCCCAGTTGTCATCGCATAGCCCTGTATCTTGATAATTCAAGCTACCTACACCTGTTAACTTGAGAGTACTCCCACTATCCATTCTAAAAGCAATCTGGGCCATGTGGATTCAAATTTCTACTTCACCTGCTGTAACCCAAGAGGTAGATGTCAGATGTTAGGGTCGACACAATGGGAATGAGCACCTGCTCTGGTATCCTGGGCTGTTCCAAGGACCCACTGGGGACTGAGCTGAGACCTTCTCAACTAGGACTTTAGAACATTCATCTTGCCCAGCTTTAGTCTCAGGGCTGGGTAAAGGGGCTGAGCTTTTTGACTATAACCAAGGATGGAGCCATAAATAAGTAGATATGGTAAGTGAAAGTAAGGTAATTGGTCCCAACTGGGTCAATGAGGGTCAGGACCCAAGGTCAAAGCAAGCAATGAGAATGATCACATATATCAAGCCAATCACATCCTTGGAATGAAACCAAGGAGGAGAGAATCATGGCCCCAACAAAGACCCAGGCTAGGCGTATACACCAGGTAGATCTATACAGCACAGTGACTGGACAGATATAAAATGTGACTCAGGTGAAAGGAAAGCAGGCCCAGAGCTACTTAGAGGTGGAAGAGATATTAAACAGGACAAGGTGAAACCTGGGTGACTATTGCTGGAGTATTAGGCATAAAGCACTAAAAAAGAGTAAGATCCCTTATCTGAAGCATGAAATACTAGAGGATAGCAAAGGTGGTCTACAGTTTCTTAGGAAAAAGTTCTTTAAGTGGCTGGGCACGGTGGCTCACGCCTATAATCCCAGCACTTTGGGAGGCCGAGGCGGGTGAATCACCTGAGGTCGGGAGTTCGAGACCAGCCTGACCAACAAGGAGAAACCTCGTCTCTACTAAAAATAGAAAATTAGCTGGGCATGGTGGCACATGCCTGTAATCCCAGCTACTCGGGAGGCTGAGGCAGGGGAATTGCTTGAACCTGGGAGGCGGAGGTTGCAGTGAGCCAAGATTGCACCACTGCACTCCAGCCTGGGTAACAAGAGCGAAACTCGTCTCAAAATAAATAAATAAATAAATAAATAAAGTTATTTAAAACCAGAATTCTATGCCCAGCAATGATTATTCAAGTGTGTGGAGAAAAATAAAGACATTTCATTTAAGGGCATATAAGGGCACACAGTAATCAGTCTAATGCACTTTAACAATGGGGATAACAAGAGAATGTATCCTATTGATTTTTTTAAAAAACTAAATTAGAAGAAAAATTCAAGACAGATATAAAAATCAGAATAACAATTAAACCTGAATATGTATTTTTTCAAATACAGAATATATATTCTTTTCCAGTGCCTGCAGAACATTTCTCAAAAGTTATCATGCAATATGCCACAAAGAAAATCTCAAAATTCCAAAGTGCAAAAATCATATAGGCCATATTTATGACTGAAATGCAATAAAACTAAAAATTAACATGATAATCTAAGAGAAAATCTTTAAAAAATATTATTCTAATTAATATAGACTATTCAGAGGGCCTGGCATGGTAGCTCACGCCTGTAATTCTAGCTCTTTGGGAGGCCAACGTGGGAGGGTCACTTGAATTCAGGAGTTTGAGACCAAACTGGGCAACAGAGTGAGAACCTGTCTCTACAAAAAATTTAAAAAATTAGCCGGGCATAGTGGCACACACCTGTGGTCCCAGCTACTCCTTAAGAGGCTGAAGTGGGAGAATCACTTAAGCCCAAAGAGTTTGCAGTTACAGTGAGCTATGATTGCACCACTGCACTCCAGCCTGGGCAACAGAGCAAGACCTATCTCTTTAAACAACAACAACAACAACAACAACATAGGCTATTTAGAAATACAAGAAACTGACACATTAAAACCTAAGGAAAACAGGCAAAGCAAAGAACCCAGGAAGACGGATTGTCTTACATGCCTTTATTAGAAAATTTTTTTAATTGAAAAATATTGTTTAAATATTAAACCCAACAAGTTTAAAACACGACAAAAGAAACAAGAAGAAAAGGCTTATAATGTAAAGGAGAAATTAAAGAAATAGAAAACAAAACAAAGAAGGAGATGGCACACATTACATCATGAAGAAAAAAAAGATTTAAAGAAATCATTTATTTAGCACCGCCTAACTTCCACGTACTGCATGCCAGGTGCTGGGGATATGTTTCATATGTTGAAAAGGACCAACATATGCTGTCTTGATTCAAACCACAGATGGTCTAAAAAGGATTCCTAGAAGGAAAACTCAGGACATCAGTATTTCTAGCTTCCATTTTTATTCTTTGTATTTTGACTTTGTTCTTATTGGGAACTAAAAATTAACATTTATTTGTATTCAGTATTTTCTTGATGGTCTGGATTTCCTCTTTTAGAATCACTTACAGTGTATAATTACTGTGAAAAATTCATTGATTTCTCAGTTTCAACACCCTGTTCATTTCTCTGTTTCTTCACTTCCTTTTCAATCAGTGCTTCTGCTTCTTCTGCCACTCTCCTATCTATAGTTTAAGTTTGGGGATATTAATTTATACAGAATACCACAGCTCTTACTGTGAAAGTTAACCTAGG
This sequence comes from Homo sapiens, assembly GCF_000001405.40. NCBI lineage: Eukaryota > Metazoa > Chordata > Mammalia > Primates > Hominidae > Homo > Homo sapiens. The sequence continues at coordinate 112,520,459 of NC_000009.12, read as the reverse complement.
ACCAATATAGTCACTCACTTGGAGTAATATAGAGTATCATGTAGATGATGGTAAAAGCATCAAGCATATGCTGTTGCTTTATCAGACATGATAAATAATGCAGAACTAATGCAATATATCAATTTCATTTGGCCTCTAGTTATTTGAGACTATACCACATTCATTGTCTTATCTACAACTGAAGGTAGTGCTTCTACTCAAAGCCAGTGCTAAAGACTGAATTAGATTTCGTTAGCAGTAATATGCAGATAGCATGTCCATCTACCTCTATCTTTTCTATTTTCCATCTTAAGTGTTTTGGAAATGCAAAAACAAATTAATTTGCCATCTCCTTACTACTAACCAATTTAATCCATCAAGCCCAGTGTAAAATGACAAAGAACTGCTTTCACTTTGCCATTTTCCCATACACACAAAACTTAAGAACTCCTTGATCTTAATTAAGATGACATATCACCAAGGGGACCGAAGCCCCTCTTTTATTATACTAGTCCACTTCCTGCAATATTGTATAATTAGGAACAAGAGACAAGCTGATGTATTTATATCAGCACTTACTGAAATACTAATTAAATGCTATAATAATACAACAATTACATGAATATAATCTACTGGGGTTCAATTAATACCATATAGTTACTGATTGTTTTATCAGAAACAAGTTGGTACAAAAATGTCTTTGAACTCCAAAAGGTACATCAGCATTTCTCACTGTTATGATTTGCAGCAATCATATGTATCTGCTGGAAAAGCCTCAAAGAACTGAAGGATTTGGGATTTGTTTTCCTAATCAGCATGCCTATTTTGCCTCTCTTACACTATAATTATTAGTTCTGTAATCACTGGGCACTTATGTACCAAGCACTAAGGAAGGCAAACCTAGGTAAATTAATGTTCAGAAGAGACACAAGGATAATTCAAAACAACGAATTCCTAAAAGCCTGAAAGTCACCTATGTTTTCGATAAAGCTTTTGTTACTGTAAAATTATATTTAAATACTTGGTGCCTGTGATGCTCTGGTGATAACCATCATGTAAAAACTACATCATAAAACTTCCAATCGGACCCTGAAAACAGTTTGAAAAGCTATGAGCATAAGTTCAGACATCATAAAGAAACATCCAATTTGTCTTCAAGCTCATATAAGTATGATAATAGCACATATTAGTAAAAACACATGTTTCATAGAGCAATCCACAGAGAAATCATGAGCTAGTCTGGGCATGATGGCTCATGTCTGTAATCCTAACACTTTGGAAGGCCAAGGGTGGGAGTACTGCTTGAGCTCAGGAGTTCAAGACCAACCTGGGTAACATAGTGAGACCTTGTCTCTTAAAAAAATAATAATAATAAATTTAAAAATTAGCTAGGCATGGTGGTGCCTGCCTATAGTACCAGCTACTTGGGAGGCTGAAACAGGAAAATTGCTTGAGCCCAGGAGTTCAAGGCCGCACTGAGCTAGGATTGTGCCACTGCACTCCAGCCTGAGCAACAGAGTTGAGACCCTGTCTCTAAAAAAACACGAACTAAAAATAGCAAAGAATGAATTTGGTTCCAAAAACCAGTCAATAATGTTAGCTTTTTTTTTTTTCTTTAGCTCCCCAAATGTTTATTTGGTTTCTACCAGCATCTGCTTAGTGAACTGTTATATGTCCAAACTTGGCTACCTTTTGTCATACTGTTCTTTCCTATTTTACTTTTTAAAAAATGCCTTTATTGGAATATAATTGAAATACAATGAATTGCACATATTTTAAATGTACAATTTGATAAGTTTTGACATGTAATAAATAGCCATGAAACCATCACCATGATTAGAAAAAACGAACATACACATCACTCCAAAATGTTTCCTTTAGAGCATCTAATTCCTCCCTTCCACCCTCCCAATCTCACAACCACTCTTAAGGCAAACACTCATCTGTTTTCCATCTCTACAAATTAGTTTGCATTTTCTAGAATTTCAAATAAATAGAATCATATGGTATCTGTTTTTTGACCTGGCTTCTTTCACCCAACATAAGTATTTTGAGATTAATCTATATTGTTGGGTGTATCAATAGTTCATTCTTTTTATTGCTGAGAGATATGCCCTTGTATGTATATGCCACAATTATTTTATCCATTCACTTGCTAATAGATATTTGGATTGTTTCCAGCTTTACAAATAAGGTTGCTATGAACACTCATGTACATACAAGTCTTCATACATATACATGCTTTCCTTTTTCTTTTTTTAATTAGCCTTCAACTTAGTCCTTCAAACCTTTTCAATTTTTTAAGAGTCAAGGTCTCTCACTGCAGCCTTATATTCCTGGGCTCAAGTGATCCTCCTGGCTCAGCCTCCCAAGTAGCTGGGACAGCTTGCATGTGGCACCGCTCCCAGCTGCTTTCCTTTCTATTGGGCAAACACTTAAGGTCAGGTGGGAAGTGTATGTTTTTAACTTTTTGAAAGGGCAAAAATTGTTTGCCAAAGTAGCTGTACCATTTTACATTTCCACCAGCAGTGTATAAGAATTGTAGTTACTTAATATCCTAGCCAACACCTGGTCAGACTTTTTAATTCTAGCCATTCTAATAGAGATGTAATTCACTCTGGTTTGATTTGCATTTCAATGACATCGAACATCTTATCGTGTGCTTACTTGTCATCTGTATATCTTCTTGGGTCTGTTCAAATCTTTTGCCCATCTTTTTTATCTTGGCTCCTTGCTTTTTTAGTACAGAGTTTTAAGAGTTCTGTGTAAAGTCTAGATACAAATCTTTTGTTGTATAATTTGCAAAATATTTTCTCCCAGTGGTTTGTATTTTTATTCTCTTAATAGTATCTTCTGAAGAGCAGAAATTCTTAAATTTTCTAAAGTCCAATTGATCAAATTTTACTGTTATGAAATTTTGCTGGTGTCATCTCTAAGAAATCATTGCATAATCCAAGGTCACAAAGATTTTCTCCAACGTTTTATTCCAGAAATTTTACAATATTAGGTTTTATATTAATCCTATCATCCGTTTTAACTTTTATATATGGTACACGGTATAGACTGAAGTTCACTTTTTAGAAGTGCAAAAGGTTTATTGAAAAAAAATTTTTCAAAAATAAAATGAAATTCACTTTTTGCATATAGACATACAATTCTTCAAGCACCATTTGTTGAAAAGATTATCCTTTTTCCACTGAATACCTTGTCACCTTTGTCAAATATCAACTGGCCAGATACGTCTGTGAGTCTATTTCTGGACTCTCTATGATGTTCTACTGATTTATTTATTCTGTTAAATTAATATATGGAATAATAATTAATATATGGAATTAATATATTAAATATGGAAGCTGCCTCCTTCCATATTTGAAGTTCAGTCTAAAGGTTTCTTCCTACATAGAGAAGTGTAACCTAACTCGATGTGTAAACAGACTGTAACACACTCTTATACCAATCACTGAGTTTCAGCCAATCAAAGGCAACCAACTTTTCAAATTGTTTTCAAATAAGGCAAACACGGAGTTGTAACCAATCAACTGTTTCCATACCTCACACTTCTGTTTTCTGTACATCACTCTCCTTTTTCTGTCCATAAATCTTCCACCACATGGCTGCACTGGAGCCTCTGTGAAACTGTTCTGGTTCAGAGGTACTGCCCAATTGGTAAATCATTCTTTAATCAATTAAATTCTGTTAAATTTAATTTGTCTAAGGTTTTTTCTTTAACAACAATTCTTATACCAGTAGCACACTGTCTTGATTACTGTGACTTTATAATAAGTCATGAAGCCAGGAAATGTAAGTCCTAAAACTTTATTCTCTTTTAAATGTGTTTTGCTCTAAGTCCTTAGCATTTCTATAAGAGCTTTATAATCAGTTTGTCAATTTCTACTAAAAACTTTGCTGAAATATTAACTGAGATTGCAATGAAACTACAGATCAAGTTGAGGAAAACTATCAATCTTAACAATATTGCATCTTCTGAACCATAAAAACAGTATATCTCGACTTATTTAAGCCTTTTAAATTTATATCAGCAATGTCTTACAGTTTTTAGTGTACAGATCTTACATGTATTTTATTAGCTTTATCGCTAAATAGTTAATGTTTTTGATGCTATTACAAATGGTATTTTTAAATGTCAATGTTCAATTGCTTGTTGCTAATATATAGAAATACAACTGACTTTTTTTTTTTTAAGAGATGAGGTCTCACTGTGTTGCCCAGGCTTGTCTCCAGCTCCTAGGCTCAAGTGATCCTCCTGCCTTGGCCTCTCAAAGTGCTAGAACAATTAACTTCTATGAATTGAATTTCATCCTGCAACCTTCCAAAATTGATTAATTAGTTCTAGAATTTCTAGTATTTCTTCTGCAGATCCCACAAGATTTGCTACATAGACAATCATTTTGTCAGTGAATACAGACAGACAGTTGTACTTCTTCCTTTCTAGCCTGAATTTTTTTCCCTCAGTCTGAATTCTTTTCCTTTATCTTCCTTTATTTCACTGTCTAGAAACTCCAGCACAAAGCTGAATGTTCTTGATCTTAAGGAAAAGCATTCAGTCTTTTTTTTTTTTTTTTTTTAATTTATTTTTTTATTGATAATTCTTGGGTGTTTCTCACAGAGGGGGATTTGGCAGGGTCATGGGACAATAGTGGAGGGAAGGTCAGCAGATAAACAAGTGAACAAAGGTCTCTGGTTTTCCTAGGCAGAGGACCCTGCGGCCTTCCGCAGTGTTTGTGTCCCTGATTACTTGAGATTAGGGATTGGTGATGACTCTTAACGAGCATGCTGCCTTCAAGCATCTGTTTAACAAAGCACATCTTGCACCGCCCTTAATCCATTTAACCCTGAGTGGACACAGCACATGTTTCAGAGAGCACAGGGTTGGGGGTAAGGTCACAGATCAACAGGATCCCAAGGCAGAGGAATTTTTCTTAGTGCAGAACAAAATGAAAAGTCTCCCATGTCTATTTCTTTCTACACAGACACGGCAACCATCCGATTTCTCAATCTTTTCCCCACCTTTCCCGCCTTTCTATTCCGCAAAGCCGCCATTGTCATCCTGGCCCGTTCTCAATGAGCTGTTGGGCACACCTCCCAGACGGGGCGGTGGCCGGGCAGAGGGGCTCCTCACTTCCCAGTAGGGGCGGCCGGGCAGAGGCGCCCCTCACCTCCCGGACGGGGCGGCTGGCCGGGCAGGGGGGCTGACCCCCCCACCTCCCTCCCGGACAGGGCGGCTGGCCGGGTGGGGGGCTGACCCCCCCACCTTCCTCCCGGACGGGGCGGCTGGCCGGGCAGAGGGGCTCCTCACTTCCCAGTAGGGGCGGCCGGGCAGAGGCGCCCCTCACCTCCCGGAAGGGGCGGCTGGCCGGGCGGGGGGGCCGACCCCCCCCCACCTCCCTCCCGGACGGGGCGGCTGGCCGGGCGGGGGGCCGACCCCCCCACCTCCCTCCCGGACGGGGCGGCTGGCCGGGCGGGGGGCCGACCCCCCCACCTCCCTCCCGGACGGGGCGGCTGGCCGGGCAGAGGGGCTCCTCACTTCCCAGTAGGGGCGGCCGGGCAGAGGCGCCCCTCACCTCCCGGACAGGGCGGCTGGCTGGGCGGGGGGGCTGACCCCCCCCCACCTCCCTCCCGGACGGGGCGGCTGGCCGGGCGGGGGGCTGACCCCCCCACCTCCCTCCCGGATGGGGCGGCTGGCCGGGCAGAGGGGCTCCTCACTTCCCAGTAGGGGCGGCTGGGCAGAGGCGCCCCTCACCTCCCAGACGGGGCGGCTGGCCGGGCGGAGAGCTGACCCCCCCACCTCCCTCCCGGACGGGGCGGCTGGCCAGGTGGGGGGCTGACCCCCCTACCTCCCTCCCGGACGGGGCGGCTGGCCGGGTGGGGGGGCTGACCCCCCCCCATCTCCCTCCCGGACGGGGTGGCTGGCCGGGCTGAGGGGCTCCTCACTTCCCAGTAGGGGCGGCCGGGCAGAGGCGCCCCTCACCTCCCGGACGGGGCGGCTGGCCGGGCGGGGGGCTGACCCCCCCACCTCCCTCCCGGACGGCACGGCTGGCCAGGCGGGGGGCTGACCCCCCCACCTCCCTCCCGGATGGCACGGCTGGCCGGGCGGGGGGGCCGACCCCCCACCTCCCTCCCGGATGGGGCGGCTGGCCGGGCGGGGGGCTGACCCCCCCCCACCTCCCTCCCGGACGGGGTGGCTGCCGGGCGGAGACGCTCCTCACTTCCCAGATGGGGTGGCTGCCGGGCGGAGAGGCTCCTCACTTCTCAGACGGGGCAGCTGCCGGGCGGAGGGGCTCCTCACTTCTCAGACGGGGTGGTTGCCAGGCAGAGGGTCTCCTCACTTCTCAGACGGGGCGGCCGGGCAGAGACGCTCCTCACCTCCCAGACGGGGTCTCGGCCGGGCAGAGGCGCTCCTCACATCCCAGATGGGGCGGCGGGGCAGAGGCGCTCCCCACATCTCAGACGATGGGCGGCCGGGCAGAGACGCTCCTCACTTCCTAGATGTGATCGCGGCTGGGAAGAGGCGCTCCTCACTTCCTAGATGGGATGGCGGCCGGGCGGAGACGCTCCTCACTTTCCAGACTGGGCAGCCAGGCAGAGGGGCTCCTCACATCCCAGACGATGGGCGGCCAGGCAGAGACACTCCTCACTTCCCAGACGGGGTGGCAGCCGGGCAGAGGCTGCAATCTCGGCACTTTGGGAGGCCAAGGCAGGCGGCTGCTCCTTGCCCTCGGGCCCCGCGGGGCCCGTCCGCTCCTCCAGCCGCTGCCTCCCGGGCGGCGCTCGCCGGCGCGGCGGCAAAGACTGAGACAGCTCCGCTGCCCGCTGAACTCCATCCTCCCGGCGGTCGGGCGGCGGCGGCTGCGGTCGGTCGCGGCAGCGGCTCCGCTTCGTATCTGCAGCTGGGGCCCGCGGGCGTCAGCGCCGCGACTGTCCCGGCTCCGCACTGCCCCGGGCCGCAGCGCAGCCGCGCCAACCACCAGCCGCGGCCACCGACCCCAGCCCGCGGCGCCTTCGACCCTTCAAGCCAGGCTTTCAACAGGGGAAAGCACCTCAGCATCTTGGCTCGCTCTCCCCTGAGCCTCTGCATGGCTGTTCCCTCTGCTGAGAAAAGTCTTCCCAATCTGGCCTACTCTTGTCTCACTTGCTAAATGCAAGACACCTATCCCTGGCCGGGCGCAGTGGCTCACGCCTGTAATCCCAGCACTTTAGGAGGCTGAGGTGGGTGGATCACCTGAGGTCAGGAGTTCCAGACCAGCCTGGCCAACATGGTGAAACCCCGTCTCTACTAAAAATACAAAAATTAGCTGGGCATGGTGGCGTGTGCCTGTAATCCCAGCTACTCTGGAGGCTGAAGCAGGAGAATCGCTTAAACCCAGGAGGCAGAGGTTGCAGTGAGCCGAGATCGCGCCACTGCACTCCAGCCTGGGTGACAGAGCAAGACTCCATCTCAAAAAAAAAAAAAAAAAATTAGCTGGGCATGGTGGCGGGCGCCTGTAATCCCAGCTACTCAGGAGGCTGAGGCAGGAGAATCACTTGAATCTGGAAGGCAGAAGTTGCAGTGAGCCAAGATCGTGCCACTGCAATCCAGCCTGGATGACGGAGTGAGGCTCTGTCTCAAAAAAACAAATCAAAACAAAAAAAACACCTATCCCTGACTGCTCTGGTGTCTTCCTCTGCACCTCAAGTCCCCCGTGCTTTCCTGTCATTGCACTCATCACTCTGGTAGAATTTGCCAGTAACTTGTCTCCCCTGCTAGACTCTAAGCTCCAGGTAGCCAAGGACCTTATCTTGCCCGGCCATTATTATGTCTCCCCCGTTCAGTCTATTGCCTGACTTACATGCTACGTGCTCAGTGACATTTCCTGAACGAATGGATGAGACAGAGTCATCTGAATTGAGAGCATTCAGTCTTAAATTATTAAACATGAAGTTAGCTGTAGGTGTTTCACACATGCCTTTATCAGGTTGAAAAGATCTCTTTTATTCCACAGTTTGCTAAGAGTTTTTTTTTTAATCAGGAATAAATGTTTGATTTTTTCAAATTTTTTTTTCATTTACAGCAATCAAATGATCATATGGTTTTCTTTTTTAGCCTGTTAATATAATAAACTGTTTTCCTGAGTTTTGAATGTTAAGCTTGCATTCCATAAACCTACTTGGTTATGATGTGTTTTTCTTCTTATGAATTGCTGGATCATTCGCTAAAATTTTGTCAGGTATTTTTAGAGCCATGTTTATGAGAAATATTGGTCTGTACTTTTACTTGTAATATGCTTGCCTGGTTATGGTGCCTATACTATAGAATCAGAAGGGAAGTATTCTCTCCTCTTTAATTTCCTAGAAGAGTTAGAATATAATTAATACTATGTCTTCCCTAAATGTCTGGTAGAATTCCATAGCAAAGCCATCTGTGTCTGCAGTTTCCTTTGTGGGAAGGTTTTCAACTACAAATTCAATTTCTATAACAGATACAGGACTGCTCAGGTTTCTATTTCTTCCTGAGTGAGATTAGGTGGTTTGTGCTGTTCATTAAATTTATCCATTTTATATAAGTTGTCAAATTTACCTGCATAAGGTTGACCATAAGTCTCTTATTATCCTTTTAATATCTGTAGAATTCACATTGATATTACCTCTCTCAGTCCTAATATTGGTAATCTGTATATCTCCTCCTAATTTTCGATCAGTCTGGCTAGATATTTCTATTTTTAAAATTTTTTTAATTAAGCTTCTCAAAGAACCAGCTTTTGGTTTTATTTATTTTCTATTCTATTTCACTGATTTATGCTCTGATATTTCTTCTACTTTCTTTGGTGTCATTTGCTGTTTGTTTAGTATTCTAATTTCATAAGGTAAAACCTGAGGTCATTGAGTTTATTTGCTATAGTTTTCCCCAAAGTACTACTTTAGCTATATCCCACAAATTTTGATGCCCTCTCCTCACTTCTTTATGTAGCTTAGATTTTATGGTATATCATTTAAAATAATCCTTTGTACACATTCACTTCTCTCAACCCTTTTTTGCTTCAACACAATCTACTGACTGCTTTCACATCAAATTTAAGACCACTAAGCTCGGATGGATCCTTAGTGCATTATACTCATCTCCCTAATCCAGTGACTCTCAAACTTTTCTGTACATCAGAATAGCTTGTTAAAATACAGACTGTCCGCCCTCACCCCCAGAGTTTCTGATTCAGTATGTCTGTCTGGGATGGATCCCAAGAATGTGCATTTCTAACACATTCTCAGATGATACTGGTGCTGCTGGTCCAAGGATCACACTTTGCTCAAATCCATATTTACTCTCCCACTTTCCTAACTGAACATCTCTTCAAATCTCCAATTCCTTTTGCCCCATCCTCCCTCTTGCTGAGGAAACAGAAGCAAGCAGCAGATAATTTCCACATGCTCTCAGTGCCACATCTACCTCTACCTGCCTACCTCTCTTGACACACCATCCCCTGCTTGATCACTCTGTTCTATCTGTAAAAATCTTCCTTGCTTTTTTGCAAATGCACCAACATTGTCCCCACCTCAGGGATTTTATACTGGCTGCCTGGAATGCTGTTCTCCCCATATAGTTACACAATTTGCTTCTTCACAACCTTTAGATCTGCATAAGTGTCTCCTTATTAGAAAAGCTCTCTGAGACTACTGTACAAAAATTAGCAAACCTCCCCTACACATGCCTGGCACTCCCTATGCCCCCTACACCGAACTGCTTTTCTCCATGGCATTTATTATCACCTGACAGTACATTTTGTTGTTTATGTGTCCATTTTCTATGTTTAGCTACATGGAGAATTTGAGTAGAAGAGAGGTATAAGCAGCAGAATTCTTTGGAATTAAAGCGATTTAATGAAAACAGAAGAGACAGTATATGTAACCCATTTATCTGAGAAACCCGTAAAAGAAAAGAGGGAAACAGGGACCAGGAGTGGCAGGCTCAAGCAGAGATTTCTTAAGATGCAAAGGCAGATCTGAAAGCACAGGTGCCAGGATCAGTGTAAAGAGAAATTTTAAACATGCTGAAGATTGAGAGGATGTGTGGGAATCAAGACTGCTTAAATATCTGGAAGAATTGGGCTCCCAGAGATTTTTGCTTTCGCTTTTCAAGCAGGTATCTACTGAGAGTTGACTATATGCAGGGTGCTGTGGGGAAGCAGTTCATGCTCACTATGACATCTGATTCACTTAATCTTCACAACCACCCTAGGAAGTAGGAATTACCATCCAGGCCTTTTTGCACACAATCAGAGACGTCCCACTGACAGATCTGCCCACTATAAAAATACCACACCAGCTTCTCCCAAACAGTTTCACCTTTCCTTTCTCCCTTACCTTACTTATAACTGATCTTACAAGGTCTCCAACTCCAGGATCTTGTGCAAAGATCTTAGGAGCAAATTTGTGTGGAAGGGGCTGCACCACTTCCTTTAGCACTCAGATGGTTATTAAGCTGCCCACAAAGGTAATGAACCACTTATGCTCAGAGAATCCAGATGCCACCTGACACACACAAACCACCTCTGTTGACTGACTCCCCAGTGTCTTCATGTTAATTCACCCTCGAGCTCTTGGAGCTATTCCACATAATTTTTCATCACAGTGGCTTCTCCATAACTTTTCTTCCTATTCTTCTTAGTTGCCCAATTTCACCCTCATCCCCTCCACTTTCAGCAAAAAGCCTTCATTCACCAAAAACACAGAGGGCACCAAACAGAAAATGTTTCAACCTCTCTTTCTTCCACTTCAAACTTTCATCTTATTCTCAGGAATGTTCTTTTCCTCTACTGTATCACTATTCCTGGAAATGGTGATAAATGTATGGCTTCCTTTTCAACATCCATAATCCTTTTTGCCTTACCTTACTTACTACACTGACTTGCACCTCCCAAACAATGGTGATAATGAATGTCCTCATCTTGCTCCTGACTTAACCTGCAGGCCTTCAGTGTTTCCTCATTTGGACACCTTCAGTGTTTCCCCCATTAAGAATGGGCCTGGCGGGAGGCCGAGGAGGGTGGATCACCTGAGGTCAGGAGTTCGAGATGAGCCTGACCAACATGGTGAAACCCCACCTCTATTAAAAATACAAAAATTAGCCGGGCATGGTGGCACACACCTGTAATCCCAGCTACTTGGGAGGCTGGGGCAGGAGAATCGCTTGAACCTGGGGGAGGATGCAGTGAGCCAAGATCGTGCCATTGCACACTACAGCCTAGGCGACACAGCAAGACTCCGTCTCAAAAAAAAAAAAAAAAAAAAGAATGGGCCTGGCTTGCCTTCTTACAACGATGCTTATTTTAAATGTCTCAAGGATAGAACTTCTCTGTGATAAGCTTTCTCCATACACTATTCTAACACTGACAAAAAAAAAAACATTAAATGTATCTACATTGCTCTTTTTAAAATTTTTTACCATATGTTATCTTTCGAGGCATTTTAATCACAAGTCAGCTATTTGTTGAAATGTTTTAGTATCTTCTTTATCAAATAATTTTCTTTCTGAAATGACTATAAATGCAGGCTATGTTTGCTCATTTTGCAAAAGTACTATATTAGTGAATGGCCTATAAAAGTGAAAAAATTTTAAATTGAACCACATAGTTTAACTAGTGGTCAGCAGGGCCAAATAATCTTATAAAAATCTTATTAGAAAAAAAAATTACACAATCAGCTTTATGGTACAAACCAGGCAACAGAAAACCGATTTCAAAAATAATCCTCAGATGTTTAATAATGCATATTTTTACAACATGACTTTCAGCTGTTGTTTCACCTCCTAGCTAGGCTGAATCTGATTTTAACCATCCTTCTGGCATTGTACATATGCAGGGAGCAAATGCAATCTATTGAAGCAAAGCAGTGTGTGCAAAAGGGCTCAATTAAATGGTGGAATGTTTCTTGTAAATTAAAGCCCTATTGAATAATCATCTTCCATGCAAATTATCTTTCTTAGGGTGTTCCAACAATGTGCCATCATCGTATGTAGCTGCTTTAATATATGCTTATTTGTAATGCTTGACATAATGAATTCTCCCTCTTTATTCCCTTAGAAATAGAATGAGAATTTAAGCTTTTTAATTTTTCCTTTCTAGACTGCCTTTGTGAATACACCAGTAAGACACTATTTTTTCATAACCTACGGTGCAGAAGAATGATTTAACTAGATGCATACTAGTAGTGTATTTATCTGAAAAAGCAAGTTAAATGGATTTCTGATGGAAAAATAGCATGTTAATCTCTCCTCTCTCAAAAAAGTAAATTTTCCCTGGAAGCTCCGAAGCTCAGTCTCCTAATCCTTTTCAAGCCTTTAAGGTTTCTATTCTTAAAAGAAAGTCATATGCTAAAATGTAAATACACAAAACAGAGATTGTTTGCATAGTCCACCAAGAGTCCACATATTTCCTAAAATGTATACAAAATTATAGGTTGTATATATAGATATGTATTTAATAAGAAAGGAGTCCAAAGATTTTATCCAATTCTCAAAGGGGTCAAAAACCCACAAAAATATTTAGAATTACCACATAAGGCTAAAAGATAGAATCTCACTTATAATCTCAGCACTTCGGGAGGCTGAGGCAGGAGGACTGCTTGAGCCCAGGAAGTCAAGACCAGCCTAGGAAATATAGTGAAACCTCATCTCTCAAAAAAAAGAAAGAAAGAGAAAGAAAAAGAAAGAAAGAAAGAAAGAGAGAGAGAGAAAGAAAAACAGATACAGCATTTTAGGGTTATACTTTGATCTTATAGGTATAGATGTTTGATTGATGTCACACAAAACAAAAATTCCCATTCGAAAGAATCAAACTGGCCAGGCACAGTGAGTCGCTCAGGGCCTGTAATCCCAGCACTTTGGGAGTCCAAGTCAAGAGGATCACTTGAGGCCAGGAATTCAAAACCAGCCTGAGCAATATTGTGAGGCCCTATCTCTATAAAAAAATAAAAAATTAACCAGATATAGTGGCACATGCCTATAATGGTAGCTACTCAGGAGACTAAGGCAAAAGAATAACTTGAGCCCAGGAGTTCAAGGTTACAGTGAGCAGTGATCACACCACTGCACTCCACCCTGGATTAGACTGAAAACTTGTCTCTTAAAAAGAAACAAAAACAAAAAACAAAACCTAAAATACTCAGTCAGTTCCACACATCTTTTCTAAACATTCTTATATGCATATGATATATCAACCTAAGCCCTGAAAAGAGTGACTAGCAAAGGATACAGGGGCTATTTGAGAGTCATATGCCACCCCTTGGACCAGAGCTTAGTGCATCAGCAGGGAGTTGGGAAAGAAAGGCAAATTCAGTGTCACAATTTCATGCTTTATCAGGGTCTCTGTAAATGTATGGCCTCCTTCCCTCTACCCACAAATACTTCTAAAAGTCCTTAGCTTAACTATTAACTAAATCATAAATATTGAAGCACTTAAAAAATTTTTCTCAGAGGTCTAATGTAATGGCCTAGAAATATTCCAAGTGACCTTCAAGTTGAATTAAATACCACAATTGCTACAATAGCAATGACCACTGAGTATGTAAGTACCTGGGTCCTGTTATGAACTCACTACCAAAACTACCACACTTCTAGTTAAGCACAATCTCAGGTTCTATTCAGAATTAATGTGCCCACAGAAACCCTAAATCACAACCCATGATCCGGCAAAAAAAGGCAAAAACTTTCTAATAAAGCTAGTGTGGCAGAAACACTGCAGACTCTATCTGCATTTATCCAGCTGTGTTTACAAGAAAAAAAAAAAAGCAGTAGCTTGAGCAAGCAAAAACTTCTGAAATTTTAATACTAAAGAAAATAATATCAGCACTGCAAAAAGAGGCCATATTTTTCCCAGTAAAAAAAGTAACGGAACCTTGTGCAACCCCCAAGTACCCAGGTAGTCACAAACATGTATAAACACGTAACACATCAGGACACACTACACATATAAAATTATCCTTAATTACCATGAAGAAAAAACATTCTAACATTTGTTTTTTGTTTTGTTTTGTTTTGAAACAGAGTCTCGCTCTGTCACCCAGGCTAGAGTGTAGTGGCGTGATCTCGGCTCACTGCAAGCTCTGCCTCCCAGGTTCATGCCATTCTCCTGTCTCAGCCTCCCGAGAAGCTGGGACTACAGGCGCCCGCCAACACGCCCAGCTAATTTTTTGTATTTTTAGTAGAGACGGGGTTTCACCGTGTTAGCCAGAATGGTCTCGATCTCCTGACCTTGTGATCCGCCTGCTTCGGCCTCCCAAAGTGCTGGGATTACAGGTGTGAGCCACCGCGCCTGGCCTCTAACATTTGTTTTTACAAATTGCCACAGTACTCTATAAATTTCATTTTTCTCCATACTTCAGATTTTACCAAAAGCTTTACCCTATAGTTCAAAAATTACTTTATAGAAACACAATTTGTTCATTCTTAATTATATCCATTATATGAGTTCAGCGGTCTTCTGTCTCTTTGATACTAAGGGACACTCAAATGCTAGAATTTGGTGACACATTTCAAAGGAAAGGGATACATACGCATCGTTCTCTGTTTGATCCCCCCTCACTGCTGTTTGTCAGCTTAAGTCGAACTTTTTATTGCCCTGACCTATACACTCACAAAGCAAAGTTCCTGTCTGCTCCAGTAAACAAGCAATCTTTCCTACAGCTGCCTGGATCCCGTGCTTTGCCTTTCATCAGGCATCCTGTCCCACCTTTCATCACCTGACCACTCAGGCCATTTACCTAAATCACAGTATTTCTCTGAATGAAATGAAAGTAAACATCCTTTTCAACAAAATTTGATAACCATCTGTGAGGTGCTACAACAACATACAATTTGAAACCACTATGCTAATTAAAGTTATTAGTTTTAAAATGTTCTTAATAAATTACTACATTGCCTGCAAAGTCAAAATAGAGACATATAGACTTCACACCATACAATTCAAGGATTTGTTAAGCTTAATTTTCTTTGCTATCTAGCGTTCAAATATACTCTCTTCTAGATATTTAAGCCTCAGTAATAATATAACCTATGTGCCTGGCACTCTACTCACACGAATTTACCTAATCCTCACGACAACCCCATGGGCTATATACTTAGTATTATACTCATTTTATAAACGCGGAAACTAAAGCACTGAGAAGTTATGTACTAATAAGGGCCAGAAACAGGATTCAAAGCCAGGCAGTCTGAGTCCAAAGTCTAGTCTTAACCAGGGTGCTAGCCTAAAGAACTCATTATTGGAAGAATAAAATCAGGTCATTTTCAGTAACATGGATGAAACTGGAAGTCATTATCTTAAGTGAAATAAAGCCAGGCACAAAAAAACAAGTATCACATATTCTTATACATGGAAGCTAAAAAACTTGACCACATGGAGGTAGAGAATGGAAAGACAGATAACAGAGACTGGGAAAGTTGAGTGAGGGGACCAAGGGGAGGATGAAGATAACCGATTTAAAGGGTACACATAGAGTAAGATAGAAGGAATAAATTCAACGTTAGATGGCAGAGTAGGGTGACTATCTTCAACAAAAATGTATTGTACTCCAGCAATAGACATGCTAAATACCCTGACTTGATCACTACGCATTATACACATGTTAACAAAATTTTACATGTACCTCATAAATTTGTATAAATAAAAAATGTATATACATCTACACATATATACATATAGACACACATACATACATAAAAAACTTCATTATTGGCATCATATTTGCTATAGTGGTTTTGGCACTGAGAAAATTTGGACAAAACAGACTCAGATTTCATCATTTTCAAAGATTTTCTTGTCATAATCTTATCTTTATGATAAGATTAGGTAAATTATGAATCACAAAAATCACTCCAGTGCTGGATAACCTCAGATTAAATGGGGATGAAACATACAATGAAAGGAACTAGAAGCCAGAGTTCCTTCACTCCTCCAGATCATTTCCCCATCTGTAAAATAAGGGGATTAAAAATAGTTAATCTTGGCAGGGCATGGTGGCTCACGCCTGCAATTCCAGCACTTCGGGAGGCCGAGGCCGGTGGATCACTTGAGGTCAGGAATTCGAGACCCGCCTGGCCAACATGGCGAAATCCCGTCTCTACTCAAAATACAAAAATTAGCTGGGGGTAGTGTGGCACGCACCTGTAATTCCAGCTACTCGGGAGGCTGAGGCATGAGAATTGCTTAAGCCCAGGAGGTGGAGGTTGCCGTGAGCCGAGATCGCACCACTGCACTCCAGCCTGGGTGATTGAGTGAGACTCTGTCTCCAAAAAAAAAAAAAAAGATAATCTCTACAGTTCCTTCTGGTTCAAACCCTGAAAGATTAATACATAATTAAAAAACCAACAACTCCTTAGATGATTTAAGACACTGTTGCCCACCATCAATAAAGCCAGGTTACAATCAACTTGAGAAAGATCTAAAGTACTTGATTTCTAAGGTATTAAAAGACAGAAATATGCAAAATACTTCGTTTTTAATTATGCTTATTATAAAATATAGCCAAATTATAGAAAGCATGGCAAATATATATATATATATATATAATTTATAACCCCAGCACATTAACACTGTTAGCATTTTAGGGTATTTCCTTCCAATCTTTTCCTTATGCATAGCTTTGCATGACAGTCATGATCAGGGAAGGAGGGAAAATGGAAGGGAGAAAAATCATTCTATTTCCTACTTGAACAATTTTTAATAGGGATTTTTCATTTTGCCAGAAGGTTCTACATGATCTACCCTACCCACTACCACCAGCATTATCTGTCCAAACTCTTGCAACTCTTTTTCCTTGCAGCTCTCCCCTCCTTCACTCTAGCGGAGCCCTTGACCTTTTTTTTTTTTTTTTTTTTGAGACAGGGTCTCGCTCTGTTGCCCAGGCTGGAGTACAGTGGTATGAACACAGCTCATTGCAGCCTCAGCCTCCCTAGTAGCTGGGACTACAGGTATGCACGACCACACTTGGCTAATTTTTTTTATTTTTTGTAGAGAAGGAGTATTGTTTCCCAGCTGGTCTCAAACTTATGGGCTTAAGCAGTCCTCCCACCCCGGCCTGCCAAAGTGCTGGGATTAAAGGAGTGAGCCACCGCGACCAGCCAGCTCTTGAAATTCTTGTTCCTAGAACATATCAGGGCACATTTCCAACTGACCCTTTGTGCTTGCCGTTCCCTTTGCCTCAAATGCTCTTCCTCCAGATACCTGAATGTCAAGCCCTCTCATTCATTTTAAGTGCTTACTCAAAAGTCACTTTCTCTGTGAGATATTCCTTGGCAACCCTAATCTAAAATGTCAAGACCTTACCCTGAAATATTTCATATCCCCCTTTCCTGCTTTTTTTCTTCCTTCTTAGCACTTATCCCTTACATGTTATTTTACTTATTTATTTTGTTTCTTCTCTACCTCCACTACTAAAATTTAAGCTCTATGAGGGCAAGTACTTTGTTTTTACTGATTTCCTAGCATCTAGAAAAGTACCTAACACATGGTGAATACCCATTAGATATTTGTTGGTTAAACAGTCTCTATAATCATCATTGTAAATGGCTAGATCCAGTTTTATCAAGGATTTAGCCAATAATTCCCCTACTGATGGACATATCGGTCACTGCCAATCTTTTAGTATTCTAAATAATGCTCTAATGCAGGGGTCAGCAAACTTTTCCTGGAGTAAGTCAGATAGTAAATATTTTCTGCTTTGCAAGATCTCTATCGTAACTACTCAATTCTGCCAATGCAGCACAAAAGCAACCACAGACAACAAACGGTGTGGGGTTGCACCAGACAAAATTTAGACTGCTTCATTGAATGTTTTTGTGCATGTATCTCTATCTTTTCAATTAGAATTACTAGATAAATTGGTATAAATATATTTATGGCTCTTAATATATTGACACATTGCTTTTCAAAGTGATAATCATGGAAAGCAGGGCAACTGGAACATTTACACAGGGCTGGTGCCAGTGCAAGTATAAACTGATACAATTACTTTGGAGAACACATTAAAGCTCAGCATGACTTTAAACACATTAAACTCAGCATTTATGAGTTTTAAACACATTTAATGTTTAAAAACATTAAAGCTCAGCATTAAAGCATGGCATGAGCCATGACTCAGCAATCTGTCAGGATATTTATTTTGTTTCAGAAGAATTGTGTTAGATATACTGGGAGAAGCACAAGGAATAAATAATGTCTTGTTTATTATCTGAGTACTAGTCACATGTATTCAATTTGTAACAGTTAATCAACTATACATATTGATATGTTCATCTTTTGTAAGTATACTATACTTCAAAGTTTTATAAGAAAACAAAGATGTCATATTCCCATCAGCAATACATATGAGAATAACTTCCTCCCCTCCTCCTTTCTACTCACCAGAAATGGGTATTATTTCACTTCATACTTTTGCTAATTTGATAGTATTTAAAAAAAGCTTCTGGATTGCCATAGTATTTTGTGTGTGATTATCATGGAGGCTGAACATTTCTCTTCTATAAATTGCTCTACGTTTTATCTATTATTTATTAGGGTTTTATTATTTTTTTGTAAATTGTGAAAACAAAACAATACAATGTCACAAAGACATCAACTCTTTGTCTATCATATTGCTGCAAGTATTTTCTTTTTGTTTTTTCAAGAAAGAGTGATTTTTAGTAGGGTCTGCTCCATGTGAGCCCCCATGCTGGACCCACTAATGAACAGTTATTAGAAGTCATAGATGGGAGCTGGGGTCTAGCATTAGGGTTTCGAATCTTGGCTCTTCTGTGCAGTCTGCTGTGTGACCTCATGCCCTTCCCGTCTCTCTACGCCACAGTTTTCTCTGCCCGAAATGCTTGGCTACCAGCTCTGCAAGGTGTTGGCTCCTCTTTATTTTTTAAATCTGAAAGGGAAGATTTTCTTCTAAGACCAATTGAAGACTTGATTGAAAGAGGCCTTCCTTGTTATTCTCCATTGCAGCCCTGGTTGGCTGCCCTCTTGGCAGCGTTCTCACTTCTCAACTTGGTTTCATTTTGTTTTTTTTCAAGAGACAGGATCTCGCTTTGTTGCCGAGTCTAGAATGCAGCGGCGCCATTATAGCTCACCATGGCCTTGAACTCCTGGGCTCAAGTGATCCTTCCATTTCAGTCTCCCAAGCAGCTGGGACTACAGGCATGAGCCATCATGCCTGATTAATTTTCTCTTTTTTTTTTGTAAAGACAAGGGTCTTGCTTTGTTGCCCAGGCTGGTCTCAAACTCTTGATCTCAAACAATCCTCTCACCTCAGCCTCCCAAAGTGTGCTCCTTCCTTTTTAATCTCATTATTTTGTTGAAAAAAAAAAGTTTTTTGAGTTTGTTTGTTTTGGAGACAAGGTTTGGCACTGTCACCCAGACTGGAGTACAGTGGAATGATCACAGTTCACTGCAGCCTCAACCCTCCTAGGCTCAAGAGATCCTCCCACTTCAGCCTCCCACCTCAGCCTCCCAAGTAGCCAGGACCACAGGTGCATGCAACCATGCCGGGCTAATTTTTTTTTTTTTTGTAGCGATGGGGGTCTCCCTATGTGGCCCAGGCTGATCTTGAAATTCCTGGGATCAAGCAATCCTCCTGCCTCAGCCTTCCAAAATACTGGGATTACAGGTATGAACCACCGAACCCAACCAAGTTTAAACTTTCACATGGCCAAACCAACTAACCTTTTTATCAGTGCGTCGTTTTTCTCAAAAATATTATACAGAACTACATTCTTTTATATTCAATAAGAATATTGTTTATTATGTAATGTGCAAGGACTTGTTTATTTCTCAGGCCAACAGTATGTTCTTAGATGACTAAATAAAGTAACTATAAAATATCTATTTGATGATTAACAGGAAAGCATCAAATAAAAATGATACTAGGCTGACCACGGTGGCTCATGCCTATAATCCCAGCACTTTGGGAGGCCAAGGCAGGAGGATTGCTCAAGCCCAGGTGTTCGAGACCAGCCTGGGCAACATAGTGACACCTTATCTCTAAAAAAAAAAAAAAAAATTAATGATATTAAGGTTAATCAATAGGATAAATTTTGACACCAAAACTAATTTGTAAAGCCAGGCGTGGTGTTTTGCCTGTAATCCCAGCACTTTGGGAGGCCAAGGCGGGCAGATCACTTGAAGTCAGGAGTTCGAGACCAGCCTGGCCAACATGGCGAAACCCCATCTCTACTAAAAATTCAAAAATTAGCTGGGCATGGTGGCACACACCTGTAATCCCAGCTACTCGGGAGGCTGAGGCACAAGAATCGCTGGAACCAGGAGGTGAAGGTTGCAGTGAGCTGAGTTCGCACCACTGCACTCCAGGCTCGGCGACAGAGCGAGACACTGTCTCAAAAATAATAATAATAATAATTTTAATAGGAAAACCCCTAAACTTCTGAGGCAATCACTTCATTAATGGAAAGTGCAGATTTTATACCTTAACCCAGTATATAAACATATCATTAGAAAAATGTAGATAGGAGGCCGGGCGCAGTGGCTCACGCCTGTAATCCCAACATTTTGGGAGGCCGAGGTGGGTGGATCACGAGGTCAGGAGATAGAGACCATCCTGGCTAACACGGTGAAACCCCATCTCTACTAAATATACAAAAAATTAGCCGGGCGTGGTGGTGGGCGCCTGTAGTCCCAGCTACTCGGGAGGCTGAGGCAGGAGAATGGCACGAACCTGGGAGGCGGAGCTTGCAGTAAGCTGAGATCACACCACTGCACTCTAGCCTGGATGACAGAGCGAAACTCTGTCTCAAAAAAAAAAAAAAAAAAGAAAAAAATGTAGATAGGAAATATAGTTTGTGTTAAGACTTTTATCTACCAGAAAGCAGTTGGCCAAAAAACAATGTAAAACTATATACATATCAAGAAGATATTCATATTCCAAATATACTCATAAGCAAAATATTATCATAGGCAGAATATTATGAATATATGCTTTTCAATGAATATATTCATACTCATTAACAAAATTCAAAAGGAAAATATTTCTAAGACTACATTATCATATGACCCACAACTTTTAAAGCAGAACATTCCTTAAAATGCTGTGAAGGTAGAATGGGAGCACCTTCAGCTAAAATTTCATGGAAATCTTCAAAGGCTATTTATTATAGAAAACCATATAGAAGATTCTCAAAAAACTAAAAACAGAACTACAATACTAATCCAGCAATCCCACTGCTGAGTATTTATCCAAAGAAAAGAAAACCAGTGTATCAAAGAAATCAGTGTATCAAAGAGATTATCTCCACCACCATGTTTATTGTAGTACTTTCACAATAGCCAAGACATGTAATCAAACCAAATGTCCATCAACCGATGCATGGATAAAGAAAATGTGGTGTATATACACAATGGAATACTATTTATCCATAAAAAGGAAAGAAATCCCACCATTTGCCACAACATGGATAAGCCTGGAGGACATCATGCTAAGCAAAATAAGTCAGGCACAGAAAAATAAATGCCACATGTTCTCACTCATATGTAGGAGATAAATTTTTGAGCTCATGGAAGTAGAGAGTAGAACTGTGTGTGTTAGAGGCTGGGAAGAGTAAAGGGAGAGGGATGGATAGAGGTTAGTCAACAGATACAAAATTACAGCTAGATAGGAATGAGCTCTGGTATTCTGCAGTACTGTAGGATGAATATGGTTAACTATTATTTATTGCATATTTTCAAAAGGCCAGAAGAGAGGATTTTGAATGTTCCCAACACAAGGATGGGTGTCCTAATTACCCTGATTTGATCATTATACGTTGTATACACATATTGAAATATTACTCTGTATCCCAAAAACACGTAGAATCATTCCATCTCAACTAAAAATAAAAGGGGGAAAAATCACTCCACTCTACACATAAGATTATGCATTTTATGGAAGTTATATCAACATAAAAAAACTTTAAAAGAATCTTCAAAGGCTGTTTAAACAAGATTTTGGTAAAGCCGTGAATTTTATGGATTTTAAGTTGGGTTGATTGATCCTTCCTTGAATTGGCTGTAGTAAACTGGTCTAAATTTATTGTAAAACTTCAGAGCTGAAAAACTTAAGCAAATTTTCCAGGGAGGGAAAAGAAAAATCTTGAAAATTTCTCCATATCTGCTTGGGTTCATCCAGATGCTAGAAAAGGATTCCTTTGGTAGGTTTCTAAAAACAACTGAACCGCCACCTTTCCTTAAGCTATGTTTAAAGAACATCTTCACTAAAAATGATTTTAATCTTAAGTTTTCTCCAGGAGATAAACTTTAGTTATATGGTAAATTCACTAATGTAGAACTCCTTGTTTTCAGAAGATGTCAGATAAACAAAGTCAATAACTGTGCCAGAACTGTCATGAAAATGTTAACAACCTTAGTCACTTAGAGAAGAATTAAACTCCCTGCAACAAATATATGTTGGCTTATCACTATAAATCAGATACACTGGAAAAGCTATTACTAATCAGATTATTGCATATCTTACTCTTTCTTGCCTAATGAGGTATTTGTCCCCTTTGATCAATAGGGAAAATAAGTCTTCTAACATAACAACAACAACAAAAAAACTACTTAAAAATAAATAAAGGACTCCTAAGCAAGCAAGACAATAGATGCTGAGTTTTGGACTCTCCTCAAATCTAATCATACAAATATGTTAGAAATGGTTGGGGGAGCAGTGGAGAGGCTGGTAGAAACAGAAACCTAAAAAGGTGATAAAACTGTATTGAACCTCCCCAAGTTTGCATTTTCAACATTAAAGTTTACTTTTTAATTAAGTTTTAAATTGGAGAATTAAAAAAAAAACTGTATTGAACCTAGCACATACACAAGTGAGTACCACTGAAACTGGAAATCTGAATAAGAGTGGTGGATTTTATCAATGTCAGTGGATTCATTTGCTAGGGCTGCCATAATAAAATACTACAGACTGGGTGCCTGAAACAACAGAAGTTTATTTTCTGACAATTCTGGAGGCTAGAATTCTAAGATCAAAGTGTTGGCAGGCTTGGTTTCTTTCGAAGCCTCTCTCCTTGGCTTGCAGATGGCCTCCTCCTTGCTGTTTCCTTCACAGAGTTTTTTCCCCTATGTGCATGTCCCTAATGTCTCTTTTTGTGTCCACATTTCCTCTTATAAGGACACCAGACTGGATTATATTAGGGCCCACTCCAACAATCTTATCCTAACTTAATCACCTTTTTAAATGCCCTAGCTTCTAAATACAGTTACATTAAGGTACTGGAGGGTTGGGGCTTCAACATATGAATTTGCAGGGACACTACTCAGCCCATAAATAGTCAATATCCTGGTTGTAATATTATAAATATAATTTTGCAATATGTTACCACTGGGGAAAGCTGAGCAAAGCATGCAAAGAACCTCTCTGTATTATATCTTACAACTGTAAGTGAATCTACAATTATCTGCACAGGAAAAATAAAAACACCCAGAGATGGGAGGATAACAAAATAGGTGGACAATAACAAAAGACAAAATATTCAACAATATCAGGTGATAGGACAGTCCTATGGACAACAGATAAGTAGGCAGGGCTAAAATGCCCAAAAAACAGAACCTACACAGAATAAGCAACTGGTCAGATGAAGGGAGAAAAAAGAGAGTTCTGGTGATTCTAAGAGCTGGGAAAGAAGAAATTACCATCAAAAAGAGAGGATCTTTTTTAAGTGAAATTGTATCTAAGAACAACCAGTAAAGTTTCTGAGCTTCTGGGGGAGAACGCGAGACCACAAGAACCTAAGAGGCTTTAGGAAGAACACCGTGGACTAGAATCCAAATCAAACAAAGAGGCAGGAGTGGGAATAAAGGAAAGAGATACCCAGAGGAGGTTAATCTCAGAGAACATCAGAGAGGAGGTCACATCAAGAAGCCACATTTTTTCCTTTATGTTGAAACATACACTCGGAAAAAGGCAGCAATAAGTGAACTTGCTGATATTTCACAATTTCACAAACAGAACCCACTTATGTAACCAGCAACCAGTTCAAGAAACAGAAACTTTCCAGCAGCCCAGAAGCCTCTACTTTCTCTATTCTCATCAATACTCTCCCAAGGGTAGCCCCTATTCTGGCTTCTAACAGAACAGAATGATTCTGCCTGTTTGAGGACTTTCTATACATGCAGGCATACAGTATAAACTCTGCTCTGTCTGGCTTCTTTAGCTCAACATATGTCTGTGAGATTCATACATACTACTGCATGCAGCTGTAGACTGTTTATCATTCTCATCGATCTACAGTATTCCATTGTGTAAATATACCATGATGTATTTATTCAATCTGAGTCAGTTTAATATTGCTGTATAACAAATCACCTAAAAATTTAGTGGCTTAAAACAACAATTTCTTATTTCTCACAATTCTATGTTTTCTGGGTAGTTCCTCCTCTGGCTTTACCTGGACTTGTTCACATGGCTACTTTTAGCTGGAAGGAAGGTCAGCTAAACTATAAGGTCAAAGATGGCCTCACTCAAGTTTGTCAGTAAGTACTGGTCATTGGCTGGGCACCACGATTCTCTTCCAAGTAACCTCTCCTACTCCAGGACGTCCTTATATAGTGGTCTCAGGGCATTATTCCCCAGAGTATGTAAGCGCTTATCAAGCTTCTGTTGCATAATGCTTGCTAATGTCCAACTAGCCAGAGCAAGTTACAAAGCCAAAGTCAGACTCACTGCGGAAGGGAACAACAATGACTGATGGCCATTTCAACAGATTTCAGTTTGGAGCAATGACAAATGTGCTATGAGCATTCTAGTCCATATATTTGGGTGAGTATGGATCTTACAGTAGAACTAATGAGTCACAGGATTTGCAGCATATGTCCAGTTTTAGTAGATATGGCCATACAGCTTTCCAAATTGCTGTACCACTTTACATTTCCATTCCAATTTACACTTTGAATAGCAGTGCAGGAGAATTTCAGCTATCCTACATCCTCATACTTGGTATTTTTCATCTTTCTCATTTAGCCATTCTAGTGAGTGTACAATGGTACCTCATTTTTATTTTAATTGAGTGGCCATATTTTTAAAATACTTCAGATAAGCAACAAAGGAGGAAATCTTCAAACTATAAAACCAGGAAAACTGTATTTATCAATTTCCATCTCCATCACAGAAACCTTCTCCAAAAGTACAGGTAAGTCCATCTAATTTAAATATGACCAAGAGAGAACAATTAAAAAGCACAGTAAGAAAAAAAGATGAGAACTGTAACATATTTCAAAAGGAATAAGAGGAATTAAGAAAATAGCCAGGCACAGTGCCTCATGCCTGTAATCTCAGCACTTTGGGAGACCAAGGCAGGAGGATCACAAGCCCAAGAATTCAAGACCAGCCTGGGCAACAAAGTGAAACCTGTCTTTAAAAAAAAAAAATTCAGCTGGTAGTGGTGGCACACATCCACAGTCCTAGCTACTTGGGAAGCTGAGGTGGGTGAATCCCTTGAGCCTTGAATGACAGAGAAAGGCCCTGTCTCAAAAAGAAAAAAAAATGAAAAAAGGGGAAAAAATTTTTAAATGATAGAAGCTATGGAAGAACAGCATACATCAGAAATTGAAAAACTAAAAAATGAATCTTGCCAGATAACAAGAGGATGTACAATAAGAAATGACAAAGTTCATGACAGAACAGGAAAGAAAAAACTCAGAAAGGAAGTGAAAACTAAAAAGAACACTAAACTTAATAGATAGGTACCACCAGATACGGTGGCTCACACCTGTAATCCCAGCACTTTGGGAGGCTGAGGCAGGTGGATCATTTGAGCCCATGAGTTTGAGACCAGCCTGGGTGACATGGTGAAACCCTGTCTCTACAAAAAACACAAAAATTAGTAGGGCATGGTGATGCACATCTGTAGTCCCAGCTACTTGGGGCTAAACTGGGAGGATCACCTGAGGCCAGAGACGTTGACACTGCTGTAAACCATGATGGTGCCACTGCATTCCAGCCTGGGTGACAGAGACTGTCAAAAAAAAAAAGCGATAGATACCATGAAAAATACATTGAACACACTAAAGCATAAAATAGAAAAAAACATAAAAATAGAGCAAATATAAAAAATAAGAAAAAATAATACTAAGGTATAGACATAAGAAGATCCAACATACATATAATAGGAGGCCCCAAAGAGAGAAAATGAAAACAATGGAACACATTACTAAAAAACTATAATTGATGAAAATATGAAAAAACACTTGAGCCAATGTAATAAAAAACACTGTGTATCTAGGAGAATTAACAGGGAATGGTCAACAGACATTCTAGTAAAATTATTGGCTTTAAATATGAAGAAAAAGCCCTTGGGTATCTAGGCAAAAAGATAAAATTAAAGAAAGAAAATCATATTGGTATTACAGTTTGACAACAACACATTTTACCAGAATAGAATATGACTCAGCAAACTAAGGCCTATGGACCAAATCCAGCCCACTGCCTGGTTCTGTAAATTAAGTTTTATTGGAACAGTCAGGCTAGTTCATTTACACACTATCTATAGCTGCTTTTGCAATGCAATGGCACAGTTAAGTAATTGTGAGGGAAACCAGTGATCCATAAAACCTAAGATAATTATTATTCAGTCTTTTACAGAAAAAGTTTGCCAACTCCTGCAAGAGAGTAACATTTTTAAAGATAGTTGAGGGGAAAAAAAATGTGAGTCAAGTATTTTTATTCAGTCAAAGTGACCTTGAACTATAAAAGCCACAGATAAACAGTGTTAAATATGAAAAGCAAGGGATACATTTCACATGAGCCACTACAAGAATTCAATGAACTTCAGACTACTAGATGATTACAGAAGCTTTACCGTAAGGACTTCTGTTGCACACTGAATATATTTAAATGAAAAACTAAGACTAATGCAAAGGTAACACAGTAGCATATGATTCACATATGGCAAACAGACAGAATTGAGAAATCTTGGGCAGCAAGAACTGACTGACCCAGGGGCTTGATTATGTATGGAAAATGGGATTAAGAATAAAGAAGGAATCAGAGATAACTCCTAAATTTCTGGACTGGGAAAATGGATGGAAGGTGGTACCAACTCACTGAGCTAAGGAATAAAAGAAAAGACACAGATGTGAAGAGGACAATAAGTCTGGGGCATGTTGAATGTGAAATGCTTGTGGAAAATTAAGTGAATATATCCAGTCGTAGTAGGACACAAAGATGTGGATTTCAGGAGAAAAGCCCCGACTAGATATTAGATTCAGGAATCATCAGACATGCGTGAAAAGAACAAATAGTGCATAACTTACCATGAGAGCAGCAAGACCAATAGCTGAAAAAAAAAAAGCACTAAAAGAAACAAGTCCTCAGAACTCAGAAGAAAATAACAGCATTAGCACTTCCACTGAATTTGGCCACAATAATATTCTCCAGTATTCCAAAACAACTATTAAGAATTTTGGCCAGGCACAGTGGCTCAGGCCTGTAATCCCAGCACTTTGGGAGGCCCAGATAGGAGGATATCATGAGCCCAGGAGTTCAAGACCAATCTGGGACACACAGGCCTCATCTCTACAAAAAAAAAAAAAAAAAAAAGTGAGCTGGGCTCTGGGTGTGCACCTGTGATCCCAGCTACTCAGAAGGCTGAGGTGAGAGGACTGCTTGAGCTCAGGAGGTCGAGGCTGCAGTGAGCTGTGATCACGTTAGTGCGCTCCATCCTGGGCAACAGAAAAAGATCCTGTCTCAAACAAACAAAAAAAGGATTTTGTACTTTAAGTCATTAAAAATAAAGCATTTAAAAACAATGAATATGAAGAGTGAAAAACAAAAAGCCTTTAGCTACTTTATTTTTAATGACTATATATAGAGTTGATCATATTGCTATGTATTGGGGCCTGGGATTCAAGTGAAAAATTGCCAACAAAATCCCACATGTGGAGTGAGGTATGTATGTACATATGTAGGTAGGTAGGTATACATGCATGAAAGGCAGTAGGTAGAGGGATGGACTGTGTTATAGGCTGAACTGTATTCCTCTCAAATTCATCTGTTCACATCCTAAACCCTGGTACCTCAGAATGTGACTTATAGGGGAAGTAAGGCCTGGAATAGAGGTAATTAAGGTAAAATGAAGTCATATGTGTGTGCCCTAATCCAATGTAAGTGATGTTCTTAAGAGGAAATTAGGACACACACATACACAGAGGGAAGACCAAGTGAAGCCACCTTAGGAAGACAGCCATCCATCAGCCAAGAGAGGGGCCTTAGAAGAACCTAACCCTGCCAACACTTTGAGCTTATACTTCTAGCCTCCAGAATTGTCAGAAAATAAATTTTTGTTGTTTAAGACAACCAATCTGTGATTCTTTGTTATGGCAGCCCTAACAAATTAATACAAGCTGAGAAGAGGAAGTAGTCCTAGCTGGTTAAGAATTCACACATATTGTCAACTCCGTCCCAGAAATATGAAGTCCTATAACAGAAAAAAGGATAGAGCTTTTGATATATGGTGATTATGCCTTAAATCATGCAAGGAAAATATTTTTAAAATAATAAGTATTTCCAGAGGAAAATATAAGAAAAAACTGAAGGGACAGAATATTTGCAATTAAAAAAGGACAGAAAAGGTTAAAGCAGTATCAGTTTTGAAGAAAACCAAGAATAAAAAGAGAAGCCAACCAAGAAGTATCCTATGCATGAAATGAAAGTTAACCAAAGAGTAAATGAATCATCTAAAAACAATCCAGAGAAGCAAGGGAAAGCAATGGAAGCAACTTTGGATAATTATTTAGAATTAAAAAGAGTTATGTGTATGTTAAGTTCAGCTAATGAAATCCTTGATGATTAACAAACAAAAAACATTTTCAGGCATCAAGTGAAAATATATTTCCAGTAGGTTTTAATGGAATTTTGGTTCTTTGCAGGTTTCTTAAGGAAAAAAAAAACAAAAAAAACAAAAAAAAAAACCAGCTAATAATTACTAGCCATTCCATACATATTACTTTTTGTCCTATCTCTGGAGCTAAAGAGGCCATAGATTTCCAGAGGAGAGTAAGGTGAAGGAGAAAGCTATTCTCTAACTTGCAGCAACCAAGGGGGGAGCTACTCCCTGGTGCTAGGTTGGCCAAAGTTCATGCAGAGAAGAAAAAAAGCTAGAGTAGAAATTCAGCATTTTATGGTAAGATTTTTAATGTTTTTAAATATTGCTTCAACGTTTTAACGTCTTCTTAAACTTTTTTAAAGTTATGGCTGGACGTGGTGGTTCACACCTATAATCCTAGCACTTTGGGAGGCCAAGGCAGGAAGATCATTTGAGTCCAGGAGTTCAAGACCAGCCTGGGCAACACCGCAAGACCCCATCGCTACAAAAAATAAGAAAAATTAGCTAAGTGTGATGGCACGTGCCTGTAGTCCCAGCTACTTGGGAGGTTGAGATGTGATCCTTTGGGCCCAGGAGTTTGAAGAGGCAGTAAGCTATGGTTGCACCACTGTATTCCAGCGTGGGTGACAGAGTGCGACTGTGTCTCTAAAAAACATAATGTTATATCTCACATCAAAGTTGTATAATTTCTTTTGATACATAATGTTACTTCCTTTCAGTATAAGAATATCACTGTTGTCCTAGACCAAGATTCTTTGCTTTCCATATTATTTTCAAGTGTAATAACATGTTTCTGAAATACATCTTCTTTGTCACTAGAGCCATTAGCATTACCACTATGAACACTAACGGTGAAAAAGCTCTCCAACTGTTTAAGTGTAAGACTTTGCAAAACAAACTTGAATACGGCTGCATAATTTGCCTTTCTCCAGAAAAGCCTATTAAACTTTGTTGGCATTGGATACAAAATAAAATTCAAAAATTTGCATTTTCAGTACTTTTCGTTTCTTGACCTTTATTTGAATTTGAGACTAAGCTTTACCAAACAACAGAATTTACACAGTAACTAGCCAACCACAGTCCTCATTATGGAATCTATGCAGTGCATTTGTTACCTAGGAAACGGACCAGAGCACAGGCAGAGTGCAATTTCAGTCTAGCAAAAGAATTCTCCAATCATGCTAGTAAATAAAGTCCATAAATCAACTAATCAGAAGCAAAGTCAAGAAGTATCACGTAAGAGTTAAGCTCAATGGAAACTTTTTTTAAAGGAAAAAAAGAAACCTGTGGGGCTTCCTCAGGCAACTATGTAGATCTCTTAAGTAAATATTATGAGCAGGTTTCTTTACAAACACAAACTGTCAGAAAATAAACTGTTCAAAATAAATGGCTTCTCTCCAATCTTCAGCTTCTCTATTTTTGACAGTACTTAAGAGAAAAAGCTTCTTTAGAGCCAGCCTCATACATCTGGTACCAGAATATTAATCCAAGAATGAAATCTGCATTTTCAGCAAGCAGCATGGTGTTGGTGCTGTTGTTAAACAATGCAGGATGATGATAAAAGCTGGAATGAGAGGTCACTGTCCACACCTCTCACAGCCGGACCTGCTTCCCCACCAGGCTACAAAAAAATGTCAAAAAGAAAGACTTGAAAGTCACAGATCTATTACAAAGAATAAAATTGTTACTTTTCAGCTTTCCATTTATTGCTAATGAAAACACTAGTCATTTGAGCATTCCAGTTAACATAAAGTGGCCATTTTAGGCTTCTTGTAATGATACTACATTGATAACCAATAAACAGGAAAATGCTAGAAAAGTCCATGGATTTTAAAGCCTATCAAATTTAACTGTGGACGGCTTAATGTTGTTTTAAAAAGAGAAGGTGGTAAATGTCAGCTATATTTAAAAATCCAGTTTTACACAAATTCAAATTTTCTGGAAGCAGCACTTATTTGTCAAAATAAATGAAAAAAATTTCAAACATGAAAAATGAAAAATAATTTATATGCTTTCCTCAACACCAACTTACCAGAAAGGAAATCAGCTGAAAATATGTAAGGTTCTCTGGAATGCTTCTGATCACACTAAAATATTATTGCTAATTACACAAAAAACAAAAAATTCTTATCTACCTATCAGTCAAAAAAAAAAAAACACAAAAACATAAACAAAACTAGGTGTTATCTTTCAGCCAGCCCACATAAAGACTACATTGATGATCTCAGAAAACAGGCACAACTACAACTTTGCCAAAACAATTCTCAGTACAGGCCACACTCGATGCTTAGCTACACAGTGACTCTTTGTTAAATCTTATCACTACCACTGACAGCCTTGTAAATATATAAACAAGCAATTCAATCGTTAGCTTATCTTTTTTAAATATTTTAAAGAGCTAAGGAAGAGTACGTATATCTAAGTGCTGAAATTCTGAGAGTGGTCTAGAACTCCATTCCTGGATTCACGATAAAGCCTGATCAAATTTCAATACCTCTTCTCTTTGGGCTATTACTAGGAATGGAGAGGGACAAGGAACGCTAGTCAAGGGCCTACCAGAGCCACATACTGAGCTGTGCTTCTGTGCAGAATTTAAATTCATTTACCTAATGCAGACTGGAAGTCAAAGCAGAAACTAGTAAAATTTTATCAACTAAAAAGGATTGGCTTGATCACTGCTAGGTTTTAAGTAATGTGTGTACAAATCTACGCTCCAGGCATTTACAAAATTAGGCATGCAATAATATTAATCTGTTTAACTGGGACAAGAATCTAGATAAATTTTTCTCCTAGAAAAAAGCACTATTTTAAGCATACTAAACTTTTTATAATGACAAAAATCAGTTTGTCTTTAAAAAAGTGCATTAAATTGTACACTGTTTACTAATTTTCAAACCTTAATGAAAATTTAAATACATAATTTTCCACGTTTTTCCTTCAAGTTTAGATGATAATGCTTTTTGTTTTTTTAGGAAAACCTCTATTTTTTACATATGACTGTCCATATAATTGTATGCATGGCCCCCAAAACTGCTTCTTCGTTTTTTTAATCTCCTGGGTAACTGTCAGACTTAACTTTGTCAATATAAATTCTCACAGGGTGGGCAAAAAAGAGTTTCCAGAACGGAGCAGTAGATTGAGATTGATACAGGCATAAATCCATACCTGCGTATTAAAAATCTGAATCTGTAAAATTAATTTTCTGGGTGCTTATTCAACCTCATTTATTATTTGAGTATCTACAATACACAGCAACCGTTCATGAAGAAACTTAGCTAGCTAATCAAATAAGACAATTCAGAAACATCACCCTACAGTATTTTTCAAAACACTGTATCCATATCCATGCACAACCCAATCGTTGGGTTATATACGTGGAATAAAATAGTAAAGGCACAATCCTAGAGGGGAAACTCAATTCTGACATTCATGGTCTCATGGGTAGGGAAAGATCTCATATCTTAAATCAGCAGAAATAAAGGCTTCAGCCTGAAGGGAAAGCTAGATCATTGTTTATTGCACTCCAATTTAACCTCCACCATGGAAGCTGTCACTACCTGACTGGCTTGTTAGCTGTTTATTTCGTCGGGAGAGGATTCCGTCTTGCGAATCCTAACGAGTTCGGGAAAAAACAAAACTTTACTCCTAAACTTCAAAACACACACACACACACACACACACACACGCACACACACTAAATACATATAATTGTAAAAATCACAGCCACGTTCATTTTTTTTAAAGTCCCAATCTAAAACCTTAAAGAAAAAAAAAGACTTGAAGGAACCAAAAACATTCTTTGATTTTGGTTTGACGTTGTTCAGTCCAACCTCCTCCTACCCAGGGGAATACATTTCTCGATATATTTGATAACAAACACAAATCACTGTGCGCAGCCTCAGATGGGGGTGGGGGGGCGGAAGAGCCTTTTGGAGAAAGCCCTCCTCCGTTAGAAACAATAAATAAGGGAGCGAAGCCATGCACGTTCCTTCACACACGCCCCAAACGCACCTCGGCGAGCCACCCGAGGAGGAAAACTAGTGGGGCAGAGCCCTGAACCACCTCTCTTTCTCCATAAGCATCTCAAGACTTGGAAACTAAGAGGACAGACCTTTTCCTCCTCCTTCCCGCCCTCCTTCCCACCTCCGACAGACCCAAGAGCAGGAGCGGGGGCGCCAGCCCCACGCACTGCGCCTGCAGCCGCCGCTGAGACCCGAGCTGCCGGGCGGCGGGGCGGCCCGGGGCAGGCGGACCGGAGCCGCCACCGGGGGTCTCTGCGCCTCGCACCCCCAAGCCCGGCGCTGCCGACGAGCGGCCGCCCGGGTCCCTGCCCTCGCTCCGGCCTCGCTCCCCCGAGAGGAGACAAAAGGAAGGTTCAGCCGGGTCACCGCGCGGCCGCTGACGGGGAAGCAGAGTCGACCCCGGCGCGGCCGCCCCCCACACAAAGGGGCTCCCCGCCTGGGTCGCGGCGTCGGCGCACTCGTCCCCGCCCCGCGCGCGGGCTCTCACCCACCTGCAGGTGTCTGTGCGTCTGTCCATAGGAACGCGGTCGGCGCGGGGGGGCCTGCGAGAGCCGGGCAGCCCGGGCTGGACGGGACGGGCCGAAGGGGCGCGAGGGCGGGAGGAGAGCGGCCAGAGGGCCGGGCACCAAAGGTAAGTGGAGCGGGGAAGGCGCCCGGCGGGCGGCGGACCGAGGAGCGGGGCGGGGGGCGGGGGCGCCAGCCTGGCTCGGCCGACCGCCGCGCGCCGCTCCGTGCGCCCCGAGCTCCGCGCGCCCGGCTCGGAGCGCGGCGGGCGGGCAGGGGGCGGGGCGCGGGCGGGCCGGGGCGGGGCCGGCGAGCGGGGCGGGGGCTCGGACCCCGGGCTCCAGCCGGCACCGGAAACGCGCCGTGGTCGGCGAGACCCACAGGAAGTGTGTAACGACACCTCCTACGGCACGCACCGAGCTCGCAGTCGTTGCTGCCCCGAGGAGGTGTAGATCGAGCCTCCTGCCGCACACACGTTCGCACGCGGCGGCCGGCGCGCTGGACCGAGAGGTTGGAGCAATCCATCCTCCGCGCGCACGAGCTCAGTCCCTACTGCCCCGACAGGTGTGGAACCCGCCGTCCCCGCTATGGTCCGAGGAAGTGTACAGCACTGCTCCCTACTACACGTCCTGGGCCCGCGGTCCCCGATGCCCCCCGGAGCTCTGTGCACCTCCACTGAAACGCAAGGAGCAGACAGAACCTACACCATCCGTGAGGTGTGTGATTTCCCTTATAACGCATTGAGTAGAGTTACCTCTCCGCCCAGGGATGTGCATTAACACTTTCTACCGAGATACTACGTACAGCCCATAGTCACCGCTGCCCCGTGAAGGTGCCCAACAACCACCTGTAACACACACACCCCTATCCCATCGAGGGAGCGGGGATGCTTAATGATACCTAAAATACACTAAAACTAGGTCCTCCAGCAAACCAGAGACACAAGAACACCACCTACACGACTCAGCACAGCAAAGATGAAGCTGGACTTGCTAGGTGCTACCAGGCTTGGTCCACCTTTATTTTACCTAACACTTTCGTAGTACTTGCTGTGTGCCCACAGTTTGCACTGAGTACTTAGCGAATATTAATTTATTTAATCCTAAGAACTCTACATAGTGGGTGCTATTAACATTGCCATTTTATGATAAGGAAACTGAGGCACAGAGAAATTAAGAAATTTTTTCAACATCACATAGATAGTAGCTAGAGGAGCCTGGATTCATTCCGGACAGTCTGGCTTCAGAGTCTGCTCTTAACTCCCTTTCTATTTACAGCACTGACCATCTCCAAAACAGTAATCATGGTAATAAATAACATTTACACCATATCTGTCAGGCCTTACGTAGTGCCCACATCTTGGCCTCACCTCATCTGTGACAGGCATACCCCAGTCACTTGTACCCTTGGAGTAGGTAAGGGAAGAGAAGAATATTTTTGAGGGAGAGAAAGAAGCTAACTTCTTAGCAAAGGAGAAAATATCCAGGGTCGTCCAGAATCCAAGCAGGTAACTTCATTACCACATCAAGCATGTTCTCTTTTAGGTAGCTTCTGCCAACCCCTCTCCATCTCTAGAGCTGATTCCGGTTGATGTTCTTAACACCTTCCTCTATCAACACTCTTCCAGGTCTAGGCTGAAATTTAAAATCTGTGTAAATGTTGACACAATAATGTTTGTACAAACAAAAAAGACCAAAAATGAAAACCCCCTAGTTAATTGCTGCATATTCTAAAGATGGGATCTTGTGGAGAAATTGGAACTCTTATGCAATGCTGATAGGAATGTAGATGGTACCACCACTATGCAAAACAGTGGGGAAGTTCCTCAAAAAACTAAAACTAGAGCTACCATATGATCCAGCAATCCCACTTCTGGGTAAATATCCAAAAGAATTGAAAGCAGGATATCGAAGAGATATTTGCACATTCATGTTCATTGCAGCACTATTCACAATAGCCAAGAGGTTGAAGCAGCCCAAATGTTCATCAACAGATGAAGAGATGAATGAAAATGTGATATATACATATAATGGAATATTATTCAGCCTTAAAAAGGAAGGAAATCTTATCACAGGCTACAACATAGATGAACCTTGAGGATGTTGTGCCAAGTGCAATAAACCAGTCACAAAAGGACAAATACTGTTATGATTTGACCTATATGAACTATGTAGAGGTATGTAAACTGTGGGATTATGTCAAACTTGTGGAAACAAGACGGTAGAATAGTGGTTGCTAGAGGGTAGAGGGAGGGGAAAATGGTGATATAATGTTTACTGGGTACAGAGTTTCAATTTTGCAAGATGAAAAATTTCTAGAGATGTTACACAATAATGTAAATATAACACCACCGAACTGTACACTTAAAAGTAGTTACAAAGGTAAATTTTAAATTGTTTTTGCCACAATCAACTTCAAAACAAATCTAATTTTATTTGTTTAAAGGATATTTCACTACAATGAATTTTTTTAATGATGCAGGCATCCAACCATGATGAGGTACCTTGTTGAACAAACTAACTCTGCCACTGAGAACGATGAAAGCTGTTTAAAAAAATAAATAAGTCTGTTTAAAACAATTGGAGAGCAACCCTGTCATCCAAGGCTTGAGAGTCCACGAGCCCCCCAGGAAGAAGAGAAATACTCTGAAGTGAGTCCTGCATTCTCAGCCGCTTTTCCTTCTCAGGGCATTGTTGATTTGTGTCTAGGAGTGTAGAAGTCAGAAAGAAGCACCCTAGAGCTTACCGGCAGTCTTACTGGCCTGGAGATACAAAATTTGGAGTCAGGTCTATTAAGGCAGCTAGGACTTGAAAAACGAAGATCCTAGAGAAAGCAATCACAGTAAACCTAGTGGGTTGGCTGAGGGCCATAATCCCGGCACTTTGGGAGGGTGCGGCAGGAGGATTGCTTGAGGCCAGGAGTTTGAGACCACCTTGGGTAGCATAGTGAGACCCTCGTCTCTACAAAAAGAAAAAAAAATTAGCTGGGCATGGTGGCCCACATCTCTAGTTCCAGCTACTCAGGAGGAGTAGAGGAGAAAGAGAGAAGAAAGGAGACCTGTGAGATTATGCTTTTATTAGGTCTATAGGCATTATGCCCTTAAAAAACACATGCACAAAGGAGAGGAACTTATTTCCAAGACTCTGGTGTTAACCATTAGGTTTTTGTTTTGTTCTGTTTTGTTTTGAGACAAGGTCTCCCTCTGTTGCCTAGGCTGGAGTGCAGTGGCGTGATTTCAGCTCACTGCATCCTCTACCTCCCTGCCTCAGTCGATCCTCATGCCTCAGCCTCTTGAGTAGCTGGGACTAGAGATGTGGGCCACTACGCCCAGCTAATTTTTTTTTCTTTTTGTAGAGACAGGGGTCTCACTGTGTTACCCAGGGTGGTCTCAAACTCCTGGCCTCAAACAGTCCTCCTGCCGCACCCTCCCAAAGTGTTGGGATTACAGCCCTCAGTCAACCATTAGGTTTTTTCATGGTCAGCTGAGGGATGTGTTGCGTTTGGGAGTCTATAAGATGAACAAGTGGGCTATATCTCAACGACACTGGGAGGGGAAGTTTGTTTTGTTTTGTTTCTTGAGACAGAGTCTTGCTGTGTTGCCCGGGCTGGAGTGCAGTGGCATGATCTCAGCTCACTGCAGCCTCCTCTGCCTCCCAGATTCAAGCGATTCTCATGCCTCAGCCTCTCGAGTAGCTGGGATTACAGGCACACGCCATCCTTCCCATCTAATTTTTGTATTTTTAGTAGAGGCAAGGTTTCACCATATTTGGCCAGGCTGGTCTTGAACTCCTGAGCTCAAGTGATCCTCCCACCTTGGCCTCCCAAAGTGTGGAATTACAGGTGTGAGCCACCACACCTGGCCAGGAGGGTAAGTTTTAACAAGGCCAAAGGTGACAGCAGGGGGTTGGGTATACAACTGGGTTTCAAAAGACTTAGGCCAGGCCTAAAAATGAATGCCAGAGCAGCAACTATATTAAAAAATTTATGACACTGGTACATGCTTCAACATGGATAAACCTGGAAAAGTTTACAAAGCTATGGGAAAGGAGCCAGTCACAAAGGGTCATATATTATATGATTCCATTTATATGAAGTGTCTAGAATATACAAATCAATAGGGAAAGAAAGTAGACTAGTAGTTCCCTAGGGCTGAGAGGTTTTGGTGGAAATGTGAGGTAACTACTAAGGAGTAAAGTTTCTTTTTGGGGTGATGAAAATATTGTAAAATTGGATGATGTTTATGAAACTCTGATTATACTAACAGCTACTGAATTGTACGTTTTAATGGGTGAACTGTATGGTATGTAAGTTATTTCTCAATAAAACTGTTTCAAAAAGGAAGCATGAAATACAAATCGTAGGCCAGGCATGGTGGCTCACGCCCATCATCTCAGCACTTTGGGAGGCCAAGGTGGGAGGATTGCTTGAGCCCAGGTGTTTGGGACCAGCCTGGGCAACAAAGTGAGACCCTGTCGCTACAAAAAAAATCAAAAAATTAGCCGGGTGGGGTGGCACACATCTGTAGTCCCAGGTACTTGGAAGGCTGATGTGGGAGAATCAGTTGGTCCCAGGAGGGTCAAGGCCGCAGTAAGCTGTGTTTGTGCCACTGTACTCCAGCTTGGGTGACAGAGCAAGACTGTGTCTCAAAAAAAAAAAGGAAAAAGGAGTCCAATAGAGGGCAGAGTCTGAGGAAGGGGCACAGGTGCCATGTGCAGCAAGAAGAACCCCCTAAAACAGCCCAAGAAGCAGGCCAAGGAGACGGATGAGGAAGATAAGACTTTCAAGCAGAAGCAAAAAGAGGCATTAAAACAAAATGATACGTTAGAACATTTCTCCCAACAATTGCAGAATACAAGCTCCTTTCTTTCATTATTTTTATTTATTTATTTTGAGACAGTCTCACTCTGTCACCCAGGCTAGAGTAAAGTGGATCATAGCACACTGCAGCCTTGACCTCCACATTTAAGCGATCTTCCCACATCAGCCTCCTGAGTAGCAGGGACTACAGGTGGGTGCCGTCATACCCAGCTAATTTTTCTTTTCTTTCTTTTTTTGTTTTTCTGAGGTGGAGTCTCACTCTGTCGCCAGGCTGGAGTGCAGTGGTGCAATCTCAGCTCACTGCAACCTCCGCCTCCCGGGTTCAAGCGATTCTCCTGCCTCAGCCTCCCAAGTAGCTGAGACTATAGGCATGCGGCATGACGCCCAGCTGATTTTTGTATTTTTAGTAAAGACGGGGTTTCATCATGTTGGCCAGGATGGTCTCGATCTCTTGACCTTGTGATCCACCTGCCTTGGCCTCCAAAAGTGCTGGGATTACAGGTGTGAGCCACCGCGCCCGGCCATACCCCGCTGATTTTTAATTTTTTTTTTTTTTTTTTTGTAGAGATGTGGTCTCACTATATTGCTCAGGCTGGTCTTGAACTCCTGGGCTCAAGTGATTCTCTCACCTTGGCCTCCCAAAGTGTTGGGATTACAGGCGTGAGCCACCATGCCCAGCCTAGATGTTCCTTTTAAGTGCATATATAATGTTCACTAAAAAAGGCCATATAATTAGCTATAAAACAAGTCTCAAAAAATTTAAAATGATTGAAGTCACAGAGTATATTTTTCTAACCCACTGTAAAGCTAAATTTGAAATCAATTATAGATCAATATCTGGAAACTCTGAATATTTGAAAATTAAACATGTTTCTATAGTCCTCATTGATTAAAGAAGAACTCAGAAGGAAAGTAGGAAAATCTCTCGAAGAATGAAAAATTACACAATGTATCAAATGTTTGTGGGAAAATGCTAAGGCAGTTCTAAAAGTGAAATTTATGGCTTAAAAGTTTGTATCATAAGAAAAAGAGGGCCCAAGAGAATGAACTAAGTTTTAATCTTCAGAAGCTACAAGAAAGGACATATTAAACACAAAGTAGAAGAAAACAAATAATGAAGATAGTAGAAATCAAGTAAAACAGAAAACAGACCCTCCCCCAGCCGCCCAAAAAAAAAATAAGTAAGAAAATAAAGGAAAACATAAAGTATTTTGTAAAAAATCATTGCCAGGCATGTGGTTCATACCTGTAATCTCAGTGCTTTGGGAGGCCAAGGTGTGTGAATCGCTTGAGCCCAGGAGTTGGAGACCATCCTGGGCAACATAGTGAGACCTCGCCTCTACTAAATAAAAATATTAGCCAAGCATGGTGGTGTGTGCTGGTGGTCCTAGGTCATCGAGAGGTTGAGGTGGGAGGAAATCGAGACCATCCTGGCTAACACGGTGAAACCCCGTCTCTACTAAAAATACAAAAAATTAGCTAGGTGTGGTGGTGGGCGCCTGTAGGCCCAGCTACTCGGGAAGCTGAGGCAGGAGAATGGCGTGAACCCGGGAGGTGGAGCTTGCAGTGAGGTGAGGTCGAGCCACTGCACTCCAGCCTGGGTGACAGAGCGAGACTCCATCTCAAAAACAAACAAACAAACAAACAAATAAACAACAAAAACTACAGCCCCAATATGGCAAATGGACACAAATACAAAATTGAATCCACCAATATATAAGTAATACAATATGACTAAATGGGATTTTTCCTAGAAATATAAAGTTAACTTTTCACTCAAAAATCAATCATTGCATTGTTTCTTCTTATGTAAAATAATAATAATAATTTTTTTTTTTTGAGACGGAGTCTCGCTCTGTTACCCAGGCTGGAGTGCAGTGGCACAATCTCGGCTCACTGCAACCTCTGCCTCCCAGGTTCAGGCGATTCCCCTGCCTCAGCCTCCTGAATAGCTGGGATTACAGGCTCGTGCCACCATGCCTGGCTAATTTTTTGTATTTTTAGTAGAGATGGGGTTTCACTGTATTAGCCAGGATGGTGTCAATCTCCTGACCTCGTGATCCGCCCGCCTCGGCCTCCCAAAATGCTGGGATTACAGGCGTGAGCCACAGTGCCCGGTCAGTAATTATTATAGTATTTGGTTTGTCAAGAATCTTTACCATCTTTATATTGACTTAAACATCTCAGAATTTAGAAACAATTGCCTGGAAAAGAATATCATAAGGAGGATAAAAAGTCTAAAATAAGAGATTTGTGTGCTGTAAAGTTTAAAATCTCGTCCCATGTTGGCCGGGCACGGTGGCTCATACCTGTAATCCCAGCACTTTGGGAGGCCAAGGTGGGTGGATCACGAGGTCAGGAGTTCAAGACCAGCCTGGCCAAGATGGTGAAACCCCGTCTGTACTAAAAATACAAAAATTAGCTGGGCGTGGAAGCGGATGCCTGTAATCCCAGCTACTCGGGAGGCTGAGGCAGGAGAATGGCTTGAACCCGGGTGGTGGCGGTTGCAGTGAGTGGATATCGTGCCACTGTACTCCAGCCTTGGCAACAGAGGGAGACTTCCATCTCAAAAAAAAAAAAAAAAAAAAAAAGAAATCTGATCGCATGTCGTAGTATGCTCAGGCTACTGTAACAAAATATAATAAATTGAGTGGATTATGAACAACAGAAATTGATTTCCACAGTTCTGGGAGCTAGGATTCCAAGATTGGTGTACAGGCAGATTTGGTGTCTGGTGGAGGCCCACTTCTTCATAGAAGACCATCTTTTCCCTGTAATCTCCAGTGGCAGAAAGAGCAAGGGAGCTTTCCTGGGCCTCTTTTATAAGGGCACCATTCCATTCATGAGGTCATATTACCTATTTATATCTGCATGACCTAATCATCTCCTAGAGGCTGCACCTTCTAATACCATCACCTTGGGATTAGGATTTCAACATATAAACTTTAGGGGAACACAGACATTCAGACCATAGCATCCTACTAGTTATATACCATTATGTTGACTAGATACAGGTATTTGGTTTCAGTTTAAAGAATTCCCTTAAGCAATTCCTGCAAGGCAGGCCTAATGGTGATAAACTCCCTTAGCTTTTGTTTTTCTGGGAAGGTTTTTATTTCTCCCCCATTTCTGAAAGACAGCTTTGCTGCATAAAGTATTATTTTTTGGCAGGTTTTTTCCTT
Source organism: Homo sapiens (assembly GCF_000001405.40). Taxonomy (NCBI): domain Eukaryota; kingdom Metazoa; phylum Chordata; class Mammalia; order Primates; family Hominidae; genus Homo; species Homo sapiens. The sequence continues at coordinate 112,479,105 of NC_000009.12, read as the reverse complement.
CACCACTTTGAATGTCATCCCACTGGCCTGCAGGATTTCTGAAAATTTCTGAAAACTTTGCTGGTAGTTACATTAGCACCCCTTTGTATGTGGTATGTTTCTTATCTCTTGCTGCTCTCAAAATTTTCTGTCTTTGATTTTTGGTAGTTTGATTATTATGTGTCTTGATATACTCCTCTTTGGGTTGTATTCCTCTTTGATTGGAAAACTCTGTACTTCCTATACTGCTTGTTGGTGTCTATCCCCAGTTTAAGGAAGTTTCATTTATTATTTATTTATTTATTTTTATTATTATTATTATTTTTTGAGATGGAGTTTTCATTCTTGTTGCCCAGACTGGAATGCAATGGCACAGTCTCAGCTCACCACAACCTCCGCCTCCCGAGTTCAAGCAATTCTCCTGCCCCAACCTCCCGAGTAGCTGGGATTACAGGCATGCACCACCATGCCCGGCTAATTTTGTATTTTCAGTAGAGATAGGGTTTCTCCATGTTGGTCAGGCTGGTCTGAAACTCCTTACCTCAAGTGATCTACCTACCTCAGCCTCCCAAAGTGCTGGGATTACAGGCGTGAGCCACCGTGTCTGGCCTGTTATTTCTTTAAATATGCTTTCTGGCTCTTTGACTCTTTCTAAAATTTCTGTTGAGCAAAGGTTTAGTCTCTGGATGGTGTCCCAAAATTCCTACAGGCTTTCTTCATTCTTTTTTATTCTTTTGTCTTCTTGCTTCTCCGACTGGATAATTTCAAATGTTCTGTTTCCAGCTCACTGATCTATTCTTCTGCTTGATCGAGTCTGCTATCGAAGCCTTCTACTTAATTTTTCCATTCAGTCATTGTATTCTTCATCTCTAGAATTTTCTTTTTTATTGTCTCTATTTCTTTCTCAAATTTCTTGTGTATTGTTTTCCAAATCTCATTAAATTTTCTATCCATATATTCTTATAGTTTACTGAACTTCTTTATTATTCTGAATTCTTTGTCATTTCCTAGATCTCCATTTCTTTGGGGCCCATTATTGAAGCTTTATTATTGTCTTTTGGAAGTGATTCACTGATTCTTTGCAATCTTTGTGTCCTTGCATTGTTGTCTGAGCATTTAAGACCACCCCTGGCCGGGCATGGTGGCTTACGCCTGTAATCCCAGCACTTTGGGAGGCCAAGGCAGGCAGATCACGAGGTCAGGAGATCGAGACCGTCCTGGCTAACATGGTGAAATCCCATCTCTACTAAAAATACAAAAAATTAGCCAGGCGTGGTGGTGGGCACCTGTAGTCCCATCTACTCGGGAGGCTGAGGCAGGAGAATGGCGTGAACCTGGGAGGTGGAGCTTGCAGTGAGCCGAGATTGTGCCACTGCACTCCAGCCTGGGCAACAGAGAGAGACTCCATCTCAAAAAAAAAAAAAAAAAGAAGAAGAAGACCGCCCCCTCTTCTGGCTTTTGCAGGTGTTCTTTGGCAGGAATAGACCTTCTCTATTTAGCCTCTGATTCTGGAAGGGCCAGCTCCCAGATAAGCTGGAATGACCCCAGACAGGCAGAGCTTGTTGTGATTTCTCTAGTTGACTGGGCTACTGCCTTTGCTCTGATATTGTGTAGAGCTGCTGGCTGGGTACTGTGATGGCTTTTGGTCAGGTTAGTCACAGGATATATTCCCTAGCCAAGCAATTCTGATATTTGGGATCTGCAGTTAGGCAAGGCTGCGGGCTGGGGTTGGAAGTTAGGTGGAGTCATTGCTTGGGACAAGTGGAATCATAAGCTATGCTCCTTAGAATTGCACAGTTGAGGCTGGGCGCGGTGGCTCACGCCTGTAATCCCAGCACTTTGGGAGGCCAAGGCGTGGGTGGGTCACAAGGTCAGGAGTTCGAGACCAGCCTGGCCAACATGGAGAAACCCTGTCTCTACTAAAAATACAAAAATTAGCTGGGCGTGATGGCAGTCTCCTGTAATCCCAGCTGCTCGGGAGGCTGGGGCAGGAGAATTGCTTGAACCCGGGAGGCAGAGGTTGCAGTGAGGTGAGACCGTGTCATTTCACTCCAGCCTGGGTGACAAGAGCGAAATTCCATCTCAAAAAAAAAAAAAAAGCACAATTGAGGATTGCCTCCCTGTCAGGGTGGAACTGTGGGGTAGGCTTTTAGCTGAGTTGAGTGGTTGTTTGACCTCTCAGGTCAAGCCAGTCTGGCCCCTTTGCATTTCTTAAACGTTCGGAGGTGGGAGTCTTCCTGCCTAGGTAGATTGTTAGCTGGGATTTTTGGCTGAGGGCTGAGTAGATCTTCATTTGACTTCCTGGGTCAAGCTGGTCTAGCTCCTTCTCTCAGTGCATGGAGGCAGGAGTTTCCTTGCTTGAGTAGGATTGTTGGGGTGGGCTCCGAGGCTGGGCACAGAGACTAGCTATCTAGGGACTCAAGCTAGCTTGAAATTCCCACCATGCTTCTGAAGGTGACCAGCTCAGCTTTGTGGGTGGGCTTTGAGACTGGCTGGTATCTCTAATCTGGTGCCACAGCTGGCAGAAACGTAGAGGTATTACCAAGATCCATGTGCTGGTTACTATGACCTCTGCCTCCTCTCATTGTTTCTACCTGGCCCTGAGTCGTGTAGTGGTGCCATTTCCCCAAGGGTAGGTAGGGGAAACCACAGTGGGCTGCCTGGGAAACATCTCAGAATGCTAGGGAAGCTAGATGACTATTTCAATTTCTGTTTTCCCCTAGTAGAAACTGTGGGCCAGGAGAATCTTTTCTGTCTGGCATTGTGCTGACTTGGAGGGAAAGGGGTGCCACAGTTGGAATAAGACCATTCTTCCTTGGGCAACATAGTGAGACACAGTCTATTAAAAAGCGGGGGGGGGGGGGGGCGGGGGGGAGACTGTCCTCCTTATCCTTCTAATTCAGATTTCATTCCGTTCTGTGGACCATGTGTGTCTCAAACTTGTTTCCAAGTATTGGGGTTTACAAAAGGATTTTCTGGCCTGTGGATAGTTTCTAGTTGAACTTTTCTGTTGGCTGGGAGTGAAGCCTGATACTTCCTAAACTGCCATCATTCCCCTAGATACAGCTATTTGTCTCTATTTAAGTACATTTGGCTTCAACAAACATGGGTTGGGGAAAACAGCACAATAAATATTTTTAACTTAAAAAATAATTTTAGACTAGGCAAAGTGGTTCACACCTGTCATTCCAGCACTTTGAGAGGCCAAAGCAGGAGGATTGCTGGAGACCAAGAGTTTGAGACCAGCCTGGGTAACAGCAAGAGCCCATCTCTAAAAAAAGTAAAAGTAATTTTAAAAAATCATTTTAATTGACCATATTAATAGAATAAAGGAGAATAACCTAATCATCTCAATAGATAATAGAAATAGCATTTGACAAAATTCAGCAATCATATATGATTAAGAATACTCAGCAGATAAACAACAATCAGCCTGATAATGTGCATCTACAAAAAAACCGCCCTACAACTATCATAGTTAATGGTGAAAAAACACAGTGTTTTCCCCCTAAGACTAAGAACAAGGCTAGGATATCCATTTTCACCACCAATATTCACCACTATACTGTGGGTCTAACAGTGCAATATGACAAGAAAAAAAAAATAAGGCACACAGAGTGGAAAAGAAGAAATAAAACTGCCTTTATTTGCAGATAACAATCACATACATAGAAAATCCTAAGGGATTTACAAAAAAAGCTGCTAAAACTAATAAGGAGATTTAACAGTATTGCAGGACACAAAGCATTTCTGTATCCTAACAAAGAATAATTAAAAACTGGAATTTAAAAAATTATTTAGGCTGGGCATGGTGGCTCACACCTATAATCCCAGCACTTTGGGAGGCTGAGGTGGGAGGATTGCGTGAAGCCAGGAGTTTGAGACCAGCCTGGGCAACAAAGTGAGACCTTGTCCACACAAAAAACAAACAAAGCCAGGCATGGTGGTATGTGCCTGTAATCCCAGCTACTTGGAAAGCTGAGGCAGGAGCCCAGGAAAGCTGAGACTTGGAAAGCTAAGACCTTGAGCCCAGGAATTCAAGGCTGCAGTGAGCTATGAGCATGCCACTGCACTCTAGAATGAGTGGCAGAAAAAATAAAACATCTATGCACTGAGGTATACTATGATAGCATTACATGACTGTTTTGGGAAAAAACTCTAAACCATTTTTCCTCTGCTCTCATACTAACATAACAACAATCATCAACACATAAGAAGACTTCTGTGACCAAATGTGTGAGAGTTTTTCCCACACGCTAAGCAGTGGACACCAAGTAGGTGTCCTCCAGTTTTATTCTGACACTATCTACTTGGAGATAGTGGGTCTCACCATGTTGCCCACTATCTACTGTCTCCAGGTAGATAGTGTTAGATGCCACAGGTCGAGGGGCTCAGTCCCCAAAACTGCCCCACCTCCCAGACACCAGTTGTAACTCTGGGTGTCTGGAAATTCTGACCAACTGGCTTCAAGTTGGGGTTCCCACAACCTCCACTTGGGGTTTGATTAATTTGCTGGTGCAGCTCACAGAACTCAGGGAAACACGTTTACCAGTTTATTGCAAAGAAAATCATAAAGGATAACATATGAAGAGATGCATAGGGCACAGTATTGGGGAAGGGGCACAGAGCTCTCCAGTCCTCCCGGGGTGTGTCACCCTCCAGGACCCTCCATGTGTTCAGCTATCCAGAAGCTCTTGGAACCCAGTCCTCTTGGGTTTTTATGGATGCTTCATTAAGTTGGCATTCTTTCCCCCAGCATATGGAGCAGGACCCTCTCTGGAATAAGGGTTTATATGACCCACAGTTCTGCCTTGCGGAAGTGAAAGGAAGGCAAGAGAAGGTCAGAGAGATTCTGTTTCCTGAGGCCTGCCTGCAAGGCCTAACACCCAACATTGTAACAAAAGCTTGTAACAAGGGCTATGGGAATTACAAGCCAGGAAACCTGGACAAAAATAGATAGATAGATAGATAGATAGATAGATAGATAGATAGATAAAGATAGATGATGATAAGATAGATGATGATAGATAGATAGATAGATAGATAGGTAGATAGATAGCAAACACAGTGACCCAACCTCATGGCGTTTCACTCAGACTTTTATCTTGACTCTGAGAGACTCAAGATTCAACTTAAAAATGGCATCCTTAATTCTTTTTTTTTATTTTTAAGACAGCATCTCACTCTGTTGTCCAGGCTGGAGTGCAGTGGCGCAGTCTCAGCTCAATGCAACCTCCACCTCCTGGGCTCAAACAATTCTCGCACCTCAGCCTCCTGGGTAGCTGGATTAAAGGCCACACTGCCACACCCATCTAATTTTTGTATTTTTAGTAGAGACGGGGTTTCACCATGTTGGCTAGGCTGGTCTCAAACTCCTGGCCTCCGACCTCAGCCTCCCAAAGTGCTGGGATTACAGGTGTGAGCCACCTCGCCTGGCCAGCATCCTTAAATTTTTAAAGAACTGTGTATTTCACCTTCTGGCTATGTTTACCTTTTACATGTGTTAGGGCCTAGAAGCTGCAAATACTTACAAAAATGGTGAAATCTTACTAAAGATAAATTAGAATTATGATGACCATTATGTGGAACATTCCAGATGAATAAGACTGTTCATCTAAGAATTGAGTTTAAAAATGAGGGCTTCTGAATCAGGCCCTCCTAGGGATACCTATTGATGTGCAAAAGCTTCTAAAAAGATTTCAAAAATGTTTGTCTCTTTAAAAGAGCTCATGTAGAAGGCAAATGAAAAGTTTAAGCAACTAGTTTATAAGAAAATTGAATCTGCCAATCTTTTCACTTAGTTACTGTTTTACTCCAAAGGGAAAAAGAAAGCTAGGTAATATTTATAAAAATTAGGCCCTTGGGTGAAGCAGATTTGCATTTTCAGAACTATCCATCTGCATCCAGAAATAGGAAACCCTTTGTCTGCTCTATTTGCTAATGGGCTCTGCCCTGAACTCAGTAATCTAGTTAAGAAACAGAAGCTAAGTTGAAAAGACCGCCTATTGAATTAAATCAGTCTCCAAAATTTGCGTTTCTGGTATTTAGCCAGTTATTTTGAAACTCTTTGTAAAAACGTGTATCTATAAAGGAAAATCAGTAGAAATTCTTACAATAGGTGAGAGCATTAGTCCAAATAAACTCACCTTCAACCATTTTGTCTGAACTGGGCTTCTTAGCATCAACTTTCTGTCTTGGCAAATAACAATATTTAGGCCTGAAATGTAAGTTCTCTGCCTTTGAGATGTAAATTTTCTACCTTGTGTTACCTAGGAACCATCCCTTTCAAAATGCAATTCAGGGTAGAAAATTTTTAAATGGTTATTTTAAAAAGGGATGAATAGTGGACTGTGATGGGTTTAAAACAAAGATTTAATCTACTAATGATTGGATGGATCAGAGGAACTCATTGCTGGTCCCCTAACATTACAAAGCTCAAAACCAGTCAGCTCAATTTACTCCAATCTGGAAAAATTTTTAAAGCCAGAAGGCAGAGATTCCAATGGGCAACCTAACTAACAATCACTTAGGGCAATAATCAAGCAGGTCAGTCCAGAAAAGGGCAAGGTCCCTTGACTCAATCCCCCTGTTGGGATAGGTATAATTAGCAAATTCATATTTTAATGACCAGAACCCAGAGATTGCTGCCTCACGGTATGTTCTACCTCTAATTTTCCCAAACCTTTAAGAATGTCAAAGAATAAAATCTCAACAAATTATGTAAAGATCTAATTGGCTTTTATTAGCGATTCATGAACTGGGTAGCATCCAGCCTACAAAATAAAACAGAAGCCCCGCCAGGTATGATAGAATGGTCTGCATTTGTAAAGCAGCACTAGCAGGAACAAGGAAACAGCATAGTAGACACAGCAGATTGGTTAACATCAGGTTACTTCAGGTTACGTTCCTTGTGTGGATTAAAGCAGAGGGGGCTTCCTCATCATAATCACGCTTGCTCACGTTGACTGGACTCCCTTTGATCAGTTGCTGTGAATCTCCTGACTTGTTGAAACTGTCCTATTTTTAAGTTCACTTTGATTACATGGACTCCATTCCTGGATGGAGAGGTGAGATCTTGGAGTTCCATTCAACATAAATGTATTGTAAAGTTTTTGTTAGAGGGCTTGTTAATGTTGGCCTTGGGCTAGTCCTTTCCCATCTCTGATCCTCTGCTTCCTAACTTGTAAAATACAGATTAAATGCTCCTAACATTATGAATCTAAGAAATGTCAGGATTAGCTAAATTGCTTAATGGCACAACAATATTAGAGTGGAAGCTGAGAAGCAAAATTGTTACACTGAGCAAGTATTTTTAACTGATTGAAATGAAAGATAAGAGCTTTTTAAAAGTTTATCTTCCCCTCAACCCTCCCAGCCTCTCAAACCACTGTATTAGCTTGCTAGGGCTGCCATAATAAAATACCACAGATTGGGGGGCTTTTTAAATTAATTTATTAGGGGGGTAGAGATAGGGTCTTACTATGTTGTCCAGGCTGGCCTTGAACTCCTGGCCTCAAGCAATCCTCCTGCGTCGGCCTCCCACAGTGGACGGCTTAACAACAGAAATTTATTTCTCACTATTCTGGAGATTAGAAGTCAAAGATCAAGGTGCTGGTGATTTTGTTTCTTCTGAAGCCTCTCTCTTTGCTTGCAGATAACTGCCTTCTCACTGTGTCCTCTCCTGGTCTTTGTTCTGTGCACACATTGCTGGTATCTCTTATGTCCAAAGGACACCATGTTGGATTAGACTAACAGCCTCCTTTGAACTTAAGTCACCTCTTTAAAGGCCTCATCTCCGAACAGTCACATTCAAAAGAAATGGGAGTTAGGACCTCAACAAATGAATTGGGGGATACACAGTTCAGCCCATACCAATGACCTATTCTAAGGTTTCTGTTTCAAAACACTGTAGCCAAATGCATACTCCTAGGGAGAAAATTATTTTGTTTTAGGACAATTTAAACATATTTTTAAATGGAATACATGCAGCAATTTGTTAAATTACATTAGTAATATTTTCCTATGGCTAAGTCCACCTGGAAAGCTAGTTATCAAAATGAAAAATTATTGTTTCATTTAGTCCTCGCCAGTACTAATTCATTTTTTATAATTTTTGTAAAATGTACTATATAAGATTTTCTTTAAAATAAGTATATAAAAATCAAAAACATCATTAAGATTTTCATTAGTATACAATCCAAAACTAAAAATTTTAAAACAGACTAGCTTCATTTTACATGACAAGAAGATTTGAAAGAGCTAATTTTACTGCTTGATCTGACTGTCCGCCCAAAATACTTTTCTTGGAGAAAGACAGTGAATGAGATGTAAGGCTCAAAGGGTTAAACCCTTGAAATATAAAAACACAGACTGTCTTAGAATCCCACTTAATGAAGCTTATGTTTGATTAGCTTGCCATTTTAATTACAATTTCAAGTCTTTTAGAGACAAATTCTATCTTTTCCAGAACAAACGTGCATATCCTTATAATATAACAGGAAAGAAAACAAACATTAGATTTTAACTGTTGAGCTTTTTTTACTTTTTGAGCATAGCAGTCGACTTTTTTTTTATATTTTCCTTCACAGTCTGGCATTCATCTGATTCATTAGCTTCTCCAATTTGATTGCTAGGGCCATGTTACCTTTAATCTTCAATTTCCCTGACATGAATGCCATTGTTGGTTTTAGTTTCCCTAAAATGAGAAAATGAGAGAGGGAAAAGCAACCATTAGTGCCCTTAGGGATATATTGCTTTAAGAACACGCATTGTAAAAAGAATCTCCTTGAGTTCTATAAACCTCAGAAGCATAGAAATTTCTGTTACAGCATTTTATATCAGTATCTTGGGAATCCCAATTCCTAGACTTAGATGTTAACAATATCCTATTAAGAGCTAGCATAAAAACAACAATCAGCAAAAGATTATAGCAAATGTTTTTACACCAAAAAGATTTTTATACACTAAAGGATACACGGCCCTCAAATGAATTCTGGTAAACAAATACTGTCTATTTTAGTTAATTTTCCAACTTACGATAGTTCATTAAACTTTTGACATTTCAAGTTCAAAAAACCAAATGGTGTAAATGAACAAAATAGTCTTAAGAAATGATCATTAAAAGTATAGTGTATGGACACAAAATATGTGTTAGCATTACTTTAACCACAGAAATGCCAGGGTATAAAAAAATGTAAGCATTAAAATAGAATTGTACCTAATAACAACATGTAATAAATATGAGCTCCATGGAGAGAAGTACATTTGTTATCTGCTACTCTTATTCCAGTGTCAGTACGGGGTCTATCACATAGTGGAATTAATGAGGAAACAGACTCAAAAAGGATTTTGGCTTGCTCAAGGTCACACAGCTTGTATGAGGCAGTGCTGCAATTTAAAGCCAGGTATGTCTGCCTTTCATTTATGACTTTTTTTCCTTTTTTTTTTTTTTTTTTTTTTTGAGACAAGGTCTCACTCTGTCTCCCAGGCTGGAGTACATGTACAGTGGAGTACATGGCTTACTGCAGCCTTGACTTCCCAGGCTCATCTGAACCTCCCACCTCAGCCTCCTGAGTAGCTGGACTACAGGCAAGCAACACCATGCAGGGCTAATTTTTTATAGAGATGGGGTTTTGCCATGTTGCCCAGGCTGGTCTCAAGTGATCCACCTGCCTCCCAGAGTGCTGAGATTACAGATGTGAGCCATCTGGCCCAGCCTCATTTATGATTTTCTGTCTTACATTATGCTAATTGATATAGATGACATATCTTCTAGAAGGCACAATATGTGTTTGGTTTATTAGTAGCTTAGTAGCCACCCTCCCCACCCCTGTGCCCCACACAGGTTCTTTGCAGAGAAAGTGTGTGAGTTAATATATTATATATATATTATATTAAGCTATTAAATGCCTTTAAATTATTCTAAATAGAGGTTATAGCAAAGCCTCATGGAGTTATTATAGGTAGAAAGGATCAAGTCCAACTCTTTTATTTTAATGAATAAACTGAGCTGTGTCCTACTTTAAGACAGTGTGATGTTAAAATCCCAATACTTACAAATAATAAATGAAGGGGTAACTTTTATTTACATGGAGGATACTGAAAGATCTTTATTCTGGAAGGAACAGAACAGCCCGTCCAAAAACACAGATACAGACATCTGGGTGTCCTTCAGCTAAATCAACTGGATCATGCTCTGTTATTCTACAGTGAAGCCTACCATTCCACCCACCCCACTCACACACATCTTCCAATGAGCTTTGCAGAGCCTTGCCCATAGAGATGAATGGACATCAAATATAACCAAAACCAAAACACAGATAAGAGCAACTTGGAGGAAACAGAATGCTGGCTCAGACAAAAGATAACTAAAGTAGAGTAAATGGAGAACAAATTAAAAATTCCACAATCTCTGCCCTCAGAGATAAAAGAAAATAATACAGCAAGGGATGGGGAACAGGATGCAGGTGGAGAAAGAGGGAAGAGGAGGAGCACAGGAAGGAGAGAGGAGAAGAAGAGGGGATGAAGGAGAGGGAGAGAGGAGAAAAAGGGAAAGGGGGAAAGGCAGTGATGCCAGGGAAGGAGAGGGGATGGGTTGGATTGAGGAGGAGGAAGAAAAACCATCAGAAAACAAGATGAGCTCTTAGAAAGTAAAATTTTAGTCAACAAAATTAAAATGCAATAGAAAGGTAGGAAAAAGAAGGTGAGTCGATCTCCTAGAAGGTGAAAAGAATTATACAAATATATGTGTAATAGGAGAAATGAGTGATTAAATCAGATGATCTTTTTCTCCAGAAAGTCAGAAGAGAGAAAACTGAGAGAACTATCAAAGAAATAATATAAGAACTTTTCAAGGGGCTGGGAAAATGACATTTACCTTTTATCACTGTGAAATATCAGACTACCACAGAGAAATATGTCTCTGATTTCAAAAACTTTCAGAAAGGACAGGGGTAGATAGAAAAGATTAAGACGAACAACATCAAATTCTCAACGATAATCTTAAGATGATAAAGCAATGGCTTCAAAATTCTGAGGGAAAATGAATTGCAACCTGGAAATCTCTACCCAGACAAACAATCAAGAGAGTTGGTAGAATAATAGTAGTTTCAGATACACACAAAAATTATCTCTAATGTATCCTTTCTCATGAAACTACTGGACAATGTGTGCCACCAAATTGAAGATGTAAAGGAAGAAAGAAGACATGGGATCCAGGAAACAGGAGATTCAGTGCAGGAGAGAGTTAAATTTCTAGGACAACAGCTGTGTAGCAGGCTTAATGAGCTTCAGGTCTAGATTATAACATGAAGACAAAGGGCTCCGGGGAAAAAGTGGACTGACACAAGCTGATACATTTGACAACGTAGAAAACTGCATCAAGAAGCTGTGGGAAGAGTACAGGAAGACTTTGCTTAGTGTCATGGACTGAATGTTGGCATTCCCCACAAACTTCATATCTTGAAGCTCTTGCCCTCAGTGTGATGGTCTCAGGAAGTGGGGCCTTGGGAAAATAATTTGGTTTAGGTGAAATCATGAGGATGGAGCCGGAATGATGGGATTAGTGCCCTTATAAGAAAAGGAAGAGAAACAATTTAGTGGCATTTAAGTCCAGGTACAATGTTGTGTACCACCACGCAACACGTGGTATCTATCTAGTTTCAACCATTTTCATCATCCCAAAATGAAACCCTCAGGGATTCAGCATTAGCAGCTCCCCCTGCCTCCAGACTCTGGCAACCACCAACAGCTCTCTGTGTCTATGGATGCACCTATTCTAGATATTTAATATAAAAGGATTTCTACAATATGTGATCTTTGGTGTCTGGCTTTTTTCATTTAGCATAATGTCCCATGGTGTAGCATGTATTAGTACTTCATTCCTTTTTATGGCTGACTGCTATTTCATTATATGTATATACCACACTTTGTTTATCCATGCATCCCTTAATGGACATTTAGGTTGTTTCTGTCTTTTGCCTATTGTGAATAGCGCTGCTGTGAATATGCATGTACATTTATTTGTTCGAGTGCCTGTTTTCAATTCTTTTGAGTATATATTTACAAGTAGAAATTGTGAGTTATTTGGTAATTCTATAATTAACTGTACCTATACATCTATGGATTTAACTAAACCCATGTATCTATAGTCAACTGATCTTCAACAAGGGTGCCAAGACCATTTAACACAGGAAAGAACAGTCTATTCAACAAATGGTGCTGGGATAACTGGATATCCACATACAAAAGAATGAAGTTGGACTCTCCTACCATCTACAAAAATTAACTTAAAATGGATCATAAACCTAAATGTAAGAGGTAAAACTCAAAACTCTTAGAAGAAAATATAGGTATAAAGCTTCCTAACCTTGATTTGGCAAAGGATTCTTATATATGACACTGGAAGTAAAAATCAAAAAAAATAGGTTGAACTTCAAAACTAAAAACATATGTGCTTCAAAATATATCATCAAGAAAGTGAAAAAACAACCTACAAAAAATGTGAAAAAGCATTTGTAAATCATGTATCTGATGAAACATAACTAACTGAAAATATATGAAGATTTTTTTTTTTTTTTGAGACAGTCTCTGTGTCACCCAGGCTAGAGTGCAATGGCGTGATCTTGGCTCACTGCAGCCTCCGCCTCCTGGGTTCAAGCGATTCTCCTGCCTCAGCCTCCTGAGTAGATAGGATTACATGCACCTGCCACCATGCCCAGCTAATTTTTGTATTTTTAGTAGAGATGGGGTTTCACCATGTTGGCCAGGCTGGTCTCGAAGTCCTGACCTCAAGTGATCTGCCCGCCTCGGCCTCCCAAAGTGCTAGGATTACAGGTGAGCCACTGCGCCTGGCCAGAATTTCTTAAAACTGAATAATAAAAGACAAATAACCAAATTTTGAAATGGCAAAGGACTTGAAGGGACATTTCTCCAAGGAAATACCTTTGATCCATAAGCACATAAAAAAAGTATGATATCATTTGTCATTAGAGAAATGCAAATCAAAACAATAAGATGCCATTTCACATCCACTAGGGTGGCAATAATGAAAAAACAAAATAATAACAAAAAAGAAGTGTTGGTAAGTGCAAGAATATGGAAAAATAGAAATCCTTGTACATTGCCGTTGGGAATGTAAATGATGCAGCCACTATGAAAAACCTTTTGGCAATTCTTTGAGAAGTTAAACATAAAATTATATTATGACCTAGAATTCTACTCCCATGTAGATAGCCAAGAGAAATGAAAACATAAAGCCACATAGAAACTTGTATATGAATGTTTATCGAAGCATTATTCATAATAGCCAGACAGCAGAAACAAAAGATGAATAGGTAAATGAATTGTGGTAAATCCATATAATGGAATAATATTCAGCCAGAAAAAGAAATGAGGTGCTGATACATGCTACAGCTTGGATGAACCTCAAAAACATTATGCTAAATAAAATAAGTCAGATGCAAAAGGTCACATATTGCATGATTCCATTTGTTTAAAATATTCAGAATATGCAAATCAATAGAGAAAAAGCAGATTAGTGGTTGCCAGGGGAGGTGAGAATGAGAAGTGCTTACTTACATATGGTACAGGTATTCCTCTGCAGTGATGAAAAAGTTTTGAAACCAGGGAGGGGTGGTTGCACAGCACTGTGAATATATTAAATGTCACTGAACTGTACACTTTAAAATGAGTAATTGCGGCCGGGCCTGGTGGCTCACGCCTGTAATCCCAGCACTTTGGCAGGCCGAGGCAGGAGGATTGCCTGAGGTCAGGAGTTCGAGACCAGCCTGGCCAACATGGTGAAATTCTGTCTCTACTAAAAATACAAAAATTAGCCAGGCGTGGTAGTGGGCTCCTGTAATCCCAGCTACCCAGGAGACTGAGGCAAGAGAATTGCTGGAACCCAGGAGGCAGATGTTGCAGTAAGCTGAGATCACGCCACTGCACTCCAGCTGGGGTGACTGCGCGAGACTCTGTCTCAAAAAATAAAAATAAAATGACTAATTGCATGTTATCTGAATTTCACTTTATTTTTTAAAAGGTTATGAAATACTAATACATGCTACTACAAGGATGAAACTTGAAAACATTATGTTAAGTGAAAGAAGCCAGTCACAAAAGATCACATATTACATGACTCAGTTCATACGAAAGTCAGAATAGGGAAAACCATAGAGATAGAAAGTTGATTAGTTGTTGCTTAGGGCTGCTGGTGGGGATATTGAGGGATATTACATTGACAGGTGATAGGTAGAGACAGAAAGTGGATTAGTGGTTGTTTAGGGGTAGAGGTGGGGATATAGAGGGATATGAGGTTGACCGCTAATGGGTGGGAGGTTTCTTTTTGAGATGACGAAAATGTTTTAAAAGCAACAGATGAATTTTACACTTTAAGTGGGTGAACTGTATGGTATATGAATTATATCTCAATAAAGCTGTTTTTAAAAAGCTATTGACATACAACTAGAAATTGAATTACTAATTTAAAATATTCCTACAAAAAATCCCAGCTACAAAATGGCTTCACTGATTAATTCAAATGATACAAAATCAATACACAAAAATTAGTTATAGCTATATATACCAGAAACAGGCAATTTGGAAATAAACTAACGACAATAATTTCATTTCACAACGGTAAAAAAGAAAATATTTAGTGGGAAAAGCATGAATGATAACAGGAAAAAATAATAGATTAAACTTGATCAAAACAAAACAACTTTTGTAATACAGAAGATACTTTTAAGAAAATGGAAAGAGAAACCACATACTAGGAGAAAATATTTGCAAATCACATATCCAATAAAGAACATGCATCCAGAATTTATAAAGAATCTGACAATATTCAAAAGACAACTCAATTTTACTTGTGTGTGTGTGTGTGTGTGTGTGTGTGTGTGTCTGTGTGTGTGTCTGTGTGTGTGTAGAAGCAGGGTCTCACTATGTTATTCAGGCTGGTCTCATACTCCTGGCCTCAAGTGATCCTCTTTCTTTGGCCCCCCAAAGTGTTGGGATTATAGGCATGAGCCACCATGCCTGGCTGACAACTCAATTTTAAAATGAGCAAAGACTGAATAGACAATTCACCCAATATAAGTAGCTATCAAACACATGAAAATATGTTTAAATCATTATCAGTAAGAAAATACAAATTAAAACCACACGAGGCTGGGCACGGTGGCTCATGCCTATAATCCCAGCACTTTGGGAGGCTGAGGTGGGTAGATCACTCGAGGCCAGGAGTTTGAGACCAGCCTGGCCAACATGGTGAAACCCCGTCTCTAGTAAAAATACAAAAATTACCTAGGTGTGGTAGTGCATGCCTGTAATCCCAGCTTCTTGGGAGGCTGAGACATGAGAATTGCTTGAACCCAGGAGGTGGAGGTTGCAGTGAGCCGAGATCATGCCACTGCACTCCAGCCTAGGAGAGCAAGACTGTGTCTCAAAAAATAAATAAATACACAAATAAACATATGAGATACCACTACATGCCCACTAGAATGGCTATAATAAAAAAGACAACAAGCCAACTCTGGGTGTACTACCTATGAGTTAACCCTGCTCTGCAAGGAGCAATTTTAAAAAAATGTTTTTAAAAGACAACAAGTGTTGGTGAATAGGTAGAGAAAATGGAACCTTAATACATTGCTGATGGGACTATAAAAATGGTATAGTCACTGTAGCAAATAGTTTGGTAGGTTCTTAAAAAGTTAAATATTGGCTGGGTACAGTGGCTCTCGCCTGTAATCCCAGGACTTTGGAAAGCTGAGGTAGGAGGATTGCTTTAGCCCAGAAGTTCAAGACCAGCCTGGGCAGCAAAGCGAGACCCTATCTCTATTTTATTTTAAGTGAAAAAAAAAAAAAAAAGTTAAATATCAACTTACCATATGACCTAGCAATTCCATTCTTAAAAATCTACCCAAGAAAAATGAAAACAAATATCCATACTGATAACATGTATGAGAATGTTCATAGCAGCAATATCCATAATAGCCAAAAACTTGAAACAATCCAAGTGTCCATCAGCTGGTGAGTGAATAAACAACATGTGGTATATCCATACAATGGAATACTATTCAGCAATAAAAAGGAACCGAACTACTGATACCAGCTACAACATATATATGAATGAATATCAAAAGCCTATGCTAAGTAAAAGGTGCTAGATGCAAAAGACTATATACTGTTTTATTCCATATATATAAAATGTCCAGAAATAGCAAATTTATAGAGACAGAGAGCAAATTAGTATTTGGCTGGCTAGGGCTTTGGGAATGGAAATAGGATCGACTGCAAAGAGACATGAGAGAATTTTTTAGTGTGATGAAATGTTCTCAGACTGGACTGTAGTTATGGCTGTGTAACTATAAATTTATTAAAAATCATTTATACTTAGGATGGTAAATTTTATTGCATGTGAATTAGACCTCAACAATACTGTTTTAACAAAAGTTTTTTAAAAAGCTAGTAAGCTCAATGTTTTATACACACACACACACACACACACACACACACACACACACACATCCCCCTCCTCAGGTAAAGTAATATTGCTCAATTTACTTTATTTCTGTCATACTGCTCCACCATACAGTGGCCTCTATTGGCCAAAAGGAGAGATTCTGATTAGTTGGTTACTAGTTGCTTTAATTTTTTTTTTTTTTGAGACAGGGTCTCAGTCAGTCACCCAGGCTGGAGTGCGGTGGCTCGATCTCAGCTCACTGCAACCTCCGCTTCAAGGTTCAGGCGATTCTTATGCCTTAGCCTCCTGAGGAGCTGGAATTACAGGCATGTGCCACCACACCCGGCTAATTTTTGTATTTTTGGTAGAGACAGGGTTTTGCCCTGTAGGCCAGGCTGGTCTCAAACTCCTGACCTCAAGTCATCCACCTGCCTTGGCCTCCCAAAGTGCTGGGATTACAGAAATGAACCACCACGCCTGGCCTAAATTTTTGTATTTATAATGTATCCACTACATAAATTAGGCATAGAAATGGCTATGGTCTCATCAAAGAGAATTCTTAGGATATAAAGTCTAAATTGTGCCCATTTAAAGGAAAGCAGATGGGATAAACAGTAAGAATAAAAGGACATAAGAAGCACAAGCAAACTCACTTGCTCCCGATCTAAACCATACCTATAAAATATACTTGATAAGAATAATTGTTTTTTTAAATAATTCATATAACTGACTGGCCTCATCCAGTGAATCCAAGACCACATTCAAAGAAAGATACCAATAGAAAGCCTATTATTTCAACTGTATGCTACATAAGTGAAATGTAAATTAAAGAAAGAAGTCACTTGATTTCTTCACCTTTGGAGGGCAGACTAGCATAATAATGAAGAGCATAAGCTTTGGAGTTAGCTTGGATTCAAATCCTTGCTCTATTTTCTCATTCATCAGCTGACCTTGGGCTTATTATTTAATTCTTCAAAGCCTCAGTACTTACTGCTATAAAATGGAGAACATATTTTATTGGAAAGAACTGTTGGGAGTATTGCTTAACCTGTAGCAATCATGCAATAAATAAATCATACATAATTACTGTTATTTCCATTTAGAAGTTGACAATACATTTTTATTTTAAATGGTCTTCATGTTAAAACAAATATTTATAAGATTCCGATTCACCAAACATTCATTGAGCGTTTATTAAATGTGTCCAAAGCACTGTGTTTAAGCTCTATGGAGAAATAGTTGTTGAAACACTGAAGAAACACTAAACTATTAAAAATCATTAAAGGGGCCGGGCGCGGTGGCTCACATTTGTAATACCAGCACTTTGGGAGGCCAAGGCGGGTGGATCACCTGAGGTCAGCAATTCGAGACCAGCCTGGCCAATATGGTGAAACCCTGTCTTTACTAAAAGTACAAAAAATTAGCCAGGCATGGTGGCGGGCACCTGTAATCCCAGCGACTCTGGAGGCTGAGGCAGGAGAATTGCTTGAACCCGGAAGGCAGAGGTTGCAGTGAACCAAGGTTAACACCATTGCACTCCAGCCTGGGCAACAAGAGCAAAACTCCGTCTCAAAAAAAAAAAATTCATTAAAGGGATAACCAATGATAAACATTGAAAGATGTTATAATGTATTAAGTGAAAAAGACTGCCAAACAGTAGTAATGGTATGATCCTGTTTTTATAAGCACACATGTATATTTATATACACTAACACACACATACAAATATACATATGTATGATGCTAAACCAAATTATGCAAACCATAATAAGATGAGCATAATATACATATATAGATGCTAAACCATATTTTGGTTTGGTTATGGTTTAGCATCATACATATGTATATTATGGTCATCTTTCAGTGGTATGGTAAAAATAATTTTATTTTCTTTTTTCTTAGGTATACTTTCTCTTTTTTTGAGACGGTTTCATTCTGCCGCCCAGGCTGGAGTGCGGTGGTGTTATCTCAACTTACTGCAGCCTTCACCTCTGGGCTCAGGCAATCCTCCTACCTTAACTGGAGTAGCTGGGGACTACAGGTGCGCACCAGCACACCCAACCAATTTTTGTATTTTCTGTAGAGACAGGGTTTCCCCATGTTGCCCAGGCTGGTCTCAAACTCCTGGGCGCAAGTGATCCTCCCACCTTGGCCTCCCAAAGCATTGGGATTCCAGGCGCGAGCCACCAGGCCTGGCCTATATTTTCTAATTTTTATATGAACATTTAACACCACTATAAAAAAAGGGAAAAGTTGAAGAAATGCTGATCATTAGTACACCGTATACAGATTGACTCAGATGGAATGCAGGCAATTAGCATCCTGAATTAGAACTGTAAAGAAAGACTTAGAGGGCACAGAATACACCATGTTCCTGCTTAGAAAAGATTAAAACAGAACAAAGTCTGAATAACATTTATAATTCACTCCATGAAAGACTCTTTAGATCAGGATGTTATGCTTAGTTTCAAGTGCTGCTTCTAATTTTTTAGAATTTGAGTTAATTAACTTATCATTTGGAGTAGTTTTCTAAGAGTAGAAAAGAGAAAATTATCCTTAATTTTCTGGCACAGTTAGAGGTAAATGGACAGAATAGAAAATCACACAAAAGGTTCTCTGGGTTTAGGACTCCCCAGAAAGCAGGGTCACTAGGCCATGGCCAAGGGCTGGTATGTGTTTCCTATTGAAACAGCTGGCAAGATGGAAGCACAACCCTACTCCCAATAAGCGAACTGCTGCTACTGAGTTCAGTGCCTCTAGTGACTGGGGTGTTATTGGAAACATAATACCTTAGGCCAGCTAATATGATGAAGCCCACCCAGGAGTCCCTTTGAATTATCTCACTGTTCCCAACATTATATTACTGGCTTCTCAGTAATGGAAGAAAATAATTCTGACATCTACCTTCCACTTGTGAGAGGAGGGAGAAGTGGCAATGGAGGCAACAGTAAGAACAGCCTTCCCAAAACTAAGATTCCACTGCTGCCAACATTTACAAGTCTTGATTATTTGGGAAGGGATAAAGCAAAATGTCAGAACTAAATTTTCTCTGAACAATAAGGTAAACTAATAAACTGGAAAACTCACCTGAAAACATTTTTACAAAGTCATCAGTAGTCATACTCATCACCACATCTGCCTGATCAGAAGGCTCTCCATATCCGACATTCCCACCCTTGCTTTTCAGATCAAGAAACCACGTGCCACCATCTTCACCTAGAGAGATAAACATATAGAAATCAATGTCATAGAAGCCCTGTTCTTCTTAAATTTAATAATTACTTCAATTAGAATAATCTTACAAAATGCTGTTTTCCAAGTTAAAATCCCCAGACCTCCATCAGTCAAATTCAGCAAATATTTATTAAGCACGTCCAGGTATTCTGCTAGGCTCTGAAGACTCTTCAATAAAAAGAAAACCATGGTTCTACTCACAAAAGAGGAAGTAGAGGGTGATGTGGGAGCACATTAAGGAATCAAGATAACCAGAGGAAGAAAACTCATAAAGACAGAAAGTAGAACAGTGGTTTCCAGGGACTGGGGGATGGGGAATGGGAGTTAACTGTTTAATGGGTACAGAGTTTCACTTGGAATGATGAAAAAGTTCTGGAGATAGATGGTGATGATTGTTTTGTTTTTGTTTTTGTTTTTGTTTTTTGTTTTCTTTTTCTTTTCTTTTTTTTGGAGATGGAGTCTAGCTCTGTCGCCCAGGCTGGAGTGCAGTGGCGCGATCTCGGCTCACTGCAAGCTCCGCCTCCCGGGTTCATGCTATTCTCCTGCCTCAGCCTCCCTAGTAGCTGGGACTACAGGTGCCCGCCACCACACCCAGCTAATTTTTTGTATTTTTAGTAGAGACGGGGTCTCACCATGTTAGCCAGGATGGTCTCGATCTCCTGACCTCGTGATCTGCCCACCTCGGCCTCCCAAAGTGCTGGGATTACAGGCATGAGATACCGTGCCCGGCAGGTGATGATTGTTATAAAACAATGTGAATGCATTTAATGCTACTAAGCTGTACACTTAGAAGTGGTTAAAATAGGCCGAGCATGGTGGCTCATACCTGTAATCCTGACTCTTTGGGAGGCAAGGGTGGGCAGATGACCTGAGGTCAGGAGTTCAAGACCAGCCTGGCCAACATGGTGAAACCCCGTTTCTACTAAAAATACAAAAAATTAGCCAGGTGTGGTGGGGAGTGCCTATAATCCCAGCTACTTGGGAGGCTGAGGCAAGAGAATTGTTTGAACCTTGGGGGCAGAGGTTGCAGTGAGCCAAGATCGCGCCATTGCACTCCAGCTTGGGGCAACAAGAGCAAAACTCCGTCTCAAAAGAAAAAAAAAAAAAAAAGAAGAAGTGGTTAAAATGTTATGTATTTTTTACTGCGATGCAAAATTAAGTTTTCAAAAAGGGTCAGGAAAGCTCAGTTGAAGCTGAGATTTGAAAGTTAAGTAAGAATTAGCTAGATGGACAGGGTAGAGGGAAAGTATTTCAGGCAATGGGAACAGCACATGCAAAAAAGCCAGAATCAAGAGTGCAGCACGTGTGAGGAACTGAAAAAAAAAAACAGTGGCACTAGAAGGTAGATGGGTGTTGGATGAGCTTGTGAGGCAGTCTAGGTCTGAGCACAGCCAGTCATGTAAAGGATTAAATGACTTCATCCTACAGGATGTGTCATGGAAGGAAGATGATATGGTAAGGTTTACGTATGGCCCTACCTGCAGTGTAGATAATAAATGGAGAGAAATCAAAAGGATGCAGAGGGCTAGTAAGGATGGTGTTGGGATAGTTCAGGAGCTTGAGGGTGCATGCCTGGACTGGGACCATGGCAGAGGCATGGAGAAAAGTGGGTACATTTGAGAGAGAATGTCAAGGCAGAACCATAAGACTAGGTAACTGCATATGAAGAGGAAAAGGTGGGGAGGGTATATAGGAATGATCTGCTAGTTCTTGGCTTGGGTGGATTTGTTTTTTAAGTGAGAGAAGACTACTGAAGAACAGCAGATTGCTTGATTTTTAATTTTTTAAGACAGGGTCTTGCTCTGTTGCCTAGGCTAGAGTGAAGTGGCATGATCATCACTCACTGCAGCCTCGACCTTCTGGGCTTAAGCTGTCTTCCCATCTCAGCCTCCCAAGTAGCTGGGATTATAGGCACACATCACCAGATCCAGCTAATTTTTTATTTTTATTTTTGTAGAGACAGGGTCTCACTATGTTACCCAGCCTGGTCTCGAACTCCTGAGCTCAAGTGATTGGCCTCCCAGAGTGCTGGGATTACAGGCAACGTTTAAAATTTTAATACAGCTCAAACCAGCACGTCTGGTTCATCTCAGCTCCTTCACTGTCAAACCAAGGGGCAGAGACTGCTTCAGCTTGTTTCTCTGCCTTCTCTTTGTGACAACCAAAGTATAATCCTGCTGCTGTGAACTTTATTTTTCTTGATCTTGACAGATACGGCATCCACTTGCCTGGATCTGAGCAGAAAGCGCTTGATTTCCTCCATTTTTTTTTCTTTCTTTTTTTGAGTCAGAGTCTCGCTCTGTTGCCCAAGCTGGAGTGCAGTGATGCGATCTGGGCTCACCGCAACCTCCGCCTCCGGGGTTCAAGCGATTCTCCTGCCTCAGCCTCCCAAGTAGCTGGGACTACAGGCACGCGCCACCAAGCCCGGCTAATTTTTATATTTTTTAGTAGAGATGAGGTTTTGCCATGTTGGCCAAGCTGGTCTTGACCTCTGTTGATCTGCCCACCTCGGCCTTCCAAAGTGCTGGGATAATAGGCACGAGCCACCCAGGGATTTCCACAATTTTTCAAGGCATGCAGAGAGAGGGTGTGGATCGACACTGCCCAAGAGACACAGCAAGCCAGACACTCAGCAGATTTCATGGGTGGTTGCAAAAAAACCATTTCCTGGGAATGGTTGTTTTGGACGTTTTCAGGCTGAGGCATCTTTGTGACAGTTAACTAAAAATGTCAAATGAAGTCTGGCTAAGCTAGAAACAGGGACACATAATCAGTCGGTTCCTATGGTCATTGAAGCCGCGTGAATGGTTGGGGTTTCCTAGAGAAAGTGTCAGGAATAGAGTGTCGAGAGTGCTGAGCCAGTGACCTGAAGAACATTGCTTAAGGGAAGGATAGAGGAGAAGCAGCCAGCAAGGGAGACTGACAAGGTGTGATCACAGGCAGGGAAGGAAAGCAAGGAGGTTACAATGAAGGACTGGGGAAGGAGCATTTCCAGAAGGAAAGTGTGGTCAACAGTATCAAATGCTGCAGAGTGGTCACAAGGGAGGAATGACACAGGCCCACTGGTGACAGGGAAGTCATCAAGGACCTTGCTGAAAACCAATTATGTGAAATGGAAACAAATGGTATCAGCAGGGTGTGTTCAGGGGAATGAGTTGTAGATGAAAATAAGTCTGGCTCTGAAAAGGAGAAAAAAGATGGGCTGTGTGGTTTGTTATTGTCACTGGGTTCTGTTTTAAAGTTAGAAAAGAATTGAGAACATTAAAATACCATTGGGAAGGAGGCTGCAAGATGAACAGATTGAGGACAAGGTTCAATTAACAGCACAAAATTCCTGAGAAGGCCAGGGAAAATGGGATCTAGAACTTTGCTTCCAAGTATGATCCATGGACTGCAATACTGTCATTACCTGTCAGACATGCAGAATCTCAGACTCCACTCCAGACCTGCTGAATCATTATTTTGCATTTTAGGAAGATCCCAGGTACTTGGTATAGACATTAGAGCTTGAGATGCACTGATGGAGAGCTGAGCTCCATTCTACTAAGAGGGAAGGAGGCAAGGATGATGCCTATCATGATTGATTTGATATCTGATGGCAGGAAGCTGAAGGCATTTTTGTCTGTAGGTTTCTATTACCTCTGTCAAAGAGCAAGTGGAATTATCTGCTGACACTGGCAGGGAAGAGGTGAAGGGAGAGATGGGAGATTTCAGGAACACTGAGAAAGTTTAAGATAGTCACTATGGAAAATGCAGCAGTAAGCTGACCACAAAAACACAGAATTCTGAAG
The DNA here is from genome assembly GCF_000001405.40 of Homo sapiens. Taxonomy (NCBI): domain Eukaryota; kingdom Metazoa; phylum Chordata; class Mammalia; order Primates; family Hominidae; genus Homo; species Homo sapiens. Next base: position 112,455,639 of record NC_000009.12, on the reverse strand, counting down.
TGTTGCTTAAACCTCAGCTGAAGCGGGGCAATAGTCAATTTCTACTGGTACAGATCCACCCAGGTGGTGTGATTTTTTTTAGCTTTCCTCCCCCAAAACTTTGCAACCTGGATACAACTGTGGAGCAGCCAGAGAGTTTGATTCAGCCAGGACTAGGCTTTTGACAGGTGATGGCATAAGCACAAAGGGTCCAGCAAGTTTAGGACACAAGCAAGAGAGTGACTAAAGCCATGGATGATGGATTCCAAGGATGGCAAGGAAGTAAGAACAGGAAGGCAAGATGGACTAAGATAAAGCAGAGAGGACGAAGAATAAAAAAGGTTTGTGTATAATGGGGCTGAGGTAGCCTTTTTTTTTTTAACACGAATTTTATCTGTTTCTTAACTTTTATTTGTTTGAGATGGGTCTCACTATGTTGCCCAGGCTGGAGTGCAGTGGTTATTCACAGATGCGATCGCAGTGTACTACAGTCTTGATCTCCTGGGCTCAAGTGATCCTCCAGCCTCAGCCTCCTGAGTAGCTGGGATTACAGCTGCACGCCACCATCCCTGGCAGCTAGTTCTTACACTATTATTAACGTGTAAATTTTATATGGAGAAGAACAATATTAAGAGATTTTTAAAAGCTAACTACCATCTGGGCACAATGGCTCACACCTGCAATCTCAGCACTTTGGGAGGCTGAGGCAGGAGGATTGCTTGAGGCTAGGAGTTTGAGACCAGCCTGGGCAACATGGCAAAACCCCACCTCTACTAAAAATACAAAAATTAGCCATGTGTGGTGGTGGGTGCCTTTAATCCCAGCTACTTGGGAGGCTGAGGCAGGAGAATCACTTGAACCCAGGAGGCAGAGGTTGCAGTGAGCCCAGATCCCACCACTGCACTCCAGCCTGGGCAACAAAGCGAGACTCCATTGCAAAAAAATAATTATAAATTTTTAAAAATAAAAAAAGTGAAAAAAAGCTGACTACCGTCAGACCGACCTGGTTAATGTCAAAGATAAAAATGGCAAGGTGCCTATGGTTGATAAATTACTGTATCATACTACCTGTCATGATCCATATGCCCTTCTAAGCAGGATTTTCTCTCAAATATGCCAGAGTTATATAACACTGGGAGTATTTGTAATAAAATTTTACTTTACATGTGTCCGTACGCACTGATCTTAATCTAGAAATAAAAATCATTGGGAGGCTGAGGTCAGAGGATTACTTGAGTCCAGGAGGTCAAGGCCGAAGTGAGCCATGATCATGCCATTGCTCTCCAGCCTGGGTGACAAAGACTCCATCTCAAAGACACAACAACAACAAAAACAAATCAATAGTTATGGTTGCTGTTCTTGAATGTCTACATTCAAGAGTAAGGGTCTTGAATGCAGCCAACTATCCAGGGGATCACTGTTGGACGCTGATTTTCTTCCAAAGGAAACACCCCATTTTGTTTCATAAAAACTTCAGATTACCAGATGCAGTCCTTACCGGAGAGTTCAAACAGATAGATTGCTTGAGTGGCTTTAACAACATCATCACTGAGAGAGTCCTTAACAATTCTAAATGTTTCTTCCACAGCTCCAGAACGTGGTTTTGGTTGCAGCTGCAGTTTCTCTTCTTTGAATTCTGGAACAGCACCTATAAGATATTATTGAAGCAAATGACCTTAATGCTTGGCAGTGAAGGACCCCACACAGAATTAATTAATCAGCAGGACAGACTTGCCACCAATTAGACCTATTTGACCAAAATGACTTTAAATGCATTAAGTGGCATCTAAAAGCATAAATCAAATTGACAGAATAACAGTCAAACACACATCAATTATGACTATAAATGTAAATCTTTATACTCTCCAAATAAAAGGCTGACTTTCAGATTAGGTTAAAAAATACTACTAAACTATAAATATTTATCATAAACAAACCTTCTATAATCTGAGTACTTTGTGAGGCCAAGGCTGGGCGTGGCGGCTCATGCATGTAATTCCAGCACTTTGGGAGGCCAAGGCGGGTGGATCACTTGAGCCCAGGAGTTCGAGACCAGCCTGGGCAACATGGAGAAACCCTGTCTCTACAAAAAATACAAAAATTAGCTGGGCGTGGTGGTTGGTGCCTGTAGTCCCAGCTACTTGGGAGGCTGAGGTGAGAGGATCACTTGAGCCTGGGAGGTAGAGGCTGCAGTGAGCCGAGATCACGCTACTGCACTCCAGCCTTGGTGACAGAGGGAGACCCTGTCTCAAAAAAATAAATAAAAGAAACAGACCTAAACACAACTACTGGAGTATGAGGGATGATAATCAATCACTCCTTTGTCAATTTCTCTCAGTTCTAAAACCAAATGAGAACAAAAAGACATTGGAATCAGAAAGATGGAAATCAAAATATCAGCTGTGGAACTGGTGGAGCTAAACTGAAGACTGTAGCTTGAATCAACACCCAAGTGTACTTTCTAATCACTCCACCTCTAAATTCAATCTATTCACCTAGTCCTTTCACCCATGGATTGACCCTGCATCCTCCCATCACGGGTTAGAAATGCTCTTAAGTAGAGATCATGTAAAAAACTGAGGACAGCCTGCTCAGAAAGAGAGAATGCTCAGAAGGGTCTGACACACAACCTCAGTTTCTTCTCCCTGTCTCACTTATTCAGATTATCCCTCCCACTAGATGAAAAGGGAGGTTAAACTGTTAGTCCCCTGACTAACAGGCTGCCCTCTCTGGAAACACTAGGTCACGGGAATGGAGGTTACCTGCAACATTTTAAAACTTGCATTCACTTAACCCACTGGCTATAACAACTTAACATATGATCAGCCAGGGGAGAAGACAGCAGTTCATAGGACTGCTTTGCTCCCATATCATGATGCTGCCCCCCAATACTGTCTCTGTTCCTTTATTTATTTTTGAGACAGTCTCGCTTTGTCACCCAGGCTGGAGTGCAGTGGCTTGATCTCGGCTCACTGCAACCTCCGTCTCCTGGTTCAAGTGATTCTCCAGCTTCAGCCTCCCGAGTAGGTGGGACTACAGGTGCCCACCACCGTGCCCGGCTAATTTTTGAATTTTTAGTAGAGACAGGGTTTCACCATGTTGGCCAGGCTGGTCTCAAACTCCTTACCTCAGGTGATCCACCCACATTGGCCTCCCAAAGTGCTGGGATTGCAGGCGTGAGCCACCGTGCCCGGCCTCTCTGTTCCTTTATTTATCATTCTAGAATCACATAGAGGCAGCTAAGTAGTTGCCCCCAGAAACAGGTAAGAACAATTCGTTAATTAAATTAACTCCAAGGCCAATCTGTGCTCTAGGCTGAAGGTGAATCTGTTTCTCAACTCAAATTATACACAGCCATCTTGTCTAATACAATTCCTCAAAGGTTATTACATGAAATCTAATTGACAGCATAAAGATACTCCATAGTACAAAGTAAGCTATTAATTCATAAAGTATACTGAATATAAATTGCCTTTCATTATGATGTTTCCACAAATAAAAAAAATCATTTTCCTTTTATAAGTTAAAGTACGAACAGATATTAGAGATGAAAGCCTTAAAGAATTTTTTTAGCCTGTTTTATTATTGTTTTAAAATTTACTACAGTGTACCCCTTTATTGCCTGCACTGGGGGCAATCCACTTCTGCCTTGCACTTAGCATGACACTGCTTTTTATTGACATGTAACATACATTCAGAAACAGTGATCAGATGTATCCAGATCAAACATCACCACCTAGGTCAAGAAAGATGATATTACAGGTATCCCAGAAGCCCACTCCACAACCCCTCCTAATTGCTAACACCATATATTAGTTTTGTCTCATGTTTATCTTCAAATAAATGGAATCAATCACACAGTATCTATTCTTATATGCCTGCCGATCCTTCAAATCTCTTCCAAAAAAAAAAAATGCAAGAGGAGGGAACACTTTCTAATTAATTATGTGAGGTCAGTATTACCATGACACCAAGCCAGACGCAGACTTAAAAGAAAACTGACTAGTATAGACAGACAATATGCAAATGCATATACATGCATACATACATGAAATTAAGTCGAGAAGTGATGGGTTCTACTTTAAAAAGAGCAAGAGCTGGGATAGAATGTAAGACTATTTTAGATAAGACAGTTTTTGAATAGACACTGAATTAAACAATATAAGGCTGAATATGTAAATACATACACACATACATATTTATTCTACAATTTGAAAACATAAATGTGGCCAACAGTTCGTCTTCACCAGTTCAATTTGAAAAAGGTATTCCCCATGCTTCAGTGACAATAACCTAATACTTTATAACCTTTGCAATGCTTATTTGAGCAATGCCACTTCCCAGTTATTTTCCAAATGTACACCAGTGTAAGTGAATGAGACACATTACTATTAATATAAGGTATTATTATTTAGAAGCCAATTTTAAAATTGAGCTATGAATTCCAATATTTATCTATTTTTTTTGGTCTGTTTTTTGAGATGGGCTTACTCTGTCACCCAGGCTGAAGTGCAGTGGTACAGTCAAGGTTCACTGCAGCCTCAACTTCCTGAGCTCAAGCTTCCTGAGTAGCTGGGACCACAGGCATGTGCCACTACGCCCAGCTAATTTTTTGTATTTTTTATAGAGACGGGGTTTCACCATGTTGGCCAGGCTGGTCTCGAACTCCTAGACTCAAACGATCCACCCGCCTCAGCCACCCATGATTGGGATTACAGACATGAGATACCACACCCGGCCTCAAAAAGTTGTTTTTGAAGACATGGAAAACATTCACAATAATTAAGTAATGTTAAATTAAATGGGAGTCTATGCAATTAAACATAATATATATAAAGCTTCTTTCTTAAGAAAATAAAAAACAATATGAACCTACTGGTAAAATATTTATTTCTGGGTATACATTTTAAATTATATGTGCCAAAAAAAAGTGGTTGAAAGGAAATAAGCCAAAATATAAATGTACTTATAATTGGATTACAGGTGACTTTAAAATTTTTCTTTGAGCTGTTCTATACTTTTTTTTTTTTTTTTGAGGCAGTCTTGCTCTGTCACCTAGGCTGGAGTGCAGTGGCATGATCTCAGCCCATTGCAACCTCCACCTCCCAGGTTCAAGCGATTCTTGTGCCTCAGCCTCCCGAATAGCTGGGATTACAGGCACATACCACTGCACCCGACTAATTTTGTATTTTTAGTAGAGACAGGGTTTCACCATGCTGGCCAGGCTGGTCTTGAACTCCCGACCTCAGGTGATCTGCTCGCCTCAGCCTCCCAAAATGCTGGGATTACAGGCATGAGCCACGGCACCTGGCCTGTTCTATGCTTTTTTTATACTTCTGTATTAAACTTGTCTTTTTAAATTTTTAATGTTTTAATTTTTTTCTATTGGTAGAGATGGGGGGGGGGTCTCGCTATGTTGCCCAGGCCGGTCTTGAACTCATGTCCTCAAGTGATCATCCCACCTCTGTCTCCCATAGTGTTATGATTACAGGTGTGAGCCCCTATACCCTGCCCGTACTAAGCTTTTCTATACAGACTAATTTAAAATGCTATCAAAATTGAGTAAAGTATATAACAAAATCGATTGGATGTAGCCAAAGCTATGTTAAGGGGATAAATGCACAAACTTTATTTCATTATTTTAAAAGAAATAACAATAAAGTATTAGCCCAACAAGTAAGAACAGGAACAAAAGCAACCTCAAAGAAAGCAGAAAGGAGAAAACAATAAACCAAAAGTAAAAAAAGTAAGGAATCAGATGGTTGCACAATTCTGGGAAGATGCTAAAAATCACTAGACACTTCCAAATGGTGAATTTTTTTTTTTTTGAAACTGAGTTCCACTCTGTCACCCCGTCTGGAGTGCAGTGACATGATTTTGGCTCACTGCAACCTCCACCTCCTGGGCAGCTGGGATTACAGATGTGCACCACCACACCCGACTAATTTTTTGTATTTTTAGTAGAGACAGAATTTCGCCATGTTGCCCAGGCTGGTCTTGAACACCGGAGCTCAGACAATCCGCCTGCCTCAGCCTCCCAAAGTGCTAGAATTACAGGCATGAGCCACCGCACCCGGCCTAAAATGATGAATTTTTTGGTATATATAAGTTATATCTCGAGTTGTTATTAAAAAGATAATCAGAAAAGAGAAAAGCTGTAGAATTAAAAATGAAATAAAATTTAAAGTCTGGTGCTTTTGAGAAAAAATAAGATAACACAAAATCAGCAACTAATCAAGAAAAAAGAAAAATAATTTTTAAAACAGAGGAAAGAGGCTGGGCGTGGTGGCTCATGCTGGTAATCCTAGCACTTTGGGAAGCCAAGGTGGGTGGATCACCTGAGGTCAGGAGTTTGAGACCAGCCTGACCAACATGGTGAAACCCCGTCTCTACTAAAAATACAAAAATTAGCTGGGCATGGTGGCGTGCACCTGTAATCCTAGCTACTCAGGAGGCTGAGGCATGAGAATTGCTTGAACCTGGGAGGCAGGGGTTGCAGTGAGCCGAGATCGTGCCACTGCGCTCCAGCCTGGGAGACAGAGTGAGACTTTGTCTTAAAAGAAAAAAAAAAAAAAAAAAACAGAGGAAAGAGATAAAACAGTTTGAAAACTTTAAAAAATTGTGTAAGTGAAATACTACATGTCAACTCAAACAGGTTTTGAAACTTCAAATGGATAATTTGGGTTTTTATTTTTTAAAAAGCCTATAATTGAATAAAATAAAAGTTTTGAAAGAAATAACTTCAGAAAAGACCCAAATGACTTAGTAGGTATTTCAAACCTTCAAAGAAAAGAACACAGAGAGAGGCTGGGTGTGGTGGCTCATGCCTGTAATCCCAGCACTTTTGGGAGGCCAAGGCGGGTGGATCATGAAGTCAGGAGATCGAGACCATCCTGGCTAACGCAGTGAAACCCTGTCTCTACTAAAAATAAAAAAATAAAAAAAAAAATTAGCTGGGTGGCAAGCCTGTAATCCTAGCTACTCAGGAGGCTGAGGCAGGAGAATCGCTTGAACCCAGGTGGCGGACGTTGCAGTGAGCCAAGAAGAAAATGCCGCTGCACTCCAGCCTGGGCAACGGAGCAAGACTCCGTCTCAATAAAAAAATAAAAAGAGAGAGAAAGAAGGAAAGAAAGAAAGGAGGAAAGAAAGAAAGAGGTGAAAGAAAGAATAGAAAAAGTACCCATTTACCATATTTAAAATGTAACAAGTTTATTACACTAAAAATAGATACCAATCTAACTTCTCTGATTAAAAAAATGTCCATCTTATACAAATGTTAACACCTTACTTATGGTAAAATCTGAAGATTTTCTCATTAAAATTAAGAATAAAATAAGGATAATTAAAATAAAATAGTTTTAATGAACCTCCTGGAAGTTCAAGTCAGTGTATTAAAATATATGCCAGAAATCATCCTTGAAAGACATTATTATATGCAGACAAGAAGTTTTACCATGTAGAAAATTTAAGATAATAATAACTACAGCAACCAATAGTTACAGGGAGCTTCCTGCATCAAATGTACAATATGATGTACCATCACTCTTATTCCTCACAATAATTACACAAGGAAAGTAAGAGGTGACAAAACTGTTTCAGAGAGCTGAAGTGATATGCCCAAAATGATAAATATAAGTGGCGGGCACCGGATTTGAACCCAGATCTGTCTTACTCCAAAGTCTATGCTTTCAATGAGTACTCACGCTCTCTCAAAAACTATTAGATGTCTTTAAAAACAACAACAAAAAACTCATGATGGTGACCAGATACAGAACATACAAAAGTTAATTTTCCCCTTTTTATTTTTAACTTGGCTTGTTCCAGAAAGCATTTCAATTTGTTTAATAAAAACAAATGCAATTCAAGATTAAATCCAGGCAGTCTGACTCCAGAGCCTGCAATTTTATCCACTGAGTAATAAATATTTCCTCCACATTTCCTTCTATGTTTAGCAATTTGATTTTTTATATAGCCAACATAAAAGCTGAACACAGTGCTGAGATGTGAAACTCACCAGAAGTTGACCAAGCAGAGGCTGCTAAAGCAAGGGCAGCAATGACACAGGCTTCCTTCATGTTTCCAAAGGCAGGTCATGTGTTTCGTTTTAGCAGTTACACCAGAGAGAACTGAGTCTGTCACATAAATAACTGCTGGAACCCCTCCCTTCCTTGTGGGTAACTACTTCAGGTGATTTGTATATTAGTCAAGATATATCATCTACATATGAGGTGCCAAGGAGATTGCAGCAAAAACTTTAGTTTATCCCTGAAAGACATTTGCCAAGAGATAAACTGCATAATTTATCACCTGGATTATTGAGACGTAAACATGATGAGTTTGCACAAGAGAAAAAAAAACTTCAGGAGACAAAAAAAACCTGTGATAGATTTTAAAGGTGCAGCCATCAGACTACAAATATGTAAGCCAGAATGGGAAAGAAATATTTATAGAATTCCAGTACACAAAAGAAGATGACATATGGCTGGTAGTCCCTGACACAGGCTCTCCTAACTTCACACTGAATAAATATAAAAATGCACACACACACAAAAGGGGAAATACTGAATATCACCTAGACTGATACACAATCTATTGTCTGAATCTAGGAAGAGAGGTTCAGCAGCTCTAAGGTACATGGAGTCAGCCCCAGAAAGACAGGTCTCCTGTGCTTTCCCTCATGAAAGATCTCAAAGAATACCTCTGCCCACCCGAACAAAGAAGAGAGGCTCGCGCTGGATCAGACTCTGGGCTTGTACCAACTAAGATCAGAAGCTGTCTCTCTGTTTTACACATGCTACTTTTCAAGACACACTCAATGTGATTCCTCATCCTCATCTTTCAAATCCAGTTCCAAAGCTTGTAGCTCCCAAATAAGATAAGCAGACAGTAGGGGAGTCCTGCAGTGGAGCATCCTGGGAAGTACATGCCCCAAGGCATGGCTGACAAGGATGGGGAGGGGAAGAACCGTGGCAGCAGGGCATTCCAGGAGAGAGTAGTTTTTGTGTTTTTGTTGTGTTTCATGTTGTTTTTGAGATAGGGTCTCCCTCTGTCACCCAGGCTGGAGTGCAATGGCACAATCACAGCTTGCTGCAAGCTTGAACTCCTGGGCTCAAGTGATCCTCCCGCCTCAGCCTCCCAAGTACCTGAGACCACAGGTACATACCACCACGCCTGGCTATTGTTAAAAATTTTTTGTAGAAATGGGATCTTGCTATTGCTACATTGCCCAGGCTCATCTCGAACTCCTGGCCTCGGGCAATCCTCCCACCACAGCCTCCCAAAGTGCTGGGATTACAGGCATTAGCCACTGAGCCAGGCCTGGAGAGTAGTTTTAAACAGAGGAAGTAAAGGAAGGTCACATGTCAGCCTTGCACACTGGCCTGAGCTATTTGCCCAACAGGTGCCACATCTGAAACTACAGCTCAGAAAAAGGAATTCCTCCATATAGACAGGGAAGGGAGCCAAAAGCAACCTACACATTCCTGCCTTTGACTACACTAGCTCTAGAGATATCTCCTAATATGAGGAAGAATTAACAGAAAAAAAAAATAACCTGATGCCTATGAAAAAAATAATGTGCCACAGGCAATGGAGGCTATTCTGAAGAGCAAATATCTAAAACTAATTTACCATGAAACCTACAAGAATTCTTCCACACGAAAACTATATCATTATGATGTGTCAATACAGATTCATCAATTCTAACAAATGTACCACTCTGGTAGAGGATGCTGCTAAGGAAGGAAGTAATGCATGTGTGGGATATATGATATTTCTGTACCTTCTCAGTTTTGCTGTGAATCTAAAACTTTATGCTATAAAAAAAAATAAAGCTTTGGCCAGGCACAGTGGCTCATGCCTGTAATCCCAGCACTTTGGGAGGCCAAGGTGGGTGGATCACCCAAGGTCAGAAGTTTGAGACCAGACTGGCTAATGTGGCGAAACCCCATCTCTACTAAAAATACAAAATTAGCCGGGCATGGTGGCACACCCATGTAATCCCAGCTACTAGGGAGGCTGAGGAAGGAGAATTGCTTTAACCTGGGCGGTGGAGGTTGCAGTGAGCCAAGATCATGCCACTGCATTCCAGCCAGGGTGATAGAGACTCTGTCTCAAAAAAATAAATAAATAAAGCCTTAAAAAAAAAAACTATATGAAACAGGGACAGAAAGTTATATATAACCGGCTGTGATGAAAAGACAATAGGATAAAATGAAAAAGGAAGTGAGCACCATAGCAAATTAACCATTTGAGACAATATGGAACAGAAACTAAGCTATAGAACATCTTATCAGACTGTCCTTTTTAATACAGAGGACAAACTTAACAAGGTCTCCAGAATACAGAAGAGAAAGCCAGAACCAGTGAGAAATGGTGCTAACTACAGGGAAAGGGAAAGGGGAGCCAAGGTAAGAATAAGTGTTTCTGAGAATCCAGAACAACTGCAACAGAAGCAATTAAAACTGTAACTGAAGGAAAATAGGCCCAGCGCCATAGCTCATGCCTGTAATCCCAGCACTTTGGGAGGCCGAGGCAGGATGATTGTTTGAGGCCAGGAGTTTGAGACCAGCCTGGGCAATATAACAAGACCCCCTCTTTACAAAAAATTTAAAAATTAGCTGGACGTGGTGGCATGCACCTCTAGTCCCAGCTATTGGTGAGGCTGAGGTGAGAGGATTGTTTGAGTCCAGGACTTTGAGGGCTGCAGTGGGCTATGATCGAGCCACTGCACTCCAGCTTGGGCAACGGGGTGAGACCCAGTCTCTAAACCAAATAAAAAATAAAAACAAAAATAAGCTGGAAGTCAAAAAAAAAAAAAAAAAAAACAAGACTGAGTGGGCTCCCTGTGTTCCAGTGGAGAGTAGGGGTGGGGGGAATCAATGAAGAAATAATGGTATTGCATTTTCGTTTGTTTGTTTTTTGAGACAGGGGTCTCACTCTCTCACCCAGGCTGGAGTTTAATGGCTTGATCATAGCTCATTACAACCTCAAACTCCTGAACTCAAGTGATCCTCCCACTTCAGCCTCCCAAGTAGCTGGGACTACAGGCATGCACCATCACACCCAGCTAATTTTTGTACTTTTTGTAGAGACAAAGTTTTGCCATGTTGCCCAGACTAGTCTTGAACTCCTGGGCTCAAGCGATCCTCCCACCTCAGCCTCCCAAAGTGCTGGGACTACAGGCGTGAGCCACTATGCCTGGTTGATATTGCTTTTAAGATGGGAAGAAAAAAAAAACCCATCAATTTAAAACTAGGTCCATTGTCTACAATAATTACATATATAAGAGCTAACATACACACGACGAATACTGGAAAAGGTATAATGAAATGGTAACAGGGGTTATTATAAGTTGTTGGTGCAATAGAAAGGTGAACCTCTCCCCCTTTGGAAACAAGGGATACACATGGTTCTCAAAGAGCTGAACTATGAGAGGACATAAGAAATAAACTGAAAGAGGTAAGTTATAGCCCAGGCTACTATCTATATGAGTATATTAATATATCTACAGAAAAGGTCAGGTAAAATTGCTATTGACTGAACCACACAGAATCAAAAAAAGAGAGCTACAGAAGTAAATGCTCCTGCAGCATTAGGTGAGGGAAGTTAGCCAAAGGAATTTGAGTCTTCTAACCTTAAGGGTAAGAGCATTGCTTATGTGGAGATGGCTATAGGCAAAGTTATCCCTATCAAAGCCTGATGCCAGTAAACACTGATTTTACACTCTACCTATCTAACTCCCTTGTTCTGATTCCATGGTCATGAAATGACCTTCTGACTATGATTCTGTTTCATGCACAATTATATCCAAAGGAAGAGAATGTGCTGATCAAGCACCTACATGTTTAACCTATGAGATGGCAACTCTTTGTTATAAATTAATAAACTGGATTATCAGGGGAAAGAATGTGCTAATTTACGTATTTATTTGAGACAGGGTCTTGCTCTGTTGCCCAGGCTGGAGTGCTGTAGCTCAATCATAGCTCACTGCAGCCTCAAACTCTTGAGCTCAAGGGATCCTCCTGCTTCAGTCTCCTGAGTAGCTGAGACTACAGGCATGTGCCACCATGGCCAGCTAATTTTTTTTATTTTTTTGTAGAGACAGGGTCTCACCATGTTGCCCAGACTAAGAATATGCTAAAATTTAAAAGACTAAGTATTCAAGTGTTAGGAAAGCCATTTAAGTTTACTGGTTAAAGACATGGGCTTTGAAATCAGAGAAATATGAGTTTAAATCTTGGTTCTGCCACCTGCTGGCTGTGCAATTGCAGCTGTAAAATGAGGGGAGTATCTGTCTTGGGGATTAATGGTATTAAACAGGACAATGCATGTAAAGTACTTAGCACAGTGTTTGGCACATAGGAGGTGCCCAGTAAATATTTGTTGAATAAACAAAAAGAACATACATGATCAATAAGTGGTTCTTATTTAAAATTTGGAGTTTAAATGATCTCAGTTCATGCATGCCTTCTTCTAAAAGACAGATCCAACCTTAGGGCGTTGGGCAAAAATCGGAGTTTGGGACTTAACTAACTTGAAGACCAGACTCTTCTAGAGTTTGATAAGCTCTCTAGGTATTTTCCACCATTCTGTAAGAGGCCTTTTGAGAAACAGACTGACAGTCTTGTTTTTCCTGGTTTTAATACTCTGGGTAGTAGGATTATGAGTAACTATTTTCCTTTCTATTGTTTTAAATTGTCTGTAATACAAAAAAGTCCTTTTTATTACCTAAGTAATTTTTTTAAATTACCATAAAAATCTGGAAAAAGAAAAGATAAATAATAAAGAATAAATAAAAGAAAGCTGGAAATAAGGTTTGGCTCTAAAATGCATTGCAGTAAGGTGCCACAGATTTGCTAAAGGTATCAAGGAAATTCATCCCTACATTTTCTATCAGACTTCTAAAAAAAAAAATCGATGAGAGTCATAGCATCTATAAGATAAAAATAAGGTAAGGGCCCAGAAGAAGCACAGCCATTCTTATTAGTAAACCATGAGAGAAATTCTTCCCACAGGTATTCATTAAAGTGTTTCTTCAAGTAAGCCACTGGCAAAATGTCAGAACACAAAGTCTAAAATGTAAACTCTGGACCAATTCAAGGGCACTATTGTTTATGAATTACAGAAACAAAACAAAGTAAAACCCAAACCTCCTTTGAAGTTGATTTCTTTCATAAAATAGTCACATAACACAAACTGTGGAAATGGTGTTAGATGTATTTGATATATGACACACTTTTCCTCAAAATAACATATCAACATGAAATACCTAAAGACAGTGCAAAAGAAAATAAATAAAACCTAAAAAAAAGTTTTTTCAGACTTGTTTTTAACCAAACGCAAAGAATATATTAATAACTTCTTCTTTTTTTTTTTTTTTTTTTTTTTTTTGAGACAGGGTCTTGCTCTGTCACCCAGGCTAGAGTGCAGTGGCACGATCACGGCTCACTGAAACTTCAACTTCCCGGGATCAGGTGATCCTCCCACCTCAGCCTCCTGAGTAGCTGGGACTACAGTCTCGTGCCACCACGCCCAACGTATTTTTTTTTTGTATTTTTTTTGTAGAGACGGGGTTTCGCCATGTTGCCCAAGCTCGTCGCAAACTCCTGGACTCAAGTGATCCATTCGCCTCAGCCTCCCAAAGTGCTGGGATTACAGGTATGAGCCACTGTGCCCAGCCTTATTAAAACTTCTTACTGGTAGATGAACAAAACAACCTTCTTTACTAGAATTAACTGAGATCTCACATTACTTGTTTAGTTTAAAGTACAAAACAGTTTAAAAACAGAAGGCAGAAATGTCACTGTTATAGGATCAATTCCATATTTTGGAAGAAATACATAAGTTAGGATTTATATTTTCTAACATAAAATATAGTCTAGATCTTACCAGTTGATTCCACTTTCTTGCTAACTGCTTCTGGGTATTCATCTAAGAAGAAATCTGGTTGCAAAGGATGACCTGAAAAATTGACCCCAAACCATTAGGTTAATGTAACTACAACATAGTAAGATTTTAACATCTGTTTAATAAACATATCTATTTTATTAAAAATCTTTCTGGTGCAAAAGAAAAGGCCTCTGTGAGAACTGTCGAATGACCTGATCTTCATTAAATTAATTTTCTCATAATTCAGTTATCTTTCTCTCCTCTGATAAATTTTATCTTCAAGATTTAATCCCCAAAAGATCACCTGTTCTGTAAAGCCTTTACCTGCTCTCCCAGGAACCTCTGCCCTTCTCATCCTACACTGCTCTTCTGGCCCACATTCTTCCGAAGTTGTCAGGACTTATTTCTTACCTGCCGTCCTAAAAGCAGAGGGCCCCTTCTTAAGAAGGACTTTCTTCTCAGCATTAGTGCACTTGGGTCTCTTCTCTCTTTCCCTCTTCCTCTCACTCCATCATCATGAACACTAAGCTATCCTATTCCATCCTATTCCACTGGGTTATTATTATTATTATTGACACAGGGTCTCACTGTCACCCAGGCTGGAGTGCAGTGATATGATCTTGGCTCACTGCAACCTCCACCTCCTGGGCTCAAGTGATCCTCCTCCCTCAGCCTCCCAAGTAACAGGGACCACAGGTGCAAGCCACCATATCCAGCTAATTTTTATTTATTTATTTATTATTTATTTATTTATTTATTTTTTGAGACGGAGTCTCGCTCTGTCACCCAGGCTTGAGTGCAGTGGCACGATCTCAGCTCATGGCACCCTCTGCCTCCCAGGTTCAAGCAATCCTCCTGCTTCAGCCTCCCAAGTAGCTGGGATTACAGGTGCCCATCACTATGCCTGGCTACTTTTCATATTTTTAGTAGAGATAGAGTTTCACCATATTGGTCAGGCTGGTCTCAAACTCCTGACCTAGGATATCCACCCACCTCAGCCTCCCAATGTGCTGGGATTATGGGCGTGAGCCACCGTGCCTGAACACTCATTTTTATTTTTTGTAGAGATGGGGTTTTGCCATGTTGCCCAGTATGGTCTTGAACTCCTTGGCTCAAGCGATCCACTGGCCTTGGCCTCCCAAAGTGCTGGGATTACAGGTGTGAGCCACTGCACACAGCCTCCACTGGGTCTTATTTTCAGCTAATGGTTGTGGTTAGCAAATAGGTTAACTGTTTTAATTACACTGATAACTCCAAGACATGTGCACACTAGAAGATTTAAAGGCCACAAAGCCTTCAAAACTGTAGTACAGTGAGATGTTAACAATCTCAATTGTTCTCTTTTTCTTTTCTCTCTTTTTTTTTTTGACATGGGGTCTTGCTGTTTTGCCCAGGCTGGTCTCAAACTTCTGGGCTCAAATGAGCCTCCTGCCTCGGTCTCCTGCCTCTCTCTCTCTCTTTTTCAGAAGTTTAAGCAAACTTCTGGAGGGCAGGAATGAATTCATCTTTGTTATATCCTAATATCATAGTATCTGGTCATTTTAAGTTCTCAATACTTAATAGGATTTTTAATTTAAATAAAATTTTAAAACTTGCGCACAATTACACTGTGTCTTTAAAACCTAAGGTAATAATTATATTCCTGGGTACCAGGACCCGGAAGACCTGAATCTGGTCAGGTTCTGCCACCTATTAGCCATCTGCTCTTAGGCAAAGGCTCAATCTCTCTGAGCCTGTTTTTCCACTTGTAAATATTAACTACTAAATATTCTGAGTGTACTATATGCTGGGCACTGTGCCAAACACATTATACATTATCACATTTAGCCTTTACAAAAATCTTGTATGAAATGTATCATTCTCTTAAGTTTACCAATATGGAAATTGAGGCTGAGACAGACAAACTGGGTGACATGCTCAAAGCTGCATAGCAGTGAGCAGCAGAGCTGCAATATGAAGCTGGGTTGTCTTCTCCCAAATTTCGTGTTCTTAATCACTAAGCATTACTTTCCGTACAGAATTGTTATGCAGGCTAAATAGATAATGCATATAAGAGTGCTTTGTAAAACTATAATCCGCTATTTACTTTAGTTTGAACTGCAGAGATGAGCAGGGATGATACAAATATAAACGTGGTTTGTGTCATTTAGAAGCTCAGTTTAATGAATAATATTTAAAATATACTTTAGCGCAAATAAATATAACTCCTATGTATGGCTATATTAGAATACATCATATTCTATATGGTAAAAATCCATTATTATCATTATCATCCCCAATTTCAGAGAGGGAGAGTTACTTAACAAGAGGGCTTTCTAGAAGCTTCTCAGATCACTTTACTGTCCATGAGACAGAGCCTGCCCACTCATCTACACCATCTGTCATTAAGCTACTCTAAGAGACTGCGCTTAAGAGACAAATATTTAGAGAGTCCACAATCATAAATTATTTTAAACAAAAAAATTCATTACTGTGCCAGGTGCAGTGGCTCACGCCTGTAATCCTAACACTTTAGGAGGCCAAGGCAGGCAGATCACTTGAGCTCAGGAGTTCAAGACCAGCCTGGGCAACATGGTGAAACCCCACATCTACAAATACAAAAATTAACCAGGTGTGGTGGCACATGCCTATAGTCCCAGCTACTCTAGAGGCTGAGGTGGAAGGATTGCTTGAGCCTGGGAGGTAGAGGTTGCAGTGAGCTGAGATTGCGCCACTACACTCCAACCTGGGTGACAGAGTGAGACCCTTTCTCAAATAAATAAATAAATACATAACCCACTACTGTACCATCTGTTACCACATATTCTTGAACAAAATCTTTACTCTGTGATTTTAAGACCAACTTTAAAAAATAATTTTCATTTCTTATTTCGAGATTTAGAAGTGGCTAGTAACTGATCTGACTTTCTGTGCTTATATATATATATATATATATCACTTCAAAAGCCCTCAACTCACCTCTATTTTTCATTCATCTTTTTTTTTAAGTTGTGTTGGTATGGGTTTTCTTCCTTCATTGGGAAGACAGCTTTTAAAAGAACACATTCATTTTACAATCACACAAACACACACAAAAAACAGATATGTTCATTGCAGAAAATATGGAAAAACGTATCACTACTTTTAAAAACTATAAAAGCATTACCTGGTTTAATTGCATAAACGTCAAAATTTTCTATTCCTTCTTCTTTTAAGATATTTTCATCAATGACAAAGTTGCCAGTAAAACTTTTTGGCTTTTGGAAAATGGAATATGCTGCATCTGCAATGATATCAACTTTTCTACACTGGCTTTCGATACCAGGTCCTCCCAGCATATCCATAGCAGCAGTGTGTATGGCTGTAGAGAAAACACACACACACATACACTCATAACTCCAAATCAAATAATAAAACTATGGAAGTAACAAGCAAGCACCACCCTTCACAATTATCAAGGCTAATCCTTTCATTTCTTAGCTGATGAAAACAAAGTCCAGATTGCTTAAGGGATTTGCCAAATTTTTTTTGTTTTTTTGTTTTTATTTTTGTTTTTGAGACAGTCTTGCACTGTCACCCAGGCTGGGGTGCAATGGCGTGATCTCCGCTCACCGCAACCTCTGCCTCCTGGGTTCAAGTGATTGAACCCAGCCTTCTGAGTAGCTGGGATTACAGGCGTGCGCCACCACTGCTGGCAATTTTTTTGTATTTTTAATAGAAACGGGGTTTCACCATGTTGGCTGGTCTCGAACTCCTGACCTTGTGATCCGTCCGCCTCAGCCTCCCAAAGTGCTGGGATTACAGGCATGAGCCACCACGCCTGGCCCCAGGATTTACCAAATGTTCTACGGAGAGAACTGGGTGGAAAACACATGTTCCTTACCCTGCAACACTGCCTTATACTACAGACCAAACCATAAGACTCAAAGTAAAATTCAATGAACTTTCTGATTTAGAATGCTCAAGAATTTGCATGCCTGTTTAAGGAATAACTGAAGAGACCTCTAATAGCTTCCAATTGATTCTCCTGATAACAGCTAAGAGATTACTGCCTGAAAACAGACAGTACCAACAGTCTTAATGCCAAAGATTTCCTTTCACATAAACATATGGAGTGCGTATGAGGCTTAAAACATCAGCATTGCCTGTGATGACTCCTTCTCTGGGAAGAGAGCTTGTTTCGCCTCTTTAACACCTGTCAGCCACCACCAAACACATGCACACATTCTTGTGGGTATTCACTGAACCAACAATACCACTGATTATACAGTGCACCATTACTTTAGGGACCACTAAGGAAACAAAAAAGCTGCCAATTAAATTATGATATATCATCTATTGTAAGAAACAGACTGGTATCTGAGATGTACAAATATAAAGCATGGGCATCTCAGAATCAATGAAAGTAGTATAAACTCTTTCACCTAGTCAGTGAATAGGTTCCTTGAAAAACACTCAATAAATATTGGTTGGATTTCTGGGGGTCCTTTTTAAATTCACACAACACTGTTTTGTAGAAAATATTAGAAAATAGCTAGGTGCGGTGGCTCACGCCTGTAATCCCGGCACTGTGGGAGGCCGAGGTGGGTGGATCACTTGAGGTCAGGAGTTTGGGACAAGCCTGGTCAACATGGTGAAACCCCATCTCTACTAAAAATACAAAAATTAGCCAAGCATGGTGGCGAGCGCCTGTAGTCCCAGCTACTTGGGAGGCAGAGGTAGGAGAATTGCTTGAACCTGGGAGGCAGAGGTTGCAATGAGCTGAGATTACTCCACTGTTCTCCAGCCTGGGTGACAGAGCGAGACTCCGTCTCAAAAAAAAAAAAAAAAAGAAAAAAAGAAAAGAAAGAGAAGTAAAAGGAAAAAATTGCTTAATTAATTATAATTTCCCTATCCAGGGATAACTGCTGTTAATGTTTGCATAAAATTTTTACCATGTTAGGTGTACTTTTAAAATTATGTCTCTTATGTGAAGTAACTTTAAACTCTACAATTAACAGTACATTATTAATTACACATTGTCAACAGTAACATCTCAATTTTCTTACATATATCCTAGTTTACATCAAACAAGAAAAGTCTATTTATTTATTTATTTACTTTCCAACATAATTCATAGGTTCACAGAAAGTCAACTTATTTAAATGTACTTAGGTTTGTGAGTTTCTAGTATTTTAGTTAAAGCTTATTTCCATATATTGTTAAAATACAATTTTAAATTATTACATACTAGAATAACTTACATATTTTCATCTATAAGATGAAATGTCTGTAGCTTTTAAGAGCCATTGGCCCTTTTTCATTCATTTAACAAATAGTTATTAAGCACTTACTATATGTAAGTCAGGCGCTATTCTAGATATTAAGGACACAGATGTTGACAAAACAGACATAAGGCATCTACCTTCATGGAACTTACATCCCTATTTTGTTTAATGTTCAATTAATTTAGGGAATTTCTTGAAAGCACTGAGTTAGAAGACACTTTTCTACTTCATAACTAAAAATCATTTACTAGGAATAATTTTTTTTTTTTTTTTTTTTTTTTTGAGATAGGGTCTCACACTGTCACCCAGGCCAAAGGCAGTGGTGAGATCATGGCTCTCTGCAGCCTTGATCTCCTGGGCTCTCAAACGATCCTCCTACCTCACCCTCCCACCATATCCAGCTTTTTTTTTTGGTAGAAATGGGGTCCTGCTATGTTTCCCAGGCTGGTCTCCAACTCGTGGGCTCAAGCCGTCCTCCTGCCTTGGCCTTCCAAAGTGCTGGGATTACAGGTGTGAGCCACCGTGTCCAGCCCTAGAAATAATTTTTTCCTTAACCAACAGATCAAGAGCAAGAGCTCTGGTCTCACTCTTGAACTGATCCTTTATTAATAATAAAAAAAAAATAGCAGCTGAATGTTGTGGCTAGAGCCTATAATCCCAGATATTCTGGAGGCTGAGGCAGGAAGATTGCTTGAGCCTAGGAATTTGAGGCTGCAGTGAGCTATGACTGTGCCATTGCATTCTAGCCTGGGTGACAGAGTGAGACCCTATTTGTTTGTCAAAAAAACAGAAAAATTAAAAATGAATAAAATAAAATAAAAAATAGCACCTACCATTCATTAAGTGTACCCTGTGCCAGGCATGCTGTTACCTATTTTACATACATTATCTTACCTAATTCTTAGAACCCTGAGGTAGGTCCTGTTGTTATTCCCATTTTATAAATAGGAGCAGTGAAGCACAGAGAAGTTAAGTAACTTGCCCAAGGTCACAGAAGCTAAAATTCAAACACCCAGCAGCCTGACTTCAGAGCCAGGCTCTCATCCTTAATGCAACTAAATGGTTAACCTTGTTAACCAAAGTTCTTGGAGTTCAGTTATCATCTCACTCCCGAAAACTGCAGAACTTTTCTGTACATAATTGAGTATAATCTATTTTGAGACTATATGCATACATGCACACTGCTAGTCTCCATGTAAACTACATGAATTGTACAAGAATCCTTAAAAACTCTAAATTAGAAGTCTAATAAAATATGTCATGTATAAGTATATACATGCTGTGTGTGTGTGTGTGAGTGTCTATAGAATAAGAAATGTTCCTCCAACCTATCATTACTTTAACAATCTTTCTAGGAAAGATACAAAGAAGGTACAACTAGGCACTCAAAACTCAAGGAGTGGGCCATTGAGTATTTCTCAACACAGATTTTGCAATGCCAACAAGCTAACCCAATAGGTTAGAAAAAACTGGTAACAATAAAAGCAGGTTAACAGTAGGATCAATCAAATGAAATTCACTGATGATTTCTGGGAAAGAAAATAAGCAAAATTTATAATGAAAGCAGATAAGCCATGGATCACAAGAGTCAACAACATCGACCTGAAAACTTAAGTCTTATTAAGAAATAACTGAAGAGACATCTAATAGCTTCCAATTGATTCTCCTGATAACAGCTAAGAGATTACTGCCTGAAAACAGACAGTACCAACAGTCTTAAGACCAAAGATTTCCTTTCACATAAACATATGAAGTGTGTATGAGGCTTAAAATATCAGCATTGCCTGTGATGACTCCTTCTCTGGGAAGAGAGCTTGTTTCCCCTCTTTGACACCTGTCAGCCACCACCAAACATATCCACACACTCATGTGTGTATCCACTGAACCAATGATACCACTGATTATACAGCGCACCATTACCTTAGGGACCACTAAAGAAAGAAAAAAGCTGCCAATTAAACTATGATATATCATCCATTGTAAGATACAGACTGAGATCAGAGATGTACAAATATAAAGCATGGGCATGTCAGAATCAATGAAAATGGTATAAACTGTTTAACCTAGTTAGTGAACAGGTTTTGATTTCTAGCACCAGACAGGAAGGAGGTGAGCTGCCACCTTGTCGCCTCACCCTCCCTGGTTAGCTGAGTTCCCAAATCTATTTGTAATATAGTCCAGGTGACAGAAGTCTGCAGCTGCTCTGTGGTACTTCTACTGCCTTCCTCTCTGTAGCCATTACCAAATCAGTAGCTGCCATTCCCAGACTCCCCACCCCAAGCCCAAATCAAATCCACCCAAAAGTGGACTTTCCTGCTTCTACCATACTTGCCCAGACCAGTCATGAGGTAAGAGTAGGCATTGTGAATAGCAGCCATCATCCCTCTCCCCTTCCCCACCCTCCATTTCAGCAAGAACCATGAAACAGGTCTTATAAAAAGAAAAAAATTACAATTCTGGAGGTGACCTAGTTGGAAGCCTGAAATTCCATGTTGTGAAACAACTAGAGGCCGGCCCTCTGATCCTTTCTCTGGATGTGCTGAATTCAGCAGGGTGGAAGTGCTAAAACCAGGAGGAGCAATGAAGTCAGTGTTGAGAAGAACATGCAGCTGAGAAGCCAAGTGGGAGACCGGGACACTGCTCTGATTGAGGATAATGTATGTTACACTGTACCCACTCCGTTAAGCACAATAAATCTCCTTTTTCTTGAAAGGCAATAATGTTGGGAGATTACTTCTGGTTCCAGCTGACATAAAGAGAGTCACTCTACGCTGTCGTCTAAGATGAGGAGATGAGTGTTTTCTTTTAAATAGAGGCCTCTCAAACAGCCAAGAGCCTGAACACCCTCTCAAATCCATTTTCACTCCTCCATTTTCATTGCCTCACTCATGAATAATGTAATATTCTAGCTAGCTTTCCTGCCTCTTCTCTCTACAGTCTTACAAGCCATCCCATATTCAGATGCCAGATTAAACTTCCTAAACCTCATCAGCAACCATATTACTTCACTGCTCCTATTTTCCCCAGTTTATTATTAATCCTCTGCTTCTAAGATTCTTCAGTGGCTCTCCACTGAATATAGGTTAAAATTCAAGCTCCTAAACTTGGCAGACAAGACCATCCATCTCATCCATCTTCCCCACACTCTCAAACTCACCCAACATTCCAGTCAACCTGTACAACTTGAGTTGCTCAAGTTCAGTGGGAAATAACAAGCCCACACCCTATCATACATACACCAACCTTGTAGTTCCACCGCACAGAAAGTATTTTCCCAAACTGCAATCTTTGCATGCGTCGCTCCCTCTGCCAAGAAATGTCTTTCCCAGTTCTCCTTTTTGAAAAATTCCAACATCCCCTTGAGATCTCATTTCAATTGTTTACCTACTTTTGAAAATCTACTGCTCTGATCCTTTATCCTGAGCTACTATGTCTCAAAAGCACCCTGTAGGCCAGGCACGGTGGATCACACCTGTAATCCCAGCACTTTGGGAGGCTGAGGTGGGTGGATCACTTGAGGTCAGGAGTTCTAGAGCACCCTCGCCAATGTGGTGAAACCCCTGTCTCTACTAAAAAAAAAAATACAAAAATTAGCCAGGTGTGGTGGTGCATGCCTGTAGTCCCAGCTACTCAGGAGGCTGAGGCAGGATAATCACTTGAACTCAGGAGGCACAGGTTTCAGTGAGCCGAGATGGCGCCACTGCATTCCAGCCTGGGTGACAGAGATTCTGTCTCAAAAAACAAAAACAAAACACAACATCCAGTACATAATTCATCATACCATGCACCACAAGGAACATGACTGTAAATTGGATTTAGTGTGTCATCAAGTCTAGGACCAAATAACATCACTGGCTCCAAGATGTCTAGTAAACCTTCTAAAATGAATATCTTGAAGCTAAAGCAAAGATCTCAGCAATGAGCTGATTTTTCCTGCTGGACCAGATAATGCCCTCTATATTCCCTGATACAGAACATTCTGCCTATTATATAAGCTTTGTCCAGAATATATTTTGGAGCTAGGCAGAAGGTAATCATATTGCACATTCATTCACTCATTTACTCACTCATCAAATATTTATTGAATGTCTACAATGACTATAATAAAACAAACAAAGCAAACACTGTCCCTATCCTCAAGAAGTTTTCATTCTAGCAAAGAAGACACTGAACAACCATAATTATAAATTAATAATTACAAACGGTGTAAGTGATGTGAAGGGGATGTACAGACTACTAAACCTGACGATCAGTCCCATTTTGTAAGAACTATCAGCATAATCTGACACAATTGATCACTCCCTGTATTAGTCTGTTCTCGCATTACTATAAAGAAATACCTAGGCTCGGCACAGTGGCTCACACCTGTAATCCCAGCACTTTGGGAGGCCTAGGTGGGTGGATCACCTGAGGTCAGGAGTTCAAGACCAGACTGGTCAACATGGTGAAACCCCGTCACTACTAATAATACAAAAAAATTAGCCAGGTGTGGTGGCGCACGCCTGTAATCCCAGCTACTCAAGAGGCTGAGGCAGGAGAATCGCTTGAACCTGGGAGGCGGAGGTTGCAGTGAGCTGAGATCGCACCACTGCACTCCAGTCCAGCCTGGGCAACAGAGCAAGACTCCGTCTCAAAAAAAAAAAAAAAAAAGAAAGAAATACCTGAGACTGGGTAATTTATAAAAGAGGTTTAACTGGCTCACAGTTCTGCATGCTGTACAAGCATGGCTCCAACATCACTTGGCTTCTGGGGAGGCCTTGGGGAGCTTGTACTCACGGTGGAAGGTGAAGAGGGAGCAGGCACGTCACATGGCAAAAGCAGGAACAAGAGAGCCAGGTGGTGTGCTACACACTTTTAAAAACGAGATGAGAACTCACTCACTATGGTGAGGGCAGTACCAAGGAGGATGGTGCTAAACCGTTCAGGAGAAAGCTGCCCCCATGATCCAATCACCTCCCACCAGACCCCACCTCCAACACTGGGGGTGACATTTTGACATGAGATTTGGGTGGAGACAACATCCAAACTGTATCACTCCCCAAGCTCCTTCTTCAGTCGGCTTTCATCTCCTCTTTCATCTTCCTTTCATCTTCCTACCTTACTCTCCTATGTGGGTCTTCCTCTTCTTCCCAACCTTTCAATGTTGAAATGGACAATAGTCCTTTCTCTTCTACTCACTGCCTAGATGGTATCATGTAGTTTTGTGGCTTTTTATATGTTCTATATGCTGATAACCCACAGATTTTTTTATCTCCAACCTGGACCGCTCTCCTGACCCTCATTCACCAGGCCTGCTGCCTAATGACTGTCCCCACTTGGATGTTCAAACACAACACCCCACACAATTCCTAAGCTTGCCCTCCATCTGCTCTATCTGCAGCTTTCTCCATCTCAGTTCCTGGCGACTCCACTGTTCTAGTAACTCAAGCCAGAAATCTTTATTTTTTTTAAATTTTTTTTTTTTTTTTTTTTTGAGTTGGAATCTCACTCTGTCACCCAGGCTGGAGTGCACTGGCGTGATCTCGGCTCACTGTAACCTCCACCTCCCGGGTTCAAGCAATTCTTCTGCCTCAGCCTCCTGAGTGGATGGGACTACAGGCACGCGTCACCATGCCAGGCTAATTTTTTGTTTTTAGTACAGATGGGGTTTCACCATGTTGGCCAGGCTGGTCTCGAACTCTTGACCTCAGGTGATTCACCCACCTGGGCCTCCCCAAAGTGCTGGGATTACAGATGCGAGCCACCGCACCAGGCTATTTTCCAGAAATCTTGGAGTCACTGTTGACTCTTTCTCTCACATCCCAAAGGCAATCCATCAGCAGATACTGTTGGTTCTACCTTGAAAATATATCAGAATCTGGCCACTGTCCACCACCTTTACTGCTGTCATCCTGGTCACAGCCACCAAAATCTGTGCCTCAGTTCCTGCAATAGCCTCCTAACTGTTCCCCCCTTTGCCCCTCAAGAATCTAGGCTCATCAGAACAGCCAGAGAGGTTTTTTAAACATTTAGGTTTGATCAGGTCCCTTCTCTGCTTGAAAACCTGAAACAGCTCCTCATTTCACCCAGAGTAATCTAAGACCAAGTCTTGGCAAGGGCCTATAACATCTGACCCCCATTTCCTTATGGACATCGTCTCATTTTCTACTCCTCTTCCCTCACTCTGGCGACACTGGTCTTCTCCCTGCTCTTGCATCATGCCAGCCATACTAGTCCACAGGACCTATCCACTGCTGCTTCCTCTGCCTTGCATGTTTTCCCTCAGATAACCTTTGGCTAACTGTATTACCCCCAAGACTAACGGTATGCTCAAATGTCAAAGTCTATGCTCAAACGTCACCTTCTCAGAAAGGCCAAACCTACCTTCCCTGGTGGTCTGACGGTTAGGACTTGGCACTCTCAGAAAGGCCAAACATCTCTTTTCTTTCTTTTTTTTTTTTTGAGATAGGGTTTAACTCTGTTGCCCAGGCTGGAGTGCAGTGGTATGATCACGGCTCACTGCAGCCTTGAACTCCTAAGGCTCAGGTGATCCTCCTGCCTCAGCCCCCTGAGTAGTTGGGACGACAGGCGCACACCACCACACCCTGCTACTTTTTGTAGATATGGAGTTCTGCCATGTTGCTCAGGCTGGTCTCGAACTCCTGGGCTCCAGCGATCGGCCTGCTTTGACCTCCCAAAGTGTTGGGATTACAAGCAGGAGCCAACACTCCTGGCCTAATGCCAAACCTTTCTACTCTATTTTAAATTGCCACCTTCCTTCCTCAATGGCTGAGACTCCAATCCCCCTTCCTTTGTTCTGTTTTTCATAGCATATTACCTTTAGCATACTATATACTTTGCCATTCATCATGTTGTCTATTGTATCTCTCCCAATTAGACTATAAGTTCCATAAGGACAGCGATTGATATCTCTTTTGTTCTCTGATGTATCTTCAGCAAACAGAGCACAGCTTGGCATAAAATAAGTGTCCGATGAATGTTTATTGTATGAATAAAATTTAAAATTCTTAAGAGTCAAAGAAGGCTTTTTCTGACTTTGTTACCCCAGGATCCCAAAGACCTACAGGTTAGGGAAGTAGAGGAAAGGGCAGAGGGGAGGACAAAGTACAAATGGTGGTAACAAACTCTTAAATCTCCCACACTAAATGGTAAACTCCTTGAGGGTAAGGATTGTGTCACATTCATCTTAGTACCCATGTTGCCTTGCACCGAGTAGATAGTTAATAAATTATCTGTCAAATGCATAACAACTGAATAGTGCAGAGAACTGTGCCTGGCATGTAAGAATGAATGTTTGGAAAATGAATGAATGTAAAGTGAGAAGTCAGCTGGGCACAGTGGCTCATGCCTGTAATCCCCGCACCTTTGGAGGCTAAGGCAGGCAGATCTCCTAAGGTCAGGAGTTCAAGATTAGCCTGGCCAACATGGTGAAACCCCATCTCTACTAAAAATACAAAAATTAGCTGGGCATGGTGGCCTGCGCCTGAAATCCCAGCTACTTGGGAGGCTGTGGCCTGAGAATCGCTTGAACCTGGGAGGCAGAGGTTGCAGTGAGCCAAGATCGCACCACTGCACTCCAGCCTGGGCAACAGAGCAAGACTGTCTCAAAAATCAAAAAAGAAAGTGACAAGTAACATAAGGGAGGTACAAAGAGGGAAAATAATATGTTAGAACTTTGTTACCTCAGAGACCTCCCTTTTTAACTTCCTAACTCTCTGTATCAACTTTAATGACAACAGTGATGTGAGGAAGGGTAATTGAGAAAGGGTGAGAAAAGGCAAAGAAGTTGAAAAAGAGAGGCACCATAAAGTGTAAGCTTTTAAGTTTTTTGGCTGTGACCCATAATAAGTAACATTTTCATATATGAAACAAAAGCTTATGAAACAATACTGACCCTTCCTCCATGCAATCCACTCTAATATTTTCTATTCGATTCCACTAGAAATAAAACAAAACAACAACAAAACAACTCTGGCTGCTACTCACTAAATCAATTTCACAATCCACTAAATTGATTTCATGCCTCACCAACGAGTCTTGACATATAGTTTGAGAAATATTGAAGAAGTGCCTTTTTCACTCTCATCTTTTTCCCCACTGCAAAAAACAACACTCTTCAGAAAATCTTAAAAGAATTGTCTGCTACAGAAACATAAAGGAAACAAAGAAGCAATAAAACATGGTTTTGGTCCCACAGTGAGGACCAGGGAAGAAAGGAGTCTTGGTCAAATTGCAGAAGAAAGGAATTTAACCAAACTGATTCCTGGACTACTTAGAAGAAAAAGAAAGATGGTGATTGGAAAGCTGGCTGCAACTGTCAAATATTCCTAAGAGTTACCTCAGCAGCATGCCCCAGTACTCAGTAAATTCTCACCCATAGTCCTTTGTTTCCCATCGTCTACACCACAGGCCACAGAATCTTCAGTACTGCTTGGAGCCGGGGAACTCCCTTTATCCAGTACATAGCAGATAGGAAGCAACTCTGGATATGTTCCACACAGCTATATGCGGCAGTTCAGTTCAAGAGTACCACCAGGGCTTTAATAATACTTTGCATAAATGCTGGATTAAATATGCTTTTAAAACCTAACTTCTACCAACCTAGACATACACTAGGTAAAAAGGCCAAAGAAGTATCCCCAATACCCATGTCTGCTGCGTGATAACTGTCCAATCAATAGTTGTTGGATGATGAATGAATAAATAAAATAATGCCAGAAGAAAGAAGAATGGGAATAAACAATATACTAATATAAGGGTCCTTACAGGATATAGAAAGATGTTAAATGATACGACTGGGAGAATCAGGAAAATCTGGAATGACAGAACTCCTATAAGATAAACGACCTGGTTTTTCAAGAAATAAGTGGCAAGAAAAAAAATGAGTGTAACTGCTTTAGATTAAAAACACTTGAGACTTATCAAACAAATGCAATGTATGGAACAATTTAGATCCTGATGTAAATAAACCAACTGCAAAGAAAACATTTATGAGACACTTGAGGGAATTTGAACACTGACTAGATATTAGATGATATTAAGGTATGTTTGTTAGCTATGATAATAATTTTGTCTTTTTAAAGAGACCGAATCATTTAAAAATACATATTGAAGTATGTACAGATGAAATGATGCTATGATTGAGATCTGCTTAAAAATAATGTGGCGAGGGCCAGGCGCATTGGCTCAGGCCTGTAATCCCAGCACTTTGGGAGGCCGAGGCGGGTGGATCACTTGAGGTCAGGAGTCCGAGACCAGCCTGGCCAACATGGCAAAACACCCTCTCTACTAAAGATACAAAAATTAGCCGGGCACAGCGGTGGGCGCCTATAATCCCAGCTACTCGGGAGGCTGGGGCAGGAGAATCACTTAAACCTGGGAGGTGGAGGCTGCAGTGGGCTGAGATCGTGCCACTGCACTCCAGCCTGGGTGACAGAGTGAGACTCTGCCTCGAAAAAATAATTAATCAATTAATTAATTAATTAATAATATAATAATAATCTGGTGAGGTTAGAAGTGGAGTTAAAGGGAGATGGAGATGTGAGGGCTGGTAAAACTAGATTGGCCATGTGGTGAAATCGCTGAAGCGGAATAGTACGTGATGTACTACTCTCCCTACTTGTATACATGTTTGTACATATGTTTGACTTTTTTCATAATTAAAAGTTTGAAAAATATGCAACAAAGGGCTTTAGAGGTTATTTATAATACCTAATTTTATATAAGGGGAAGCTAGGTACAGACAGCTACTGCAGCTCACACAGCTAAGAAGAATATGTGCAATACAGAAACTTAATTATTTTTATTTTTTCGAGGGACTGGTTCTTTATTTCATAAAGACACTTGTCAATATTCAGTATCAAAACTGCTGCACTATCGATTTTTCTTTCTCCCAGTTGGCCCCAAAGAGACCACATCACAGGCTAGTACATTTTAAACCAATAAGCTGCAGGATGTACACCTAACAGACTGCATAGAAACCTTGCCAGGGCAAGGAGCAGTGGCTCATGCCTATAATCCCAGCACTTTGGGAGACCAAGGCGGGTGGATCACCTGAGGTCAGGAGTTTGAGACTAGCCTGGCCAAAATGGCGAAACCCTGTCTCTACTAAAAATACAAAAATTAGCCAGGCATAGTGAAAGGCGCCTGAAGTCCCAGCTACTTGGGAGACTGAGGCATGAGAATCGCTTGAACCCGGGAGACAGAGGTTACAGTGAGCTGAGATCATGCCACTGCACTCCAGCCTGGGCGACAGAGCAAGACTCCATCTCAAAAAAAAAAAAAAAAAAAGAAGGCTTACCAGAAAGTGGGGATTGTGTAGGAAAGAAACCTTAAAAGAAGAGCAAACTGCCAGCCCACGGACTACAGAGGCTATCACAGCCAGATGGGGGTGACCAGGGTGCCACAAACCCAAAGAAGCAAAGAGAAACTGAATAATTTTAAATACTAATGTGATGTTTGGATATTTTATCAAAATTACTTCTAGCAGGGCACAGTAGCTCACGCCTGTAATGCCAACAATTTGGGAGGCCGAGGTGCAAGGATTTCCTGAGCCCAGGAGTTCGAGACCAGCCTGAATAACATGGCAAGACCCCATCTCCACACACACATACACACAAAAACTGAAAAACTAGCTGGGCATGGTGGTATGCACCTGTGGTTCTAGCTATTTAGGAGGTTGAGGCAGGAAGATGGCTTGAGCCCAGGAGGTCAAGGCTGCAGTGAGCTGTGATCATGCCACTGCACTCCAGCCTGGGTAACAGGGCAAGATCTTATCTCAAAATAAATAAATAAAAATCAGTTCTATCATTTCTTTACATGAACTATATTATATGGTTAATTGAGAATCTGGAATACAGAATAAGTATGCTAATAAGAAAATTAAACAAAATGTGACACCAAGAATATGAAAGCTCAAAGGCTCTCACAGAAGAAAAGATACAGATGGAATTAATTTCCATAATTAACAGATTATGGAAATCTATTTGAACTTTACAATCAAGAGTTCACACATTTGAGGAGTATCTAGGTAGATTACTTCTCTGGTTGCATTATATTTGTATGGTTTATTTGCCCTAACAAAATTTGTAAACCACTAAGGGCAGAAACAATATGGTATTGCTTAATTCTCCAATAGTTCCAAGTTTGAGATATGACTAAAAAGTAATATTTCAATTTTAATAAGCATTTAAAAACTTACATGGAGATTTTATGGTAGTTCAGAATAAGTTACCAACTTACCAAGTCCACTTAGTAGATAGGAACATTACACAAAAATTTCCAGCAAATCAAGTAAGACCTTAATGCTTTAACTATCACATTTAATACTAACACAGCATTAAGTAGTAGAAAGGATGCAAGAACTAAAGTTAAAAAAAGGGAAGAAACTGCATATATATTATGATGAAAAGCATTCCCATTATTGACAAGAACACAACAAATATAGGTCCCATCATTGTTACTATTCAACATTGTTCTAAAAGGATTAGCTAATCTAATAAGAAATGGAAAAATAATTTAACATATAACAAAAAGGCAGAAACACAGTTGTCACTTTTTGTGATAAGACTTTAAACCTAAAAAAACTAGGAGAATCTGCAGAAAACTTCAGTACTAATAAGAGAGTTCAGTTTACTAGTATATTTGTAATAAAGGTATATAGTTTTTATGTTAATATATACTTTAACAAATTAGAAAATATATTGAAAAAATATAAATATAAAATATCTAGTAATATATTTAATTAAAAATGGATGGGACTAGTCTTCTGCTTTTGGAAATATGTTTTCTTTTTTTCACTGCTAGGAGCCAGCATCCCTAACACCACATTGTTCATGGATCAACTATATGGTGACTTATATACTCTAAAGGGCTGTCTTATTACAATAAAACTATAAATAAGCAATAAACATTTCTTAAAAGCATTGCTGGGCTCTCAATAAGTCAAGAGAAAACTACTGGTGAAGGCTAGAGAGGAAGAGAGAGGAGAGTGCAGTAAAGCAAGAAAAAGGAAACCAAGGATGTAAGAATTGGAATATTATTATAGATTATATTATTACCTGCACAGAAAATCCAGGAGACTCTAGATAAATTATTAGACTCAACAAGAAAGTTTAGAAAGGTAGCTGCCTATAATGTTTAAATGCAAAAACATTTCTATACACCCTAGCACCAAACAGAAAATATAATTTTTTTTTTTTTTTTGAGATGGAATCTCGCTCTGTCGCCCCGGCTGGAGTGCAGTGGCACGATCTCGGCTCACTGCAAGCTCTGCCTCCCAGGTTCATGCCATTCTCCTGCCTCAGCCTCCCAAGTAGCTGGGATTACAGGCGCCCGCCACTATGCCCGGCTAATTTTTCTGTATTTTTAGTAGAGACAGGGTTTCACCATGTTAGCCAGGACGGTCTCAATCTCCTGACCTCGTGATCCGCCCACCTCAGCCTCCTAAAGTGCTGGGATTACAGGCGTGAGCCACTGCGCCCAGTCTAATTTTTTTAAAAGATACCATCTAGGCCAGGTGTGGTGGCTCACGCTTGTAATCCCAGCACTTTGGGAGGCCAAGGCAGGAGGATCATCTGAGGTCAGGAGTTCGAGACCAGCCTGGCCAACATAGTGAAACCCTGTCTCTACTAAAAATATAAAAATTAGCTGGGCGTGGGGGCGAGTGCCTGTAATCCCAGCCATTCGGGAGGCTGAGGCACAAGAATCGCTTGAGCCTCAGAGGCAGAGGTTGCAGTGAGCTAATTGTGCCACTGCACTCCAGCCTGGGCGACAGAGTGAGACTCTGTCTCAAAAAACAAACAACAACAAAGATACCATCTAGAATTGTAGCTGCCTCAAAACGAGACGGTTAGAAAGTGTTCCCTTCCCTAATGTTCCCATGCTCATATAAGTCCTTTAGAATTCAGGGACTTCTGGCCTGGGGCAGTGGCTCACACCTGTAATCCCAGCACTTTGGGAGGCCGAGGCAGGTGGATCCCTGAGGTCAGGAGTTTGGGACCTGCCTGGCCAACATGGTGAAACCCCCTCTCTACTAAAAATACAAAAATTTGCTGGGCATGGTGGCAAACGCCTGTAAACCCAGCTACTCAGGAGGCAGAGGTTGCAGTGAGCCGAGATTATGCCACTGCTCTCCAGCCTGGGCGACAAGAACGAAACTCCGTCTCAAAAAAAAGAAAAGAAAAGAATTCAATGACTTCCACATTTCCCTCTTCCCCAAATTCCAGGTTTTGAAGACAGTGTAGTGCTTTTGGCTAGAGACAATTATTAAACTTTTCTCTTATCTTGTCTCTTCAATATAGGGAGTTGTTATTTGGTACTTGTATTTCATATTCCCAGTTATTCTATATAATCCATGTACATTTGACCATATATTAAATGTACTACAGGTTTATTTGCCAGCCATTATTTTCTCTCCTCTTTTTTCTGACTCCTATCTTGAAAACTCTCTGTTCTGACAGATTTGCTGCTTGGTTAACAGCCCTTTCTACAAGACTCTTCTCAAGTGTGGTAGCATATCCACATATCTTCCCTTCATCTTGTCAATAAGTAACTATCTTGGCTGAGTCCCTTTGTATCAGCAACGTACAGATGTTATTCCACTGCCTTCTAGTTTCTGGCATTGAAGATAAAAGAGTCTGCAATCATTTTCCTTTGTAAGTAACATATATTCTGCCTGAAGGCTTGGAAGATTTTTTTATCCTTGAAATTCTGAGGTTCTCCCAGATGTCTTTCTCCCCCTCATAAATTCAGCCTCAAATTTGGTAAACCTTTTAGTTTACATCCATATCGGTCTTTCTTCAGCTCAAGGGAACTGTTTCCTATTATTCATTCAATTATTGTTTCTCCTCTATTTGTTCTCTTTCCAGACCTCCTTCTGGGACTCCTGGTATTTGCATGTGAAGTTCCCCGGATGTGTCTTCTAAGTCTCTCTCCATTTACTTCAGGGTGTTTCTGCTCTTCTGAGATACTTCTTGCACTAGAATATCCAAGCTGCTTACCCAGGTGTTACTCAACATCCAACCCTTCAACTATTACATACATATATATGTATATTTTAAAAACACAATCTATTTTTAGTTCCAGAGAGCATTTTTCATATTATATTTCAATCTCTTATGTCAGGATTTTTGTTTTTAAATTGAGATATTTTTTCTTTAACAGTTTGATTTCACTGAAAACTGCTATTCTGGGTGTTGGTGTTCTGTTTATTTTTTCCATGTCTGGATATTGGGTCCTCTTAGCTGTACTGCAATTTTTCTTTGTTTCCTTATAGCACTGTTCACCCTTATATAGTTCGTTTGTTTGTTTGTTTTTTGAGACAGTCTCACTCTGTCGCCCGGGATAGTTTAAATGATGCCAGCTTTGCCAGCAGTAGTAAGTTATCATATCAGATATACCAGTCACTGAATCTATTTTGGGACTTGAAGAAGTCTCTGAGGTCTCCTCACTTCCACTCCTCAAGGATAGGAAATACTTATCTTGCCTGTTGAGTCACCCTGTTGAATCCTCAGATCTCCGTGGTCAAAGCCCTTCTGAGTATCTGTTCTTTCTCAAGTTCTCTCACCTGGCTCCATTCTGTCCTCTAGCTCAGAGAGAACAGTCTTTCACAAGCTTCTCAAGTTCCTTCTCTTACAGAATCAAGTCTTACTCATTCCTTCATAGGCTCACCTGCCCACCGTCCTAGCAGCTGCTCCAATCAGGGGAAAGGGAGGGACGGCAGGGACATGAATTCCAGTAGTCATCTAGAAACCCCCTCTGCCGGCAAATTCAGTGAAAAAGATTCCAATTTGCCATCAGTAGAAATGTTTTCAAAAATGTAATAAGGCCGGTGCAGTGGCTCATGCCTGTAATCCCAGCACTTTGGGAGGCCGAGGAGGATATATCACTTGAGGCAAGAAGTTCAAGACCAGCCTGGCCAACATGGCTAAACCCCCTTTCCACTAAAAAAAACTACAAAAATTTTTTTTTAAATGTAATGAAGAATATGAAGACTTTCCAAAGGAATCCAAAAATATCATGCATTTACAAAGATCTGAGTGACTATTACGGGCAGAGCACTACCCTAGGAGCAGAAACACCAGTATTGATTCCTAAGGTGGTTCCTCGTAGAGGGGCCATGTTGATTTTCTGTTTAAATTCCAATGTGAGTATAATCAAGTTTCTGTTCAATTTTTGTTTGTTTGTTTTTTTGAGACAGGATCTCACTCTGTCCTGTCTCAAAAGGCTAGAGTACAGTGGCATGATCACGGCTCACTACAGCCTTAATCTCCAGGGCTCAAGCAATCCTACAATCTTAGCCTCACGAGAAGCTGTGACCACAGGCATGCTCCACTGTGCCCAGCTAACTTAATTTTTTGTAGAGATGGGGTCTCACTATGTTGCCTAGGCTGGTCTTGAACTCCTGGGCTCAAGAGATCCTCCTGCCTCTGCTTCTCAAAGTGTTGGGATTACAAGCACGAGCCACTGCAACTGGCCTGTTACATTTTTAAAGAGTGAAATGAAAAAGTGGTTCCCACTATGCATTCTCTTTTTTTGTTTGTTTTTTAACCCACTTCCTGTTTAGGAAAAAAAAAAATTACCAGCGCTCATTTAATTTTACATAAACACACACGTTGAGGCTGAAGCAAATCTGACTGATTTTCAATGTGAAAACATAAAAGTTATTGAGTTATTTCTAAACAGAACTTGTCTCTAACCCTAATGTAACAGAAATGTATATGATGTTACATTAGAATTAGAGACGAGTATTCTCGGGACAAATGGGAAAACCCTAATGTAACAGAAATGTATATGATGTTACATTAGAATTAGAGACAAGAGTATTCTCGGGACAAAGGGGAAGTGGGTTAGTTGAGACAGGGTCTCACTCTGTCGCTGAGGCTGAAGTGCAACAGCATGACCATGGCTCACTGCAGCCTTCAACCCCCGGACTTAAGTGATCCTCCCATCTCAGCTGGGGCCATAGGTGTGCACCACTACACCTAGCTAGGTTTTTTTTGTGTGTGTTTTTTTTTTTAAGAGGCCTCACTATGTTGCCCAGGCTGGTTTCAAACTCCTAGCCTCAAGTAATCCTCCCATCCAATCTCAGCCTCCCAAAGTGCTAGGATTACAGGAGTGAGGCACCACACCCAGTCCCTCTGCATACTGTTTATCATTAGACATACTTTTCTGCGATGTGATTGCCATTTACATATTTTGTTGCTGTTGTTGAGACAGGGTCTTGCTCTGTTACCCAGGATGGAGTGCAGTGGTCCAATCTGGGTTCACTGCAACCTCTGCTTCCAAAGTTCAAGTGATTCTCATGCCTCAGCCTCCCAAGTAACTGGCTAATTTATCCTATTTTTAGTAGACACGGGGTTTTGCCATGCTACCCAGGCTTGTCTCAAACTCCTGGCCTCAAGTGATCTGCCCATCCTGGCCTCCCAAAGTGTTGGGATGGCATGAGCCATCTGTAACCACACCCGGCACCATTTACACTTAAGATAAAAAGAAGTTAAGGTTTTCATGGGCATTACCCACTAGTACATGGAAAAATGTGTAGTGAAATGTTATCGTCTCTTTTTCTTCCTTTAAGCTACTCTGATATACAAGCAGAGGGTAAGAACCTATAAGAAAGACAGGCTTTCCTTTTTTCTCATTTTTGCTGGCTTTCCCTCATTTTTATATATCTTATTGCCCAGCAAGGAAGCCATCAACTTCTGTTATATCATAACTGTAAATTTGCACACCAAGCCCAGGCATACACAGGTTCTTCTGTCATCTCACAGGGTTCCAGGTACTCTGTGAATTCAGAAGAATTCATGTGAAAGGAAAGATAATCCAGCTTTTTCTAAAGGAAAAAGACAAGGCCAGTAAGAATACAAAAATGTTAAAAAGCATTTGTTAGAATGTGTGAGGAGAAAACAAAAGTATGAGAATCTGCAGAATTTAGGTAGTTTCCAGAAACAAAGATGGAGAAAGAGTTGGGGAAGTGCAGCTTCTCCTGTTGGCCTTCAAAAGATTCTTAAAGTGTTCCGGTGGTCAATGTTCCTACAAAGGCTATTGGCTGAAGAGTCACTCATGTAGTCTAAGCCAAGGCAGGAAGATGATTGAAAAGGATCTTATGTTGTACAATAAAAAGTTGAACTTGTTTCCCAACAAACAGATTGAAGTTAGTATTAACAGTCTACATACTCTCACCCTATCATACCCAAGATGCACCTCAAGAGTGTCAAGGACAGGCCGGGCGTGGTGGCTCATGCTTGTAATCCCAGCACTTTGGGAGGCCAAGGTGGGAGGATCACTTGAGGAGTTCGAGACCAGCCTGGCCAACATGGTGAAACCCTGTCTCTACTAAAAATACAAAAATTAGCCAGGCATGGTGGTGTGCACCTATAGTCCCAGCTGCTTGGGAGGCTGAGGCACAAGAACTGCTTGAACCCAGGAGGCAGAGGTTGCAGTGAGCCAAGATCACACCACTGCACTCCAGCCTGGATGACAAGAGTGAGATTCTGTCAAAAAATAATAATAAGTGTCAAGGACAATACATGAAAATCTAACAAATGAAGTTTTTAAAAATACATACCTGTTTTAGGCCATAATGCATTGACTGCAATTTCACCTTTAAATTCTTCTGCCATTCCAAGCACATACATAGACATACCATACTTAGCAATGGTATAAGCTGAAAGAACCACAAAAAATAATAATTTAATTATAAAAGAAATTAATTTGATTAACTTGTGAGTAGAAATAACCAATTTTTCTATTACTATTTTCTTCCTGATATATGTGTGCATGTATGTATATACATATGTATGTGTATATATCTGTGTGTATATACATATACATGTGTATATATATGCATATACATACAACACACCCACGCACACATATATATCAGGAAGAAAATAGTAATACACACATATATACACACACATACATATATACATATATATACACATACTTTTTTTTTTTTTTTGAGACAGGCTGGAGTGCAGTGGTGTGATTACGATTCACTGCAGCCTCTACCTCCTGGGCTCAAGCAACCCTCCCACCTCAGCCTCCCGAGTAGCTGGGACTATGGGTGTGTGCCACCAAGCCTGGCTAATTTTTCAATTTTTTTGTAGAGACAGGGTTTTGCACGTTGCCCAGCCTGGTCTTGAACTCCTGGGCTCAAGCAATCCACCTGCCTTAGCCTCCCAAAGTGCTGGGATTACAGGTACGAGCCACCGTACCCAGCCTCCCTGATATATTTTTGAGAATTCTTTTCAATAATATAAAATATAACTTTTCACTGTACTATTTTGTAAAGAACAGGTTTTATAGAAGTGAACAGAGATGAAATCATTTTATATATCTCCCTCCTAATATTTGATTAAAATAAAAGTGACAGTAATAAACTTTCATTTTTCTTAATACTATGAGGGTAAATTACATTATTATCTCTTAATATGTTTCTTTTTTTGAGATACAGTTTCACTCTGTTGCCCAGGCTGGAGCACAGTGGTGCAATCTTGGCTCACTGCAAACTCCACCTCCCAGGTTCAAGTGATTCTTGTGCCTCATCCTCCGAGTAGCTGGGATTACAGGTGTGCACCACCATGCCCAGCTAATTTTTGTATTTTTAGTAGAGATGGAGTTTCACTATGTTGGCCAGGCTGGTCTCAAACTCCTGACCTCAAGTGATCTGCCTGTCTCGGCTTCCCAAAGTGCTGGGATTACAGATATGAGCCACCATGCCTGGACTTTTTTTTTTTTTTAAGAATGAAAGTGTTTATTTAAAGGGAAACTACTGCTAGTAAAACAATAATAAAAAAAGGCTGCAAATGTATTTAACCTAGTCAATTAAAGTGGAACTTCTTTCAGTTTTGCTCTGTGGGTTCCCATTCCAAGTGCCTTTCCAAATGTTAGTGAACTGTGCTGAAATAAAAACTAAGTGTTTGATACAACTATTTTAAAGGAGGCATCTATATGTAAATCTTGTTACTTAGCATATTTACCTTAAACCATTAGTTTGCTATGAAAGGTAATAGGGTTTTTTTGTCGTTTTTTTTTTTTTTTTTTAGAGTCAGGGTCTCGCTCTGTCACCCAGGCAGGAGTGCAGTGCCATGATCCTAGCTCACTGCAGCCTCAAACTCCTGGGCTCAAGCGATCCTCCCACCTCAGCCTTTCAAGTAGCTAGGACTACAGGTGCATACCTGTCTAAGAAAAATAAAGTATCTCATAGATAGTTTTTAACCAACTTTATAGATGAATAAATTACACACAGTAAAACACACTCATTGGGAAATGAAAGAGCTTTCTGAAATGGTAAAAATCTGTATCTTGATTTGGGTGTTGGTTATATACATTTCTCAAAACTCATCAAACTGAACCATTAAGAGCTGTGCATTTTATTGAATGTCAATTATGCCTCAATTTTTTAAATTACAGATAAAAGATGAAGAATCTACTTTCCAAATGCCACTTAATGACTTGGCATAGAAAATTCAATGATGAATGTTATGTGCAGATTGTGATTACATCAGACATACACAGATTTAATTCAAAACAAATTAAGCACAAACCATCCCCTCACCCTACCACCTACCACCTACCACAGTGCTGTTTGAACCAAACTGGATTTAGGTTCAGTGGTGGACTGATATTGAGGATATGAGCAACTTTGCTCTTTTTCAAATAAGGAATACATGCTTTAGATCTGAAAGCAAAAGAAAATACAAGCCAAATTTAATAGCTTTCTAACAATTTCTCCACTTTTTTTTTTAAGAGAGGGGGCCTTGCTCTGTTGCCCAGGCTGGAGTGCATGACTCGATCACAGTTCACTAAAGCCTTGAGCTCCTGGGCTCCTGGGCTCAAGCAATCCTCCCACCTCAGTTTTCCGAGTAGCTGGAACTACAGGTGTGCAGCACCACCATGCCCAGCTAATTTCTGTACTTTTTTTTTTTTTTTTAGAGACAGGGTCTAGCTTTGTTGCCCAGGCTGGTCTTGAACCCCTTGGACTCAAGCACTCCTCCT
Source organism: Homo sapiens (assembly GCF_000001405.40). Classification (NCBI taxonomy): domain Eukaryota; kingdom Metazoa; phylum Chordata; class Mammalia; order Primates; family Hominidae; genus Homo; species Homo sapiens. The sequence goes on along the minus strand of NC_000009.12, from coordinate 112,416,523 downwards.
ACCTCAGACTCCCGAAGTGCCAGGATTATAGGTTTACAGGTGTGAACCACTGCGACCAGCCAACTTCTTTTTTTTTGTTTGTTTTTTTTTTTAATTTTAAGACAGGGTCTCTCTGTTGCCAGGCTGGAGTGCAGTGGCATGATCACATCTCATTGTAGCCTCTGCCTCCCCAGCTCAAGTGGTCCTCTCACCTCAGCCTCCTGAGTAGCTGGGACTACAGGCATGTGCCAGCATGCCCAGCTACCTGGATAGTTTTTGTAATTTTTTTTTTCTTTTTTTAGAAACAGGGTCTTGCTATGTGGCGCAGGCGTGTCTCAAACTCCTGGACTCAAGCGATCTACCCGCCTCAGCCTCCCAAAGTACTAGGATTACAAGTGTGAGCCATCATGCCGGGCCAATCCACTTTTTTTTTTTTTTTGAGACGGAGTCTGGCTCTGTTGCCCAGGCTGGAGTGAAGTGGCACAATCGCTCACTGCAAGCTCCGCCTCCCGGGTTCATGCCATTCTCCTGCTTCAGTCTCCTGAGTAGCTGGGACTACAAGGCGCCCGCCACCACGTCCGGCTAATGTTTTGTATTTTTAGTAGAGACGGGGTTTCACCGTGTTAGCCAGGATGGTCTCGACTCCTGACCTCGTGATCCACCCACGCTCCGCCAAGATACATTTTAAACTACTCCTACAGAGTAACTGAACTTGCTCAGAAATCTGTAGGGAACTGTTTGTTTGTTTTGTTCATAGGGTACTTTTGTTTGCTTTCTAGAATTAAGACAGAAAAAGCAACTAATTTTCATCCTTTGAAATTCTGCTTAATGGCCTGGCAACATGATCTGCTTGATGGAAAAAAACAAATCCTTGATATACTAGCCTTAAGCCCAACTGAGGTTATCCGCAACCACAACCATCCCAAATTCTGCCTCCCTAACACACATATGTAATTTTCAGAGATAGTTAATATACTTGTCGGTCAGCACAGTGGTAAATAACATGAGTGTTCAAGTCAGACAGACCAGGGTTCAAATTCTGCTTCTGCCCCTTCATTGTGTGACCCTGGGAAAATTGTATAGCATTCTAATGCTCAGTTCTCTCCTCTGCAAATGTTGGTAAAAGTCACTACCTTCTATGATTGACCAAGAGATTAAAATTAGATGATATATATGAGATACTTAGGACAATGTATATACTAAACATGAAATAAACAATCGCTGTTGTTAGTATTATGTATGCTGATTTATTTCATCTTAATAGGCATAGTACTTCTACTACATTGGAACTGTAATTTAGTAATATAACTCTCATTACATTCCCAAATTTAATTTTCACCAATATAAAATATGCCTTTGGGTGCAATACATAGCTTTATTTTTAAAAAGTCACTCATTAAGGTAGGTAATTTATTTAAGATTCAGATTCAATATTTCTAAAATGTTAATTTTTACATAATGTCAGCAGCTAAATAATATATTATAGCTTAATTTATAGCTTTATTTTAGCTACAAATTTAGCTTTCGTTTACATTCAATGACTTCTAGGACTTCTAGGACTCTGAACTTGTCCATTCTTTTTTTTTTCTTTACCCTGAACCAGGAGCTGTGAATGAACTAGTTCATTCTTCTTTCAAGTCAGTTTTTTAATTACCAAATGTACAATACTGGTGTTAAAAACAGCAACATCTTACCAAGCTTACCAAATATAATCAATACCACTAGAGGGGTTTTGGTAGATACTGTTTTCATTTCCAAAGGTGCTTCACTTTTATGGAGGTGAGGTGAGGTGGGGCAAACAATATTACAGCTGAGTTTCATTAAAACAGTGAAACTGCAACTCGAAGCATCAAGAAGAAACAAACTAAATCTACTCCAGTAAATAAGACCATATTTTACACTCAAAGGAAAGAGCTCATTTCATTTACATTCTAAACATGGGCTTTCCTTTGATCTATGGGACAAGACCTTTCCATCTGCACTTTGCTGGCCTGGACCTCAACATTGCTAATCCTACATCAGGTGCATCTGTCACAGTAGCATGCCCTCTTATATATTATATTGAAAACTCTTAGCACCACACTTAGATACTGATACCTTCAGCCGAATAAAATAGTTACGTTTACTGAAAACCTAACTATGTGCCAGACTCTGTTTTTATTACCTTTCATGAATTATTTTACTTACTTGGGGTTTCAAACTCAAAGACCTGTAAGGCATTTGAGTAAATGAATAAAGTGAGTTGGTGTAAAAACTAGAGGTTCCTCTTCAAAGACTTTCCTCCCTGTCTAATTAGGAATAAATAGTAACTTCTCTTAGAAGCAAAATGTATTCAAAGACCCGTACTAACATTCTTAAATATCTGCTAGCCATGATAAAGAAATCAATGTACTTTAAGTTCTTAGCTCCCACAATTTAGCCTAAATATTTGCCCTGGCATGCATATACTGGTCCAAGCAAGCATTAGGTCATAGCCTGTTCCTCTTCCTTATTTGAAGGTGTTTTTACCGTTCTCAGCATTCCACAAGTTACCTCCTCCTTCCTTTGTTCTCCTCTGCCTTTGCCTCTTTTTAAAAAAAGTTCTAAGTTGCTAGCCAACCGGGACAAATACAGAACGTCAGGTCCCGTTCCAGCCAATGGAAACCGGACACAGCAGTAGGGTGGACGCGTCAGGTTATAAATGACCCTGTCTGCTTTGATCGGTGTACTCTTGTGGCAAAACTGCTGGCAAGTATACCCTTTCTGCAGAAAGTATAAAAACGGCCTTGCTGAGTAAATTAAATTTATGTTCAAGTGCTATTTCTTTATGGCACCAGGGAACAAGCATTTCAAACAGCTGGGAATAAGAAAAATCAACTGTTCAGAGATACAACTGAACCTTACTACTAAGCTTCTAAAAGCATTTAACATGATACAAACAATGTAATACTGGAGAGTATATAATAAATTAAATTGAAAAATACAAATTAAAAAAGAAATGTGTTCTGTGAGTTACCAGGGAAGTAAAAATAAAATAAAATAGAAATATTTCTTTTCTTTTCTTTTTTTTCTTTTTTTTTGAGAGGGAATTTCGCACTTGTTGCTCTCGTTGCACTCTTGGAGTGCAATGGCGTGATCTTGGTTCACCGCAACCTCTGCCTCTTGGGTTCAAGCAACTCTCCTGCCTCAGCCTCCCGAGTAGCTGGATTACAGGCGTGTGCCACCACACCTTGCTAATTTAGTATTTTTAGTAGAGACGGGGTTTCTCCATGTTCGTCGGGCTGGTCTCAAACTTCCGACCTCATGTAATCTGCCCGCCTTGGCCTCCCAAAGTGCTGGGATTACAGGCGTGAGCCACCACACCTGGCCAAAATAGAAATATTTCATTATGAATTTTCATTTTATAACATACTTTTCATAGAAGGCCAAAAATCTGACACTTTTCTTTGACCCAAAAGTCAGTGTGAGGTCTTTCATTTGGCATTTCAATCTGCTTTTAACTGGGAGCAATATTTAATTTTATTTAGTGTTTTTTTTTTAAGTGGCTGTTTATAAAGGTAGGAACTTTCAATAGTGAATAGAATCTTTGTGCGAGAGTTTTAATTTTAACTGTAATTTTTTTTAAAACAGAGACAGGGTTCACTATGTTGCCCAGGTTGATCTCAAACTCCTGGGCTCAAGTAATCCGCCTGCCTCGGCCTCCCAAAGTGCTGAGATTACAAGCGTGAGCCACCCCACCTGGTCTGTTTTGTTTTTAATTGCACCTTCACATCTAAAAATGTGGGTTAAGACATCACTTTCATTTTTGAAAAATGACCTCAATATAGGAAAGTAGACCAAATTATTTTTGCCAAATGGGCTTCCAAAGACATAATTTCACAAGGAAAAAACAAAGAGACTTATACATTTATGTACACATCAGTCATAATGTCAGTTTAAAAGGTCAAGTCTATAGTTATGATTACTAATTTTGACAAATCTACATAAAATTCAATGCTTTACTTGTATTGATCATCTCTTGGAAAGAAAACGTATATTTTTAACTTTGTTAGTAGGGAGCAATTCCTAGTGAATGATACAATGAACAAACAATTTCTGCACCCCTGCAAAACATATACCTACATTTGTTTAGATTTTAATAAGTCTAAAATTAACACTGACCACTGCTACAGCACTGTCTATAGTTATGATTACTAGTTTTGATAAATCTGCCTTAAACTTGCCAAGATATTTGTCAATACCTTGGAAGTCATTTCATGTCATGAAAACCCAGTCTAAAACCTTTTTAATCACGTCAAAATTCTCCTGACGCCATATACCTAGGTGTGTGGTACAAGTTTAGCTTGGGACCAGAATTGTTTCAGGTTTCATTCTGAAATATCTGCATTATACTTAACCAGTTCAACATCACTACTCCAAAAATTTGAAATCCTTAATGTTCCAAAGAGCATTTCTTTTGAGCGTCGAGTCAGCACTCAAAAAGTTTCAGATCTCAGAGCATTCTGGATTTGGGATTTTCAGACCAGGGATACTCAACCTGTATATGTATATCTGTGGCTTCATCATCTATAATAGAAACTGCCAGAAATCATTAAACTTATTCACACAACACGCCCTTAACTAAGCCTTAGTTCAACATGTTGAGCAATAATATTCCTGGCTAGGTTTATATTTTTAAGCATTTGTTTAAACAAATACTTAACATTCAATTGAAATTCTTTCACAAAGTTGCCAGCTGTAAAATATTTTTATTCCCATATAATTTTTTCTAGTACCATGACAGTATCACATAGCAACATTGCCTATTTTATTTGAAAATAAACACAAACTCTTTCTAGTTCAAGTTTTTCATCACAATCTATATGCTTGCCATAATAGTTTTTTTCTTTTTGAGACAGAGTCTCACTCTGCTGCCCAAGCTGGAGTGCAGTGGTGTGATCTTGGCTTACTGCAGCCTCCGCCTCCTGGGTTCAAGCGATTCTCCTGCCTCAGCCTCCGGAATAGTCCAGTAACAGGTGCACACCACCACGCCTGGCTAATTTTTTGTATTTTTAGTAGAGACAGGGTTTCACCATGTTGGCCTGGCTAGTCTTAAACTCCTGACCTCAGGTGATCTGCCTGCATTGGCCTCCCAAAGTGCTGGGATTACAAGCATGAGCCACTGTGCCCAGCCATTTGCCATAATTCTTACTACAGTTGGATTCAATATGGTTTCATTCAATAGAGACCTACCTTACATATCGAATTTATAGAAATATGCCTTACATCTACAAACAAGTAAGCTTTCACCCATTTTGCTTGAACATACGGCCCTCTTGGCATAAGTCTCATTTTCCCAATTCAGAGAGAGATGTGGTTATGAGAAATATTTCACTTTCCTCTTTCATATAAGAAAAACAACAGTGTAAATGCAATGATATAACTTGTTAGTCTGTCCTCAGCATCCAGAAGACAACAGAGCTCTGGCCCCATCTGATGAGGCAGTTGATAACCCTGCCACTCAGCTACAGCAACTATTGCCATGTGGTAATGCTTCTCTATTTGGCCAGATCTTCTAAGATTTCAAGAAAAGCTAGAAATCTGGACTTTTGTATAAATCTTCTAATTTTTTCAACATAAGCAACCAATAAAGTTTTTGAGACAGGGTCTCGCTCTGTCACCCAGGCTGGAGTGCAGTAGGGTGATCTCAGCTCACAGCAACGTCCACCTCCCAGATTCAGACAATCCCCCCACTTCAGCTTCCTAAGTAGCTGGGACTACAGGCACGTGTGCCACCATCCCCAGCTAATTTTTCTATTTTTTGTAGAGACAGGGTTTTGCCATGTTGTCTAGGCTGGTTTCGAACTCCTGGGCTCAAGTGACCCGCCTGGCTCAGCCTCCCAAAGTGCTGGGATTACAAGCATGAGCCGCCATGCCTGGCCCTAACTAATAAAACTTTGAATGTAGGTAACTAATGAAAACAATTTTGTTTTAACACTGTCTGGGCCAAGTTTTGCAGACCCAACAAAACATACCTGAGGGAAAAATTCAGGACTCTAACTTAATAACTTAGACATTTAACCCTCGTGACCAACCCTATAACATATTACTGTATTATTGCCATTTTAAAAGTAAAGAAACTGAATCTGCAAGAAGTTAAGTTACTTGTCCAAGGTCACAAAATAGAAAGTCATGAGGGGTGAGTGTTAAGATTTGAATCCAAGCAGTCTTACTCCAGAGCCTAAGCTCCTAACCACCTATTCTGTGTGTTAACAAGATACATGTAAGGTACAGAAGCAAGTTCTAACCTGATGTATCCTGATATCCACATGGAAAATATAGAACCAGAGGGTAAATAAACAGATAAATAAATGGACAATAAGACAGGTTGTCTGATGAATCCAGAACAGATCAAGACTATGTTCTTTCATTCGATAGTCTACATTTCCCCGGCAAAGCCCAAGAAAGTATTAGTGTTTTTATTGGTTACAATAAAGTGTGATTCATAATGAGAATGACCTTACTGTTATTTAAATAACTAAAACCTACGTCTTTTTTTTTTTTTAACGCCAGGTCTTTTTCAGAGGAAGGAGACTATTGCTGGCTTCAGTAATCCTAAATAGTCCTATGAAAGGACTGTGTCCTATGAAAGACAGAGTATACATGTAAGTATTTACACATGCAAATATTTGAGAAAATGCTTGAGCTACACTTTAGTCTTTTTTTTTTTTCTTTGGAGACAGTCTTTCTCTGTTACCCAGGCTGGAGTGCAGTGGCATGATCACAGCTCATTGTAGCCTCAAACTCCTGGGCTCAAGGGATCCTCTTGCCTCAGTCTCCTGAGTAGATGAGACCACCACCACAGTCTCAGTAGCACACAAACCACTATGCCTGCCTGATTTTAAAAACTTTTTTTTGTAGAGACAGCGTCTTGCCATCTTGTGCATCTCAGTCTCAATCTCCTGGCCTCCAATAATACTCCCCTCACCCAAAGTGCTGAAATTACAGGTGTGAGCCACTGCACTCAGCCTACTTTAGTCTTTCCTAAATTCATAGAGAAAAGGAGCTCCAAATAAAGCTATTTAAAATACTATCGGGCTGGGCATGGTGGCTCATGCCTGTAATCCCAGCACTTTGGGAGGCCAAGGTGGGTGGATCACCTGAGGTAAGGAGTTTGAGACCAGCCTGGCCAACATGGTAAAACCCTGTCTCTACTAAAAATACAAAAAATCAACTGGGCATGGTGGTGGGCGCCTGTAATCCCAGCTACTCAGGAGGCTGAGGCAGGAGAATCGCTTGAACCTAGGAGGCAAAGGTTGCAGTGAGCTGAGATCGTGCCACTGCACTCCAGCCTGGGCAACAAGAATGAAACTCCATCTCAAAAAAATAAATAAATAAAAAATAAAATAAAATACTATTGACTGAATGAAGGACTTTTAGACCCTTATAAGGATTGACTAGATTTTGAACTACACTGTTAATTTGGCTCAAATCTGTTTACAACTATGTAAGTTCCCTGAGAAACACCGCAACTTCCTCCCCAACAACTCTTCTTGCAAACTTACGCAAGGTAGGTGCCTCTGGTGTTCACGTTCATCATCAGATCCAATCTCTTGGTAGGTGTGTCCAATGTATTGGTCAAACTAATGGCACTGGCATTATTTACCAGAATATCAATTCCTGTTTTCAAAATAATCAATTTCATTTTAATGAAAGACTTTTTATCACACACAAAAAAAGCGTTTACTCTCTTGAACCCTCAGTTGATTCACAAATACAGTCATGTACCACACCTAACATTTCAATCAACAATGGCCCATATACGCAACATGGTCCCTTAAGATTACAATACTGTTTTTTTATTTTATCTCTTTTCTGTCTAAGTTTGTTCAGATACATACTTACTGTTGTGTTACAAACGCCTACAGTAGTCAGTACAGTAACATGTTATACAGCTTTACAGCCTGGAAGCAATAGGCTATGCCATACAGCCTAGGTATGTGGTCAGCTAGACTATCTATGTTTGTGTAAGTATACTCTATGTTCATACGATCATAAAATCACCTAATAATGCCTTTCTCAGAACATATCCCCATCATTAAGCAATGCATGGCTATACTTCCTTTAGATAATATGACTAACCACTACCAATGCAAGACTGGTAGCTATTTCAAAATAGCACCTGCATGATTGTCACTAGCACAGTGGAGATATAGCCAATTGCCAGAGCTCCATGTGAAACTACAAGGAGGCTTAGTCTTCGGTGGTTTGTAGCTTCCACTCTTAACTGTTCTCTTACCTCCTGGTTGTCCCTCCCTGTCTCCATAAACCTTGGATCAAATTCCTTAAAGTCTTTCTTCCTCTCTAGCATGAAGTTTCAAAGGCCTGTCCTCCCTCCAAGCATAGTAGTCTCCCTTCCCCCAAGGCCCCTCACTTAAAGGGAAAGGCTCCTTTCTGGTCTTGAGAACTGGGAAAAGAGAAAGACCTACTGTTTCAATCCCAGGCAGATCATCAAAGTGGATCAATTTTGTTTTAGTGACTCATACACACACACAAAAAATAAACCTAGAGTAACTACTATTTCTGCAAATTCTATCTAGTTTCTACCTATAACCAACAAGTTTTGCTTATAGTTATATGCTTAGTGAAATAACATTAAAGGAAAATGGTAAAAATACAAAAACTATGTCAAACATTTTTTCTTTGTTTCTACCTGGTCTTCATTATTCTTTGTGAAGTGTACTTAATGATGGTTGTGTAACAATATAATAAACTTCAATGTCACTGAACTGTACACTTAAAAATAGGATGGTAAATTTTATGTTATGTGTATTTTACCACAATTTTAAAAAATTAAATAATAAATTCAAGGCTGGGGACAGTGGCTCATGCTTGTAACCCCAGCACTTTGAGAAGTTGAGGTGGGTGGATCCCTTGAGGTCAGGAGTTTGAGACCAGCCTGGCCAACATGGTGAAACCCCATCTCTACTAAAAACACAAAAATTAGCTAGGCCTGGTGGTGGGCACCTATAGTCCCAGCTTCTTGGGAGGCTGGGGTTGGAGGATCACCTGAGCCCAGGAGGCCAAAGCTGTGGTGAGCCACGATCATGCCACTACATACCAGTCTGGGTGACAGAGTGAGACCCTGTTTCAAAGAAGAAAAAAAAAAGAACTAAAACTGAATGAATATGGGAGAATGAAAAGCTTCAGCTTTCTCCCCTTACGTCCTCTCCAAAAATTAGTGGATAAACTAATTACATCAAATCCTAAGTGGCACTAGTTAACCACTTTTACTACTAGGTGAAGTCATTTTAGATAAAATATCCTGCATTTGAGCGTGGCACATTTCACATTTAGCGCCCTATCAGTTGGACAAACATCATTTTGCATTTTCTCTCCTCTTCTGACACAGGCATTCACATTTCTTTGGGAAAGGCTGCCGGCTAGGGGTAAGATTTTGGATTTAAGGGAAGAGGCTCCACTTGAGCCAAAGCTCCGTGCTTCAGTCCAGCACCCCACAGCACTCTGCATTGGGATTATAAGTACAGCCTTGCTAACACTGAAGCATTCCCTCATTTTCCACTGGCCATTGTCCCTCACATGTACATATGGTCCTCCAGAACATTAGCGGGGAGAGTGGTAATGGTTTAGGCAGGATTTGGACATGCCTAGGTGCCCTACTATAATACCATGAAAGCCTTAGCTCAATCCCCAACACCTTTTTTCTAGGAACTTTTGAACTAATTGGGGAGAAAAGAAATACTAAGATCTAAAATAGTACAAGATAAGGATCAAATGAATGTTTTAAGAAATCAGAGAGGCCGGGCACGGTGGCTCACGCCTGTAATCCCAGCACTTTGGGAGGCTGAGTTGGGTGGATCATGAAGTCAGGAGTTCGAGACCAGCCTGGCCAATGTGGCGAAACCTGTCTCTACTAAATATACAAAAATTAGCTGGGCATGGTGGCAGGCGCCTGTAATCCCAGCTACTCGGGAGGCTGAGGCAGGAGAATCGCTTGAACCCAGGAGGCAGAGGTTGCAGTGAGCCGAGATTGCGCCACTGCACTCCAGCCTGGGTGACAAGAGCAAGACTCAGTCTCAAAAAAAAAGAAAAAAGAAATCAGAGAAAGAAAAATATAATTCTGATTAGTTGGCATGGTGAGGGAACTGACTTTGTGAAGAAGATGAAATTTAACCACATAAAGGAAGAATTTTTTCAAAAACAAATATATAAGGCACAAGTGCAATTTTCTCACATACATAGATTGTGCAGTGTCCAGGACTTTTAGGGTATCCATCACCCAAACAGCAAACATTGTACCGATTAAGTAATTTCTCTTCATCTACCCCCCTTGCATCCCTTCTTTCTTCCCAGTCTCCACAGTCTATCATTCCACACTCTTTTTCTTTTTTTTTTTTTTCTTTTTGAGACAGAGTCTTGCTCTGTCACCCAGGCTGGAATGCAGTGGTGCAATCTCAGCTCACTGCAACCTCCACCTCCCAGGTTCAAGCAATTCTTCCACCTCAGCCTCCTGAGTAGCTGGGATTACAGGCATCCACCACCATGTTCAGCTAATTTTTGTATTTTTAGTAGAGACGGGGTTTCACCATGTTGGCCAGGCTGGTCTTAAACTCCTGACCTCAAGTGATCTGCCTGCCTCGGCCTCCCAAAGTGCTGGGATTACAGGTGTGAGCCACCACGCCCAGCCTTATCAGATGGTTTTAAATCATGTTCTGTGTGAGCAAATACGTATTTCTCCAAAGACTCAGAAAATTCAAAACTCAAAACAAATTTTTAAATTAACATTATAGTTATACCTTTATTTTACCAATATCCAATAATTTTTTCAGAATGAAGGTATTACCTCCAAATTTCTTGATGGCTTTCTCCACTGCAGCACTGATCTGCTGTTCATCTCTCACATCAACAATACATGGCAAGGCCTTTCCTCCAACTGCTTCAACTTATATAAAGGATACAAAATGAAAAAGCGTTAAAGCATTTAAATATTATACCTTTAATTCCAATATCACAGTCAAAAGAAAAAAGTACCCTGTTTTCAGAAAATCAATATAAATAACTCTATCTTACCACCAGTGACTCTACCATATAGCAGGACAGACTAGCTAGGCTAACACTATTAAAAAACAAAAACGAAGGTTTGGTGGGGGTTTCTTTGTAATTTTTTTAAAAAGCTAAAAAAAGGAAGTTTTTTGTTTGTTTGTTTTTGTTTTTCAGACAGGGTCTCACTCTCTTGCCCAGGCTTGGGTGAAGTGGCACAAACACAGCTCACTGCAGCCTCAATCTCCCAGGCTCAAAGGATCCTCCCACCTCAGCTTCCCAAGTAGCTGGGACTATAGGCATGCACCACCACGCCAGGCTAATTTTTCTATTTTTTGTAGAGACACGGTTTTGCCATGTTGGTCAGGCTGGTCTCGCACTCCTGACCTCAAGTGATCCACCCGCCTTGGCCTCCCAAAGTGCTGGGATTACAGGCTTGAGCCACCTCACCCAGTTGAAAGTAATTTTTAAAAACTTTTTATTGTGGAAATATTCTAAACTATATAAAAATGTAAAGATGCTGTAATAAACTAACAGGAATCCATCACCTATCTTCAACGATTGTTAGTTTTGTCAGTTAATATGTTTATCTTTCCTGTCCCCTGTTTTATTTTTTGCTGGTGTGTTTTAAAGCAAATCCCTGACATCATTTCACTCATAAACACTTCACATGCATTCCTCTAACATAACCACAGTGCTCTGAACATGATTAACAAAACTAGCAATGTCAACTGAACTTGAATTTTTAAGCCCTCTCTCCTGGCTCTGTGCCTAGCGCTATGCCTTAAATAGAAGTATGTGATAATTATTTGTCAACTAAAAGTATTAAAATGATGACTTGCAAATTGTACAGAGAATAAATAACACAGAACGCTTTCTCAAAGAGTTCATGCCACTCACCAATCAAATTCTCTCCTCTCTACTCCACTTCCCTACTCCCCCTCCCATCCAAGAACCACTGCCCTCAAGAACCAAGATTTTTTTTTTTTTAAGAGATGGAGTCTCGCTCTGTCACCCAAGCTGGAGTGCTGTGGCATGATCTTGGCTCACTGCAACCTCCACCTCCCAGGTTCAAGTGATTCTCCTGCCTCAGCCTCCCGAGTAGCTGGGTGAAATTACAGGTGTGAGTCACCACGCCCCGCCATGAAATAAGATTTTTAACTGGAGTTTCTCACATTGCTTAAAAGTGCTGGTGGAGAAAAACGGTCAGAAGCACTGCCCCAAGGTGACAACATAAATACTTCTTTCACTAGATAAAATTATGTTCAGGGTAGCTTTCAAATAGCTTTAACTAAACTCTCCAGCAAATTCTCTATGTATTGAAACCACTAGAAAGACATTTTATCAAATGGCACTGTCACACTCACTTTCTTCAGCAGCAGTATAGATTGTGCCTAGAAGTTTTGGATGTGGCTGGGCGGTCTTTGCAGCAATAACAATATTTGCTCCATCCTTTGCTGCTTTCAATGCAATAGCTTTGCCAATGCCACGGCTTGCACCTGTGATAAAAACTGTACATCCTGCCAGCCTCCTACAACAGAACAAATACGACCTTATTAGAAGACCCAATGTTTTATTTACTGACAGGTATCAGAACCTCATGCATATTTTCATAATATATGTTTCCTCCTCTGTGAAATTTTCTCTAAACCCTCCCCATGCCCATCTGATGGCAGATAACTCCACTATACTCCCATTGCACAATGACTGATAAATTATTTATGACAACTGCAGTTGGCCAGTCTTGCTGTGATTTAGCAAACAAAATCTGTTCAAATGCAAAGCAAATCTTCAAGAGAAATAAAGAATTATAAAACAAATTATATAAACATGCATTTTTTTCCCCACAGAAAACGTGTTAATAAAGCTTTTTTTTTTTGAGTGGTGGGATTATGAGCAAATTTTATCACATCCTTTATATTCTTTAATATTTTTCAAAGTTTCCACAATGACTACATACCACTTAAAATAAATTACCTAAAAGCAAATAATTGTTCAATGAATGCTCATAATAGCCAAGGTGGAAACAACTCAAACGTCCATCAGCTGATGAACGGATAAGCAGAATGTGGTGTAGCCACGCATACAATGAAATAATGTTCCGCAATAAAGTACTGCTATGAGCTACAACATGGATGAACCAAAAACATTCTGCTAAGAGGAAGAAACCAGTCATGAAGGACCACATATGATGCCATTTATATGAAATGTCCAGAATAGGCAAACCTATAGAGACAGAAAGATCAGAGGTTACCTAGAGCTGGGAGTGGGAGGGATTGGAGGCTGACAACGGAGGGTTGAGGGGTTTCCTTCTAGGATGATTAAAGGTTTTAAAATTGACTGTGGTGATGGTGGCACAACTCTGTGAATATATTAAAAGCCAATGAATTGCGTATTTTAAATGACTGCATAGTGGGGTACGTGAATCACATCTCAAAAGAGCTGTTAAATAAACAAACGCTCACAAATTGCTGCAGGTTGATCTGAAATATTCTGATTCAAATGTACTGATGGGTCCCTGTGCCCATTTCATTCTTTGTGTGTGTGTGTTTTGTGTGTGTGTGTGTGTTTTTTTTTCTTTTGAGACACAGTCTCGCTCTGTCGCCCAGGCTGGAGTACGGTGGTGCAATCTCAGCTCACTCAACCTCTGCCTCCCGGGTTCAAGCAATTCTCCTGCTTCAGCCTCAAACAATTCTCCTGCTTCAGCCTCCCAAGTAGCTGGGACTACAGGCGTGGGCCACCACGCCCAGCTAATTTTTGTATTTTTAGCAGAGACGTGATTTCACCATGTTGGCCAGGCTGGTCTCGAACTCCTGACCTCGTGATCCACCCGCCTTGGCCTCCCAAAGTGCTGGGATTACAGGCATGAGCCACCGCGCCCGGCTAGCCTGTTTTTTGCTTTTTTTAAATGGAGATGGGGTCTCACCATCTTACTCAGGCTGGCCTTGAACTCCTACGTGCTTTTTTTTTTTTTTAAGACAGCTCTGTTACCCAGGCTGGAGTACAGTGGCGCAATCATGGCTCACTGCAGCCTTGAACTCCTGGGCTTAAATGATCTTCCCATCTCAGCCTCACAAGTAGCTGGGACTACAGGCACACACCACCATACCCAGTTACTTTTTAAAATTGTTTGTACAGACAGGGTCTTGGTATGTTACCCAGGCAGGTCTCAAACTCTTGGCCTTATGTGATCCTCCCACCCTGGCCTCCCCCCATTTCATTAAGTTCACTTAAACTTTCTGCTTACTCAGTGGCTAAGTGAAACGGAGACACCTAAAATAATTTCCTAGTAAACTCATAAAAGAAAAACTAAAAGAATAAAATAAAGATAACAGCAAGGGAAACCCGCTTTCTTATTTACTTTCTAAGGGCAAATTTAAAAGTCTGCTTAAGGAAAAGAATGGAGAAAGAAGAGCAAAAGTGACAATGACAAAGAAAAAGGGATGACCTGAGATTGGTGATAGATTAACAGGTTTGTTAATAAAGGAACATAAAACTCTTGCACGACCCAGAGGATTACACTCCAGAAGAAAGAGATCAGAGGTAAAAGTGGGAAGCGGTTTTAAAATAAGGAATAATTTGTTTGGTAAGAAGGAGGGAGAGTGGAGAAGTGGGGAGAAGTCAGAGAGGTTGAAATTATTTTTCATGAAATATAGCACACATATAAAAAGCATGTAAAACAATGTGTATTGTTTAATGAACAAAATTAAAATGAACAGTAGTATCAAGGCAAGAAATAGAATATTACCAATACCCCAGAAACCAGCCTGTATATTCCTCTCCAACTCTATCCTCCTTCCCTCCCCCACCCCACAGAACGAAAACTACCTTAAATGTTATGCACTCCCTTGTTTTTTCATTATTCCTAGTACCTAGGTCTCTGAGTCTAAATCAACAGTCTGCAAACTATGGCCCCAGGCCAAATCTGACCCACCACCTGTCTGTGTGTGGCCCTGGAGCTAAGATTGATTGTTACAGATGAGTATTTGTGATCAATTCGATGACAAGGAATGCTAATTTTGAATCCCAATTAGGTAAAACATTAGCTCTCTGCTACTTTTTTTTTTTTTTTTTTTTTTTTTTTGAGAGCGGTTCTTGCTCTGTCGCCCAGTCTGGAGTGTGGCTCACTGCAACCTCTGCCTCTGGACTTAAGTGATCTTTCTGCCTCACCACTCAAGTAGCTAGGACTACAGGCGTGCACTACCACACCTGAAAAAGTTTTAATTTTTTGTAGAAACAAGGTCTCACTATGTCACCCAGGTTGGTCTTGAACTGGGCTCAAGCGATCCTCCTGCCTTGGCTTCCCAAAGTGCTGGGATTATTAGCATTAAATTAAGTTCATTTAAACTTTTTACTTACTCACTTGCTAAGTAAGAAGGAGACATCTAAAATAACTTCCTGGTAAACTCATTAAAAAAGAATAAAAGAATAAAATTAAGATAACAGCAAGGGATGTTATCAATCAATAACAGGAAGATAACCCCGGCCTTATCTCCCTGTTATTGATTGAATTGTGTCCCCCAAAAAGCATGTGGAAGTCCTAACTTCAGAAGGTGACCTCAGTTGGAACCAGGATTGCTGAAGATGTAATTAGTTAACATGAAGTCATATTGGAGTAGGCCCTTACTCCAATCGGACAGGTGTCCTTCTAAGAAGAAGGAAGACTATGTAAAGACAGCCACATGGAGAATGTGTGATGACAAAGGCAGAGAGCCTGGAGGGATGCAGCTGCAAGCCCTGAACACAAGGATTGCTGGCCACCCCCAGAAGCTGGGAAGAAGCAAGGAAGGATTCTACCCAGAACTACAACAGCACAGCCCTGCTGACATCTTGATTTCAGAATTCTAGCTTACAGAACAGTGAGAGCATCCATTTGTTTTAAGCCATCCAGTTTGTGGTTCTGTTTGTTTTGTTTTGTTTGAGACGGAGTCTCACTCTGTCACCAGGATGGAGTGCAGTGGCACGATCTTGGCTCACTGCAACCTCCGCCTCCCAGGTTCAAGCGATTCTCCTGACTCAGCCTCCCAAGTAGCTGGGACTACAGGCATGCGCCACCACGCCCAGCCAATTTTTGTATTTTTAGTAGAGATGGGGTTTCACCATGTTGGCCAGGATGGTCTTGATCTCTTGACCTCATGATCTGCCCACCTCGGCCTCCCAAAGTGTTGGGATTACAGGTGTGAGCCACCATGCCCTGCCCAAAGAGGATAATATCCTTACCAGCAGCAGTGAATGAGTATAAGAGTTCCCGTAGCTCCACCACCTCCCCAACACTTGGTAATTTCTGACCTTAAAGTTTTTTCACCAATTCAGTATTATGAAATGATATCCCAAGGTGATTTTCATTTGCACTTCCCCAGTTACTAATGAGGTGGAATATATTTTTGTTCCCATGTTAATGGTCGCTTGTGTTCCTTCTTGTTGCGGGAAGTCAGGGACCCCGAACGGAGGGACCAGCTGGAGCCGCGGAAGAGGAACATAAATTGTGAAAATTTCATGGATATTTATCAGTTCCCAAATAATACTTTTATAATTTCTTATGCCTGTCTTTACTTTAATCTCTTAATCCTGTTATCTTCGTAAGCTGAGGATGTACGTCACCTCAGGACCACTGTGATAATTGTGTTAACTGTACAAACTGATTGTAAAACATGTGTGTTTGAACAATATGAAATCAGTGCACCTTGAAAAAGAACAGAATAACAGTGATTTTTAGGGAACAAGGGAAGACAACCATAAGGTCTGACTGCCTGCGGCATCGGGCAAAAAGAGCCATATTTTTCTTCTTGCAGAGAGCCTATAAACGGATGTCCAAGTAGGCGAGATATTGCTAAATTCTTTTCCTAGCGAGGAATATTAATATTAATACCCTGGGAAAGGAATGCATTCCTGGGGGGAGGTCTATAAACGGCCACTCTGGGAACGTCTGTCTTATGCAGTTGAGATAAGGAGTGAGATACGCTCTGGTCTCCTGCAGTGCCCTCAGGCTTACTAGGGTGGGGAAAAACTCCACCCTGGTAAATTTGTGGTCCAACTGGTTCTCTGCTCTCGAACCCTGTTTTCTGTTGTTTAAGATGTTTATCAAGACAATACGTGCACCACTGAACATAGATCCTTATCAGTGGTTCTGTTTTTGCCCTTTGCCCTGTAATCTTTGTTAGACCCTTATTAGTAGTTCTGCTTTTTGCCCTTTGAAGCATGTGATCTTTGTACCTACTCCCTGTTCTTACACCCCCTCCCCTTTTGAAACCTTTAATAAAACCTTGCTGGTCTGAGACTCAGGTGGGCATCACGGTCCTACCGATATGTGATGTCACCCCCGGCAGCCCAGCTGTAAAATTCCTCTCTTTGTACTGTCTCTCTTTATTTCTCAGCTAGCTGACACAGAAAATAGAAAGAACCTACATTGAAATATTAGGGGTAGGTTCCCCCAATATCTGGCATGCCAAGTGGCTTTTTCCTAAGTGCATGTGGGAACCCGATTCCTTTTGGTACGTGCATAGAAACGTTCATTGGTCCGGTTCACAGAAACGCTTGTTCGGCTCCCTGACAATTGGTGAGTTGTCTGTGTATTGTCCGGGGTAACTATGGGTCACACGAAGTCTAAGCATTATGCTTATCTCTGCTATATTAAACTCCTGTTAAAACAGGGAGGAGTTCAGGTACCTATGGAAAATATGGACATCCTATTCAGGGCAGTGGAAGAACACTGTCCTTGGTTTCCTGAAAAGGGAATGTTAGATGTGGGACTATGGGATCATGTTGGTGCAAAATTCCAGGAACTGGTCCCAACAGGAAATTATGCTCCCGTCACTGTTTGGGGTGATTGGGCCTTGGTAAGTGCTGTCCTAAAATACCAATCCTGTAACCCCCTGCAGTTACCACAGTTTTCTGTGTCTGGTGACCCTCTACCTCTTCCTCAGGTTTCCTCTCCCGTTCGGCCTTCGTTATCTGCTCAAGCCTCTCCCTTCACCAACTCCTCCCCTACCTGACGATATTGAGGACTCAATATCTAACTCTGGTGACTTTGGCTTAACGTCACCCCCAATGATCTTATTTCTTTTCATGAGGAGCCGGTACTTGTAGCTCCCACGGACCCGACTTGGACAGCCCAGGACCATATCTATACTAACTCTTCCCTCTTCAAACCTTTGCAGCCTTTGCTTCCGGAGCCATCTGATGGCTCCGGAACCAAACTACAATTTACCTGTAATTCTGCAGGCCCTCCCTCATCCACCACAGCCCCTCACTCTCCTGTCATTTCGGTCCCTCATTTGGTCACTTTGCCATCCATTCAACCTGCTTCTCTGTACCCTTCTTCACACGTGGATGCCCCTGCCACTCTGGTTGCACAGGATTGAGCCAATAATCACCAGTATGCTTATGCCTTTTCTGCTCCCCCAATGCCCCTTTCTCATACTCTCATACCAGTCCGACCTCCTCAACCTCAGTTTCCCTTATCTACACATACTTTTCCTGTCATTTCTATGCCGAGTCCATCTCATGTGCCTGTTCTTGAAACTTCCATGCAACACTTATTACGCCAGAAAAAAGAAACAAGTGGATTAGAGGTGTCGGCTTATCCGGTCGTGCTGGAATCTCCCAGTGCTCAAGGGGTACAAGTGCATTGATTTAGGCCGCTCAATCTTACCTTTTTAAAAGAATTCAAGGATGCTTGTACTCAGTATGGTCCTACTTCTCCATATGTTAAAATGGTATTACAGACTCTTTGTACTGAGGTCATTTTGCTTCCTTTAGACTGGGACCTTTTGGCAAAAGCTGTTCTAACTCCATCTCAGCATTTACAATTCCGTACCTGGTGGTGAGAGGAGGCCCGTCTGCAGGCTCAGCTAAATTGGGCTGATGGCATTCCAATTACTCAGGCTCAGCTCACAGGCTCCGATAATTACTCTGACACTACCTCCCAATTAGGCTTTGATGCTCTCACCATGGAACAAGTAACAAAGGTGTGTATGAGAACTTGGGATAAATTACGTGCCCCAAGTCAAGCTCCTGTTTCTTTTACTACTGTTAAACAGGGTCGCAATGAATTATATCCTGATTTTTTGGCTAAATTACAAGATGCTGTTGAAAAATTCATCTCTGATGAGCACGCTCAAGGTATTCTCCTTTGTATGTTAGCATGTTAGCTTTTAAGAATGTGAACCATGAGTGTAAAATGGCCATGCATGCCATCCAATGACAAAATTTAGCTGATCACGAGGTGTTGCCTGCATATATTAAAGCTTGTGAAGGCATTGGATCAGGGACCCACAAAGCTATTCTGTGGGCACGGGCTATGAAGGACGGCAATCAAACCGGCTCGACTGATTCTTTTCTTGGAGCCTGCTATAACTGTGGTCAACTTGGTCATACTCGAACAAACTGCACCATTAAAAACTTAAAAGCAGCCAAGCCAGCTCAACAAACACAGCCAAATGCTCCTGCTACTGTTTGCCCTTGTTGTCATAAAGGCAAACATTGGGCAAGTACTTGCCGTTCTAAGTCTGATATAGATGGAAATCCCTTGCCACAGAACCAGGGAAATCGGAAGCGGGGCCAGTCTCAGGCCCCAATATGAAATGGGACACCTCAGACTCAGACCAGTGTTGCATTTCTGCTTCAAGCGGTCCCAACACAGCCCCCAGCACACACAAACTTACCTACAGCCAACTCAGGTAGGTCCCAGCCTCTTCTTCTGTCTCAGTACACTTGTCTACCTCCACAGTAGGGGGCGGGGTGGTCAATCTCTGTAGTACCATTCCTCTAAATTTACTACCTAATTCTTTCCCTTTAATTGTCCTCACGGGGCCTTTACCTCAAGGTTCTGGCCCTTTACCTCAAGGTTCGGTGGGCCTGGTGTTAGGTATGACATCCACTACTACTAAAGGAATCACGGTTCATACTGGTCTCATTTTGATTCCTCTAATGAGAATAAACTTATGGTGTCTGCCAAGGTTCCTGTTTCCATTCCAGCTGGTGAGTCAATTGCTCAATTACTTTTACCACCTAATATTGTTTTAAGCAAAGGAGATAAGACACGGGGCCCTGGGATGGGCTCTGGTGGTGAAAAAGCCGCTTATTGGATTAATGTAATTTCTAAACAACAGCCCACCTGCACCATACACATTCAAGGAAAAAAGTGTGAGGGCCTAGTAGATACTAGGGCTGATGTTTCTATTATTTCCTCTAATCTATGGCCTTCCTCCTGGCCTAAACATCCCACTAAAATGGGACTAGTAGGGGTTGGAAAAGCTGATGAAGTTCACCAGAGCACATTTATCTTGCCTTGCACTAGCCCTGATGGTCAAAAGGGTACAATTCAGCCTCATATCACACCAATCCCCATTAATCTTTGGGGTAGAGATTTGCTGGCACAATGGGGGGCTGAAATTAATATTCCACATAACTCTTATAGTGCTCCCAGTCAACATATAATGGAAAACATGGGGTTTGTTCCAGGACTCGGTCTCAGTCCAAGACATGAAGGAATTACCAAACCTCTTCAAGTTACCGTAAAAGAAGACAGGGCTGGTTTAGGTTATCCTTTTTAATGACGGCCACTGCTACGCCTCCTAATCCTGTTCCTCTACGAGGGAAATCTGAAACACCTGTTTGGATTGAGCAGTGGCTGCTCTCTAAAGAAAAACTGGAGGCTTTAACTCAATTGGTTTCTGAACAGTTACAACTTGGAAATGTGGAACCTCCTCTTTCCCCCTGGAATTCTCCTGTGTTTCTAGTAAAAAAGAAATCAGGGAAGTGGAGGATGGTAACTGCTTTAAGGGCCATTAATGCTGTAATTAAACCTATGGGAGCCGTCCAACCTGGCATGCCTGCCCCTCCTTTAATACCTAAGAATTGGCCTCTCATAGTTATTGATCTTAAAGACTGTTTCTTTCATATTGCTTTACATAAATCAGATTGTCAAAATTTGCTTTTACTGTACCATCTATCAATAATCAGGAGCCTGCAGCTCATTATCAATGGAAAGTACTTCCTCAGGGAATGCTGCTGAACACTATTCATAGGCAAAAAATTCTCCCTCAATGAAAGCAAGCCAGTGTTATGGAAAAACTCCCAAACCAATACCTGGGAACCTGGAACAATTATAACGTGGGGAAGAGGGTATGCTTGCGTTTCACCAGGAGATCATCAATCCCCTGTCTGGGTGCCCACTAGAAGACTTAAACTTCGTATGCATACTGACAATGAAAACCACAGAAAAGAGATGTCCGCGTCAGAGACTGCCCTCATACCTGGTGAGATCTGTGCCGACTCCTCAGAAACTGGTAGGCCAAATCAAAATGGGTCTGGTTCAGTCCTCCCAAATGGCAACAGAGACCCCTCTAACTAATCCCACATCTCCTAATTACCTTTCTTTTTCTCCTTACGAACCTAAAAATCTCACCATTTCTATTAGCCTGAAAATAACATCCCTCTGTTCTTCTCTTCCTCCTCCAGCACTGGATCTCGCTTACAGTAGGTTTTATTTAATAATTCTCCTCCTTACACTTTCTGTCTCACCAGTTTCCCCTCAAACTGATTTACCTGCTACATAAAATTATTCTTATTGGGCTTATGTGCCTTTTCCTCCACTTATTCGACCTCTCACCTGGATGGATGCTCCTGCAGAAATCTATACTAACGATAGTGTATATATGCCTGGAGCTACAGATGACCATTGCCCCACTCGACCAGGAGAAGAAGGCACTGCATTTAATGTTACTATGGGTTATAAATACCCTCCTCTGTGCCTCGGACATCCACCTGGTTGTATCCATCTAGAAACTCAAGTCTGGGCTGCTTACCTTCCGGAGAGATCAGCCACAGGGGAATGGGGACATTTGGTCTCCGGCCTCTCCCTTTCTCCTTTAAGACAAATGAAAGGGGGAGTAATAGGAGATACCCCATATTTTCAATATAAACCCATAGGAAAACTATGTCCTAAAAATTTTGAGGGCCCATCTAAAACTTTAATTTAGGAAGATTGTGTTAACTCACATGCAGCAGTATTAAAAAATGACTCACATGGTTTAGTAATAGACTGGGCACCAAAGGGCTATTTAAAAAACAATTGCTCCTCTGGCGGAAGAGGATGTCTGGAGGCTACTTATTTTATTTCTTATTGGGAGGACGAGGATCACCATCCTTCTTTCCATAGGTAGTTCAGCTCGTTCTTTCCCTTAAAATGAGAAGATAAGGGCATTACCCGCCCACCCCAGCCCTGAGGCTTTGTATGATATTCCCCATTCTGAGCCCAGAACACCCAGAACTTTGGAAATTGGCTATTGCCATGTCCGGACTGCGAGTATGGGAAGGGGAAACTTTTCTGTCTGTTGTCCCCACTACCACCCCTCACATCTGTGATTCTGAACCCCATGATAAATCCCCTTTGAACCCTCTTCCTCTTTTTGACGCCGATCCCCCTTTATGGGACTCCAATTGGCATTATGATAATTCTTCTCGACCCAGGTATGCCCCTCTACCTCTTCGGCATCCCTGGGCACCTCAGATTGCTTCTTTATGGTGGAGAACATCAGGCATTGCCACGCTGCTCCTCTCCCTCAGTATCAACGTAGATTCAAACATTCTGCTTTGATTACCTCCAGCCTGACTATTCCTATACAGAGTTGTGTTAAGCCTCCTTACATGCTGTTAGTGGGAAATATCAAAATTTGGATGAACAATCAAACTGTCCAATACATTGTCATTTATGCACTTGTGTTAACTCCTGTTTTGACTTCAGGAAAAGTGTAATGTTGGTTCGAGCTCAAGAAGGAATCTGGATACCAGTAACTTTACCCAGACCTTGGGAATCTTCCCCCTCAGTACATTTAATTAATGAAGTGCTACAGCAAATTCTCAAAAGATCTAAGAGATTTGTTTTCACTTTAATCGCTGTGATCATGGGCCTAATTACAGTCACTGCACTGGCCACCACTGCCAGAGTGGCGTTACACCAATCTATTCAAGTGGCTCATTTTGTTAATGATTGGCAAGCCAATTCCACCCAAATGTGGAATTCTCAACAGGGCATTGATCAAAAATTAGCTAATCAAATTAACGATTTAAGACAGTCTGTTATTTGGCTTGGAGATTGGCTAATGAGTCTCGAATATCACATGCAAGTGCAGTGTGACTGGAATACTTCTGATTTCTGTATCACACCATATTCCTACAATGAGACTGATGAGTCATGGGAAATGGTCAAAGGACACCTGCTGGGTAGGGAAGATCATTTATCCTTGGACGTAACTAAATTAAAGACAATAATTTTTGAAGCCTCTCAAGCTTATTTATCCATTGTGCCTGGAGCTGAGGCGTTAGGTCAGGTGGCAGAAAGTCTTTCTGGACTAAACCCCACGACTTGGATTAAGTCTATTGGGGGCTCCACTGTAGTAAATTTTGGAATCATGTTTCTCTGTTTAATCGACTTTTTAGCGTGCCAGACCAGTCAACGAATCCTGCGTCAAAACCAAGAGAACGAACAAGCCTTCATCGCCATGGCTCATTTATATAAAAAGAAAGGGAGAGATGTTACAGGAAGTCTGGGACCCCCCAATGGAGGGAACAGTTGGAACCATGGCAGAGGAATATAAATTGTGAAGATTTCATGGACATTTATCAGTTCCCAAATAATACTTTTATAATTTCTTATGCCTGTCTTTACTTTAATCTCTTAACCCTGTTATCTTTGTAAGCTGAGGATGTACGTCACCTCAGGACCACTGTGATAATTGTGTTAACTGTACAAATTGATTGTAAAACGTGTGTTTGAACAATATGAAATCAGCACACCTTGAAAAAGAATAGAATAACAGCAATTTTTAGGGAACAAGGGAAGACAACCATAAGGTCTGACTGCCTGTGGGGTCAGGCAAAAAGAGCCATATTTTTCTTCTTGCAGAGAGCCTATAAACGGATGTGCAAGTAGGAGAGATATTGCTAAATTCTTTTCCTAGCAAGGAATATTAATATTAATACCCTGGAAAAGGGATGCATTCCTGGGGGCAGGTCTATCAACGGCCACTCTGGGAATGTCTGTCTTATGCAGTTGAGATAAGGAGTGAGGGAGTGAGATACGCTCTGGTCTCCTGCAGTGCCCTCAGGCTTTCTAGGGTGAGGAAAAACTCTGCCCTGGTAAATTTGTGGTCAACCGGTTCTCTGCTCTCAAACCTGTTTTCTGTTGTTTAAGATGTTTATCAAGACAATACCTGCACCACTGAACATAGACCCTTATCAGTGGTTCTGCTTTTTCCCTTTGTCCTGTTCCCTCAGAAGCATGTGATCTTTGTTAGACCCTTATTAGTAGTCCTGCTTTTCACCCTTTGAAGCATGTGATCTTTGTACCTACTCCCTGTTCTTACACCTCCCCCTCTTTTGAAACTCTTAATAAAAACTTTCTGGTCTGAATCTCAGGCAGGCATCACAGTCCTACTGATATGTGATGTCACCCCTGGAGGCCCAGCTGTAAAATTCCTCTCTTTGTGCTGTCTCTATTTCTCAGCTGGCCGACACTTAAGGAAAATAGAAAGAACCTATGTTGAAATACTTGGGGCAGGTTCCCCCAATACCTTCTTTTGCAAAGTTCCTATTAATTGGTTTTGCCCATTTTTCTTTTCTTTTCTTTTTTTTTTTTGAGACAGAGTTTTGCTCTTGTCGCCCAGGCTGCAGCTCACTGCAACCTCCACCTCCTGGGTTCAAGTGATTCTCGTGCGTCAGCCTCCCAAGTAGCTGGGATTACAGGCGTGTGCCACTACACCCAGCTGATTTTGTATTTTTAGTAGAGACAGGGTTTCTCCATTTTGGTTGGGCTGGTCTTGAACTCCTGACCTCAGGTGATCCACCTGCCTCCGCCTCCCAAAGTGCTGGGATTACAGGCATGAGCCACCAAGCCTGGCTGGTTTTGCCCGTTTTTCTATAAATAAGGTTAACTTTTTTCTTATTGACTCATACAAGTCTATAAATTACATACATTTCAGTATCTTTTCATTTGTGGCTTGCTTTTTCACTATTTTTATAGTGTCTTTTGATTAGCAGAAATTCTTTATCATTAGAGATTGGGTCTTCTGTATCACCCAGGCTGAAGTGCAGTGTCTGAATCACAACTCAGTATAACCTCCTATTCCTGGGATCACAATTCTCCTGTCTCAGCCTCCCAAGTACCTGGAACTACGGGTGCATGCCAACATGCCTGGTTAATTTAATTTTTTTATTTTTTGGGGGGGGACAGGGTCTTGCTATGTCGCCCAGGCTCATCTTTAATTTCTGGCCTCAAGCAATTCTCCTGCCTCAGCCTCCCAAAGCACTGGGATTATAGAAAATTATTATTATTATTATTATTATTTTTGAGATGGAGTCTTACTCTGTCACCCAGACTGAAGTGTAGTGGCGTGATCTTGGCTCACTGCAACCTCTGTCTCCTGGGTTCAAGTGATTCTCCTGCCTCAGCCTCCTAAATAGTTGGGATTACAGGCATGTGCCACCATGCCTGGCTAATTTTTGTATTTTTAGTAGAGACAGGGTTTCACCATGTTGGCCAGGCTGGTCTTGAACTCCTGACCTCAAGTGATCTGCCCACCTTGGCCTCCCAAAGTGATGGGATTACAGACATGAGTCACTGCGTCCAGCCTAGAAAATTTGTTAAAGAATTTATAATTCTTTTCTTTTATGGCCAGGGCTTTGGGAATCTTAAGAAATTCTTTTTTTCCTGTAAGTGGATTAATTTGTATTTCAAAAGTTTTATGGTTTACCCTTTAAAGTTTGGTCTTGAGGCCAGGTGTGGTAGCTCAGACCTATAATCCCAGTACTTTGGGAGGCCGTGATGGGAGGATCGATTGAGCCCAGGAGTTCAAGACTAGCCTGGGCAACATAGTGAGACCCTGTCTCTACAAAAAATAAAAAAATTAGCCCAGTGTATTGGTGTGCACCTGTAGTCCCAACTACTCAGGAGGCTGAGGTGAAGGATTGCTTGAGCCCAGGAGGTCGAGGCTGCAGTGAGCCATGATCATGTCACTGCACTCCAGCTTGGTGACAGAGCGAGACCCTGTCTCTAAATAGATAAATTAATAAGTTTGGTCTTTAATCTACCTGGAATTAATTTTTGTGTATGAACTGAAGTAAGGGACTAATACATTTTTTCCCTACATAGATAACCAACTGTCCAAGTCTGAAATGCCCATCTTTCCCACTGCTCTTCAATATCAGCTCTGTCATAAACTGAATGTCCATAAATATATATATTATCTGCTTTTGGACTCTCTATTCTGTACCACTAATCTACATGATCACACTGCCTTAATTAAAACAGCTTTATCAGTCTTAATAACTGATAAGGCAAATGATTCCAATTTATTCTTCTTCAAGAGTTTCTTGTCTATATTTGGACCTTTAATTTTCCACATATATTTTATTTTATTTTTTACTTTATTTATTTATTTATTTATTTATTTATTTATTTTGAGACAGAGTCTCACTCTGTTGCCCAGGCTGGAGTGTAGGGGCGTGATCTCGGCTCACTGCAACCTCAGCCTCCTGGGTTCAAGTGATTCTCCTGCCTCAGCCTCCTGAGTACCTGGGACTACAGGTATGCGCCACCATGACTGGCTATTTTTTGTATTTTTAGTAGAGACAGGGTTTTGCCATGTTGGCTAGGCTGGTCTGGAATACCTGAGCTCAAGTGATCCACCGGCCTCGGCTTCCCAAAGTGCTGGGATTACAGGCATAAGCCACCACGCCCGGCCCACATATATTTTAGAATCTCATTATCTAACTGGTCAAGTGAAATCAGTTGAGATTTTGACAGAAATTACATTAAGTCTATAATTCAAAGTGGAAAGAATTGACATTTTTGTGACAGTGAGTGTTCTAATCCATGAACATGGTATAATTCCATTTATTTAGGTCTTTCTAATGTATTTCATTATGATATAATTTCCTACAGAAAGGTATTATACATCTTTTGTTGGCTTTATTCCTAGGTACTCCATTGTTTTTAACTTTTTCCAACTTTTTATTTGTAAATAATTCAAATTTAAAGTTGCAAGAATAATAGTACAAAAAAAATATTCACATATCCTTCACCCAGATTCATGTATTGTTAATATTTTACCCCAATGATTTAGCATTTGTGCTCATTTTCTCTCCTTCTCCCTTTCTCCTTCTCTATATCTTATTTTCTCCAAACCACTTAAGAGTGATTTGAGGCCAGGTGCAGTGGCTCATGCCTATAATCCCAGCAATTTGGGAGACCAAGACGGGGATCACTTGAGCCCAGAAGTCGAAACCAGCCAGGGCAACATAGTGAGACCCTGTCTCTACAAAATTAAAAAATTAGCCATGTGTGGCAGTGTGTGCCTGTAGTCCCAGCTACTCGGGAGGCTCAGTCAGGAAGACTGTTTGATCCCAAAGGTTGAGGCTGCAGTGAGCCATGATTACACCACTGTACTCTAGCCTGGGAAACAGAGACTGACCCTGTCTCAAAAAGAAAAAAAAAAAAAGTGATCTGAATACATCAAAGCTTGGTCTCTCATGTATCTACTTTCACAGTATTTTAATTTTGTCAATTGACTCAATAATGCCCTTTAGAGCATTTTTTCCTTCCACTACAGGACCCGGTTTAGGGTAGTGCTTTTAATTGACATATCTCTTTAGTCTCCGTTAATCTAGAACATTTTTGCAGCCTCTTCTGTCTTTTATGATATTGACCTTTTGAAAAATACAGTCTGCACTCCTTTTTTAAAAAATATAATGATCCTTACTTTTTTTTTTCCAAGATGGAGTCACACTCAGTCGCCCAGGTTAGAGTGCAGTGGCACTATCTCAGCTCACTGCAACCTCCACCTCCCAGGTTCAAGCAATTCTCCTGCCTCAGCCTCCTGAGTAGCTGGGATTACAGGCATGCACCACCACACCTGGCTAATTTTTTTTTGTATTTTTAGCAGTGACAGGGTTTCACCATGGTCTTGGACTCCTGACCTTGTGATCCACCCACCTAGGTTCCCAAAGTGCTAGGATTACAGGTGTAAGCCACCACACCTGGCGTATTTTTTTTTTTTTTTTTTTTGAGATGGAGTCTAGCTCTGTCTCCCAGGCTGGAGTGCAGTGGCGCGATCTCGGCTCACTACAACCTCTGCCTCCCACGTTCAAGTGATTCTCCTGCGTCAGCCTCCCGAGTAGCTGGGATTACAGGCACGCACCACAACGCCCAGCTAATTTTTCTATTTTTAGTAGAGACGGGATTTCACCATGTTGGTCAGGCTGGTCTTGAACTCCTGACCTCGTGATCTGCCCGCCTCGGCCTCCCAAAGTGCTGGGGTTACAGGCATGAGCCACTGTGCCTGGGTTTTTTTTTGTTTGTTTTTTTCTGAGACAGGCTCTTGCCCTGTCACCCAGGCTGAAGTACAGTGGTGCAATCACAGCTCACTGCAGCCTTGACCTCCTGGACTCAAGCAAATCTCCCACCTCAGCCTCCTGAGTAGCTGGGACTACAGGCACACATCATCAAGCCCAGCTAATTTTTTTATTTTTTGTGGAGACAGGGTCTCACCATGTTGGCCAGCCTGGTCTTGAATGCTTGGGCTCAAGCGATTCTCCTGCCTTGGTCTTGCAAAGTGCTGGGATTACAAGCATGAGCCACCACCCCTGGCTGAATGCTCATTTTGGATTCAACTGATATTTCTTCATGATTAGATTCCGGTTATGCATTTCCAACCAGAACATGTGATACTGTATTTTCCTCAGTATATCCCATAGGGCAGCATACAACGTCCATCCGTACTCACTTTATAATGTCAATTTTTATCATCTAACCATAGTGTTACCATATTTCTCCACTGCACAGTTACTATTCCTTCCCTTGCAACCAATAAACAATCAGTGCAAAAACGAAGACTCTTTTTATTATGGAATTTTCAAATACATTTAAAAAACCAGAAAAGAGTATAATAAGCTTCCATGTTTATTCAACTACTAAATTGTGAAAGCAATCATCAGAAAACAAATCCTAGGTAGGCATGGTGGCTCATGCCTATAATCTCAGCACTTTGGGAGGCAGAGGTGGGCAGAACGCTTTAGCCCTGGAGTTTGAGACCAGCCTGGGCAACATAGAGAAACCCCATCTCTACTAAAAAATACAAAAATTAGCCAGGCATGTGGTACGCACCCATAGTCCCAGCTACTCAGGAAGCTGAGGTTGGAGGATCACCTGAGCCCATGACACGGAGGTTGCAGTGAGCTGATTTCACACCACTGCACTCCAGCCTGAACCACAGAGTGAGACCCTGTTTCAAAAAAAAAAAAAAGAAAAGAAACCAAATCCCAGAGGTTATATACTTTCACCTATGAATACTTCAGTATTTACTTTTCTAACAGATAAAAACTTTTAAAATACCAATGTCATTATTATACCCAAGAAAATTAACAATAATTTCTCAATATCACTCAATATCTGTCTATGTTCAAACTTTTATAACTATCTCAGTTTTTCTTATGGTTGGCCTGATCAAATCAGGATCCAATAAGGACCTCACATTACATCTGGCTGTTATACCTTAAGAGTTTCTCTTTTAATCACTGCCAGCTTCCCTTCCACTCTTTATGCCATTTATTTGCTGAAGAATATACATCATATGTCCTGTAGTGGAGTCCATATCTGGGATTTTGAACTTCTCATTTTTATTGACATGTACTATATACTTCTTGCAGATTTTTGCTCGTGTAGAAATCTAACTTACTATTATTTTTTGAGAGAGTCTCCCTTTGTCGCCCAGGCTGGTGTGCAATGGCACAATCACAGATTACTGGAGACTTGACCTTCCCAGCTCAACTAATCCTCCCACTAAGCCTCCTGAATAGCTAGGATCACGGGTGTGCATCACCACGCTTGGTTAATTTTTATTTTTTTTTGGTAGAGACAGAGTCTTACTGTGCTGCCCAGGGTGGTCTTGAACTCCTGGGCTCAAGCGATTCTCCCACCTTGGCCTCTCAAAATGCTGGGATTACAGGCATGAGCCACCATGCCAAGCTCAAAATTATTTTTATTTGTTGACTTTTATATATAGCAATTTTCTTAAACTTTTATTAATTATAATAATTCAGTTATACATTATTTTGGTTTTCTGTGCAGGATAATATCATCGGCAAATAACGACAGCATTATTTATTTCATTATAATCCAAATACTTTTTCTTCCTGTCTTACACCTTATTTACTAAAGGTTACACTTCAGTCAGAAGAAAAGTGTTTCCAGATGGAAGGTCTGAAATTCAAGAAAATAGGAAAATCAAAGATATTGGTAAATAAGTACAGAAATCTTGTTTAGAAAGAGTACAATAATAATAAAATAATACTTGTGGGGTTAAAAAAGAGAATTAAAATATATTATTACAAACCAGCCTGGGCAACATAGTGAGACCCCACCTTTACCAAAAAAATATTTTTTTAATTAGTTGAGGCCTAGGCATGGTGGTTCATGCCTGTAATCACAACACTTTGGGAGGCTGAGGTGGGTGGATTGCTTGGGCCCAAGTTTGAGACCAGCCTAGGCAACATAGCAAGACCATGTTACTATTTAAAAAAAAAAAATTAAATTAAAAAAATTGGCCGGGCATGGTGCCTAACACCTGTAATCCCAGCTCTTTGGGAGGCCGAGGTGGGCAGATCACCTGAAGTCAGCTCAAGACCAGCCTGGCCAACATGGTGAAACCCCGTCTCTACTAAAAAATACAAAAATTGGCCAGGCACAGTGGCTTACGCCTGTAATCCGAGCACTTTGGGAGGCTGAGGTGGGCGGATCACAAGGTCAGGAGTTTGAGACCAGCCTGACCAACATGGTGAAACTCCATCTCTACTAAAAATACAAAAAAAAAAAAATCGGCCAGGCGTGGTGGCAGGTGCCTGTAATCTCAGCTACTCGGGAGGCTGAAGCAGAATTGCTTGAACCCTGGAAGTGGAGGCTGCAGTGAGCTGAGATCGCGCCACTGCACTCCAGCCTGGGCGACAGTGCAAGATTCTGTCAAAAAAAAAAAAAATTAGCCAGGTGTGGTGGTGCATGCCTGTAATTCCAGCTACTCTGGACGCTGAGGCAGGAGAATCGCTTGAACCCAAGAGGCAGAGGTTGCAGTGAGCCTAGATCGCGCCACTGCACTCCATCCTGGGCGACAGAGCAAGACTCCATCTCAAAAAAATAAATAAATAAATAAAACTTAAAAACTTTTAAAAAAGAAGTCTGATCTCTTACCTATAGGTGACCAGCTTCATTAATTTCTGGCCTATCATTTTTGTACTTTTTTCAAACATAAGCAAACATATATATATATAAAACACTCTATGTATGTGAAAAACTATCCCTTCCTTTTTTCATACAAAAGGTAGTATACATAAAATATTAAAGTGGTTCTGTTGTTGTTGTTGTTGTGTTTTTCTTTTGACAGTCTTGCACAAGTTTTTCACTACTGCAAGCAAGGCTGTAGACAGGTCGTGGTGACCTAGCCTGCAGAAATGAACTCCAGACACCCCTGAGCAAGGTTAAAAGACGAAAAACAATTTCCTTTACTGTCTCTCTTGTACTATTAGTTATGACTATGTTTGCCAATGCTTGTATTTAGTAAGATTTGCAAAGTTCCTGTTTTTCTTTCGATGCAGCTGCTAGGCCACTAGCTATGCAAGGCCACAGGTTAGTGCCAGGTCAGCAGTTATGCTATGGATTACGTGATTTGTCACTGTAAAATTTACTGCCTTTGTTTTGATCTTGTATGCTGGCCTATATAAGCTAAACTCTGTTTTTGTTCAAGGCTCAGCTTTTTGGATGTGAATCCACTGAGCCGGTGAGTACCTTAAATAAACATCCTCCTGTCTTCCCAATATCGGTCTCTCTGGTCCTCAGTTTACCACAACAGCCTCAACAGCTCATGGCAGCGTCAACCTCCTGGGCTCAAGTGATTCACCTCAGCTTCCCAAGTAGCTGGGACCACAGGCTAAAGTGATTTTTAATGTAAGTATTTACAAGAAAATGTCCCAACTATTGCTGTAAAAAAAAGCCATATCTCTTTGCTTTGAGTATAGCTTGATTGATTCCCAGTAGGAGAAAGGGCATTTTCTTCCTCACTCAGAGTCTCTGGCATTGGCAGAAAAAAAAGCAAACATAACCCTGATCTGTGCCAGTAAGAAGTCCTCCAGCTCCAAAGCATTAGTACCAGAATATAGAAGGCAAGAGCACTTCAAAGAAGGCTCCAAATTTCTTAGTATTATTGATAGATGGCTAAAACTTGCTGATGAAGAGCTAACTTACAGTTTAATTTACTAAAATTCTCTGGTACCCCAAAATCAGGTAAAAGTACTGAAATTTTTAGTAAAAGGAAGAACAACTGTTTCCAAAAAACTATACAAATTATTCTAAACTTCATTTGGAAAAATAAATACCCAAGTATAACCAGGAAAATTCTGAAAAATAATCCAAATGTGGTGGGAACTAGCTTTCCCACATATTAAAACATTTTGTAAAACTAGAGCAATTAAAATAGTTTGGGCTGGGTAGAGTGGCTCACATCTGTAATCCTAGCACTTCGGGGGCTGAGGCAGGAGGATCACTTGAGCCCAGGAGTTTGAGACCAGCCTGGGCAACAAAGTGAGACTCCTCTACAAAAAAATTTTTTAAAAATAGCCAGGCATTATGGCGCATGTCTATAGTCCCACCTAATTGGGAAGATGAGCTGGGAGGACTGCTTAACCCCAGGAGATCAAGGCTGCAGTGAACTATGATGGTGCCAATGCACCCCAGCCTGGGTGACAGAGCGAGGCCCTGTCTCAATTAATTAATTAAGTAAACAGTCTGGTACTGGTACATGAATAGAGACTAAAGTAGCAGAGCAGAAAGTCCAGAAACAGAGCGCTATATGTGCAAGAATTTAATATACAACAGAGGTAGAATTTCGAGCAGAAGAGAAAAGATTAACTCTTAGGTCAATGCTGCTAGGACAAATGAGCAGCCATCTGAAGAAAAATCAAGTGGGCTTCCTAACTCACTTCCTGAAAGAAATCTCAGGGGGATAAAAAAATCTGACTATAAAAAATATAGACAATACAAATATATTTGAAAAATACAAAAATATAAGACCATAAAAATATCAGAAGAAAACTAATTATAAAAAGATCTGCCCAGGCACGGTGGCTCACACCTGTAATCCCAGCATGTTGGGATGCCGAGTCAGGAGGATTACTTGAGGTCAGGAGTTTGAGACCAGCCTGGCCAACATGGTGAAACTCCATCTCTACTAAAATTACAAAAATTAGCCGGCATGGTGGTGTGCGCCTGTAATCCCAGCTACTTGTGAGGCTAAGGCAGGAGAACCACTTAAACCTGGGAGGCAGAGGTTGCAGTGAAACGAGATCGCACCACTGCACTCAAGCCTGGGCAACAGAGCAAGATTCCATCTCAAAAAAAGAAAGACAGAAAGAAAGATCTCGGTTTAACTCAAAGGCATACAGAGCAAGATTCCATCTCAAAAAAAAGAAAGACAGAAAGAAAGATCTCGGTTTAACTCAAAGGCTTACAGAGCAAGACTCCATCTCAAAAAAAAAAAAAAAGATCTTGGTTTAACTCAAAAATGCAAAAGCCTTAAGAGACTGATAACTCTGGCTTCACAAAAACATGTTTCTCCATGTTAAATAAACAGTATAATCAAAGTCCAGATGCAACATGAAAAACTGTGGAAAATATTTGTAATGTGATAAAAGACAAATTTTTAAAATACACAGAGCCCTCAGAGATTAACGAAAAACCTCATTTGTTAAGCCAGACAAATATAAAGATACATAGATGGCTTTAAACCAGGGTTTCTCAACCTCTGCACTACTGACCTTTTGGACTACATAATTCTTTGTTGTACGGAATGCTTGTGAATTGTAGGATGTGCACCAGCATCCCTGTACTCTACTCACGAGATGCCATTAGCATCTCCATTCAATTGTGACTATCAAAAATGTCTTGAGATATTACCAAATGTCCTCTGGGGATCAAATTGTCCCTGGTTTAAATACACAAAGAGATCCAAATCCACACTTGTGATAAAATAAATGCAAATTTTAACAATAATGAGGTGACACTTTTTTCTCTAATTAGATTTTCATCATTAACTATTTTGCGGTTAGCCAACAAGTGGGATTAGAGGATCTCATTTATCCTTTTGGGTGTGCAACCCTTCTGGGGGGTCATCTGGAAATATCTGTCAAAATATAAAGTGCATTTCCTCTTTTTTCTTTTTGAGACAGACTCTCACTCTCTCTCGCAGGGTGGAGGGCAGGGCAGTGGCATGATCTCGGCTCACTGCCACCTCCGCCTCCAGGTTCAAGCGGTTCTCCTGCCTCAGCCTCCTGAGTAGCTGGGATTACAGGTGCCCGCTACCAGGTCCAGCTAATTTTTGTATTTGTAATTTTTGTAATTTTGTAGTTTTAGTGGAGACGGAGTTTCACCACGTTGGCCAGGCTGGTCTCGAACTCTTGACCTCCAGTGATCCGCCCGCCTCGGCCTCCCAAAGTGCTGGGACTACAGGCGTGAGCCACTGTGCCCAGCCACATTTACTCTTTGATCCAGCAATTTCACTTCCAGGAGTTTATCCTACATATACACTTATATATGTGCAAATAGATAAATACAAGTATAATTATGGAAGCAAAAAAAGAGTATCCAAAAAACTGGAAACAGTCTAGTATCCAACAATAGGGAACAGGTTAAATAAACAAAGGTATATTCATATACAGGTTGAGCAAACCAAATCTGAAAATCTGAAATCCGAACACGTCTGGAACCAAGCATTTTGGATAATGGATACTCAAGCTGTTACAGAATATTATGCAACCATTAAAAAGGAGGAGGGGCCAGGCGCAGTGGCTTACGCCTGTAATCCCAGCACTTTGGGAGGCCGAGGCAGACGGATCACGAGGTCATGAGATTGAGACCATCCTGGCTAACATGGTGAAACCCCGTCTGTACTAAAAATACAAAAAAATCAACAGGGCGTGGTGGCACGCGCCTGAAGTCCCAGCTACTCGGGAGGCTGAGGCAGGAGAATTGCGGGAGGCGGAGGCTGCAGTGAGCCGAGATCATGCCACTGCACTCCAGACTGGAAGACAGAGCGAGACTCCATCTCAAAAGAAAAAAAAAGGAGGCGGAAGATCTGCCATGTACTAAAAATGTATGTCCCTGGGCACAGCGGTGCATGCCTGTAATCCTAAATACTCCAGAGGCTAAGAAGGGAGGAACATCAGCCTGGGAGTTCAAGGCTACAGGCCAGTCTGGGCAACATGGGAGACCCCGTCTTTAAAAAAAACAAAGAAAGAATGTCCCAAGACATACCAACTAAAAGTAGCAAGACCAAGAATAGAGTCTGCTGCTATTTTTAAGAAAGGGTATGTGTGTGTGTGTGTGTGTGTGTGTGTGTATCCGGATGTATACAAATTATGTTCATACATGCACGAAATAGAAACGTAAGTAACTGGGGAACTAGATTTTAGGGATGGGGAGACTCACTTTTTACCCTATACTCTTTGAACTGTTTTAAGTCTTTGGCTATATGCCTGCATGTTTCAGGCAAATTACAAAATCTGACAACACGTCACTCAACTCAAGATACCCAGACCTTACATAAACCAGAAAGTAGAATGGTGGTTGCCAATGTACGAGCGGAGGTGGGGAAGAGGAGTTGTTTCATGGATAGAGTTTCAGCTTGCAGATGAAAAAAGTTCTGGAGATTGACTGCACAACGATATGAATCTACTTAACACTACTGAAGTGTACACTTAAAAAACGGTTAAGATGGCAGATTTTGTACGTATTTTAACACAATTTTTTAAGGTGAAAAAAAAATCCCCCAAAGATACCCATGTTTTAAGATCGGTTTAGTTTCTAATTTGGAAATCATTTTTTAAACACTCCATTATTACTCTAGAATTGAGCGTCAGGAACAAGTGAAAACTCTTTAAACTCTGGAGCTGCTCCTGCGACCTTTCACCTAGAACTCACACGCATTCGGCCAGGCACGCACTCCTGCTAAACTCAGGGAGGGCCGGCACTGGGGGCGGCGTGGTGACTCCCCCTCGGCCCTTTACCCGTGGAAAAGGTTTCTACACTGCTGCCATCCTGTAATACAAAAGTTTGTGTTCCTTTTCACACGTTACCGCAGATTCTCGGTGCACAGTGCCCAGCGCGGACCAGAGCTCAGAGCGTGCCCAGGCAGTATCCTTGACCTCCCACAGCCGGGCCGGCCAGCCCGGGCGATCCGCGGCGGCCCCACCGAGACGCGCCCTTCGCCCGACAGGGTCTCTCCCCGCGCCGCCCCTACCCCCTTACCCGGTGTTGGGTAACATGACTTTCGTAGATCAGAGGAGGTGGCGGCGACAGCGGCGGCGGCGAGCAGAGAGCTAAAGCTGGACCGTCCCTCCGCATTTATCCCCGCCCCTGCCCCGCCCCTGCCCCCCCCGATGCCTGTGCGGGAACTGCGCGCGGAAAAGCCGGGATCGCCGAGTGCGCCTGCGTATGCAGTGGGCCTCCTGCGCCCAGCGTTCCTCTTCGTCGCCTCCCAAGCCTGGTCCCTGATTGCAGGCTCTCCGCGCAGGCGCTTTGAGGCACAGCTCCGCCCCGCCCCCTCACTGGTCGTACGGTGACAATCAGGCTCCTGTCGGCGCCTAGCGTCTGGGCAGCGTCAGCCGCTACGTCCACCTTTTCCCTGTCTCTAGGGGTTTCTCCTCGCGCCGCTGTGTTCCAGCGCCGGCTCCGAGCTGGGAGGGTGACTGAGCCCTGAGCTTGGGCCCTCCGAGAGGTGCGTTAGCTCTGGGTCTTCTTGCCCCTACGCCCGAGCCTGGCGTTCTCTCGGCCCCCTCTTAGGAACGCTAGCCCTGGGCAGAAATTGCCTTTGTGGCTGAAGTCGGCCAGCGTCGCGTTTCCACTCTCCCGCCGAATCTGGACCCAAGCCAGCCTTCCCTTGTGCATCGGTAGATAGCTTGTGTTAAGGCGCCAGCTTCTTGGAACAGAGCTCTCTGCAAAAGTCGCGCTGAAGAATTCATAGTCAAAAGCTGAACTTGCAGAAGTTTCTACTTCTGGAATGAGTGTTGAAATGAGATCAATTCTGACATTCAGTTTCGCTTTTGGGATTATGCCTTGGACTAACTCAGCTACTCTGATGAGCTAAAGACTGTAGTATATTTGAAGGAAGACACGAGGAACTGTTTTGTATTTTGTAGGGATAGAACAGGACCTTGAGGAGATTATTATATGAAGACTAGTTAAAGAAACTAGCCTGGAGATGGCTTATGTACTCTCTCCTTTGTTTTTGTTTTGTTTTTTGAGACGGAGTCTCGCTGTCGCCCACGCTGAAGTGCAGTGGCGCGGATCTCGGCTCATTGTAACCTCCGCCTCCCGGGTTCAAGTGATTCTCCTCCCTCAGCCTCCGGAGTAGCTGGGACTACAGGCATGCATCACCACGCCTGGCTAATTTTTTTGTGTTTTTAGTAGAGACGGGGTTTCGCCATGTTGGGCTGGCTGGTCTCGAGCTCCTGACCTCAAATGATTGGCCCGCCTCGGCCTTCCAAAGTGCTGGGATTACAGGCGTGAGCCTCCGCGCCCGGCCTCTCTCCCCTTTGTTATGGGCCCTAAATGACTCTATTTCCTCCTGCATATCACCTGCCCGACTCCTGTAGGCATTTGAATTGATGATTCATGATACGGTCTTTAGAGGCTCCAGAGGAATTTGCAAATTATTATCATCCACTAAGTGATTGCTGATTACCTGAGATACAGCAGCTCAAAAAGGACAAGGTCTCTGCCTATGGGAGGTATGAGTAGCCAGTGTGTTCTTTAGACTGTTGTTAAGCATTAGGTGTTTTAAGAAGAGTGTTGATAGAGACTGTTAGATGAAAATAACTTACTCTCCTCTCATCCTTAGGAGCACTTGCTGAAGCGTGTATATATCTGTCGAATAGAGTGAATTCTTAGTAACGGGGTGACATTTCCTTCATATCATCTAAAATGTTCTCTCCTTTTTGAAAGCCACAATATCTTCAGTCTGTTAGAGCCTCCTTTCTTGAATTTGTGTGCTTCTATTTCCATTTGTTACGGAAAGAGAGCTCAACGAAGAGGCAAAGCAAACAAAAAACCTTTGCCAATTTTTCAGTCATAACGATATTTTGTGAGCCTAAATACCTGTACTTACACTATTTTTATACTTTGCGATGGCTTTCACAGAAGGCAAATATATTCCTAAATTATTAGAGGTAGTTTTACCAAGCAAGTTTAAATCCATTGTATTCAGTACTTTGACTAGAGTTCATTTAAAGTGTGATTTGGAGTTACCCATGACCTTCTACCCCATTACCTTGATTAACCTAGTGTTAGATTAATGCTAGAGGTGAGGAATGGGTGAAGGAGAGGACTTGTGAACATAATTAGATCTTCATTTTGGAAGGTGAATAATTTTGGCTTAGAACACTTCTGACTGCAGCATGAAGAATAGTTTGTGAGTAGATAAAGGCACAGAAGCCATTTAAAAGCCCATAGTAATGTAATGTGTAAGAAAAGTAGTAACCTGAACTAAGGCAGTAATAGTAGAAATGAAAAGACATACTCAAGATATGGAACCTGGCAGATGTAACTAATGATTAGATGTAGGAGCAAAGGGGGAAGATGGTATCAGTGGTGACCTTCAGATTTCTGGTGTAAAGTCCTGGGAGGATGGTGATAACACAGTAAAGAAGTGAAAACAAATGGTTTGAAAAATAGATGTCTTGAAAGTCAGGTAAGTCTCACTCATTTCACCCCTTCTCAGCTTGATAAAACTACCTAAAAATGCAACAGTTTCCTGACAGACTACTGGTTACAACACATTCTCCCAACCAATTTATATCCCTTAAGTTTTGGTTATATGCAACATTAATGTAATTTGGCTAATTTAAACCAAATTAAAGGGGTTGGAGAATTTAGAAGAATTCTGGGATAGTTTATATAACTTAAGGAAGAGCTGAACAACTAAGCTTGACAATGGGAACTAAGGTGCTTCCATGATCCTCAGCAGCATGATCTTTCTAGAATGCATTGTAGGTGGCTTCCCTGTCTTTTCTGTGTATCTGTTCAAGCTTCAAATACTAAGACAGTCTAGTACAATGTGTTTCGTTTTGTTTTGTTTTTTTGAGATAAGATCTTGCTCTGTCACCCAGGCTGGAGTGTAGCAGCATGATCATGGCTCACTGTAGCCTCAACCTCCTGGGCTCAGCCACCCAAGTAGCCAGGACCACGGGCATGTGCCACCACACCTGGCTAATTTTACTTTTTATAGACACAGGGGTCTCACTATGTTGCCCAGGTTGGTCTTGAACTCCTCACCTCAAGCAATCCTCCCACCACACAGCCTTCCAAGGTGCTGGGAAATGTTTCAACCTGTAAATTAGTTGGCCATGGCCAGGGACACAAGTGGATATGGACAATGGGGAAGTAACACAACATTGCATACCTACCTACCCCAGGTCATGGAAGTTGCGTAAATGTAGAGCAAGTAAATTGGCATTCATAATTCTGGGAAGAAAGGGGTCATAAAACTTTTTATTTCATAGGGCTTGTGATGGTTAATACTGAGTGTCAACTTGATGGTATTGAAGGATGCAAAGTATTGGTCTTGGGTGTATCTGTGAGGGTATTGCCAAAGGACATTAACATTTGAGTCAGTGGGCTGGGAAGGGCAGACCCACCCTTAATCTGAGTGGGTACCATCTAATCAGCTGCCAGTGAATATAAGACAGGCAGAAAAACCTGAAAAGATGAGACTGGCCTAGCCTCCCAGCCTACATCCTTCTCCTGTGCGTTTATCCCCTTCTTGCCCTCCAACATCAGACTCCAGGTTCAGTTTCGGGACTTGGACTGGCTCTCCTTGCACCTCAGCTTGCAGATGGCCTATTATGGGACCTTGTGATCATGTGAGTTAATACTTAATAGGCTGGGCGCGGTGGCTTATGCCTGTAATCCCAGCACTTTGGGAGGCCGAGGCAGGCGGATCACAAGGTCAAGAGATGGAGACCATCCTGGCCAACGTGGTGAAACCCCATCTCTACTAAAAATACAAAAAGTAGCTGGGCGTGGTAGCACACACCTGTAGTCCCAGCTACTCGGGAGGCTAAGGCAGGAGAATCGCTTGAACCTGGGAGGCGGAGGTTGCAGTGAGCGGAGACCACGCCACTGCACTCCAGCCTGGTGACAGACCGAGACTCTTTCTCAAAAAAAAAAAAAAAAAAAACTTAATAAACTCCCCTACACACACACACACACACACACACACACACACACACACGTATATAAGGAAGTAATAGGATATATATATATATATATATATCCTCTAGAGAACCCTGACTAATACGGATTTTGGTACCAGAAGTAGGGTCCAGAACAGGAGAAGGCTCTGCAACAGGTCCAGGCTGCTGTGCAAGCTGTTCTGCCACTTGGGCCATATGACCCAGCAGATCCAATAGTGCTTGAGGGATGAGTGGCAGATAGGGATGCTATTTGGAGCCTTTGCCAGGCCACCATAAATGAATCACAGTGGAGGCCTCTAGGATTTTGGAGCAAGACCCTGCCTTCTTCTGCAGATAACTACTCTCCTTTTGAGAGACAGCTCTTAGCCTGTTACTGGGCTTTGGTGGAAACTGAACGTTTGACTATGGGTCATTAAGTCACCATGTGACCTGAACTGCCTATCATGAACTGGATGCTTTCTGACCCATCTAGCCATAAAGTGGGTCGTGCA
The DNA here is from genome assembly GCF_000001405.40 of Homo sapiens. NCBI lineage: Eukaryota > Metazoa > Chordata > Mammalia > Primates > Hominidae > Homo > Homo sapiens. The sequence goes on along the minus strand of NC_000009.12, from coordinate 112,375,745 downwards.
CAGCAGTATTCCATCATCAAGTGGAAGTGTTATATGCATGATTGGGCTCTAGCAGGTCCTGAAGGCACCTGAGGAATAAGTTACATGAGGAAGTGGCTCAAATGCTCATGGTCTCCGCTCGTGCCACCCTGCCTTCTTTGCCCTAGCCTGCACCAGTGGCCTCATGGGGAGTTCCCTATGATCATGATCAGTTGACATGATCAGTTGACAGAGGAAGAGAAGACTAGGGCCCGGTTCACAGATGGTTTTGCATGATACGCAGGCATCATCTGAAAGTGGACAGCTGCAGCACTACAGCCCCTTTCTAGGACATCCCTGCAGGCCAGCAATAAAGGGAAATCTTCCCAGTGGGCAGAACTTCCAGCAGTGCACCTGGATGTGCACTTTGCATGGAAGGAGAAATGGCCAGATGTATGATTATACACTAATTCATGGGCGGTAGCCAGTGATTTGGCTGGATGGTCAGGGACTTGGAAGAAGCAAGATTGGAAAATTGGTGACAATAAAATTTGGGGAAGAGGTATGTAGATGGACCTCTCTGAATGCTCAAAAACTGTGAAGTGCTAACCAACGGGTGACCTTAGCAGAGGAGGATTTTAATAATCAAGTGGATAGGATGACTCGTTCTGTGGACACCACTCAGCCTCTTTCCCCAACCACCCCTGTCATCATCCAGTGGACCCGTGAACAAAGTGGCCATGGTGGCAGGGATGGAGGTTATTCATGGGCAACAGGGACTTCCACTCACCAAGGCTGACCTGGCTACAGCCACTGCTGAGTGCCCAATTTGCCAGCAGCAGAGACCAACACTGAGCCCTCAATATGGCACAGTTCCTCATGGTGATAAGCCAGCTACCTGGTGGCAGGTTGATTATATTGAACCTCTTCCATCATGGAAAAGGCAGAGGTTTGTCCTCACTGGAATAGACACTTACTCTGGATATGGGTTTGCCTATCTTGTACACAATGCTTCTGCCAAGACTACCATCCATGGACTCACAGAATGCCTTATCCACTGTCGTGGTATTCCACACAGCATTGCCTCTGAACAAGATACTTACTTTATGGCTAAAGAAGTGTGGCAGTGGGCTCATGCTCATGGAATTCACTGGTCTTACCATGTTCCCCATCATCTTGAAGCAGCTGGATTGATAGAACAGTGGAATGGCCTTTTGATGTCACAATTACAACACCAACTAGGTGACAATACTTTGCAGGGCTGGGGCAAAGTTCTCCAGAAGGTTGTGTATGCTCTGAATCAGTGTTCAATATATGGTACTGTTTCTCCCATAGCCAGGATTCATGGGTCCAGGAATCAAGGGGTAGAAGTGGAAGTGGCACTACTTACCGTAACGCCCAATGATCCACTAGCAAATATTTGCTTCCTGTTCCTGTGACATTACATTCTGATGGCCTAGAGGTCTTAGTTCCAGAGGGAGGAATGCTGCCACCAGGAGACACAACAATGATTCCATTAAATGGGAAGTTAAGATTGCCACCTGGACATTTTGTGCTCCTCCTACCTTTTAAGTCAATGGGCTAAGAAGGGAGTTAGTGTTGCCTGGTGTGATTGACCCGGATTATCAAGATGAAATCAGTCTACTACTCCACAGTATTCACAGGAGATCCATTAGGGCATCTCAGTGTTACCATACCCCGTGGTTAAGGTCGATGGGAAACTACAGCAGCCCAATCCAAGCAGGACTATAAATGGCCCAGACCCTTCAGAAATGAAAGTTTGGGTCACCCCACCAGGAAAAAAAAACCACGACCTGCTGAGCTGCTTGATGAAGGCAAAGGGAATACAGAATGGGTAGCAGAAGAAGATAGTCATCAATACCAGCTATGACCACGTGACCAGTTGCAGAAACAAGGACTGTAATTGTCATGAGTATTTCCTTCTTTTGTTAAAAACATGTTTGTGTAGGTGTACACTTGTACTAAGAAAATATCTTCATTTTATTTCCTTTTTCCTTTATCATGTGACATAAGATTTATTGACTTCATGTCAGCATTTAAGTATTGTTAACTTTATGTAACAGCATTTGGATTGGGGAAGGATAGTTGTATTATGTTAGGCGGAATTCTGATCTTATTGTCTTTATTTGAAGATTACGTATGTTCTCAGGAGATGTGTATGGGTTCAAGTTGACAAGGGGTGGACTTGTGATGGTTAATACCGAGTGTCAACTTAATTGGATTGCAGGATGCAAAGTATTGATCCTCGGTGTGTCTGTGACAGTGTTGCCAAAGGAGATTAAAATTTGAGTCAGTGGGCTAGGGAAGGCAGGCCCACCCTTAATCTGGGTGGGCACCATCTAATCAGCTGCCAGTGAATACAAAGCAGGCAGAAAAAATGTGAAAAGGTTAGAATGGCCTAGCCTCCTAGCCTACATCTTTCTCCCAAGCTGGATGCATCCTGCCCTTGAACATCAGACTCCAGGTTTTTCAGTTTTGGGGCTCAGACTGGCTCTCCTTGTTCCTCAGCTTGTACATGGCTTATTGTGGGACCTTGTGATCATGTGAGTTAATACTTAATAAACTCATGTAGGCTGGGCCTGGTGGCTCATGCCTGTAATCCCAGCACTTTGGGAGGCTGAGATGGGCAGATCACAAGGTCAGGAGATCGAGACCATCCTGGCTAACACGGTGAAAGCCTGTCTCTACTAAAGATACAAAAAAAAATTAGCCGGGCATGGTGGCGGGCACTGTAGTCCCAGCTACTTGGAAGGCTGAGGCAGGAGAATTGCTTGAACCTGGGAGAGGCTGCAGTGAGCTGAGATCGCACCATTGCATTCCAGCCTGGGCAACAAGAGTGAAACTTCATCTCAAAAAAAAAAAAAAAAGAAAGCCTATGAATTCAAGGAAGTACGTATATGTTCACGGCAGCATTATTCATAATAGCCAAAAGGTGGAAACAAATGTCTATCAACTAATGAATGGATAAACACAATATGGTATATGCATTCAATAGAATATGATTCAGCTATAAAAAGGAATGAAGTACTGATACATGCTAAAATATGAATGAACCTCAAAAACGTTGTGCTAAGTGAAAGAAGGCAGACACAAAAGGTCACCTATTTTATGATTCCATTTCTATAAATAATGTCCATAATAGGTAAATCTGTAGAGATAGAAAGCAGATTGGTGGCTGCCAGAGGCCAAGGGAAGGGGGCAATAGAGAGTAACTGCTTAATTGGTATGGAGTTTCGTTTTGGGGTGATGAAAATGTTATGGGACTAGATAGAGGTAGTAGTCACACAACATAGTAATTATACTAAATGTCAATGAAAATTTCACTTTAAGATTGTTAATTTCATATGTGAATTCCACCTCGTTTTTTTAAACAAAAAAATTTATGGAAAACCAGGTGCAGTTGCTCATGCATGTAATCCCAGCACTTTAGGAGGCCAAGGCAGGAGAATTGCTTGAAGCCAGGAGTTCAAGACCAGCCTGGCAACATAGTGAGACCCTGTCTCTACAAAAAAAATTCTTTTAATTAGCTGGACATGGTGACATGTGCCTGTAGTTCCAGGTACTCAGGAGGGCTGAGGAGGGAGGATCACTTGAGCCCAGGAGCTTGAGGGGGCTGAAGTAAGTTATGATTGCACCACTACACTCCAGCCTTGGTGACAGAATAAGACCTTGTCTCTGAAAAGAAAAAAGAATCTATGGAAGAAAAATTTTTAACAGAACATGGCTGATGCAGAAAACTCTTCAAGACCCAGCCCCCTTTTTACAGTTGTGCTTTGGAGAACAATACCTAAGCAATGAAGAATAAACCAGGTCAAGCAACAGAACATGACTCCATCTCTACAAAAAATAAAACAAAAAAATAGCCATTAGCCAGATGTGGTGGTGCATGCCTGTGATCCCAGCTACTTGGGAGGCTGAGGCAAAAGGATCCCTTATGCTTGGGTGGTTGAGGCTGCAGTGGGCCATGATCATGCCACTGCACTCTAGCCTAGGTGACAGAGTGAGATGCTGTCTCAAAAAACAAAAATGAATGAATTGTGAACTAAGAAATAAAGGTGTAACTTTTATGACTACCTTGAGCACCAGTGGGATCTGGTAAAAAAAAAAAAAAAAAAAAAAATCTACTAAAAACTTCTCCAGTTCTCATTCTCCTGGATTTTGGAAGCAGAACCGATCTATGAATTGAGAAATACACCAAAGCTCTTGAACAATGTGTGGAGGAGAGTGCTCTAATAAGTTTATTTTGCATTCTCCAAGGTAATAATTTTATATCTTTTCATGTGGAATGTCCACCAACCTCTTCTAGCAGTTTCATAGTTGAGTTGAAACAGATGAATTAGGGGTTCACGTGAAAAATCCAAGTGCAATTAGTAGGAGCAATCCAGTATTGAGAAAACAAGACAGCAAGTAGTAGGTCAAGGATGTAGAATGAGGCAGCAAGGAGTCTAGCAGTAAGAAACATGTTGAAATCTGGACAGTAAGTAGTTGGGCATTAACCACAGAGGTTGGGGAGAACTGCAGTCTTTAGGAAATGATTCATATGATTATTTCAGGTGCTATACCCAAAACAGGTGAGTAAGACAAAGATGTCTACTTTGGGCACTTATATTCAACATTGTACTGGGGGCAATAGCCAGAACAATTAGATAAGAAAAAGAAAAAAAGCACCCAGACTGGAAAGGAAGGAGTAAAACTATCTTTACTTGCAGATGACATGATCTTATATCTAGAAAAACCTAAGGAATCCACAAAAAAAAACTACTAGAGCTAATAAATGAATTTACTAAGGTTGTAGGAGGCAGAATATTAAAAATGCAACCTTATTTATATACACTAGTAATAAATAATCCAAAAAGGAAATTAATAAATTTCATTTATAAGAACATCAAAATGAATAAAATACATGGAATAAATTTAGCCAAAAAATGCAAGATTTATACAAAAACTAAAAAACGTTGCTGAAAGAAACTGAAGAAGACCTAAATAAATGGCAAGGCATTCCAGTTCATGGGTTGAAAGACTTAAAATTGTCAAATTACAATACTCCTCAAAGCAATCTACAAATTCAATACAATCCCTATCAAAATTATAATAGCTTTATTCATAGAAATGGAAAAGCCAATCCTCAAATTAATGTGGACTTGTGAGACATCCCCAATAGCTAAGACAATTTGAAAAAGAACAACACAATTGGAGGACTCATACTTCCAGATTTTTTTTTTAATTGAAACGGGGTCTCACTCTGTCATCCAGTCTGGAATGCAGTAGCGCAATCTCGGTTCACTGCAACCTCCACCTCCTGGGCTCAAGTGATCCTCCCATCTCAGCCTCCTGAGTAGCTAGGACCACAGGCATGCATGACCACACCACTATTTTTTTGTATTTCTGGTGGAGATAGGGTTTTGCCATGTTGTCCAGGCTGGTCTTGAACTCCTGAGCTCAAGTAATCCACCTGCCTCAGCCTCCCAAAGTGCTGGGATTACAGGCATGAGCCATTGCACCTGGCCCACACTTCCATATTTTAAAACTTACTATAAGGTTACAGTAATCAAAAGTGGGAGCAGTGACATCAGCAAGATGGTAGAAGAGGATTTTCCAGCATTTGTTCCCTTGCAGAAACATTGTATTAGTCCATTTTTATACTGCTATTAAGAAACACCTGAGACTGGATCATTTATAAAGAAAAAGAGGTTTAATAAGCTCACAGTTCCACATGGCTAGGGAGGCCTCTCAATCATGGCAGAAGGCAAAGGAGGAGCAAAAGCATGTCTTACATGGTGGCAGGCAAGAGTGTGTGTGCAGGGGAACTGCCTTTTATAAAATCATCAGATCTCATGAGATTTATTCACTATCATGAGAAAAGCATGGGAAAACTGGCCCCTATGATTCAGTTACCTTCACTGGGTCCCTCCCATAATACCATAACACGTGGGTATTATGGGAGCTACAATTTGAGATGAGATTTGGGTGGGGACACAGCCAAACCATATCATTCTGTCCCTGGCCTCTCCCAAATCTCCTGTCCTCGCATTTCAAAACACAATCATGCCTTCCCAACAGTCCCCCAGAGTCTTAACTCATTTCAGCATTAATTCAAAAGTTCATAGTCTGAAGTCTCATCTGAGACAAGGCAAGCCTCTTCCACCTATGAACCTGTAAAATCAAAAGCAAGTTAGTTACTTCCTAGATACAATGTGAGTACAGGCATTCAGTAAATACACCCATTCCAAATGGGAGAAATTGGTCAAAATCAAGGAGCTAAAGGCCCCATGCAAGTCCAAAATCCAGAGGGATAGTCAAATCTTAAAGCTGCAAAATAATCTCCTTTGACTCCGTGTCTCACATCCAGGTCACAGTGATGCAAGTGGTGAGTTCTCATGGTCTTGGGCAGCTCCACCTCCATGGCTTTGCAGGGTACAGACGCCCTCCCAGCTGCTTTCACAGGCTGATGTTGAGTGTCTGTGACTTTTCCAGGTACATGGTGCAAGCTGTCAGTGGGTCTGTCATTCTAGGACCTGGAGGATGGTGGCCCTCTTCTCACAGCTCCACTAAGCAGTATCCCAGTGGGGACTCTGTGTAGGGGTTTCCACCCCAAATTTCCCTTCCACACTGCCCTAGCAGAGGTTCTCCATGAGGGCTCTGCCCCTGCAGCACACCTCTGCTTGGACATCCAGGTGTTTCTATACATCCTGTGAAATCTAGGTGGAGGTTCCCAATCCTTAATTCCTCACCTCTTTGCATCTGCAGGCACAAGACCTCGTGTAAGCCATCAAGGCTTGGGGATTGGACCCTCTGAAGCAATGGCCTGAGCTGTACATTGGCCCCTTTTAGCCATGGCTGGGGCACAGGGCACCAAGCAGCAAGGCCCTGGCCCTGGCCCATGAAACCATTTCTTTCTCCTAGGTCTCCCAGCTTGTGATGGGAGGGACTGCCGTGAAGACCTCTGACATGCCCTGGAGACATTTTCCCCCGTTGTCTTGATAATTGACATTTGGCTCCTCGTTACTTATGCAAATTGGCTAAGTTCACAGAGGTATTTCATCTCCCCTGGCCCAAAGCACTCCCACTAGTGCTGCATACACTCCAATCCATCCCTTTGGGAAAACATCAATTGTCCCCTTATGAAATTATAATGGGAAGGCCCATGTGTATGGGAATGAAAATAACCAATCCAACTTTTCTCAAGGGAGTTATATTGTAATATTGTGAGGGAATCATTTATCACCTTAAAAAAAAAAAGCCAAGATTTGATAAAGAATTCCTTTCACAGTGTGCTCCCTGAAGATAAGGTACCTGGGCTGGGCACGGTGGCTCACACCTGTAATCCCAGCACTTTGGGAGGCCAAGGTGGGTGGATAACTTGAGGTCAGGAGTTCGAGACCAACCTGGCCAACATGGCGAAACCCTGTCTCTACTAAAAATACAAAAATTAGCTGGGTGTGGTGGCGCACGCCTGTAATCCCAGCTACTCAGGAGGCCGAGGCACAAGAATCGCTTAAACCTGGGAGACAAAGGTTGCAGTGAGCCGAGGTTGCACCATTGTACTCCAGCCTGGGCAACAGAATGACGCTCTGTCTCAAAAAATAAAAAATACAAATACAAAAATTAGCCAGGCATGGTGGTGCATGCCTGTAGTCCCAGCTACTAGAGAGGCTGAGGTGGGAGGATTGCTTGAATCCAGGAGGCAGAGTTTGCAGTGAACCAAGATTGTGCCACTGCACTCCAGCCTGGGTGACAGAGTGAGACTTCGTCTCAACAACAACAATGAAAAGAACAAAAAGAAAAAAAAACTGAAGAAAGCCTACAGGAATCATGGGATATCATCAAACAAACTAATATATACATTATGGGAGTTCCAGAAGGAACAGTGAAAGAGAAGGGGGCAGAAAACTTATTTAAAGAAACAATGACAGAAAACTCCCCAAATTGGGAAGGGAAATGAACATCCAAATCCATGAAACCCAAAGAATCCCAAATAGATTAAATATAAAGAGATCTTCACTGAGGCCCATTATAATCAAATCATCAAAGTCAAAGATAGAAAGAATTTTGAAAGCAGCAAGAGAAAAGGAACTCATTACATACAAGGGAACCATCATAAGATTATCATTGCATTTCTCAGTAGAAACCTTGCAGGCCAGGAAACCATGGGAATATATTCAAAATGTTGAAAGATGAAAAAACTTGGCAACTAACAATACTATACCTGACTAAGAATACTATACCTGCCAACTAACAATACTATACTGTTCTGAAGGTCAGTAATGCTGTCCTTCAGAAATAAAGGAGATAAGAACCTAGCCAAAAAACAAAACAAAACAAAAAAACCCAAAACACAAACAAAAAAACCTGTGGGAGTTCATCACCACTACATCTGCTTTACAAGAAATGCTAAAGGGAGTTCTTTGTGTTGAAACAAAAGAATAATAGCTAACAAAATGAAAACATGCAAGTATAACATTCACTGTAAGGGTAAAAATAGTCAAATTCAGAATACTCTAATATAGTAATGGGGGTACATAAATCACTTTTAACTGTAGTCTAAAGTTTTTTTATGTATTAAAATATAGCTATAATAATTTGGTCATGGATAGACAACATACAAATTGTAACATCAATAACATAAAATGTGGGAAGAAAAGTTAAAATGCAAAGTTCTTGTGATGAAAGTTAAGCTAGTGTCAACTTAAAATAGACTGTGATAAGATATTTTATGTTAGGCTCATGGTAACCACAAAGAAAGCAGGGCAGTCAAATCTTAAAGCTCCAAAATGATCACCTTTGACTCCATGTCTCACATCCAGGCCATGCTGATGCAAGAAGTGAGTTCCCACAGTCCTGGGCAGCTCCACCCCTGTGGCTTTACAGGGTATAGCCCCCCTCCTGGCTGCTTTCACAGGCTAGGATTGAGTGTCTGCAGCTTTTCCAGGTGAATGGTGAAAGCTGTCAGTGGATCTATCATTCTGGGGCCTGGAAGACGGTAGCCCTCTTCTCACAGCTCCACTAGGTGGTGCCCCACTAAGGACTGTGTGGAGGCTCTGATTCTACCTTTCCCTTCTGCACTACCCTAGCAGCGGTTCTCCATGAGGGCCCACCCCTGCAGCAAACTTCTGCCTGGGCATCCAAGCATTTCTACGCATCTTTGGAAATCTAGGTGGAGGTTCAGAAACCCCAAATCTTCTGTGAACTTGCAGGCTCACCACCACGTGGAAGCTTCCGAGGATTGGGGTTTGAACCCTCGGAAGCCATGGCCCAAGCTCTATATTGGCCCCTTTCATCCATGGCTGGAGTGGCTGGAAAGCAGGGTGCCAAGTCCCTAGGCTGCACACAGCTTGGGAACACTGGACCCAGTTCATGAAACCATTTTTTCCTCCTGTGATGGGAGGGGCTGCCATGAAGACCTCTGACATGCCCTGGCAACATTTCCCCCATTCTCTTGGGAATTACCATTCAGCTCCTCATTACTTATGCAATTTTTTTTTTTTGAGACAGAGTCTTACTCTATTGCCCAGGCTGGAGTGCAATGGTGTGTCTTGGCTCACTGCAATCTCCGCTTCCTGGGTTCAAGCAATTATTGTGCCTTAGCCTCCTGAGTAGCTGGGACTACAGGCATGCACCCCCACACCCAGCTAATTTTTGTATTTTTAGTAGAGACTGGGTTTCACCATGTTGGCCAGGCTGGTTTCGAACTCCTGACCTCATGATCCACCCACCTTGGCCTCCCAAAGTGCTGGGATTACAGGCCACTGTGCCCAGCCACTTATGCAAATTTCTGCAGCTGGCTTGAATTTCTCCTCAGAAAATGGGATTTTCTTTTCTATCGCATTGTCACGCTGCAAATTTTCAGAACTCTGCTTCCCTTATAAAATGGAATGCCTGTAACAGCACCCAAGTCACTTTTGCTCCAGTTATCAACAAGTTTCTCATCTCCATCTGAGACCACCTCAGCCTGGATTTCATTATCCATATCATTATCAGCATTTTGATCAAAACTATTCAACAAGTCTCTAGGGAGTTCCAAACTTCTCCACGTTTTCCTGTCTTCTTCTGAGCCCTCCAAACTGTTCCAACCTCTGTCTATTACCGGTTCCAAAGTCACTTCCACATTTTTCGGTATCTTTTCAGCAGCACCCCACACCACTGGTACTAATTTACTGTATTAGTCCATTTTCATGCTGCTGATAAAGACATACCCAAGACTGGACAATTTACAAAAGAAAGGGGTTTAATGGACTTACAGTTCCACATGGCTGGGGAAGCCTCACAGTCATGAAGGAAGGCAAGACGGAGCAAGTCACATCTTACATGGATGGCAGCAGACAAAGCGAAAGAGTGTGTGCAAGGAAACTCCCATTTTTAAAACCATCAGATCTCATGAGACTTATTCACTCTCATGAGAACAGCAAGGGAAAGACCCACCCCCATGATTCAATTATCTCCCACTGGGTCCCTCCCACAACACATGGGAATTATGGGAGCTACAAGATGAGATTTGCCTGGGATCACAGAGCCAAACCATATCAGTGTCCATCAATGGATGAATGGATAAAGAAAATGTGACATATGTATAGATAGATACATACATATATAGATACATAGATAGATAGATAGACATATACAATGAAATACTATTAAGCCTTAAAGAAGAAAGAAATCCTGTCATTTGTGATAACATGGATGAACGTGGAAGACATTATGCTAAGTGATATAAGCCAGCCACAGAAAGGCATGATCTCACTTATGTGTGGAATCTAAAAATGTTGAACACGTAGAAGCAGCAAATAGAAGGGTGGCTGCCAGAGGCTGGGTTGTGGTGGGGGTGGAGGAATGGAGATATGTAGATTACACGGTACTGAAACTGTTAGATAGGGTCAGTAAGTTCTGGAAATCTAATATACAACATAGTGACTTAGTTAGTGGTAATGTATGTAAGTATGCCTTGTTTTATGGAGCTTCACTTTATTGTACTTCACAGATAATGCATTTTTTACAAATTGAATATTTCTGTCAACCCTGTGTCACGCAAGTCAATTGGTGCCATTTTTCCAATAATGTGTCCTCACTTTGTGTCTCTGTCATATTTTCCTAATTCTCACAATATTTCTTTTTTAAATTTCTTAATTTTTTAAAAATAGAGACAGGGTCTTGCCCTGTTGCACAGGCTAGAGTACAGTGGCGTGATCATAGCTCACTGCAGCCTTAGACGCCTAGGCTCAAGCTATCCTTCCACCTCAGCCTCACGAGTAGCTGGTTCTACAGGCTTATAGTTTTTGTAAAGACAGGGTCTTGCTGTGTTGCCCAAGCTGGTCTTGAACTCCTGGCTCAAATGATCCACACACCTCGGTTTCCCAAAGTGCTGGGATTACAGGCATGAGCCATGGTGCCTGGCCCCCTGGTACTTTTCTTTACCAAAATACTTATAAAAGGTTAGTATGCTCTTTTGCTTTTCTTCTGCTTTGCAAATAACTAGGGCTTTTTTTTTGTCTTCTTGAAATTCTCTTATCAAATTAAACTTTTATTGCCTGTTTTTAAAGATCTTGCTACTGTGAGACCCTGTCTCAAAAAAAAAAAAAAAAAAAAAAAAAAAAAGAACTGACCTAGCAAGCCACAGTGACATGGAGGAAAGTTAAATGCATATTACTAAGCGAAAGAAGCCAGTCTGGAAAGGGTACACACTGTATGATTCCAAATATATGACATTCTGAAGAGGCAAAACTATGGAGACAGTAAAAAGGATCAGTGTTTGCCGGTAGTTAGTGAGGAGGGAGGGATCAATAGGCAGAGATCAGAAGATTTTTAGGGCAGTAAAACTATTCTGTATGATACCATAATGTTACAGATATGTCATTATATATTTGTCAAAATTCACAGAAGGTACAACACAGAGTGAACCCTATGGATTTTGGTTGATAATGATATGTCAATGTTGGTTTATTGATTATATCAAATTTACCATACCAACTGGGGCTGTTAATGGTGGAGGAGGGAGTATGTGGAAACTCTCAGTACTTTTTGCTCAATTTTTCTGTGAATCTAGCACTCTTCTAAAAAATCAAGTCTAATAATTACAAAACAAAAGCAAAAACCATGTGGTATTGGCATAGGGATAGACATATAGATCAATTAATAGAATAAATAAACTGATACACTTATGCTCTATTGATTTTCAGCAAGCATACCAAGACTAATAGGTCAAGAATAGCCTTTGTGTGTGTGTGTGTGTGTGTGTGTGTGTGTGTGTGTGTGTGTGACAGTTTTGCTCTGTAGCCCAGGCTGAGGTGCATTGGTGTGTGGATCTTGGCTCACTGCAGCCTCAACCTCCTGGGCTCATGCAGTCGGCCCACTTCAGCCTCCCGAGTAACTGGGACTACAGGCTGGTATTTTTTGTAGAGACAGGTCTCACCATGTTGCCCAGGCTGGGCTTGAACTCCTGGGCTCTAGAGATCTGCCCTCCTCAGATTCCCAAAGTTCTGAGATCACAAGCGTGTGCTACCAAGCCCAGCCCCAGATATTCGTATTAACTAGATATTCTTATTCATAAAAGAATGAGTTTGGACCCACCCCCTGACTCCATCTCAAAAATTATATGAAAATTAATTTTTCACAGTTTTTATGGTTTTATTTCAACACAAAACATGCACATGAGCTGTCTATTCCCTTTCTTTGCTGTGCTGCCTGGCATTGCGACTGGTGACTCTGATGGCCAGCTGGGCTGCCCTTTCCATGATGGCTTTGCAGTTCCAGAGGACACATTGTGAGCTATCTCAGGACAGTAAGATTTTCTGCATGTCAGCAGCCCTTCCAAGTCCTTGACAATGCGTACCAGAAACTTCCAGAAGCCGCTGGGCAGCATGTGCTTTGTGTTTTCATTGCTTCTCTATAACCAATGTTGGGCATCAAGATCTGGCCCTTGAATCTTCTATGAACGCAGTTGTCTCTGGGTTTCCACCGGTTATGCTTAATTTTGACATATTGTTCTGACTGGTGGTGAATGAACTTCTTGCTCCTCTTTTTGATGATCTTGGGCTTCATGAGGGGTCTGATGGTGGCCATGATGGTGAGTAAGAGATGGCTCTAAAAATCAACCCCAAATGGATCAAAGACCTTAAATGTAGGAGCTAAAATTATAAAGCTCTTGAAAGAAAACATAAGGGTAAATCTTCATGACCTTGGATTTGACAATGGATTCTTAAATATGACACCAAAAGCACAAGCCACAGAAGGGAAAAAAAAGAAGATACATTGAACTTCATAAGAATTAAAATAATTAATTTGTGCATCCCAGGACACTATCAAGAAAGTGAAAAGACAACCTAGAGAATGAGAAAAAATACTTATAAATCATATACCTGATAAGGCTCCAGTGTCCAATATATACACAGAATTCTTACAACAGCTACAGAAAAATGAACAACCCAACTAAAAAATGGGCAACGATTTGAATAGATATTTTTTCTTTTCCTTTTGCTAGACAGGGTCTTACTTTGTTGCTCAGGTGCAACCATGGCTCACTGCAGCCTCAACCTCTCCCTCTCAGTTATCCTCCCCTCTCAGCCTCCTGAGTAGCTGAGACTACAGACTCATACTTTTTGTAGAGACAGGGTCATGCCATGTTGCTTAGGCTGGTCTCAAACTCCTGAACTCAAGCAATCCTCCTGCCTCAGCCTCCCAAAGTGCTGGGATTACAGGTGTGAGCCACAATGCCTGTCCCCAAATAGATAATTTTCTAAAGAAGATATACTAATGGCAACAAGCACATGAAAAGATGCTCAATAGCATTACTTAGGGAAATGCAAATCAAAACCACAATGAGATTCCACTGTACACCCACTAGGTTGACTATAATAAAAAAAAGGAAAGTAACAAGTGTCGGATGGGATGTGGAGAAATTAGAACCCTCATACGTTACTGGTGGAAGTATAAAATGGTTCAGTAGCTTTGAAAAACAGTTTGGCAGTCTCTCAGGTTAAACACACTTGCTAGTTCCCGAATGTCCACAGTCAAAAGAGCAATTCCACTTTTTGGTATGTATACCGAAGAGAAATAAAAACATGTTTAGAGTCACCACCAGGTGGCACTGTTATTTTAAAATTCAAAATTGTATAATGCCACAAAATGTTAATTTATTAACAATATTGTGATATAATAATTGACTTGGGTTAAGGCAAAAATAACAAAGTTTTCTATAGCTCTCAAAAAAGGAAAATAAGGTAGAAATTTAAATGTCTTAATGAAAATAATGCTTTGAATCATTAAAACAGGATATGATACTCCAATCCATTTTATATTATTAACGTTTTCAAAATTACCATAAAATGGACAAAGTTATCTTCCCTTGTTTTGTGGCTTCTAAAGTCTATGAAGTTTAGGCTGGGTGCCATGGCTTACACCTGTAATCCCAGCACTTTGGGAGGCCGAGATGGGCAGATCACCTGAGGTCAGGAGTTCAAGACCAGCCTGACCAACATGGTGAAACCCCGAATCTACTAAAAATACAAAAAAATTATCCAGGTATGGTGGTGGAGGCCTGTAATCCCAGCTACTTGGGAGGCTGAGGCAAGAGAATCATTTGAACCCAGGAGGCAGAGGTTTCAGTAAGCCAAGATCTCACCACTGCACTCCAGCCTGGGCAACAGAGTGAGACTCTGTCTCAAAAAAACAAAAAATAAATAAATAAATAAAGTCTATGAAGTTTAATTCTCCAATGTTAAAAAGTAATTTTCAAGTATATAGGAGATTGAAAATGCCTGATCAAATTGAAATATTAAAGGATATGACACTGACAACAACTTTAAGCTTAAGTTATCAAATAAGGACTCTCCTAACCCTGAGCTTGCATAATAATCCATTTTTTAAAGTGTGTAATTTAGTAACCTTCCAATTTCTTGACCACAACCCACAAAAGGAAATAAATTATTTATTCAGACCCAGTACAAAGTTTTTATTCTATTTTATTTGAATCTTGTCTGCCTTGTTAAAAAAAAAAAGTTGATTCTAACCTACTAAATAAGTTTGGTGACTCATTAATGGATCGTAACCTACTGTTAGTCGTATTATAACTTGCCATTGAAATTTTTCCATTTGAGTTTTAAGATGTTTTAGGCTTCTCCAGTGAAAAATAATGTTACAAATTGATGGTCAGAGGCCAACAACAATATAATGTGACTCAGAGCAGATGATTTCAATGGCTTTGAGAGAGTCCCACATCTCTTAAAAATTTCCATTTCCTTTACCCACAAGACAGCTCACCCTGTCTCAGAATCACCTGAGAAATCCTTGTGAGCCAGAAACTGTACCTCATGCCTGTAATCGTAACACTTTAGGAAGCCAAGGTGGGAGGATCACTTGAGCCCAGGAGTATGAGACCAGCCTGGGCAACAGTGACACCCTGATTCTACAAAAAAAAATTTAAAAATTAAGCCAGGTGTGGTGGTGCATGCTTGTAGTCCCAGGTCCTTAGAAGGCTGAGGTGGGAGCACTGCTTGAGCCCAGGAGTTTTAGGCTCCAGTGAGCTGTAAGTGCATCACTGCACTCCAGCCTGGGCAACAGAGCAAGACCCTGTCTTGGAAAAAAAAATTCCTTTGGGTTTTAGGGGTGGTAGTTGCTTCTGATAATGTACCAAGCCTTCTGCGTAGAACTCCGAGCTGTGCCTTTTCTTGCTCCATGAATTATTGCCAGTCATTATTTAATTAGTAACTGTTGGATATTAACCTGATTATTGCATTTTAATGTCTATATATTTCTGATTCATGATTCCAACAAGCTAGAGAAACTGAAAGTTCCTCTTTAATACTACCCTTCAGAGATAATCATGTTAACATTTGGCATGTGTCTAAGACTTTGAAATCTTTACATTAATTTTTATAGTTTTTAAGCATGGTGAGATTATGTGTATATTGTATTGTTTTGAAACTTGTTTTTTTTTTGGTGTTTTGTTTTTATTTTTTGAGATGGAGTCTCGCCCTGTCACCCAGGCTTGAGTGCAATGGCACGATCTCGGCTCACGGCAACCTCCGCCTCCCGGCAACCTCCGCCTCCCGGGTTCAAGTGATTCTTCTGCCTCAGCCTCTAGAGTAGCTGGGATTACAGGCACCTGCCACCATGCCCAGCTAATTTTTGAATTTTTGTAGAGACGGGGTTTCAACATGTTGGCCAGGCTCGTCTTGAACTCCCGACCTCAGGTGATCCACCTGCCTAGGCCTCCCAAAGTGCTGGGATTACAGGTGTGAGCCACCGTGCCCAGCCTGAAACCTGTCTTTGGCTTACCTAGTATATTATAAACATCTTTCCACGTTTACATCTAAAACTTTTTTTTCTTTTTGAGACAGAGTCTTGCTCTGTCGCTCAGGCTGGAGTGCAGTGGCGCGATCTCAGCTCACTGCAACCTCTGCCTCCTGGGGTTAAGCTATTCTCTGCCTCAGCCTCCCAAGTATCTGGGACTGCAGGTTCCCGCCATCATACCCGGCTAATTTTTTTTTTCTATTTTTTAGTAAAGATGGGGTTTCACCACGTTGGCCAGGCTGGTCTCAAACTCCTGACCTCAGGTGATCCGCTCACCTCGGCCTCCCAAAGTGCTGGGATTAAGGCATGAGCCACCGCGCCCAGCCTAAAGCTTTTCTTAAAAGTAGATGCGGTCAGGTGCAGTGGCGCACACCTGTAATCCCAGCACTTTGAGAGGCTAAGATGGGAGATTCCCTGAGTCCTGGCGTTTGAGACCAGCCTGGGCAATATTGGGAGACTGTCTCTACAAAAAATTATAAAAATTTTAGCTAGGCATAGTGGCACATGCCTGTGGTCCCATATACTCAGGAGATTGAGGTGGGAGGATCGCTTGAGCCCAGGAGGTCGAGGCTATAGTGATTGTGCCACTGTACTGCAGCCTGGGTAACAGAGCAAGACTCTGTCCCTGCTCCAGTGCCCCCCAAAAAGAAGATGCATCATTTTCCTTTTTGTGAATGTACTCCAAATTGATTTTACCATTCTCATTTGTGATTGACATTTTTTTCTGGAGATGAGGTCTTGCTATGATGTTCAGGCTGGACTTGAACTCTTGGCCTCAAGTGAGTAGCTGGGACTACAGGTTCATGCCAACTTTCCTGGCTGTTATGATAGACATTTAAGTGGTTTTAAAATTTGTCTTTATTATGAATGGTATTTGCCATAAAAAGCCTTTGTGTATACATCATTGCTCACTAGTCATATCTCCATAGAATACATTTCTAGAACTGGGACTGTTTGCTCAGAGGATATACACACTTAATACCCTTTAGCAAGGTTATGCTAATAATTCATACCAGGATTTCTCAGCCGTGGCACTATTGACATTTTGGGTTGGATAATCATTTTTTGTGGGAGGCTGTCATGTGCATTAGAGTATGTTTAGCAGCATTCTTGGTCTGTACCCACTACATGCCAGTAGCATCAGTGGCACCCTCCTTCCAGTTTGTTTTTGTTTTTTTGAGACAGAGTCTCACTGTCTCCCAGGTTAGAGGACAGTGGCATGGTATCTACTCACTGCAACCTCTGCCTCCCACGTTCAAGCAATTCTCCTGCCTCAGCCTCCTGGGTAGTTGGGATTAAAGGCACCTGCCACCACGCCCAGCTAATTTTTTATTTTTTTTAGTAGAGACAGGGTATCATCACGTTGGCCAGCCTGGTCTTGAACTCCCGACCTCAGATGATCCACCTGCCTTGGCCTTCTAAAATGCTGGGATTACAGGCATGAGCCACCGCGCCTGGCCAAATTTTTTTGTTTATTTTTGTAAAACATACCTAACATAAAATTTACCATTTTAACTATATTGAAGTGTACAGTTCAACGGCATTAAGTACATTTACATTGTTGTGCAACCATCACCCCATCTATCTCCAACTCTTCCAGTTTTGTCAACCAAAAATGTCTCTGGAAATTGCCAAATGTCCTCTGGAGGCAAAATTGCTCCAGTTGTTTACACCTTCTCCAAGGTGAATAAGAAGTCAAAAATGTCGATGTCATAAAAAAATAGAAAGAAAGTCTAAGAAGCTGCAATAAAGAAGAAATGACAATTCAACGCAACACATAATCCTGAACTGGTTCCTGTATAGAAAAAAAAAATTGCTATAAAGAACACTATTGGCAGGCTGGGTGCAGTGGTTCACACCTGTAATCCCAACACTTTGGGAAGCTGAGTCTAGCAGATTGCTTGAACCCAGGAGTTTAAGACCGGCCTGGGCAACATGATAAAACCCTGTCTCTATAAAAAATACAAAAATTAGTAAGCATGGCTGCCTGCGCGTAGTCTCAGCTATTCAGGAGGCTGAGGTAAGAGGATCAACTGAGCCCAGGAAGGTCGAGGCTGCAGTGAGCTGTGATTGCACCACTGCACACCAGCCTGGATGACAGAGCAAGACCCTGCTCAGAAAAAACAAACAAACAAAACAACAACAACAACAACACAAAAAGAACACTACTGGAAATTAACAAATTGGAATATGCAGTAGAGATTAAAGTATTGTATCAGTAATGAATTTCCTGATTTGACAACTCTGCTGGGTTATGCAAGAGAATTTCCACGTCTTAGTATGAAGTATTAAAAGGTAGAGGGAGGCCGGGTGCGGTGGCTCATGCCTGTAATCTCAACACTTTGGGAGGCTGAGGTGGGCGGATCACCTGAGATCAGGAGTTCGAGACCAGCCTGACCAACATGGTGAAACCCCGTCTCTACTAAAAATACAAAAAAATTAGCCGGGTGTGGTGGCGGGTGCCTATAATCCCAGTTACTCGGGAGACTGAGGCAGGAGAATCGCTTGAACCTGGGAGGTGGAGGTTGCAGTGAGTTGAGATCACGCCATTGCACTCCAGCCTGGGCAACAAGAGTGAAACTCTGTCTCAAAAAAAAAAAAAAAAAAAAAAGAGGGAAATGAATATACACCTGCTCTGAAATGAAATGGTTGGGGCCAAATTGTGTGTGTGTGTGTGTGTGTGTGTGTGCGCACACGCAATTGTCTCAAAAGCCTCTTGAGTCTTTCCCTTATATCTCTGACAATCCCACTGCTCCAAAGTACACTGTGGGTTTTCCTCAACTTGGAGCTAGATACCTGGAATTCTAGAAAACAATTCCCTCAGTAGACAATTGCTCCCTTATATGAGCACAAGCAGCGGAGTGACTACATGGATCAAGCTGTATTTCACCATTTTTTTTTTTTGCTCTGTTGCTTTATGTACCACACCAGCCCCACACAACTCTTCACCAAAGAGTTGTGGAATTATTGCATAAGAGAAAAAAATCTTAACTATATGACAACTGCTATGTCACACAGACTGCTAGTGGCTTACCCACTACTTCTTACCAACATTATTTTTAGAGGTGACAATATAACCAGCAAAAACACTGCACCTCCCAGCCACTTTTACAGCCAGGGATGGCCACATGACCAAATTACGGCTTATGAGACGTATGTGGAAGATGCTGGGAAGGACTTCTGGGAAAGCTGCTTTAAAGAGTTTCCAGTCCGGTACTGTGGCTCACACCTGTAATCTCAGTACTTTGGGACGCCGAGGCGGGTGGATCACCTGAGGTTAGGAGTTCTAGACTGGCCTGGTCGACATGGTGAAATCCTGTTTCTACTAAAAATACAAAAAATTAGCTTGGTGTGGTGGTGTGCGCCTGTAATCCCAGCTACTTGGGAGGCTGAGGCAGGAGAATCCATCTAAGAGAGAGAGAGAGAGAAAGGGAGGGAGGAAGAAAGGAAGAAGGAAAAGAAGAAGGAAAGAAGGAAGGAAAGAAAAGAAAGAGAAAGAAAGAAGGAAGGAAGGAGAAAGAGAAAGAGAAAGAAAGAAAGAAAAGAAAAGAAAGAAACTTTTATTTCCAGGTGGGGTGTGGTGGCTCCTGCCTGTATTCCCAGCACTTTGTGAGCCCAAGCCGGATAGATGGCTTGAGTCCAGGAGTTTGAGACTGCCTGGCCAACGCGAAACCCTGTCTCTACAAAAAAATACAAAAATTAGCCAGGCGCGGTGGCGCATGCCTGTAATCACAACTACTCAGGAGGCTGAGGATTGCTTGAACCCAGGAGGTCAAGCCTGCAGTGAGCTGTGATCACGCCACTGCACTCCAGCTTGGGCAACTCCCCAACACCCACCCTCCACAAAAAAAAAAAAAAAAAAAAGAAAAAGAGTTCTTAGCCATTTTGTAATCTTAAGAATGATGAAAGCCATATGCTTATGTAATGGAAACAAAAGAAGACGGGTCTTTGATGAACATGAAATGGAGTGTCATATCAGCCCTGAAACCACTACTTCTGAACTTCCTTTGCATGAGAAATACATTTGTATCTAGTTTATCTTGTTACTGAGTTTTCTGTTGTATGCAGCTGGACCTAACTCTTAAATGATACTCAGTCTGAAGATAAAATTATCACAAGAATATAAACCATCGCAAAGGCCTTGAGCACACCTGGATCCCTACTATTGCCCCTTGTCTTCACATCTGCATTTCTTTCTCAGAGCATTGATGTTGTTCAAATTTCCTTCTTCAACATTTCCTTTAATATCTCCCTCCTCCTTTCAGTAGATTCCAGGCCCCACTCACAGGGGTTGGTCTCATACCAGGATCCATCCTCTTTTCCCAAGCCAAGCATTTTCTCAGGTCTGAATTATTCATTTGATTTAAAATATGGCTCTAGCAAGAAAATCCACGGTGGGTGTGGGTAGTCCAAGTTCAGTTCCCTTGGAGATATTTCCACCTAATTCCTCCTGGTGCCCAGTAAATAACTATTATGTTAAACACACCCACATCTCCCAAAGACAGGCATTAATTCTGAGAAACGGTATTACACTGTGAGTACATGTACGTTTTCCACGCTGAGAAAGAGAAACATTTGACTCCTATAATCAATGTAACTTTACCCCTGCTCACTATCAAGATAGCATTTTATTTTGCAGAACAATGTCAGCTCTTTTTTATCTTCTAGTTTTCAGATTGTGCCTAACCAAGCATTTAAAAAAAATAAAAAGATGTTTGAAATTAGCTTAAAAATCAGGCCCCCAAATTGAGCTATCCATCTCTCTTTCTTGTTACTGCTTTGCTACACCAAGATCAAGCTTTGGAAATACCCCATGTATTTATTCTGTGCCAAATTAAATTTTTGTAGGTGTCATCCTCCTACTACCCTCTACTAAATTAAATTCTTGATTAAGGTCTCATACTCCCACTGCTCCAGAACAGAGGCAATATGAGGACTTATTATCCTCTGATACAAGTAATCCTCCACCCCCAGGGGGGTGGTATGGAGAGGAGGTTTGCTTTTCCAGTTACATAAATAACATATTCTTCACAGAGCAGCTTTCCAGGCTGTATTTTGTTGTTTTGTTTTGTTTTTCTGCTACTGACTTTTTGCTTGTTTGCCTGTTCAAGGCTGAACATTTGCCAGTGCCCTGTGGGATCATCTGCAGTGAAATATTTTTCAGAACCATATTGATACGGGAGAACAACAGCTTCACCCAGTTGTTTGGTAACCCAAGAGCTTTACCACTGACCTTGTGGGCTGTGGTTTGCTTTTTGCACAGGGCTATTATTTCCACTAAAGACAAATCAGGAAACATAAAACAGATATACCCTAACCAATCTATCTGGCTCCTTGTTGAACAGATATGTCAAAAGATTTAGAGGAGAGGTTTGAATTTGTAGCCAAAATGAAGGCTTTGTTGTAGTTGTAAAATAAAATGTATGGTTCCTATTAGTGATGTGGTCTCAGATAGCCGAAAAGGAACTATTTTGTCCATTATAATAGCAATTACAATATTATAAGCATCTATATATATTTTTTTTTTAATGACAGAGTCTTGTTCTGTCACCCAGGCTGGAGTGCAGTGGCATGATCTTGGCTCACTAAAACCTCTACCTCCTGGGTTCAAGTGATTCTCCTGCCTCAGCCTTCCGATTAGCTGGGATTACAGGCGCCAGCCACCACGCCTGGCTAATTTTTTTGTATTTTTGGCAGAGATGGGGTTTCACCATGTTGGCCAGGCTGGTCTCCAACTCCTGACCTCGGGTGATCAGCCCGCCTCAGCCTCCCAAAGAGCATCTATATTATATTTATTTACTTCAAATATCTGTAGACAAATAGAATGCCAAGACAGGAAAAGTAAATCAACTCTATTAGCACAGAAGGCTAACTTCAGGTCAGGGAGCAAGAGTTATACATAACAGGTTAAGTGGAAAAGAGGGGAAAAAAAGGAAAAGAGGCCAGGCGCGGTGGCTCACACCTGTAATCCCAGCACTTTGGGAGGCCGAGGTGGGTGGATCACCTGAGGTCACGAGTTTGAGACAAGCCTGGCCAACATGGTGAAACCCCGCCTCTACAAAAACTACAAAAAAAAGGAAAAGAAAGAGAGTTGTCCCTTTTTCTCTGCTACCTTACTCACAGCTGTCTCTTTCACCTTCACTTCTTTGAAAAGATTAGGGTAACTCACAAGCTAGTGAACTGGTTTGGACTAGGTAAGTTAGGGGAGAATCATGTTACGGGCTGGTGAAAGGAGAGAATCCATGGCTATTTGAGAAGAGTGAAAATATTTTAATGAAAGTCATCAGCTGGGCGCCGTGGCTCACGCCTGTAGTCCCAGCACTTTGGGAAGCCAAGGTGGGTGGATCACTCGAGGTCAGGAGTTTGAGACCAGCCTGGCCAACATGGTGAAACCCTGTCTCCACTAAAAATACAAAAATTAACCAGGCGTGGTGGCAGGCACCTGTAATCCCAGCTACTCAGGAGGCTGAAGCAGGAGAATCGCTTGAACCCGGGAGGTGGACATTGCAGTGAGCCGAGATCACACCACTGCACTCCAGCCTGGGAAAGAGCAGAAGACTCTGTCTCAAAAAAAAAAAGAAAAAAAAGAAAGTCATTAATTGGTACTTAACTTCAAAGGAAGATGGCAGTCTAGGAAAATACACAAAAAAATGAACCAGAACCAAAAAAGAAATTTCAACTATAGTCAAACTATGCAACTGACATGACCCATTACAGACTGTGAAGAATAACTTCAATTTGTACCCAAATCAAGGAAAGCGGTGAGATTTGACAAACATTTCCTCCAAATAGTCACTCCGTGCCATTTTTAGTGAGTAAACGAGATGTTCCTGAAGGCCCAGAAGCAATTTGAAATGTGAAGAAATAAGAACTGGGACCTAGGTGCACCACGGAAAAATTAAGAAATACACCCTGGGGTTCATTTTCAGACGTTAAGGAAGGTAGGACTGAAGAAGAGAAGATGTATCTTGCATTTTTATTTATTTTCAGGACTCAGTTTGCTGACCCATGACTGAAAATTGGGAAGTGAAGGGAGGCTGAAGGGTTAACAGTGACCTGCAAGGCAGACCTGCAACCGTTGACCAAAGTAAACTGAGCAGAGTAAATAAGCACTAGAAGATTAAAATCCTATGACAGGCCAGACCTCCTGACACTCTCAAACTAAAAAAAAATTTAAAAAACTGTAAAACCTTAATTCCAGTAACAATGAGAACTCCTAGTACCTAGATTTTACTTTCAAATACTGTACTTTAATAAAAGGAACCAGGCAGGGTACAGTGGCACATCTGTGATCTCAGCACTTTGGGAAGTCCAGGTGGGAGTATTGCTTGAGCCCCAGGAGTTGGAGACCAGCCTGGGCAACATGGTGAGACCCTTTCTCTACAAAAAAATATTTAAAAACTAGCTGGGAGTGGTGGCAGCTGCCTGTAGTCCCAGCTACTCAGGAGGCTGAGACAAGAGGATCACTTGAGCCTTGGAGGTTGAGGCTGTGGGATAACAGAGTGAGACTCTGTCTTGGGGGAAAAAAAAAAAAGGAACTAGAGTTCCTTGAGAAATGGCTGATTCTAGGACTGAGGTAGTAAATGTACATGATGAGCCTGGAGCATCTTGTTGTGCCATAAAGTAAGAAAGTGCTCAAAAAACAAAACCAAAAAACCCCCACATTGATGAGGGGTATGTCAAAGGAGCACATAGGTCAACTGTAAGAGCTCCCAATGGCCAAAGCTGGAAAAATTTGGGCAACAAAATGAAATGATATTGAATTATAATCAAAGTATAAAATAAATAAATATTCATGAGTCCATACTGATATAATTAAATGATTGAACATATAAGTAAATGAGGGAGAATGACCAATCATCTGTACAGAAGAATTCTAAATAATTTATGTAAACACTGCTTACTCAAGGAAGTAGAGCATAGCTCCCCATTCCTTAAGTGTGGGCTGTGCATAATGACTTCTTTCCAAAGAGTACAATATGGAAAGGCAAGGAAAGATAACTTTAGAGTGAAGAAAATTGACAGACTACCTCAGTCAGATGATCAAGGTCAACATTAACCATCATGAGTCATGTTAACAATAGGACCCTTGATATGACGTCAATGGCACTTTATCTCTGTAGTCTTTCTCCCAAAAACATATAACCCTGGTCTAATCATGAGAAAAACAAGTTCCACTTGAAGGACATTCCATAAAATACTTGAGCAGTACGCCTTAAAACTGTGAAGGTCATCACAAACGAGGCAAGTGAGAAACTGTCACAGCCAAGAGGACATGATAGCTTAATGTAATATGGTATCTTGGAGGGGATCCTGGAACAGAAATATAATACTAGGTAAAAATGAATCCAATCTTAATAAAGTATGGACTTTAATTAATAACTAAATTAAGAATTACTTGGGCCAGGCACGGTGGCTCATGCCTGTAATCCCAGCACTTTGGGAGGCTGAGGCAGGTAGATCACTTGAGGTCAGGAGTTCTAGACCAGGCTGGCCAACATGGTACTAAAAATACAAAAATTAGCTGGGCGTGGTGGCGGGTGCCTGTAATCCCAACTACTCGGGAGGCTGGGGCAGGAGAATCACTTGAACCAAGGAGGCGGAGGTTGCAGTGAGCTGAGATTGTGCCACTGCACTCCAGCCTGGGCAACAGAGTGAGACTTCGTCTTAGGAAAAAAGAAAAAAAAGGAAAGAAGAATTATTTGAGTGCAACCTCATGAGAGACTCTGAGATATTTCTGAGCTTCTGACCTAAAGACAGTGTGAGATAATGTTTGTTGTTTATGCCAAAAGAGAGAGAGAGACAGAGTGTGAGAGAGAATTAACAACAACATATTAAGAAAAGAAGAGAAATTTCTTTTCTGGTTCTGGTTCATTTTTTATTTTCCTAGACTACCATCTTCCCCGGAAATTTTGTAACAATTAATGATTTTTATTAAAATATTTCCACTCTTCTCAACGACATATCAGTATTGGTTTATTAACAAATGTACTCTACTAATGTTAAGATGTTAATAGCAAAAATTGGGTACTGGGCGTGGAAGAATGCTCTGTACTATCACAATGTTTCCATAAATCTAAAATTGCTATAAAAAATAAAGTTTATTTTAAAAATTTTAAAATCTTTTTTCTTATTTACTTATTTTTGTACATGAATAAGTTCTTTAGTGGTGATTTGTGAGATTTTGAGGCACCCATTATCCGAGCAGTGTACACTGAACCCAATGTGTAGTCTTTTATCCCTCACCCCCATTCCACCCTTTACCCTCTGAGTCCCCAAAGTCCATTGTATCATTCTTATGCTTTTGCATCCTCATAGCTTAGCTCCCACTTATGAGTAAGAACATAGGATGTTTGGATTTCCACTCCTGAGTTATTTCACTTAGAATAATGGTCTTCAATTTAAAAATTTAAAAATCTTTAAATGGTACATAAATTTAAAAAAAAAACCATCTGAGGAAAACACACTCATATTCTCTACACTTTCATAAAACACAGACCACTTCTGTGACCAGATGTGTGGGGGTTTTTCCCCACAGACAAACAATTCTCCAACAGGCAATTTCCAACTGGGTGTCCTGTAATTCAACTGAATTCTTTTTTTTTTTTTTTTTTTTTTTTTTGAGACAGAGTCTCACTCTGTCACCCAGGCTGGAGTGCAGTGGCGCAATCTCGGTTCACCGCAACCTTCATCTCCCAGATTCAAGCGATTCTCGTGCCTCAGCCTGCCGAGTAGCTGGGATTACAGGCGCCCCGCCTGCCACCACACCTGACTAATTGTTGTATTTTTGGTAGAGACAGGGTTTCACCATGTTGGCCAGGCTGGTCCTGAACTCCTGACCTCAGGTGATCCACCCGCCTCAGCCACCCAAAGTGCTGGGATTACTAGTGTGAGCCACCGCGCCTGGTAAATTGCACACTATATGTAGAGATAGTGTCAAATTCCACAGGTTAAGGGTTCAAGTCCCATAACACAGCCCTGTTTGAGACACCGATCGCAAGTCCCCATGCTTCTGACCAACTGGTTATAATAATTGGGGGGTTCCTGTGATTCCCTCTTCA
The DNA here is from genome assembly GCF_000001405.40 of Homo sapiens. Classification (NCBI taxonomy): domain Eukaryota; kingdom Metazoa; phylum Chordata; class Mammalia; order Primates; family Hominidae; genus Homo; species Homo sapiens. Next base: position 112,349,424 of record NC_000009.12, on the reverse strand, counting down.
GGTTAGATAGTTTGCTGGAATGGCTCACAGAATTCAGGAAAACACTTTACTTACATTTACCAGTTTATTATACGAACACAACTCAGGAACACTCGGATGGAAGAGATGCATAGGGCAAGATATGAGGAGTGGTGGTACAGAACTTCCATACCCTCTCTGGGCATGCCAACCTCCCAGCGCCTCCATATGTCTAGCAACCCGGAAGCTCATCAAATCTGATTGTTCAAGAGTTTTTATAGAGCTTAATATCCAGCCCCCTCCTTTCCTACTGACACCATACTGAGGCTACCTAGAGGATCTACCCTAAATCACCCTATTAGCATAAACCCAGAGGTTATGAAAGAGACTCATGATAAATAACAAAAGACACTCCTCTCCTTCAGGAAATTCCCAGGGTTTTAGGAAGTCCGTGACAGGAACCAGGGACAAAGACTAAATATATTTCTTATACCACAACACCATTTTAAATGATTGAATGAATTTGGAAGAAAATAAGGGAAATCCCCTAAGGCAATATTCTCAACCCGTGAGTGGAGTTTGCTGCCCTGGAGATGTTTGCGAATGTCTGGAGACCTTTTTAGTTGTCACATCTGGGAGGGGGGGTGGTATTGTTAGCGGATCTGCAGCAACTTAATTCTTGCCTCCTCAGAAAAAAGGATTTGAAAGAAGGGCATAAGGCATAGGGAGAGACGGAGGCAAGTTTTAGAGCAGGAATGAAACGAAGTAAAGTACACTTGGAAGAGGGCCAAGCCGGGTACTTGAGAGATTCAGGTGTATGATTTGATCTTTGACTTGGGGTTTTATAACTTGTGATGCTTCCGGGCGGTTGCCTCCGCTCTCCCGATTCTTCCTTCGGAGTGGGCTGTGCGCATGCGCAGTGGCTTGCTAACACTTGGGAGGGGCCACATGCTCTGTGTGTTTACCGAACTTGTGCACATGCTCATCTGAGGCATTTTTTTCCCTTACCAGTTCATTGTTGGTAGAGAAAGGTCATCATATACCAGTTAAGCTCCGCCATTTTGTCTCTTAGTGCACATGCTCGAGGCCACTGGCCCAACTCCAGATATCTAATCGGGAAGCTGCTGATCACCAGTTTTAGGTGTTTTCTGTCTTTTGGGAAACTACCTTTTCCTGGCGCTGGCTGCGGCCAATTATCATTTTAGAGAAATAATTTACCAACTGCCTGACCATCTGATGGCCGCCCGACATTCCTTGGACGGGACACCGTCTCCTGCCCTGCTCATGCCTGCCTAACTACCTACTCTAACAGTACTAGCATCTAGTGAATAGAGTCTAAATATGCAATAATACACTGTCTACTAAACATCCAATAATTCACTGGGAAGTCCCTCCCCTCCATGACAAAGAATTAAAAATGTCAGTGGTGCTGAGGTTGAGAAACCCTATTCTGAGGCATGAGGTCTTGGAACCTACGTCAGTGCTGACAAAAATAGGCTAAATTTTGTGGATATGTGTGTGCATAATACTTGATACATTCAAAATATGTGTAATATATATAAATTATGAGGCAGAATAGTAAACACCTGTGAAACCAACAACCAGCTAAAGGACTAGAGATGATGAAATCCTGTGCTTCTCTTGATTCCATCTCCCTGCCTCCTCCCCTGAAGTAACCACTATGCTGAGTTTTGTATTAATCCCTTGTCATGTTTTATAAAATTGTGTGTCTATACATATGTATATGTATTTATGTATAGATACACATACACACACAATATATTGATGAGTTTTGCCTAGTTGTGCTTGATTATTAACATTATAAAAATGGTACAGTAGCTCACACCTGTAATCTCAGCACTTTGGGAGGCCAAGACAGGTGGATCACTTGAGCCCAAGAGTTCGAGACCAGCCTTGGCAACACGGCAGAACCCTGTTTCCACAAAAAAATACAAATATTAGCCAGGCGTGGTGGCACATGCCTGTAGTCCCAGCTACTGGGGAGGCTGAGGTGGGAGGATCATCTGAGCCCAGGGAGGTCAAGGCTGCAGTTAGCCATGATCATACCACTGCACTCCAGCCTGGGTGACAGAGTGAGACCCTGTCTCAAAAAAAAAAAAAAAAAGGTATCCCAGTACATATAGTTTTAATTCAATATTTTGTTTTGATTTCTATATATCATTGCCTATGGTATTTTATTCATTTTCACTGTGATATAGTATTCCATTGTGTGAATATGCCACAATTTATTTGCCCATTTCTCTTGTTGATAGGCTTTTAGGTTATTTATATATTGCAATAAAATAGATAAATTAGGTTATTTATATATAGCATTAGGCTATTTATATATTGCATTACAACCAGTGATGCTATGAATATTTTTTCATACATCTTCTGGTGCACAAGGTTATATACATCTGGTGCTCTAGGTTATATACATCTAGGATTATAATTGCTAAAGTGGCCTGTAATCCCAGCACTTTGGAAGGGTGAGGTGAGCAGATCACCTGAGGTCAGGAGTTCAAGACCAGCCTGGCCAACATGGCGAAACTCCATCTCTACTAAAAATACAAAAATTAACTGGGTGTGGTGGCACGCACCTGTAGTCCCAGCTACTCAGGAGGCTGAGGCAGGAGAATCACTTGAACCTGGGAGGCAAAGTGAGTTGAGAAAGCGCCACTGCGCTCCAGCCTGGGTGACAGATCAAGAGACTCTGTCTCAGGAAAAAACAAACATACAAGCAAAGAATTGCTAAAGTGTGTATGTCTCTAACCTTAAATTGAAATTGTGTTTAAGAACACCTTTTATATCCTAAAGTCATATAGTCTCCTAAACCATCTAAAACCTTAAAAGTTTTCCCTTTAATTTGTAAGTCATCTGGAGCTGCTCATTGTATATGGGTATGAGGTTGGTACCTGTATTTGGAATGAAGAAGAAAATAACTTCCATTTTTTTCCCCTAAATGCCTCCTGTGTCCTACATCAAGTTTTTATATTTGCCGGCCAGGTGTGGTGGCTCATGCCTGTAATCCCAGCACCTTGGGAGGCTGAGGCAGGTGGATCACCTGAGGTCAGGAGTTCGAGACTCACCTGGCCAACATGGAGAAATGCCACCTCTACTAAAAATACAAAAATTAGCTGGGCATGGTGGCACGCACCTTTGTCCCAGCTACTCGGGAGGCTGAGGCAGGAGAATCGCTTGAACCCAGGAGACAAAGGTTGCAGCAAGCTGAGATCACGCCACTGCACTCCGGCCTGGGCCACAGAGCAAGACTTCGTTTCAGAAAAAAGGAAAAAAAAGAAAAAAGAAAAGAAAGTTTTTATATTTGCCAAGATCTCCTCACGCCTGTAATCCCAGCACTTTGGGAGGCCAAAAAGGGTGGATTACCTGAGGTCAGGAGTTCAAGACCAGCCTGGCTAACATGGCGAAACCCCGTCTCAAAAATTAGCTGGGCATGATGGCGGGCACCTATACTCCCAGCTACTTGGGAGGCTGAGGCAGGGAGAATTGCTTGAACCTGGGAGGTGGAGGTTACAGTGAGCCGAGATCATGCCACTGTACTCCAGCCTGGGCAACAGAGCGAGACTCTGTCTCAAAAAGAAAAAAAAAAAGAAAATTTGTCTATTCCTATGGCAATACTACATTTTTTCTTGATTATTTGACTTCATGATATACAAATTTTAATATTAGATAGAGCTAGTCCCCACATTATTATTCTTTAAGACTGTCTGAGCTATTCTAGAAGTCATTTATTTTTAATTTTTATATTTAAATTTACTTTTTTTTGGCCAGGTGTTGTGGCTTACGCCTGTAATCCCAACATTCTGGGAGGCCAATGTGGGTGGATCGCTTGAGGTCTGGAGTTCAAAACCAGCCTGGCCAAATGGTAAAACCCCAACTCTACTGAAAAAAAAAATACAAAAATTAGCTGGGCATGGTGGTGTGCTCCTGCGGTCCCAGCTACTGAGGAGGCTGAGGCACAAGAATCACCTGAACCCAGGAGGTGGAGGCTGCAGTGAGCTGAGATCACTCCACTGCACTCCAGCCTGGGTGACAGAGTAAGACTCTGATCTCAAAAAAAAAAAATTTTTTTTCCTTTTTTTTTTTTTTTTTTTTTTTTTTTTTAGAGATGAGGGTCTTACTCTGTCTCTCAGGCTGAAGTACAATGGCACACAATCACAACTCGCTGTCACCTGGAACTCTTTGGGCTCAAGTAATCCTTCTGCCTCAGCCTCCCAAGGAGTAGCTGGTGGGACTACATGTGTGTGCCACCATGCTTAGCTCATTTAAGTTTACCATTTTAACCATTTTAAAGTATATAGCTCTGTGGCAGTGGTATTATTTTCATTATTATTATTATTTTTGCTGTGCAATGGTGTCATCTCGGCTCACCGCAACCTCCGCCTTCCCAGTTTAAGCAATTCTCCTGCCTCAGCCTCCCGAGTAGCTGGGACTACAGGTATGTGACACCACACCCGGCTAATTTTGTATTTTTAGTAGAGATGGGGGTTTCTCCATGTTGGTCATGCTGGTCTCGAACTCCCGACCTCAGGTGATCCACCCGCCTCGGCCTCCCAAAGTGTGGAATTACAGGTGTGAGCCACCGTGCCTGGCTAGCCATTTTTAAATAATATTATCTAATTGTTTTTGTGGTATATAGAAATGCAACTAATTTTCATATGTTAATCTTATACCCAGACTTCTTATTAAACTCTCTCATTAATTTTTTTCTTTTGCATTAATTTTAAAACTTTTGATATACTTTTGAATTTTCTACATAGATAATCATATCAGCTGCAAATAATGGCAACTTATTTTTCCTTTCCAATATTCATATTGTTTTAGCAGGTTTTCTGTTGCTATAACTGAATACCTGAGACTGGATAATTTATAAAGAAAAGAGATTTATTTAGCTTGCAGTTCTGGAGGCTGGGAAGTCAAAGACTGGACAGCTGCATCTGGTGGGGGCCTTGTGCTCCTTTATAGCATGGCAGAAAAGGGAAGGAATTATGTGGCAAGAGAGGAAGCAAAAGAGAGCCAAAGAAGCCCAATTTGCTTTATAACAACCTGTTCTTGTGATAACTAATGGATTCTTGAGTATTAATTGGCTACAACAAGAATGGCATTAATTCCCCCTAATGACCTAATCACCCCCTAACGGTCCCCATCTCCCAACACTGCCACAATGATAATCAAATTTCAACATGAGTTTCAGAGAGGACAAATACTATTTAAACTGTAGCATATATATTTTATTTCTGTTTCTTGTCTTACTGCACAAGAACTAAGGTATAATACTTAATAGAAGCTTAAACAAAAGGCCCAAAACATAAATAAAAAAAGATTGATAAATTTTACCTTTTAAAATTAAAATGAAAAGTTTTTGTTTATCAGAAGACACCATAAAGAAAAGCAAAAGAGAAGCAACATACTGGATGAAGAACTGTCTGCAAATATTGTCAGAAAAAAAAATGTGTGTGTGTAGCTCCTGCAAACCAATAAGTAAAGAATGTATAGTCAAATATGAAAAAAAATGGGTAAAATATATGAACAGGTACTTTACTGAAGGAGATTTATCAATGAATGGCCAATAACATGTGAAATGAAATTCAATTGCATTAATGAAATGAAATGAAAAATGAGGGCATGTAAGATTTTTTCTTTTTTTTTTTTTTTGAGATAGAGTCTTGCTCTGTTGCCCAGGCTGGGGTGCAATGGCCTGGTCTCAGCTCACTGCAAACTCCGCCTCCTGGGTTCAAGCGATTTTCCCTGCCTCAGCCTCCCAAGTAGCTGGGATTACAGGCGCCACCACCACACCCAGCTAATTTTTTGTATTTTTAGTAGAGACGGGGTTTCACCATGTTGGCCAGGCTGTTCTCAAACTCCTGGCCTCAGGTGATCTGCCCACCTCGGCCTCCCAAAATGCTGGGATTACAGGTGAGAGCCACCACGCCCAGCTGCATGTAAGATATTTTAAACTGACTGCTTGACAAAATTTTTAAAGTTGGATAATACCAGTTGAGGATATGAGCTAACGCTTGTAGTGGTAGTGAAAACTGGTAAAAAGCACTTTGAACTAAAAATACAAAAATTAGCCGGGTGTGGTGGCAGGCACCTGTAATCCCAGCTACTGGGGAGGCTGAGGCAGGAGAATCACTTGAACCCGGGAGGCAGAGGCTGCAGTGAGCTGAGATCACACCATTGCACTCCAGCCTGGGTGACGAGAGCGAAACTCAGTCTCAAAAAAAAAAAAATTGTTCAGAGTGTATCTGAATAACCACTGTCCAGATTCCCCTAATGTTAACATTTTGCGTGCAAGTAACTTTTTTACTTTCTGTCCTCAAAATGAGCCTCAAGATACTCTAGGCTCATCCTGCATTTTCCCCGATCCAGCCCTGGAACCAACAACTTCTCTGAGGAGTCTTGGTTCCTTTTTTATCAGCCAATGGTGTCTAGAAACTAAGATATGGGCAATGCTGGGCATGGTGGTGCACACCTGTAGTCCCAGCTACTCAGGAGACTGAAGTGGGAGAATTACTTGAGCATGGGAGTTTGAGTTCAGTCTGGGCAACATAGTGAGACTGCCCACCCCCGCCCCCACAAAAAAAGTTACTGTGATGTCATTGTTTGGTCCTTGATCCTCTCAATAGGTAGAACTTGTAAACAAAAGTATATATATCAGCCCATGCCTACACGTTTATTTTTAATCTCTCTTTCTTCTTCTTCTTCTTCTTCTTTGTTTTTCTTTCTTGAGACGGAGTCTCGCTCTGTCGCCCAGGCAGGAGTGCAATGGTGCAATCTCGGCTCACTGCAACCTCTGCCTCCTGGGTTCAAGTGATTCTTCTGCCTCTGCCTCCTGAGTAGCTGAGATTACAGGTGTGTGCCACCATGCTCGACTACTTTTTGTATATTTAGCAGAGATGGGTTTCACCATGTTGGCCAGGCTGGTCTCGAACTCCTGACCTCAAGTGATCCGCCCACTTCGGCCTCCCAAAGTGTTGGGATTACAGGCGTGAGCCACTGTGTCCAGTCTAACCTCTTATATTATATGTTATAGAGTATATTCAGGCTTCTGTGAAGACGACTGTATTAGTCAGTGTTCTCTAGAGAGACAGAACCAATGGGATACACACACACGCAGAGACATATGAGAGGAGACTTATGGAGGCCAAGTTCCATGATAGGCCATCGGCAAGCTGGAGAACCCAAGAAGCCAGTAATGCGGCTCTGTCTAAGTCCAAATCCAAAGGCCTGAGAAACTAGAAGGCTGCTGGTGCAAGTCCTGGAGTCCAAAGGCTGGAGAACTTGGAGTTCTTATGTCTAAGGGCAGGAAAAGAACAGTGTCCCAGCTCCAGAAGAGAGAAAACTTGCCTTTCCTCTGCCTTTTTTTTCTATCCAGGCCCTCAGCCAATTGGATGATGCCTGCCCACATTGGGTGAGGGCAGATCTTCCTCATTCAGTCCACTGATGCAAATGCCAATCTCTTCCAGAAACACCCTCACAGCACACCCAGAAATAATGCCTTACCAGCTATCTTGTTGTCTCTTAAAGCAGGCAAGTTGACACCTAAAATTAGCCATCACAGGGACCTAGTCATTCTAAAGGAATTCAGGGAAAACAAACCAAACCAAATGTGGATATTTAGCAGAACTATGTAAAGAATTTTGTGAAGTTTCTGAGAGAAAGCACACCTTACTTGATGGCTATCTACTTATTGGAGTCACTTCACAGTCACTTCCCACTTCACCATCCCCACCAAGTAATTGAAAGATGAAACAAGAATATAAACCATTGATATCTAGACCTACAAGTGACTTAAAAACAAAAACAAAAAAAATCAATAACGCACAGAAAAGCTGAGATGAGATTTGTGAGCCCTCAACTCACACTATTCTTTAGTAAGCTGCAGATCAAAGTAGTACTGCCATCATTCAAAACAAAAACAAAAACAACAACAACACACACACACACACCCAACGAAAAACAAAAACACTTTTCTTGCCGGATACAAACAAGGGAATAAAATTCTACCAGAGGCCAGGCATGGTGGCTCATGCCTGTAATCCCAGCACTTCAAGAGGCCGAGGCAGGCGGATCACTGGAAGTCAGGAGTTCGAGACTAGCCTGGCCAACATGGTGAAACACCATCTCTACTAAAAATACAAAAATTAGCCAGGCATGGTGGTGTGCACCTGTAATCCCAGCTACTCGGGAGGCTGAGGCAGGAGAATCACTTGAACCCAGGAGGTGGAGGTTGCAGTGGGCCGAGCTCACACCACTGCACTCTAGTCTGGGCGACTTGAGACAGACCCTGACTCAACAAACAAAACAAAACAAATTCTAGCAGAGATCTTGCCAAAAACAAAAACAAAAACAAAAAACCCCACAAGAAATCCAAACCAAAACAAAAACACCCAAATGAAGTAGAAGAATATAATATGTAAAAACATGAAAATTACACTTTTAAAGAGGAACAAAAACGGATAAGAAGAAAACATTAGACAAAATACTTCTTTATCCTCTTTGGATAATTAAATATGGAGTCCATGAAACAAGAGATTTTATTTTATTTTATTTATTTTTTTTTTTTGAGACAGAGTTTCGCTCTTGTTGCCCAAGCGGGAGTGCAATGGCGCGATCTCGGCTCACCGCAACCTCCGCCTCCCGGGTTCAAACAATTCTGCCTCAGCCTCCTGAGTAGCTGAGATTACAGGCGTGCACCACTACGCCCGGCTAATTTTGTGCTTTTAGTAGAGACGGGGTTTCTCCATGTTGAGGCTGGTCTCAAACTCCTGACCTCAGGTGATCCACCCGCCTCAGCCTCCCAAAGTGCTGGGATTACAGGCGTGAGCCACTGCACCCGGCCCTAAACAAGAGATTTTAAAACATAGATAAGACAATAACATGACATTTTAAAAAAGCTGGCAGAACAAATGAAAGAGAAGAGGAGAAAACAAAATTATTATGTTATTTAAAAACACGTTAAAATAGCAGGGAATCAAACTAATACTGCAGAAATCTGAACTATGATTGGAGAGAATAGACTTGAGAAAATCATATAAAATATTAAGAAAAAACAAACACAAGACATTAAAGAAAAATATGTAATAGAATGAAGATCTAATAAATAACGAATTGGTAATGCTGAGGAAGAATATAGGGCAAGTTTACCAGAAATACAAATTTAGTATTAATACAATAAACAGTTTCAGAAACAAAAGGAAGATTGTCTTTGCAAGGCACAAGCTGTTTCACATGTTCAATTAATAAAATATTGGCTGCCTATTATGTAGTAGGCATTGTTCTGGTTGCTAAGAACACACCAGCAAAAATTAGCCAGGTGTGGTGGTGGAACATGCCTACAGTTTCCGCTACTCAGGAGGCTTAGGTGGGAGGATCACCTGAGCCTGGAAGGTTGAGGCTGCAGTGAGCCACGATTGCACCACTACACTCCAGCCTGGGTGACAGAGCGATACCCTGTCTCAAGAAAATAAATAAATAAAAAATAAACATGTTTAAATAAATATGAATTTTTATAACATTTAGTGTCATGGTTATAATCCTGATAGAAATTTATATCATTTAAAAATTGGGCTGGGCAGGCAGGGCATGGTGTCTGACACCTGTAATCCCAGCACTTTGGGAGGCTGAGGCGGGCAGATCACCTGATAAGTTAGGAGTTGGAAACCAGCCTGGCCAACATGGCAAAATCCCATTTCTACCAAAAATACAAAAATTAGCTGGGTGTGGTGGGGTGTACCTGTAATCCCAGCTACTTGGGAGGCTGAGGCAGGAGAATCGCTTGAACCTGGGAGGTAGAGGTTGCAGTGAGCCGAGATCATTCCACTGCACAGCAACCTGGGTGACAGAGTGAGACTGTCTCAAAAGAAAAAAAAAAAAGAGTGAAAAGAAAAAAAATAAAAATGGCAAGTAAATAAAGGTAAAGAAAAAAAATAACAACAATCCAAGAGATTTACTTCTAAGTGGGGTCTGGGAGACTTCTAGGTTAAGAAATTCATCCTCAGGATAGAGAGTGGGGGACAACAGTTTTAAGGACAAAAAGAAGTCAATTTTAAAGGGCAATGATGATTCTTAGATCACTGTAGTGATTATCATTCAGATTTTCTTAGCCCCTTAGGATTCACGCCTGTATTTTTTTTTTTTTTTTTTTTTTTTGAGACAGAGTCTTGCTGTGTCAGGCAGACTGGAGTGCAGTGTCACGATCTCAGCTCACTGCAGCCTCAACTTCCTGGGCTCAGGTGATCCTCCCACCTCAGCCTCCTGAGTAGCTGGGCCTACAGGCATGAGCCACCACGCCTGGCTAATTTTTTATATTTTTAGTAGAGACGGCATTTCGCCCTTGCCTAAATCTTAAAGGATGATTTTCTGTGAATTTAAATAAAAAAGGCTGTTTCATTAAAAATTCTGGGAGACACTGGAACCTAGGTGATATAGTATGACAAAAAACAGGGAGAGGAATACTCCCCTTTTCAGAAAAGTGCTCCAGAAAGCCCAATGCAACTTTGGCATGGGCTGGCAAATTATACTATAGGACAGTGACAAGGGACAGCACCTTCAGCATAGACATGAGTCCTCTGTGCCAGGCACTGGCCATATTAAGAACTTCATGTGGAGATGATTACATCAGGGCCAGGCATGGGATGACAAAAATGGACGTGATTCATAGCTGCTGAGAAGTCAGTGAGCATGTAGGAGACACTTACATGCCGCCTCTTCAAATAGTTGGGAAGGACTTTGAAGAAAGGCTCATAATTCAACAGACTGGGCAGAGTCGGTCAGAGTCAGTGTGTGTCAGCTGTTACAACCTTATTTGACTACCAAGGTGATACAGCCTGAAAACTATAAATTATACTCACATGCCATTTTGCTTAAGCCTTTGATGTTTGTTATTGTTTAATTATTGAACAAATAACAACAAATATTAAGGGAACACTCAGCCAAGGTTTCTTTATTTTGAAATAATTGTAGATTCACAGGAAATTTAAAAAATAAGTACAAAGAGGTCCTGTGTACCCTTCAACCAGTTTCCCCCAATAGTAACATCTTAGTAACTGTATTACACTATTAAAAGCAGCACACAGACACAGTGCAATCCATAACTTCTCTTCAGATTTTGTCACTTTTTCATGCATGTGTTTATCTAAAGTTCTATGCAATTTTATCATGTGTAGATTTGTATAACCACCCCATAATCAAGACACAGAACTGTTTTATTACCACAAATATCCCCGTTCTTACTCCCTTGTAGTCACAGTTGTCTGTATCCTCTTCCATCTGCTCCCACCCTCTTCCTAATCCTTGGTAACCACTAATCTGTTCTCCATCTCTATAATTTTGTCATTTTGAGGATGTTATAGAAATGGAATCATACAGCATGTAACCTTTTGAGATTGGCTTTTTTCATTTAGTATAATTTCAGATGTTTCTGTTTTGGGAAATGCAATGTTAATTATGATGATTTTGTATTTGTCATGGGATAGAATGATATTAAAATGTCCAGCTTCCTAGATTCACCTAATAGCTGGTATTATTTCTGACTTATTTGGCATCTTTGTATTATTTTATATATTAAGAAGTCTTACCTGTAAACAGAAATAGGGTTATGTTGGTTAAATGTTAACTAACCACTGCCTACTGGAATGCCTTAAGGCAAGTGTTCAAAGGTTACATGTTGTCCAAAGATAATCGTGATGGGGGTGGTGTCTCTCATCAGAAAAAGGTGTGTCAGGGGAATTTCTTAGTCAAATCAGAACAAAAACACAAGAGAAAATGTTAGAAAAATTATAAACTAAATTATTTGTATCTGTCTTCCTTTTCAAAGCACAGAGCAATTAGCAAATAGAGAAAATGTAACTCTCTTCACTATCAAGAAGCCAGTATATAGAACCCATCAGTTTCAGGTCAAACCAGGTCATGTAGGTGATATCTGAGATATCTGATTCCAGAAACTTCTGTGGAGATGATAGAAAGCTGTGGCTCTTCCACATCATGTAGGCTATGGGAACAGTTAGGTTTCTCAAAGTGGTTCTTGAGGAGCTAAACTCTATGCTACCTACTATTTTTGAATCAAAGTGACTCACAAACCCATGGAGCTTAATCTATAAGTTCTTTGAATTGGCCAGGCACGGTGGCTCACGCCTGTAATCCCAGCACTTTGGGAGGTGGAGGCAAGCAGATCACTTGAGGCCAGGAGTTTGAGACCAGCCTGGCCAACACAGTGAAACCCCATCTCTATGAAAAATACAAAAATTGGCTAGGTGTGGTGGTGCACGCTTCTAATCCCAGCTACCAGGGAGGCTAAGGCAGGAGAATTGCTTGAACCTGGGAGGCAGAGGTTGCAGTGAGCTGAGATCGCGCTACTGCACTCCAGCCTGGGTGAGAGAGCAAGCCTCTGATTCCAAACAAACAAACAAACAAACAAAAAGTTCTTTGAATTTAGAACCAAGGGGCAGGGGAAAGAGTTAAGGCTTCACCTTTTTTGTTGTAAACTGTTTTCTGTTTTCTTATATCTAGGCTTCTGTTGTAAAGCTGGACATTGAGTATTTAGGAAATGCCAAACAGTTTTGTTAATTTCAGTCAGGTGCACTGTTTTTACATTGCAGACTTCTCGGAATTATTGTTAGTATGAACAATAAATTTCGGACACACTTTATATTTACCTTTATTTATTGAGATGGGGTCTTCCTGTATTATTTTTTAATATTGAAATTTGGAATAGCAAAGATAGGGGTCACGCTCTGCTATTTTTTAATATTAAAATTTGTTAGCTTAAAGCAAAGGGTAAGAGAGACATAACTTTAATAATTTATTTTTATTTTTATAAAAATATAGAGACAGGGTTTCACCATGTTGCCCAGGCTGGTCTCACACTGCTGAGCTCAAGCAATGCTGCCGCTTTGACCTCCCAAAGTGCTGTGATTTACAGGTGTGAGCCACCATGCCCAGCCAAATTTTTTTTTTTTTAAATAAAGAAACTGTAAATTGGTACAGCCTTTTTGGAATCATTTTCAAAAAATTTATCAAATTTGAATTATAAAGGCTATAAAGGCTTTATATAAAGGATTGTTGAATTATATAAAGGATATTAAGGCTTATGTCCTTTGTTTCTCAATTCTACTTCTAGGGATCTATTCCTCAGATGTAATAATATGTGTGCAAAGATACTCATACATTCATGATATTTTCTGCAATAGTGTTAGTTATTTTGAATACTTGGAAACAACGTAATTTCCACTGTTTTGGAAAAGGTTAAATTATGAAATGAAATTATGAGGCTGGGCATAGTGGTTCATGCCTATAATCCCAGCACTTTGGGAGGCCGAGGTGGGTGGATCACTTGAGGTCAGGAGTTCAAGAGCAGCCTGGCCAACATGGTGAAACTCTGTCTCTACTAAAAATACAAAAATTAGCCAGGCAGGGTGGCAGGTGCCTGTAATCCCAGCTACTCCAGAGGCTGAGGCAGGGGAATTGCTTGAGCCTGGGAGGCAGAGGTTGCAGTGAGCCGAGATTGTGCCACTGCACTCCAGCCTGGAGTCTCACTTTGTCACACAGGGTGGAGTGCAGTGGTGTGATCTCGGCTCACTGCAACCTCTGCTTACCGGGTTGAGATTCTCCTGTCTCAACCTCCTGAGTAGCTGGGATTACAGGCGTGCACCACCAAGCCAGACTAATTTTCCTATTTTTAGTAGAGATGGGGGGTTTCACCATGTTGGCCAGGCTGGCTTCGAACTCCTGACCTTAAGTGATCTGCCCGCCTCGGCCTCCCAAAGTGCTGGGATTACAGGTGTGAGCCACCATGCCCAGCTATAATCCAGGATTTTTAGGTGAAAAAAAAAAAAAAAAAAAAGAAAAATGGTAAAGGTCGCTGGGTGCGGTGGCTCACACCTGTAATCCCAGCACTTTGGGAGGCTGAGGTGGGTGGATCACAAGGTCAGGAGTTCGAGACCAGCCTGACCAACATGGTGAAACCCTGTCTCTACTAAAAACACAAAAACTAGCCAGGCGTGGTGGCGGGCGCCTGTAATCGCAGCTACTCAGGAGGCTGAGGCAGGAGAATCACTTGAACTCGGGAGGCAGAGGTTGCAGTGAGCTCAGATTGTGCCACTGCACTCCAGCCTGGGAGACAGAGCAAGACTCCGTCTCAAAACAAAAAAACAAAAAAACAAAAAAACAAACAACAAAAAAAAGTAAGGTCCAGAAGGATGCACGCAGAATTGTTACAGTGGTAGTCATGGGCAGGGGGTGGTTTGGGAAGAAAAATATTAATGATAACTTTTCAATATTTTATAGTGCTTGAATTTTCCAAAATGAGCATTTATGCTGATATTACTTGTGTAGCTAAAAAAAGGGTTAAGGAAATTTCATCAACAGAATATATCCCAAATACAGTGATAGAAAGACTGCATCAGCTACTTATCTTGTTGATATTCTACATTTCCATCTGGCAATGTTTACAAATGCAACTTAATATTTAGATTTAATATACAAAACAAAATGTATTTGACATTTTGGAAGGGGACTGAGGTTAGATACAGGACTTTAAGAATTACCTCACCGAATTACTCTACCTATTTGAAAAGTTGTATGTCAAAAATATACATAAACGGACTGAAGAATCCATTCAACAGTGACGGCTGGAACCTGATTTTCTTGTGTATTCATGCAGTGCCCGGCACATAGTAGGTTAATACTGACTGAATGATGAATGAGTCCACAGTTTAGATCTTTTTAGCAGCACCTACTGATCTGAAAGCAGGAAATTAGCAAGGATAGATGTTTGAGGTTCTTGTTAGTTGCTTTTCAAATGACGAAGCCACGGGGAGGAGCCCCGCTCTTTTTTACTCAGTAGGTTAAGAATTTGGCTTAACAGTTTAGGGGGTTACATTTTGGTGATCTGTGAGTTGAAAAAGTACTCAATTTCTCACTAAAAAGGGAAAAAAGCAAGCGTGTTGTCACTCGTTATATTATATATATACTTTTTGCTCAGACCAGAGGGAAGGGCTCTGGTGCAAACGTTTCCTGGTTGTGAAACTGTGAGCAAATCACTCTCTTTGTATATGTATTTTCATCTGAAAAAAGGGAATAATGAGTAAACTTTTAAAAAATGCTGGGAATATAGCCATTCCATGTTTGTACAATGAATTTTTCATATAAATTCAATACTAGACGGTTAGGTCGAAATGCACTCAGATACTTAAATTGTATACAAATTCCAGTCCGGGCAGCCTCTTTCACCTCATTCATCGTCCCAGCCACACCTATGGGGCTGGTGTCGGTCCCAGCGGTCGACTCCAGCGCCGGGCTGCCAGAGGCTGGTCCCTGGACGTGTCATCTACAGCCTCGCGCACCCGGGGCAATTCCACCTCGTTTCTGGGGTCCTTGTGGGACATTCCTTCCTACTCTTGGGAGTCAGGTCCCCATAGCTTTTCCTGCCGGCAGAGGGAGGCATTCAAACCTGGCAGGCCCGGTCTGCGAAGCCGGAAGGCCCGCGGGGCCGCGGGAGGGCGGGCGGGGTGCGCGGCGGAGCGGGAAGCACAAGGCGCGCGCTCCCGCGAACGCAGGAGGGAGGCTGGGGGCGCGCGCGCGCGCCGGGCCGAGGGGCCGAGAGGCGGGGTCTTACAGCGACCGCGGGAAGAGGGCGCCCCAGAGCTGAGCCGGAGGCCGGCTGCCAGCGGGGCGAGGGTGGGCGCGAGCGCAGGGGCGGGCCCCGAGGGAGGGCGGGGACGGTGAGGGGGCGGGGTCGGGCTAGGCGGGGACGCGCTCGCGGGGTGGGGAAGGCGGGGGCGCGGCGGTGGCGGGAGCGTGCCCGGTCCCCGCCCCTGTTCCCACTCTCCTTCCACCTCGGACCGGCCGGGGCTCCGCAGAGCCAAAGCTCGCTTGTCCCCGGAACCGCCCTGCTGCCGCCGCCTGCTTCCTCTGCTCGCGGTTAGCCCGTCAGTCCCTGCTCTGTGCGCGCCTCCATCTGGGCCATGGATGGGTAAGTACTAGGCGGCGCGGCGGCCGCACCGGGTTGCCTTGGCGCCGCTTCCACCCGGCTCTCCGCGGGACGCGTAAGGGCTGGGGAGCAGTGCGCGGCGCCGGCGGCCGGAGGAGCGGCCCCGGCCAAGCCCGACGGCGGGGCTTCCGGGCGTCTCGGTGGGGATCCCGGAATCGCGGAGTTGCCGTCCGCCGCAGGCTCTCCTTTCCCCACGCGGCGCCCCGGACACGTCCGCTGCTTCCTAGCCTTACTCGACACACCCGGGAGCAGAGGAAAGCCCGGTCCGGCCGCGGTGCCGAGGTCCGCCCTCCGCGCCCCGAGTCCGGGGAGCCCAGCTCGGCCTCCCGACACTTCCTCTCAGAAAATGGTGCGCGGCGCTGGGGGAGGCGGAGGCGGCGCGCGGGGCGGGCGTCCTCCTGCCGGGGGAGTTGCTGTTTACCGGCGAGGTGGGGCGAGCGGCCGACGGCGGGTGCACGCGTCGGTACACGTCTGGGCGGCGACCTGGTCGCAAGCCATGGTCCCACGCGGGGTCCCAGGGCCGCCGCGGGACTTGGCCGAGGTCTCCCGACTTGTGCTGTGAGATACGTTAACGCTTTCTCGACACCAGGGGTCTGGACTTAGTGACCATGGACGCTTCCCCCTCACCTTTCTCTCTCCCCAAGAAACTTAATGAATTATCTGCCCGTGTATGTAAAATATGATGTACGAGCGATTTTCGGGGGCATTTCAAATGCTCAAAAATTTAATGGGGGTCCGTGACCAAAATAAAAAGATTTAGAGTCTATGTATATAAACTGTTCTCTGGGGACTCAGGGATATGGGGTGGGACTTGACATATTTTGGTAATTAAAGTAACAACTATGTTAGGATTTTGGTGAATTAATTGAAGGTTGTAGTATCTGTACCTACGGATTAAAAAAAAATCTCCAACTCGGTTTATTCCCATTATGTATTTGAGGTTTTTTTTAGCTTGTTACCTACTTTTGATGACAAGATTTCTGTGAGGTTGTGGAATATATGCAACTTGCTAGAACAGTAAAAGTCGTTCACATGTTGCCATACAGTTGATGATATGCTATTTGAAGATGAAATCTTCCAACAGCTTTTGACCTCATTAGATTTCATTTATTTTAGTTTCACAATATTAAGTGTATATGACATTTCGGATTGATTCATTTGAATGCAGATTGCACACTGCTACAGACATCAAAGTGGAGTTTTAGATTTTATTCATGATTGTGATGTTCTTTATTTTTATTTGATTGAAGCTTCAAAAAATTTCTTAAAATTATAACTTTTTTGGGTACACAGTAGGTGTATATATTTTGGGGGGGAATTGAAGCTGTTTTTATTGTTTGATTGAAGTTTCTTCGAGAACATTGTTGAAAACTTATTTCACATTACCTTATTCAGTTGCATTTTATATGTTGAAAAATTTTGTGGTCGTAAAGATTTGTGTCACTAATATTTTGGTTCAGGCAGGCTGTGAATTTAGCATTTCATTATGTGTAGTTAATTGTCTGGAAGGTTTGACTTAAATAATGGAAGCAGGCTATTTTTTTGTGTCGTAAAATGTATAGTTATAATAAAGAGGACTCTTGAATTTTGCGTCTTTGCTGTTAAACTGTAGGATAACTGTGAAGTGCAAACTTACTTTTTGATAGTGTTTAAGAAGTTTACTCTCCCTTCACGCTATTTGTGGTTTTAAAGGTAGTAATGGGTTTATTGGTTTGAATATGCAAGGCAGTTATACAGATACTGACTGGAAGGTAAGTTCATTTGGAAGTTCAAGTCGGAGCATGATTTGCCCTTTGTATCAGAACCAATAACCATAGTGTTACACCATTTTATTTTTTATGCAGCAAGCGTCCAGTTACTTATCACATTTAAATTTTAGACAAATGAATTTCAAGTTTCAGAAGTTTACAAGGAAAAATAAAAAATCTACGTGGTATTTTAAAAACAGTTTACATCATCTAGAGTCATTTATTCGTTGACTTTTATGAGGTAATGATGACATAGGTTATTAACAATATGTAGAATGTATTCGTAGCTTTCTTCTAGGAGATATGAAGAAAAACATTAATCGAAGACAGTTTCTTGGGGCTTAGAAGAGAAGAATTTTTGTATGGCAGGACTTTAAAGGGGATTTTCACACCCTGGTCTTAAGGGATGTGGTTTAAGAATACAGTGCATTTTTGCCTTCAGGAGACTAATTAAATTTCTACATTTTCCAACAGCCTGAAAAAGATCCTTTTTCCTTATTTGGGTAGTTAAAAAACAAACCACAAGCCACCAGTCAACATATCTTTCTAGTTCCTCCTCAAATCCCAACTGTCTCTCGTGTGTGTGTGTGTGTGTGTGTGTGTGTGTGTGTGTGTGTGTGTTCGTTTCCTCCTAAGAGATAATTTATACTTAAACACAGTTTTGACGTGATAGAATATTTTTAAAAAGCAAATCTTTGAAAATTTTGATGTCTGAAATGTGATGTTTGTATTTATTTTAGTTCTGAGAGACTGTCTTAACTATATTTTGGTGAGCAATTTTGGGTGGTAAATGCAGATTTGCAAGATGCCTTCTATTTCTGTAAAATCCAAGCACTGGTTTTGTTTCATTTAAAACCTCAGACACGATTATTCATGCCAGTGACTTAAAAGAACAAACTTTGGTGATTTTAAGTTTTGGTTTGGCTTTGTTAAATAGAGGTAAATGGATAAACACTCATTTTTATTGAAGTTTGACTATACTTTCCTAAATACTAAAAGATAACAGGATTTGTTTCTTGCATTGGTAGTAAGGATTTGCTTTTGCACTCTGCTGTTGCTAGACTGTCTCATCATTTTTCTTTGTATTAATATTTCACAACTCATCACATTCTTATTTTTATTATTTGTTATTATAATGCTTTTTCCCCTTTATTCTTACTATCTCTGTCTTTTAAAAACTTGTTCTCTAACTTTGTTTTCCATTTTCTCTTTTTACTTTTTCCATACAGTGTTGTTACAGATCTTATAACAGTCGGTTTAAAGGTAGGAATCTTTTACTATCCTTTCATATGCATTTTTATATCTTTTGGCATATTTTCAGTCTCACCTGTTCATAAAATTATCTGCTTTATTGTGTAAAAGTCTTTAATTTTTACTTAGCTCCAAAATAAGTAGACCTGAGGTAACTTTGGATTTTACGTATTTATAAGGAGGAACTATAGTATTATGTGTATAAAATGTGAACAAAAAATTTAGCCCAAAGTTTCACTTAAATTATCAGGATGCTTTTTGTTTGCTTTGTTTTAGCAGTTAAATGTAGCCTAGGCTTAGGCCGGGTGCGGTGGCTCACACCTGTAATCCCAGCAGTTTGGGAGGCTGAGAGGTGGGCGGGTTGCTTGAGCCCAGGAGTTTGAGACCAGCCTGGGCAACATAGTGAAACCCTATCTCTATTAAAAATAAAAATAAAAAAATTAGCCGGGCATGGTGGTGCGTGCCTGTAGTTCCAGCTACTTGGGAGGCTGAGGTGGGAGAATCACCTGAGCCCGGGAAGTCAAGGCTGCAGTGAGTGTGACCGTGTCACTGCACTCCAGCCTGGACAATGGGAGTGAGAAACTGTCTCAGAAAAAAAAAAAAAAAAGTGTAGCCTAGGCTCTGATTTATCTTCTTACCATGTCCTTTCTTATATCCTCTTTCATGGATGTGCTTATGAGAATAAGCAGCTGACACTTCTTTCTTCAGTGCCTACTATGTGTCAGGTGCTTTACATGTATTTTTACCAATCATAGCAATCCTTCAAGGTAGGTAATCAGTATTCCCATTTTAGAGGTGAAAAAATAGCTTTAGAAAGTTTGTGTCCAAGATGTGGTGCACTAGTGTTCAAACTCTTGTCTTCCAGGTACCAAAGCCTGACTTTTTTTTCGTTATACCTAGCTGTCAGCAATGAGAGTTCTGTCTAAAAGGCAAACATCCAGAGAGCTGGATAATTAGTATTTTATAATAATGATTCTTCTAGGTTATAAATCATTTCAGTTTTACCAAAGTCTTTTCATTTATTGGATTTTTTTTTTTTGAGGCGGAGCCTCCCTGTTGCCCAGGCTGGGGAACAGTGGTACAATCTTGGCTTACTACAACCTCCACCTTCAAAGGGGTTCAAGTGATTCTTCTGCCTCAGCCTCCTGAGTAGCTGGGATTACAGGCACATGCCACCATGCCTGGCTAATTTTTTTGTATTTTTAATAGAGACGGGGTTTCGACACGTTGCCCAGGCTGGTCTCCAACTCCTGACCTCAGGTGATCCGCCCTCCTTGGCCTCCCAAAGTGCTAGGATTACAGGTGTGAGCCACCACACCCGGCCCATTTATTGGATTTTTAAATATAAATTAAGTAAACAGTGCTCATCTGTATGAGACTTAAAATATCTGGGTGTTCTAAAGGTTCCCTTAGTAATTTAATATTTGATATAGCTGAGTTGAGAATCTAGTTCTAGAAGCCACTTACAGTTCAAATTATTGTAGAAAGAAATAATTCATCTTTGTTTATATGTGTCTTACACATTATAGATTGACTTATGTAAATTTGTTCCACCACTTTGGGTCCATCTGTGTTCATCATCTCTTCTTGTTAGCAAATTTCAGTGCTCCTACTTTATTTGCATTTGTTGGACCTGACAGTGGTGTTCATTCATGGTTTTTTGTTTGTTTTTAACTCTGTCACCTAGGCTGGAGTGCAGTGGTGGCATGATCATAGTTCGTTGCAGCCTCTAACTCCTGAGCTCAAGCCATCCTTTCACCTCAGCCTCCAAAGTAGCTAGTAAATCTACAAGCGTGCACCACCATGCCCAGCTGGGATTTTGCTGTGTTGCCCAGGCTGGTCTCAAACTCTTGGCCTCTCAAAGTGCTGGGATTGCAGGCATGAGCCACTGTGCCTGCCCTAAAGATATGTCTTCATAAGTGAAAGAAGATTTAAATGTTAGATGCAGGAACCATATTTGAATACAAAATTTGGCTTTCTGACTACCTGCTTTTAGCAAGCACTTTGTAAACAAAGGTCAGATCCTACTCTGAAGAGAAGATAAGCTTATTAGTTGGTTCAGTAGCAATCTATATTTTTATAGGCTTAGATCTGGGAATGTAAAATTATGCATTATCTGGAGAAATTTCTCTAAGATTGTTCTTTTTGGATTCCATCCAAGGAATCTTAATTACCAAGTAAATACTAAGAGGCCAGTAAGGCTCATAATTCATCTAGATCGTGTGAAAGATAATCTAGCAGTTACTTAATTTCCCTTGTATGCCATCTGAATATGATGACACAACAAATGGTTTCAGCCAGTGGCAAGAGTGGATTTCAGGTTATCTTCCATAAGTTGCTTCCCTGGATTCAGAAGAGTAATATGGACTTTTAAAAAAAGAATTGAAAATACTCTGTAGTATAATATAAAATCCATCGTTTTAGAGAAAGAAAACTGAGTTGTTTTTAGAGATTAAGTGATTCACCAAAATGTGTCATGAGGGCAGGGATTTTTGCTATTTTCTTCACTACTGTGTTTCCAGTGTCTGTCACATAATAAGCTCTCAGAAATACTTGATGAGTGAATGAATGCCAAATTGTCACATGGCTAGTTAGGTAGAATACTTATACAGGAACTTAAGCTTTCTCATTTTGCTAGTGTTTTTTTTTTTTTCCTCTATTAGTCATATACTATGGTGAGAAAGAAATCATTTCATTTTTTAAATTGGAATTTTCTTGAAGACAGGTAACATTTTTCAGGCAGCTTAGGGCTGTCTCATGTTATACCTAAGTGTATACCTTGGATGTTATTTGTGGTGTTACAATTTTTTGAGCCTTGCCAAAATTAAGAAAATTAGTTTCTAATACTACTTTCATGAAAAATTTGTTCTATTTCTTCATGTACTTTTTTTGAGACGGTGGTCTCCCTCTGTTGCCCCAGGCTGGAGTGCAGTGGCGCAATCTCGGCTCACTGCAATCTCCACCTCCTGGGTTCAAGTGATTCTCCTGCCTCAGCGTCCTGAGTAGCTGGGCTACAGGCACACGCCACCATGCTCGGCTAATTTTTTTTTGTATTTTTAGTAGAAACGGTTTCACCATATTGGCCAGGCTGGTCTCGAACTCCTAACCTCGTGATCTGCCCGGCCTCCCAAAGTGCTGGGATTACAGGCGTGAGCCACTGTGCCCGGCCTTCTTCATGTAATTTTTATATTTTGAAATGCTTATTGGGAAACTGAGACGTATTTGCTATTTTTTTTTTTTTCTTTGAAGGCAGGCTCTACCTCTGTCATTGCCCGGGCTGGAGTACAGTGGCACAATCATGGCTCACTGCATTCTCCACCTCTAAGGCCCAAGTGATCCTCCTACCTCAGCCTCCTGAGTAGCTAGGACCACACCCAGCTAATGTTTAAGTTTTTTTGTAGAGACGAAGGCCTCACCATGTTGTCCAGGCTGGTGTTGAACCCCTGGCCTCAAGTGATTCTCCTGCCTCAGCCTCCTAAAGTGCTAGGATTACAGGTGTGAGCCACCACACCCAAGCATAATTGCTGTCTTTAATTTTGAATTCTTTTAAATGAAGAACCAACTAGATGATAATGAGTGATAACTGTACATGTTTTAAGAACTTTATTATACCAGATAAATCAAAGTGTCAGACTGTGGATAACATAGCATTTTGTGTGTGTACAGCTTATACTTTAATTATTAACTGGCTGGCTTATTTTAAACTTGAATATTCCTCATAATCCTGGTTATTTTTTCAAAATACTGTAGTAGCGATTAGAGTATGATTTTAAGAAAATGACAGTCTTACATATCAAATATGTTTTAGACTTTTTCTGGGTTTTCCTATTTTAAGTGAGTAGATGAGTATGAAAAACTCACATATATGGGAAGGACTTCTAGTGATTATCATGCCTGTCAGTATATAGAAGAGAACAATATAGCATATTTAAATTAATTTTGAGGATTAGTTTTCTGTTTGCTTGACCAAGGGTTGGCAAACTATGGCTATGGGCCACATTTGGCTTGCCACCTGTTTTTGTAGTTTTACTGAAACACAGCTGTGCTCATTCATATTGTCCGTAGCTCCTTTCACACTACAAAGGCAGTCGTAGTTGTAGTGGAGACTGCAAAGCCTAAAATACTTACTCTCTGGCCCTTTACAGAAAACGTTTGCCTGCTGCTGTGCTTGAGCTATAGGAAATGTAGAAGGCATTTGCTGCAATCCTTTTCCTTTTAAACTGAGCTGTAATTTACATAGAATGAAATGCACATGTCTTAAGGGTACAATTCAGTAAAATTTGACACTTGTATCCACTAGTGTTTCCTGTATACCTCATTCAAGATAATAGAACACGCAGTCTAGAAAGTTCCCTGTTGCCTCTTTCCAGACCCAGTTTAGGCAGCTCTTCTGATTTCTATCACCAGAGATTAGTTTTACCTGTTTTGTTTGTTTGAGACAGGGTCTCACTGTGTAGCTCAGGCTGGAGTGCAGTGGTGTGATCAAGGCTTACCTCAGTCTCAACTTCCTGGGCTCAGGTGATCCTCCTGCCTCGGCCTCCTGAGTAGCTGGTACTACAGGTGCGCTCCACCGCTCCGGGCTAATTTTTGTGTTTTTTGTAGAGACTAGGTTTCGCCATGTTGGCCAGGCTGGTCTCCTGGGCTCAAGCCATCTGCTTGCCTCGGCCACCCGAAGTACTGGGGTTACAGGCATGAGCCACCGTGCTTGTCCAGTTTTACCTGTTTTTGAACCTCATATAAATGGAATCATAGAGCATAAAAGCTCTTTGATGTCTGATTTCTTTTACTCAGCAAAATGGTTTTGAGATTCATCTTTGTTCTTGCATATATCAGTAGTTCCTTTTTTTTTTTTTAATTTCTGTGAGAATTCCACTATGTGAATATAATGCAGGGGTTTTTGCTTCTTAGTTCAACTAAATCCAGGTTCTTGTCTCACAACCAGGAGAAATTAGGCATATGGACACATTGAAGGGTGAGGAGAGTGGAATTTATTAAGCGAAAGGGGAGCTCTCAGCAAAGAGAGGGGTCCCGCCAGCTGGCTTCCACCTCAGGTTGAATACCAGGCCACCACACTCCCTAGCCTAAGGCGTGAATTCCTGGTGGCTCCACCCCCTTCCCCCAGTGTGCAGACGGGCCCTTAGTCTGAGCCGCTCCACGTTGATTTATTTCCCTTACTGCACATATGTTAAGTGATGGAATTTTTCACTGTGGGCGTATTTAGGCAAGCCTCCTGTGCATGATGACCTGGGCAGGTCGAAGGTTCTCCGGGGACCCTTCCCTCTTTGCCTAGGCATTTTGCCGTCTCTTGACTCTTATCAAATATATAACAGTATTTAAAAATTGATTCTCATGTTGATGGACATTTGGGCACTTTTCAGTTTGGGGCTATTATGAATAAAGCTACCACGAACATTTATGTGTAAGTCTTTGGGTATATGTATGTTTCATTCAATCCATGACTAGGAGCAGAATTGCTGGGTGATAGGATATGTAGATGTTTAACTTTATAAGAAATTGTTCAACTGTTTTTCAAAGTGCTGTACCACCTTACACTCTGATCAGCTTTATATTAGAGTTCATTTGCCTCATGTGTCAGCCAAACTGACAACACGCTGGGTGTTGTCAGTTTTTAATTTTAGGTATTCTTGTGGACTAGTATTTCCTCATTTTAATTTTGTTATTGATCCAGTGATTGGTGGTGGTGAGTTTTTTATGTGCTTAATAGGCATTCACTTATCTTCTTTTGTGAATGTTAAGTCTTTTGTCTATTCTTTTAAAGTTGTTTTTTTTTAAAAAAAAAAAAAAGAGGTAGTCTCGCTCTGTCACCCAGGCTGGAGTGCAGTGGTGCGATCTTGGCTCACTGCAACTTCTGTCTCCCAGGTTCAAGCGATTCTCGTGCCTCAGGCACCCAACTAACTGGGACTACAGGTGTGCAGCACCATGCCTGGCTAATTTTGTATTTAGTAGAGACAGAGTTTCACCATGTTAGCCAGGCTGATCTTGAACTTCTGACCTCAACTGATCCACCAGACTCGGGCTCCCAAAGTGCTGGGATTTCAGATGTGAGCCACTGCACCAGGCCCTCAACATACATATTAATTATATTTCCTTTAACTTTTTTTTTAGTGGTTGCTGTATACATTGTAGCATATACATTTACTAAGTTTATAATGTTTTCCTTCCCCTTAAAGAACTTTTAAAAAACTTTTCGCAGGTCCATTGACATGAATTCTCTTGGTTTTGTGTTTCTGCTTTACTCCGAGGATGCTTTTTCTCTGCATACAGAATTCTAGGTTGTCTTTTTTTTTCTTTTCCTTTTTTTAAAAAAACTCTTTAAATATTTCACTTCACTTTCTTTTTGCTTGTATGGTTTCTGATGAGAAAGAAACCTCTGTAATTCTTGTCCCTGTACCTCCATAGGTACGGTGTTTTTTCTTCTGGTTTCTTTCTTGATTTTCTCTTTTGTTTTCTTCAGTTTGAATGATATGCCAAGGTATGGATTTTTTAGTGTTTATCCTGGTTGGTTTTCTCAGAGCTTCCTGGTTCTGTGGTTTGGCTATCACTAATTATGGAAAATTCTTGGCTGTTATTACTTTTACATGTTTCTTCTGCCCTGTACTCTCTCTCTTTTTTCTAGAAAATATCAGAAAATATTTCAGTTACTTCTGTGTTACACATTTGAAATTGTCCCACAGTTCTTGGACATTCTCTAATTATTTTCCTTTGCATTTCAGTTTGGAAAGTTTCTGTTGGAATATCTTCAAGCTCATTGATTCCTTCCTCAGCCGTGTCCAGCCTACTGAAAGTATTCTTCATTTCTGTTACAGTGTTTTTTATTTCTAGCATTTCCTTTTGGTTCTTTTACAGAGCATTCATGTCTCTGGTATATTATCCGTTTTTATTGCATGTTATCTACATTTTCCATTACAGCCAGTGACATATTGACCGTCATATTGCTAAGCAATCAGTGGGCTTGCTGTCTGATGTGCATAGAGGCCAATACCATGGCACTTTTCTTTTTTGAGAAAAGAAAAGCTTTATTGTTGTTGAATGGCAAGGAGACAGAAGGAAATGCTTAAACCTGTCTCCTCTAGCTGGGGGATGGCATTGGTTTTATAGGCATTGGGCAATGAGGCATGATCCGAGGTGATTCCAGGAGGCAGGATTTAACTGGATCCTCCCATGTGGTGTCTGTTTTTTGAGATAGGATTTTGCTCTGTTTCCCAGGCTAGAGTGCAGTGGCATGAATCATAGCTCACTGCAGCCTTGAACGTGTGGGTCCAAGTGATCCTCCTGCCTGAGCCTCCTCAGTAGCTAGGGCTACACAGACATGGCACCATGCCCGGCTAATTTTAAACAATTTTTTTTGTGGAGACTGGGTTTCTCTATGTTGCTGAGTCTGGTGTTGAATGCCTGGCCTCAAGTGATCTTCCTGCTTCAGCCTCCCCAAGTCTTGGGATTACAGGCATGAGCCACCACACCTGTTCAGATGTTTGCTTCTTAATTCAGTCTCCATTCCTTGGTCCTGACTCTTGGGTTCCACCCATGGTTGCAAGCTTGGTTCACCTGGACATGTCCGTGTTATGTGACCTACCACCTCGGGGTCCATAGCAACTGAAAAACAACTCACCATCTTATTACACAAAGGTGGACCAAGTTGGGTTGGTTCTGTGGTTAAAGTTGTTATTTTAAACCATGTCTGATAATTCCAAAATCTGTGTCCTGTTTGAATCTGGTCCTGATGCTTGTTTTGTCTCTTTAGTCTGTGTTTTTTCTTAAAAGGTTTAAACACACCTTGTAATTTTTTGTTGAAAGCCAGACATGTTGTATCAGAGAATAGGAACTGAGGTAAAAGGCCTTTAGTGTGAGTTTTATGTTATTCTGGCTAGGATTTTCTTCAGTGTCCTTGTTTTTGGCCCCTCTTCTAGAGTCTGAGCCTTGCAGCTCTTTGAGCTATAATCCTTTGCTATACTAGAGTCCTGAGATGTGGTAAGGTGTTGGGGAGAGAAGCATTCCATAGCCTTTTGATTAATATCAGCTGTTCCCCAGGCCTGTGTCTGTGCCTCTGATATGTGACTTTCACAAGTGTTTCACAGTTTTTTTCCCCCTTAGGTAGGCCAGGTAAGCCAGAAGGGACTGGAGTTTAGGAAATACCCATTCCCTAGATTGGACTAAGTAAAGTTTTTTGAAAACATCAGGATAAGACTATAATTTTGAAGGAAGCTCTTGCTCTTGGGTGTATTTCACAGAGGTTACTGTTCCCCCTCCTCCTGCTAGAGACTGGAAAGGGCCTTTCTTTTTTTTTTTTTTTTTTTTTTGAGATGGAGTCTCGCTCTGTCTCCTAGGCTGGAGTGCAATGGCACGATCTCAGCTCACTGCAGCCTCCACCTCCTGGGTTTAAGCAATTCTCCTGCCTCAGCCTCCCAAGTAGCTGAGACTACAGGTACACGCTGCCATGCCTGGCTAATTTTTGTATTTTTTAGTAGAGACAGGGTTTCACCATGTTGGCCAGGATGGTCTTGATCTCCTGGCCTTGTGATCCGCCCGCCTTGGCCTCCCAAAGTGCTGGGATTACAAGGGCCTTTTTGTATCTTCACCTTGAGAACTTGGTGTAGGGTTCCTGGAGGGTAAAGCCTAGGGAAGTATGGGGGCCCCTTAGGACTACAGGCTCTGAGGGTTTCTTACTTGTATGTTAGTTCATACTCAGCAGTTTGTCAGAGTTACCATTTAAGTAGTCCTGTCAATTTATAGTTCCAGCAGATTCTGCTCCAGACAAGGATACCTCGATTGTGACTCTGGATTCGGCAGTCTTCAGATTTTGATGTGGTGATTTGCCTCATGACCTTACTTCCCTGATTGGTCCAAGAATAGCTGATGAATTTTAGTTTGTTAGGTGATTTTCTTTCTTTCTTTTTTTTTTTTTTCAGACTACGTCTCACTCTGTTGCCCAGGCTGGGGTGCAGTGGTGCGATCTTGGCTTACTGCAACCTCCGCCTCCCAGGTTCAATCGATTCTCCTGCCTCAGCCTCCTGAGTAGCTGGGATTACAGGTGCGTGCCACCATGCCCAGCTAATTTTTATATTTTTAATAGAGACAAGGTTTCACCATGTTGGTCAGGCTGGTCTCAAACTCCTGACCTCGTGATCCACCCCTCTCGGCCTCCCAAAGTGCTGGATTACAGGTATGAGCCACCATGCCCGGCCAGTTTTCTTTTTGTAAAGGCAAAAGTGACAACTTCCAAGCTGACTAGGAAGTCCTACCCCTTCTTTCAAATAGGGTTTATATTTCTATTATTGAGTGTAAGAATTCTTTATATATTGTGAATATAAGTCCTTTGTCAGGTGTATGTATTGTGAATATTTTCCTGTCTGTGGCTTGTTTGTTCATTCCTTAATGGTGTCTTTTGATAAATAGAAGAATTTAATTTTGATACATTTAATTTCTTTTCCTTTTAGGTTATAGCTTTGTATGTCTCATCTAGCTAAGGAATCTGCTTATTCCAAAGATGAGAAGGAAGATTTTCTCATTTATTTGCTTTAAGAAGCCTGTAGTTTTAGCTTTTATGGTTTAGGTCTCAGATGTATCTCAAATTTATTTTTGTGTATGGCGTGAGTAAACAGTCCAGGTAGTTCGGCACCATTTGTTGAAAAGATTTTCCTCTCCAGACTGAATTGTGTTGGCACTGTTATTTGAAAATCAACTTACCATACGTAAGTGGGTCTGTTTCTGTATACTGTATTCTTATCCCTTGATCTAGTTTTCCATTCTTATGTTAATATCACACTGTCTTGATGACGGTGGGTTTATAGTATATCTTAAAGTCGAGTTGTTTTGTTCTTATCAAAATTGCTTTGGCTATTCTAGATCATTTGATTTTCATTTTAAAATTTAAAGTCAGCTTGTCATATTATATAGACAAAGCTGTGATTTTCCCTGGCATTGATTAAAATCTACAGGTCATTTGATGTTTGACATTTTATTTTTTAAAATGTGTTTTTTAGTTTTAATTGACAAAAATTGTATATATTCATGATATACAACATGTTTTGTAATATACATTGTGCAGTGACTAAATCAAGCTAATTAACATATGCATTGTCACTTATCATTTTTTCTGGTGATAACACTTAAAAAAAAATATATATATATATATATATATATTTTTTTTTTTTTAAGAGAAAGGGTCTCGTCCTGTTGCCCAGGCTGTATTGCAGTGGTGCAATCATAGCTCACTGCAGCCTTGAACTCCTGGGCTCAAGTGATCCTCCCACCTCAGCCTCCTGAGTAGCTAGGCCTATAGGGTGCATGCCACCATGCCCAGCTAATTTTAAAAACTGAAGTATATAGTCACCATGTTAAACAATTGATCTCTCGAACTTATTTCTGCTAACTGAAATTTTGTATCCTTGACCAAAATCTCCTCAGTTTCACCCCCAGCCCCTGGTAACCACAATTATACTCTCAGCTTCTATGATTTCAGCTTTCTTAGATTCTGCGTGTAAGTGGGATCATGCAGCATTTGACTTTCTGCGCCTGGCTTATTTTGCTTAACGCAGTGTCCTCCGGGTTTATCCATGTTGTCTCATGACAGGATTTCCTTCTTTTTAAAGACTGAGTAATATTCCATTGTACATGTATACCACATTTTGTTTATCCATTCATCCACTGAGGGACATTTTGATTGGTTTCATATTTTGGCTATTGTGAATAATTCTGCAATGAACATGGGAATGCAGATGTCTTTTCAACATACTGACTCCATTTCCTCTGGATATATACCCAGTAGAAAGATTGCTGGATCATATGGTAGTTGTATTTTTAATATTTTTAGAAACTTCCATACTGTTTTCCATAATGACTGTACTAATTTACATTCCCACCAACTGTGTACAAGGGTTTCTTTTTTTCCTTTTTTGATAATAGCTATTCTAACAGATGTGAGGTCATATTTCCTTGTGGTTTTAATTTGTAGTGTCTTGATGATTAGTGATGTTAAACACGTTTTTATATACCTGTTGGCTGTTGAATACCTGGGACTATAGGCACACGCTACCACACCTGGCTATTTTTTTATTTTTGTAAAGTCGCAGTTTCTCTGTATTGCCCAGGTTGGTCTCGAACTGCTGAGCTTAAGTGATCCTCCTGCCTTGGCCTCCCAGAATGCTGGGATTACAGGTGTGGGCTACTGCTCCTGGCTGTGTCTTCAATTTCCGTCTTCAGTGTTTTGTAATTTTTGATGTACCCTTCTTGGTTAAATTTATTTCTGAGTATTTTTTTTTTGTAGCTATTGTAAATGAAATTTTCTTTCTTTTTTTTTTTTTTCTTGAGACGGAGTTTCGCTGTTGTTGCCTAGGCTGGAGTGCAATGGCATGATCTCGGCTCACTGCAACCTCCGCCTCCCAGGTTCAAAAGATTCTCCTGCCTCAGCCTCCCGAGTAGATGGGATTACAGGCATGTGTCACCACACCCAGCTAATTTTGTATTTTTAGTAGAGACGGAATTTCTCCATGTTGGTCAGGCTGGTCTTGAACTCCCGACCTCAGGTGATCTGCCCGCCTTGGCCTCCCAAAGTACTGGGATTACAGGCGTGAGCCACTGTGCCCGGCCCATAAATGAAATTTTCTTAATTTCTTTTTGACATTTCAAGCATATTGAGTCTTTTATGAAACAATATCTCAATTTTTTTTTTTTTTTGGAGACAGTCTCACTCTGTTGCCCAGGCTGGAGAGCAGTAGTGGGATGTCAGCTCACTGCAACCTCTGCCTCCCAGGTTCAAGTGATTCTCCTGCCCTAGCTTCCTGAGTAGCTGAGACTACAGGTGTGTGCTACCATGCCCAGCTAAGTTTTATATTTTTAGTCACGATGGGGTTTCACCATATTGGCCAAGCTGGTCTTGAACTCCTGACCTCAAGTGATCTGCCCACCTTGGCCTCCCAGAGTGCTGGGATTATAGGTGTGAGCCACTGCACCCAGCTTTCAAATTCTTTTATGTCGTCTTTAATTTCTTTCAATGTTGTTTTGTTGTTTTCAGTGTACAGGTTTTGCACATGTATGCCATTTTTCTTGCTAATGTAAATGGTGTTTTATTGTCAATATATAGAAATACTTTGCATATTGATCTTGTGTTTTGTGATATTGCTATAAAAACTTACTTATTACCTTTTTTTGGGTAAATTTCTTAGGATTTTTAATGTACATGATCATGTCATCTGAGAATGTAGTTTTATTCTTTTCTAATCTGGGTGACCTTTATTTCTTTTTCTGACTTCTATGTATCTTTGCCTTACTGCTGCTCCTTACGGGAAAACAGGCAGTTTTTCTTAGCTGTAGGTTTTTCTTAGATGCCCTTTTTTAAGTTGGAAACATTTCTTATTTCTTGTTTGTTGTTCTTTGGTAACATTAATGGGTGTTGGATTTGTATCTTTCAAGGAATTTTTGTATTTCAACTAAGTTGTTGGGATTTATGCATGTAAAGTTGTTCATAATGGATTTGTTTGTTTGTTTTTTGTTGTTTTTGAGTCTAGCTCTGTCACCCAGGCTGGAGTGCAGTGGCGCGATCTTGGCTCACTGCAACCTCCGACTCACGGGTTCAAGCGATTCTCCTGCCTCTCCTGAGTAGCTGGGATTATAGGCGCACACCACCATGCCCGGCTAATTTTTGTATTTTTAGTAGAGACAAGGTTTCACCATGTTGGTCAGGCTGGTCTCAAACTCCTGACCTCGTGATCCACCCACCTTGGCCTCCCAAAGTGCTGGGATTACAAGCGTGAGCCACTGTGCCCGGCCCATAATGTTTTCTTACTATCCTTTTAATGTTGTAGGATCTGTAGTAATTTTCATCTTTTCAGTACCGATATTCATAATTGATATTTTCTTTTTTTCCTGATTGGTCTAGCTTTCAGTATTGTTGGTCTATTTGAAAAGCAGCTTTCGGTTTTATTCATTTCCTGTGTTGATTGACTCTTGAATTTCATCAGTTTTACTCTTTATTTCCTTCTTTCTATTTACATTGAGTTTAATTTGCTTTTCTTGACTTGATATCTTTCTTTTAGACAGGGTCTTGCTCTGTTGCCCAGGCTGGAGTGCAGTGGTGCAGTGGTGGATCCTGGGCTCAAGTGATCCTCCCACCTCAGCTCCCAAGTAGCTGGGACTACAGGCATGTACCATTGTGCCTCACTAATTTTTTTTCTTTTTTTTCTTTTTTTTTGGATATGGGGTCTCACTGTGTTGCCCAGGCTGGAGTGCAGTGATGCAGTCTCAGCTCACTGCAACCTCTGCCTCCTGGGTTTAAGCAGTCCTCCCACCGTGCCCAGCTAATGTTTTAAAAACATTTTTTGTAGAGATGGGGTTTTGTCATGTTACCCAGGCTGGTCTTGAACTCCTGGGTTCAAGTAATCCTCCTGCCTTGGCCTCCCAAAGTGCTGGGATTACAGGCGTGAGCCACTGTTCCTGGCCTTTTTCTTTACTGTTTTTTTTTTTTTGAGATGGTGTCTCACTTTGTCGCCCAACCTGGAGTGCAGCGGCATGATCTCAGCTCACTGCAGCCTCTGCCTTCCGGGTTCAAGCGATTTTCCTGCCTCAGCCTCTCAAGTAGCTGGGATTACAGGTGCACACCACCATGCCCAGCTAATTTTTATATTTTTAGTAGAGACGGTGTTTCGCCATGTTGGCCACACCACTCTTGACCTCCTGACCTTAGCATTAAATGATTAATTAACTCACTGACCTCAAGTGATCCACCCGCCTCGGCCTCCCAAAGTCCTGGGATTACAGGCGTGAGCCACTGTGCCCAGCCTGATACCTTCTTTTTAAGCAGCTTAAAACAACATTTATTTGTTAGTATTAAAATTTGTTATCTGCCAGTGTCTGTGTGTCAGGAATCTGGGCGTGGGTTACTTGGGTTTTCTGGTTCTAGAACTTTTACAAGGTGCTGGTGGGTGCTGCAGTCATCTTCCAGGGAAGAATCCATGTTCGAGCTCACTTGTGTGGTTGTTGGCAGGAGTCATCTCCTGGGCCTTTGAGCTAAAGGCCTTACTGGAAGCCACACTCAATTTCTTGCCATGTGCTTCTCTCCTTAGGGCAACTTGCTTCTTATAAATATGTAAAAAGAGAGTGAGAGAGTATGAGGTAAAAGTCTTTTGAAACCTAATTTCAGAAGTGGCATTCCGTCATTTTTGCTGTATTCTGTTCAGTAGAAGCGAGTCTCTAGGTGCAACCTATACTTTAGGAGAGAGAATTACACTTGGACATGAATTCTAGGAGATGGGGATCATTTGGCACCACCTTAGAAGTCTGCCTACCATGCCACAAGAGAAACTGGATGATCCAGGTGTAATGCATATGCTTAACTTTACTAGATGGTTCCAGAGTACTGTCTATTAATGTATGAGAGTTACCATTGTTAACAATGTATTGGCAACACTTGCTGTTGTGACTGGAGATCTTTTTTAATGTAATCATTTAATGATATAAATTTCCCTGTAAGCACGGCTTTAGCACTATCTCAAAATTTTTATCCTGTTTTCATTTTTATTCAGAGAAAATTAAATTCCAAGAAAGTAGAAGGAAGGAAATAATGAGTAACTTAGACCAAATGTACAAATTCCTTGAAAGACAAGGAACTGTTAGATGACCACAACTGACATGAGTTGGAAAGTGTTCCCTTCTGTTTGAAATAATTTGTGTAAGATTGGTATTATTTCTTTTAAAACTCTTTGATAGAATTCATCAGTGTAGCTATTTGTGAGTGTATTTTCTTTGTTGGAAGGTTTTAAATTATGAATTAAGTTTTTAAAACCATGTTATTCAGATGTTCTATTTCTTTCTTTTTTAAAATAGTTTTTTATTTTTATTTTTTGAGACAGGATTTCACCTTGTCACCCAGGCTGAAGTACAGTGGCGCTATCATAGCTCACTACAGCCTTGAACTGGGCTCAAGTGATCCTCCTCCTCAGCCTCCTGAGTACAAATTTTCTATTTCTTTAGCTGCATCCCACAACTTTTGATATGGCTGGGCTTTAATTTTCACTTAGTTCAAAATATTTTGTGTTCTTCCTTGGGACTTCTCTTTTGGCCCATGATTTTTTATAAATGTGTTTAATTTATAAATATTTTGGTTTTCCAGATATCTTTTTGTTACTGATTTTTTTTTTTTTAAAGCTTACTACTTTGATCAGATAAGATGTTTTGTATCATTTCGGTCCCTTTATGTATCCAGAAGTTTGTTTTATGTTAAACATGGTTTGTCTTTATGAA
Organism: Homo sapiens; assembly: GCF_000001405.40. Taxonomy (NCBI): domain Eukaryota; kingdom Metazoa; phylum Chordata; class Mammalia; order Primates; family Hominidae; genus Homo; species Homo sapiens. Next base: position 112,315,197 of record NC_000009.12, on the reverse strand, counting down.
TGTTCTGTGTACACTTGAATGTGTAGTCTAATTTTGTTGGGTGTAGTGCCTTTTAAATGTCAGTGGGGGCCGGGGGCGGTGGCTCATGCCTGTAATCCCAGCACTTTGGGAGGCCAAGGTGGGCGGATCACGAGGTCAGGAGATCGAGACCATCCTGGCTAACACGGTGACACTCCGTCTCTACTAAAAATACAAAAAATTAGCCGGGCATGGCAGCGTGTGCCTGTAGTCCCAGCTACTTGGGAGGCTGAGGCAGGAGAATGGTGTAAACCCGGGAGGCGGAGCTTGCAGTGAGCCGAGATCGCGCCACTGCACTCCAGCCTGGGTGACAGAGCAAGAGTCCGTCTCAAAAAAAAAAAAAAAAATGTCAGTGGGACAGACTGGTTGAAATTCAGGTTTTCTGTATCTTTACTGATTTTTTATTCTGTTAAAGAGAAGAGAAATATTGAAATTTCTGTCCGCAATTGTAGATTTGTGTATTTCTTTTTGTAGTTCTGTGAGGTGTTTCTTTTTTGTTTTTTTGTTTTGTTTTGTTTTGTTTGAGACAGGGTCTCGCTCTCTAGCCCAGGCTCTCTTCTAGGCTTAAGGGATCCTCCCGCCTCCGCCTCCTGAGTGGCTGGGACTGAAGGTACACACCGCTGTCTCTGGCTAATTTTTAAATTTTTGTAGAGATGAGTCCTTGTTCTGTTGTGCAGGCCGATCTCAAACTTCTGGGCTCAAGCGAACCTCCCACTTTGACCTCTCAAAGTGCTGGGATTAGAGGCACGAGCTACTGCACCCAGCTGTTCTGTCAGTTTTTGCTTTACGTGTTTTGAAGCTCAGTTACTATATGTATTCACATTTAGGAGTGTTATATCTTGATGAGTTGACCTTTTGTCTCCTTGTGAAATATACATTTTTATCTCAGTAATAGTTCCTATCTTGAAGTGTACTTTGTCTAATGTTAATGTAGCCATTCCAGCTTTCTTATGATTGGTATTTGTGTGGTATACATTTGTCCCTCTTGTCCTTGGGAGATTGGTCCAGTACTTCCCAAGGACCCCAAAATTTGTGGATGCAGAGGCTGAAGTCTTTTATATAAAGAGAGCAGTATTTGCATATAACTTATAGCACATCCTGCTGTATACTTTAAATCACCTCTAGATTACTTAGAATGCCTAATACAGTGCTTACACATAACCTCATTTGCGTGGATTCATTTAAGGTAGTATTTGGCACATGGCAAATTCAACTTTTGCTTTTTGTAACTTTGTGGAACTTTTTTTCCCAAATGTTTTCCGTCGTCAGTTGGTTCATCCATGGATGAATTCATCGGTATGGAGAGCTGACTGTATTTTTTTCCTATTCCTTTTCCTTTTCTTTTAATCTATCTATGTTTAAGATAGGTTAAAGAACAGTTGAGCCAAAGACAACAAATGGCGAGATGGTGGACTTAAATCTACTTAAAAGGATTAGCTTCCAAAAGACTTGGGCTTTGCTTTCTTTTTGCTCACTCTGATAAAAGTGAGCTGCCATGTTGTAAGTTATCTTATGGACAGGCCCATGTACAAACTGAGTCCTGCCAGCAACCACTTGAGTAAGTGTGGAAGTGGATCCTTCATGTGTTCTGTTAAGCCTTGAGATGATTCCGGTCTGTGATAGACTCTCCAGAGGACCTAGCTAAGCCATGTCCAGGTTTCTGACTTCCACAAATTAAGTTACAAAATATTTGTTTTTTCCAGCTGCTAAATTTTGGAGTAATTAGTTATCCAGGCATGGATAAACAATACAGCTGCCTGCTCACAATGGTGAATAAATATTGAAGAAATGAATATAAAAATAACTTATTAGGCTGGGTGTAGTGGCACACACCTGTAGTCCCAGTGCTTTGGTAGGTTGAGGTAGGAGGATTATTCGAGCCCATGAGAGGAGGTTACTGTGAGCTGTGATTACATCACTGCAGTCCAGCCCGGGTGACAGAGCGAGACCCTGTCTCTTAAAAGAAAAAAGTCTTATTAATGTCAGAGTAAGATTATGTAAGTGCAAGTACTTTTTTGTTGTAAATTACTATGGGTAAGACTTTCTTATATGATCATGTTATCTTTATCTGATAGCTTACCATAGTGTGTACATACCACATATGTACTTTGATTTTCCTTTTCCTTTTTTTTTTCTTTGAAACAGTGTCTTGCTGTCACCCAGTCTGGAGTGCAGTGGCACAATTTCAGCTCACTGCAGCCTTGACCTCCTGAGCTCAAGCAGTCTTCCCACTTCAGCCTCCTGAATAGCTGGGAATACAGGCATGCACCACCATACCTGGCTAATTTTTGTGTATTTTGTAGAAACAGGGTTTCGCCATGTTGCCTGGGCTGGTCTCCAACTCCTGGACTCAAGTGATGTGCCCACCTTGGCCTCCCAAAGTTCTGGGATTACATGCATGAGCCACTGTGCCCGGCCTGCTTTTTAACAGTTTATTTTTTCTTAGTGTACTAATGTGGTGAATTTCATTGATTTATTATTATTTTTTAAAATTTTATTTTAATATAAAGTTACAGAAAGATTATAAGAAGAGTACAAAGAACTCGTATATCCTTTACCCAGTTCATATTTGCACCATTTTTCATTTATCATTTCCCCGATTGTCTTACCATTTCCCCTTCCATATATAGTCTTTCTATAGATGTAAACGCACACACACACGTCCTTTTTTTTTTTTTTAAAAAAAAAAAACAAAAAAAAAAACAAGGTCTCGTTCATTCAGTGGTATGAACACAGATCACAGCAGCCTTGATCTCCTGGGCTCAAGTGATCCTCTTGTCTCAGTCCTTGAACAGCTGGGGACCACAGGCATGCACCACCACGCTCAGTGAATTGTTGTTGTTATTGTTATTGTTGTTTTGTAGATACAGGGTCTCACTATGTTGCCCAGCCTGGTCTCGAACTCGTGGCCTTAAGTGATCCTCCTGCCTTAGCTTCCCCACTTTTTTTTATGTCTTAATCACTTGGTTAAGGTGATTTTCTGCCAGGCTTTTCCATTGTAAAGTTACCAATTTTCTTTTCGTAATCAATGATTTGTTGGAAGATGCTTTGAGACTAGAGTTTATTCTTTAACCCCTAAATATTTGAGTGTATTACCTATAAACAAAGAATTTCCCATTCATTACTGTGATACAGTTAACAAAATCAGGAAATTAATCTGAAATAGGTCCTCAGTCTTTTTGTTTCATTACATTGACTCTTTTTTTCTTTTTAAAATAAAGATGTGGGATTTCACTATGTTGCCCAGGCTGAAGTGCAGTGGCTACTCACAGGCACGATCCTAGAGCACTGCAGCCTCCAACGTCCTGGGCTCTGATGATCCTCTTGCTTCAGCCTCCCATGTAGCTGGGACTACAGGCATAAGTCACCACACCCGGCTAATTAAAAAACCGTTTTTTTTCAGAGACAGGGTTTAGCTCTTGTCCAGGCTGGTCTCAGACTCCTGGCCTTAAGCTATCCTGCCTCATCCTCCCAAGTTGCTGGGATTACAGGCCTGATACACTGTGCCTGGCTAGCAAATCTGTTTCAGAGTACAGTTGTCCCTCAGTATCTAGGGGGGGCCAAAATCCATGCATACTCAAGTTCTCCAGTTGGCTCTGTATAGGTGAAGTCTGCCTGCATGTATAAAAAGTCAACCTTCATATAACTGGGTTTTGCATCCTGGGAATACTGTATTTTTGATCCTCATTTGGACTCGGGCAGTTCAAACTCACTCATGTTGTTCAGGGTCAACTGTATTTCCATATAACTTAACTCAGTTCCTTCTGAATACTTTAAGTCATCTCTAGGTTATTTATAATACGATTTAATGCTATGTAAATAGTTGTTATGCTGTATTGCTTAGGGAATAATGACAAAAAAAGTCTGTACATGTTTATACAGATGCAGTTTTTTTCCAAATATTTTCAATCTGTGATTGTTTGAATCTACAGATGCAGAACCCATGGATACGGTGGGCCAATCGTATATTAAAAAAAAAAAAACACATTTTCCACCATAACTGCAACTGCCCTGGCCCTTAATCCGGATTATCATCACAGCTTCCTAACCAGAGTCCTTCCCTCTTTGTCTTGTTAAAGACTGTTCTTAACACAGCAGCCAGAGTGATCCTTTAAAAAAGCAAATTGATCTTTTCACTCCTGTTCAAAACTCTCTTTCCCTCATTTCGCTCAGAGTAAGGTTCTTTAGAATGGCCGTTAAGGCCCTGCATGCTATGACACACCTTCTCTCTAATCTCTTTACTTCTCCCCTTGCTCATTCTCTTTCAGCCATAATTGCCTCCTTACTGTTTTTCCAGAACATGCAAGGCATTTTGTTTCCTCTACCTACAACATTCTTCCCTCAGATATCTACATGCTTACTCCTTACTACTTGTAAGACTTTGGTTAAATGCCTTTTTCTCTTAAGTCGTACCTTGCTGTCCTATTTGAAATTGAAATTCTTTTCACCTCTGGCACTCCTGATGCTTTTTCTCCTACTTTTTAAGAAGCACTTAAGACTTTAGGACATAATACATAATTTACTTACTTTGATTATTATGTTTCTTTGTGCAAGATTGTAAGCTCCATTAAGGTAAGGGCAGGGATTTCGTTTGTTCCCTAATCTTCCCCAGTGGTTAAAGGCCTGGCACATAGCTGGTGGCTCAGTAAATATTTATCGAATTTGTTGAATGAATGAATATTATTGCTAACACATTTATACATACTGAATTCAATATGTATGGGCTATACCTGTATGGTAAGAACTGAATAAATATACAAATGAATGTCTTTTTGATTGGATATCATGAATTAGAAGGCTTTTTAGAGGAATTACTTGCAGGCATTAAAGAAAATATTCAATATGCTGTCTTCAAAAAAAGTGTTGATATTTTGTTGTTAAGATGTCCATATAAAATGAAGGCAGTCAGAATCATTTTATTGAAACTGTGTCCAAACAGTAGTTTTTAAACATTGCCACAGCTGCTCATTGAAAAAATTTCCTCTACCTTTAACTATTCTTTTTTGTTCCCACTGCCCTAGAATCTCAACAGTGGCAGTCTTGGAATAAAAATGTCACAAATGAACAATTTGGTAACTATTCTTTAGAGAATATTTAGGGATAATCACACTCAGTAGATGAAAGGTGTTGATGGGGCCACAGTGTATGTGAGAATGTGATCTCATTCAAATGGGTCAGTCAGTAGAGTTACCAATAGCAAATGTCTTTAGGTTTAGATGTGTTTATAGTTACAGGAGGCTATGGAAAGGTGAATGTTAAAAGGCTAAATGTCTAAAACAAAACAAAACCCTTGGAGTTTCAGGTAGTGCCACGCAATGAATGCAGACCCCCTATTGACTATTGTTTATTCCTTTATCTCTATAGTTATTACTCAATTTTTTTTTTTTTTTTTGAGACGGAGTCTCTCTCTGTCGCCCAGGCTGGAATGCAGTGGCACAATCTCAGCTCACTGCAGCCTCCACCTCCCTGGTTGAAGCAATTCCCCTGCCTCAGCTACTCGAGTAGCTGGGATTACAGGCGTCCACCACCACGCCCAGCTAATTTTTTTGTATTTTTAATAGAGACGGGGTTTCATCATGTTGGCCAGACTGGTCTCAAACTCCTGACCTCAGGCAGTCCGCCCGCCTTGGCCTCCCAAAAGTGCTGGGATTACAGGAGTGAGCCACCACACCCGGCCTGTTACTTATTTTTTAAGAAAAAAAGTTTTGAACATCGATTATATATGAAACATTGTAGTAGGTTCTGTAGAGGAGTATATAAAGGTAAGTAATCAGGAGACCATAATCAATACATGCATATGGTATAGTGAAACTCCATATCAATATCACTTTTATTTCTGTTTTTGGAAAAACTTAGAGCAGAACCAGTATGAGTTTTCTGTCCTGGGAAGTGTTCACACGGGGTCACTAGACTATCTGTTAGAAAAAGGTAGGACTTGGATATTTCAGTATTTAAGATGCTATTAATTTAAAAAAAAAAGGTCTAGGATTCTGGAAAATTATGAAGTAGTTTTTTGATAGCCTCTTTTGTATAGTCATGTAGTATCTTGATAGATTAAAACAAATATCTTTTCTTGAATTTCATATGCATTTTAGATACATGAAGTTTAACCATGAATTAATGGTTTATTTTCAGAATCATCCGTACATGTTACTTCAACGTCTTTAATGCTAAATAAAACCAATTCCTATCAAATTTGATGATGAAACACTTATTTGTGCTGTTTAATTACAGTATTTCTTTGCTTTGTTAGCCCCGTGAATTATGCATCAGCAGGCGAGAGCTTCAGTAATTGATACTTGAGCCAGTAAAGCTGATTGTGTGCTGACTTAGCCAGAGAGCTGACAAGTCCACAGAGCAACTGCTGGACTTATGTAAATTTGCTGTGTGTTTCTAAGGACAGTCTCCTTAGAAACACACAGTGTTGTTTGCAGCCAGCACCTGCCCCGCCACTCCCCTATGTCTTCACATTTTGCTAGTTAAGGCCTTCTTTTGTATACATTAATTTGTTTACCCGTGGTACAGTCTTTTATTCTTTTGGTCGTCTGCATTCACTTGTCCAAGTTTTCCTTCCTTTTAAAAATGTCTTCATTCTGCTTGATTGTCTTCCATTCTTCCCTTAAACCGTAATCTGTTATCATAGCAGTCAAACCTTACGGAAAATTGCATTTGAGACACTTAGGATATAAATATTAAGTATAATTTTGAGAAATCCTTTTCATTTTATATTGAAGTAGTCTGTAATTAAATGCAGTGATATGTTTTCAGGAGAAAGAATTTATGTCTAGGAAAGAAAAGTTTTTTTTTTTTTTTTTTTTTTTTTTTTTTAAATAAAAGGAGTAGGTTTAACATTGGCCAGGTGCAGTGGCTCAAGCCTGTAATTCCAACACTTTGGGAATCCTAGGCCAGAGGATCACTTGAGCCCAGGAGTTTGAGACCAGCCTGGACAACGAAGTGAGACCACATCCCTACAAAAAATAAAAAAAATTAGCTGGGCATGGTGGTGCATGCCTCTAGTCCTAGCTACACAGGAGACCAAGGCAGGAGGATGGCTTGAGCCCTGATTATGCCGCTGTACTCCATCCTGGGTGATGGAGCAATACCCTGTCTCAAAAAAAGGGAATGTTTAAAGCAGGGCTTCCCTGGGCCATACTGGAAGAAGAATTGTCTTATGCCACACATAAAATACACTAACACTAACGATAGCTGATGAGCTAACAACAACAAAACACCAAAAATATCTTAATGTTTTAAGAAAGTTTATGAATTTGCGTTGGGCGGCACTCAAAGCCATCCTGTGCCGCATGTGGCCCATGGGCTGCATGTTGGACAAGGTTGGTTTAAAGTAATAATACAGAACTAATAACTCTGTTTTCCTCATCTTTTACAATGTTTTACAAAGTAGTGTGACTCTTGGGATTTAGCCTTCATAATATCAAAAAAGCCTTTGTTTTCTGTAATTTGAAAGTGAGTTCTTGGGAAAAAACTTGGCTAGAAAATTGTGGTTATCAGAATTATTTTTTATGACTAATTTTCAAATGTAAGTTTCTTTTGTTCTCTTTGTCTTTTGTTTTTCATGTTCTGAAATTATTAGGGGGAGAAAGTTACCAGCTTTTAAAAGTGTCATAATTGCTTCAGAAACGTCTTGTTTATTTTATATAAAGAATGATAAAACATTTCCCGGAATGAAACTTTATGATCTTATTTATCTTTTTTATTTTTTATTTTGGGACAGGGTCTCCCTTTGTCACCCAGGCCAGAGTGCAGTGGCATGATCTTAGCTCACAGAACCTCGACCTCCTGGCTCAATCAATCCTCCCACCTCAGCCCCCAAAGTAGCTGGGACTACAGGTGTGTGGTACCATGCCCGGCTAATTTTTTGTGTTTTTGGTAGAGATGGGATCTCATTCTGTTGCCCAGGCTGGTCTCGAACTCCTGAGCTCAAGTGATCCCCCCACCTTGGCCTCCCAAAGTGCTGGGATTACAGGCGTGAGCCACCGCGCCTGGCAAATATCTTATATTTTAATTGTTCTTGATGTGTAATAAGACAATAAAAATAGCAATTCCAACACTTCAGTTGATACTAGGGTCCCCTTTACTTATGTGTTATTTTAGGCATGTTTTATTCTTTTCAAAAAGCTCTTCCTAATATCATTGAAATAGAATTGAAGTAGAATTATCAAATGTAATTGTTTATTTTGAAGACTTTGCAACTTTCACCATGTCCTTATAAATAGAGTTTATATTTTGAATGTGACAGTTAAGATGTTGCATTCATTTAACTACAAATTTGGCCAGCACTTTGGGAGGCCAAGGTGGGTGGATCACCTGAGGTCAGGAGTTTGAGACCAGCCTGACCAACATGGCAAAACCCTGTCTCTACTAAAAATACAAAAATTAGCCGGGCATGGTGGTGTGTGCCTGTAATCCCAGCTACTTGGGAGGCTGAGGCAGGAGAATCGCTTGAACCCAGGAAGCAGAGGTTGCAGTGAACCCAGTAGCGCCACTGCACTGCATCCTGGGTGACAGAGCAAGACTCTGTCTCAAAACAAACAAACAAACAAACAAACAAAAATATATATATATATATATACAAATTTAAATTAATTTTCTGGTTTTTCTGTACTTGAATATTTGATCATATTTTCAGACTACTGTTTTTCTTTACAGATGGAAGTCCAATGGTAATTCAGAGGTTAAGAATAGTGTTTTTTTTTTTTGCCCAGGCACAGTGGTTTAGGCCTCTAATCGCAGCACTTTGGAAGGTCGAAGCGGGCAAATAGCTTGAGCCCAGGAGACCAGCTTGGGCAACATGGTGAAACCCCATCTCTACAAAATAATACAAAAATTAGCTGGGCATGGTGGTGTGCATCTGTGGTCCCTGCTACTCAGGAGGCTGAGGTGGAAGGATCGCTTGAGCCTAGGAGGTTGAGGCTGCAGTGAGCTGTGATCATGCCACTGCACTTCAGCCTGGGCGACAGAGTGAGACCTTGTCTCAAAAAAAAAGTTTAAAAAATATTAAGCAAATTAATAATTTTGTTATATTTATTTAACCATGTGAAGAATTAGGCCAACTGTGATGTTATGAGACAAGGTCCATGCAAGACTGCCCTTACATCTGACACCAATTGCAAGTGTAGGGGATTCCCGAAGCTACCCACAGGTTCAATAATTTGCTAGAAAGACTCACAGAAGTCACTGAAAGCTTTTTATTTATTTTTATTTTTATTTTTATTTTTTGAGACAGAGTCTCGCTCTGTCGCCCAGGCTGGAGTGCAGTGGCGCGGTCTCGGCTCACTGCAAGCTCCGCCTCCTGGGATCATGCCATTCTCCTGCCTCAGCCTTCCGAGTAGCTGGAACTACAGGCGTCCGTCACCACGCCCGGCTCATTTTTTGTATTTTTGGTAGAGACGGGGTTACACCGTGTCAGCCAGGGTGGTCTCTATCTCCTGACCTCATTATCCGCCCCCCTCGGCCTCCCAAAGTGCTGAGATTACAGGCGTGAGCCACCGTGCCCGGCTGAAAGCTCTTATACTCACAGCATGGTTTGCTAGAGGAAAAGGACGCAGATTAAAATCAAGCCTAGGGAAGAAATGCCTAAGGCAGGGTCCTGGGAAGTACTGTTGTCGAGTGGACACATTACTTCCCCAGCATCAGTGTGTGGCAGTAGGCAAGGAGTATTATCAACCAGGGAAACTCACTGGAGCCTTGGCGTTTACAGTTTTTGTTGGAACTCTATTATATAGGCATAAATAATTTATTGTTCATGAGGCTGATTTCAGTCTAGTTTCCAGCCCCTTCAGGTGTGACCCAAAGCTCCTACCCTAAATCACATTGTCGATCTTTCTGGCATGGCTATTCCTTACCCTATGACTGTCTGGTGACCCAAGGCCACTAGGCAGAAAAAAAAAAAAAAAAAGTCCTTTCAGGCATGATATTTCAAGGACTTAGAGATTACCTCTAGGAAGGAAAGGGCAAAAGCCACACCTTTCTTTGGACAAGGTAAGTTTTTTACTACACAAACTGTGGGCCATATTAAAATAAGGCAGTCATTTGCTAATTTTAACAGTATTTGAAAAACTCCTGTAAAAATAAAAATGCTTCTTAGTCATCACCTGTAGTGCAGTAGTAACTCGAAGTTACCCTACATTTTGCTATAGGAATTTGAGATTTCTTGTAGTTTTATCTTTTCCTCAAAAAAGAAAAGTTGTCTGTTTCACTTCTGAATATTTATCCTGAAAAAATGCTATATTAAAGACAAAACACTATAATTTAAAATAGGGGAATAGTTAAGGATGTTGTTATAGAATTTTAATAATCTACTAAAAATAATTGTGATGCAGCCTGGGCAAAATAGCAAGAGTCTACAAAAAAATAAAAAATAAGCGATCAATCAGTAGAGTAAAGTATAATAAAAAAAATTTTTCTGTCTACAAAAATTAAAAAATCAGCCAGGCAAAGTGATGCATGCCTCTAGTCCTAGCTACATGGGAGGCCAAGGTGTGAGGATTGCTTGACCTGGAAGGTTGAGGCTACAGTGAGCTATGATCATCCCACTGCAGTCCAGCCGGAGTGACAGAACGAGACTCTGTCTCACAAAAATAAATAAATGAATAATGACAGACTAACAACATGGAGAAAGCTTATCAGTTAAAAGGATAATAGAGCGGAGCATAGATTCATATTATAACTTTGTAAAATTCATATTAAGATGAATGATTTATCAAAATGAAATATGATCCAGCCATTTCACATTTATAGATTTATTCTGAGATAACTGGATAAGTAGGTAAAGATGCTTAAATAAGGTGATTACAGTGAAAATTTTTCCTTTTTTTTCTCTAAACAAATCTCATCACAGTGTTCACAGGAAAAATTCAAATGCATAGGCAGATACATGCTTTATTCTTTTTCTGAAAGGTTAACCATAAATGAGACTTTAATAAATGTCCCATACAATTCTGTACAATTGGACTCTGGTACTAAAAATGGATACATTTTTTTTTTCCTCCTAAGACAGAGTCTGACTCTGTTGCCCAGGCTGGAGTGCAGTGGTGTAATCTCGGCTCACTGCAACCTCTGCCTCCTGGGTTCAAGTGATTCTCGTGCCTCAGCCTCCCGAGTAGCTGAGATTACAGGCATGCACCACCATACCTGGCTAATTTTTGTATTCTTAGCAGAGACAGGGTTTCACTGTGTTGGCCAGGCTGGTCTTGAACTCCCGACCTCAAGTGATCCGCCTGCCTTGGCCTCCCAAAGTGCTGGGATTACAGGTGTGAGCCACTGTGCCCAGCCTGTAGTATTGATTGATTGATTGAGACGGAGTCTCACTCTGTCGCCCAGGCTGGAATATAGTGGTGTGATCTTGGCTCACTGCAACCTCTGCCTCCCAGGTTCAAGTGATTCTCCTGCCTCAGCCTTCCGAGTAGCTGGGGCTAGAGTTGCACACCACCACACCTGGCTAATTTTTGTAATTTTAGTAGAGACGGGGTTTCACCATATTGGTCAGGCTGGTCCTGAACTCCTGACCTCATGATCTGCCCGCCTCAGCCTCCCAAAGTGCTGGGATTACAGGCGTGAGCCACCGCGCCCAGCCTGTAGTATTTATTTTCAAGCTGCCCATGCGATTGTATTGATTAGCCAAGGCAGAGGGCTGTTAATCTTGCACCTGATACTCTGCTATAGGCTCTGGAAGAATATAATCTAGTATAAGGCACAAATAAGAGACCTCAAGGTATCTGAGAACTAACTTTGTGTACATATTTGACAAAATTATGTTATTGATAATTATACATACAGGAAGAATATATCATGTTAATGAACTAACATTCTGGAACCATACACATTTTAATGTTGAAAGATGATAAAAATTAAGTTGAACCTTTTCACTTGGGATAGAAAAATTCTCAAGGATGTGGTGCCATTTTATCTGTGACTAGTAGATAGGATTGGGTATGTAGCAAAGGGATAGTGCTTGAAGCAGGATAATATCATAAAAAGATGCAGAATAAGTATGATTTATTTGGAGAAAATTACATGACAGGGGAGTGTTACTGTGAGCAAGAGATCCAGATTAGAAAGATTGTTTCATTGCCATCACAGGACATTTAGACTTGATTCAGTAACCAGTGGAATAATTTCACATTAATGGTTGATTGGAAATTTATTTGGTAGGAAAGTAGGTAACAGTTTATCGAATGAGAAAAAAATAGAAAAAAAACATGAGTAACTTACTTTTCTCCCCAAATTGAAACTGAAATGGCATGTGTGCATTAAGAAGAATATAGTCAGGCTGGGCGTGGTGGCTCACGCCTGTAATCCCAGAACTTTAGGAGGCAGAGGTGGGCAGATCACTTGAGGTCAGGAGTTCGAGACCAGCCTGACCAACAGGGTGAAACCCTGTCTCTACCAAAAATGCAAAAATTAGCTGGGTGTTGTGGGCGGACACCTGTAATCCCAGCTGCTCAGGAGGCTGAGACACGAGAATCATTGGAACCTGGGAGGCGGAGGTTGCAGTGAGCTAAGATCGTGTCACTGTACTCCAGCCTGGGTGACAGAGCAAGACCTTGTCTCCAAAAAAAAAAAAAAAAAAAAAAAGATGAAGAATATAGTCAGCTTTTGGGATTCTTAGCCCTTGTCTGGGGCCTGTGTTAACAGTTTAACACCTCGTCTAGGTGCCTTTCTGGTAATCTCAAGTGTCTCTAAGATAAAGTGCTTTCCTGTACATTTCTTCTTTCCAGTTTTTTTATGTCAAAAATATGAAAAGAGTTGGTTCCTCACAGCAGGTAACTTGTTTGGATGGTAGAAAGGTGTTTGCGCTTTTGACTTCTCAAATGTTTGACTTTCAAGATACTGCCGTATTCTTTTTTCTCGTCAATTTTTCCTTTAACTCTTTTGGTAGATTTCTTATTTGCCTTTCCCTTGAGCTGTTGTATCCCTTTATAGTTTTGTTGTAGAGAGGGTATTAGGTCAATGTTTTTTTTCATTTTACAAAAAGCTATTTGCTGTCAATTGAAATTTGTGTAGTTTCTGGTATATGTTATCTGCGTTTTGTAATGTTCCTTTCTTTTCTTTTTGTTCTGCTTATCTTTGAAGGGATGCCTTCTGGACCACTGTTGTACAGAAGCACAGTGTTGAGGATGATCTGTAACAGCGGGCTGTGGCAGGGTTGAACACAGGTGTTAGTGATGACTGTTAGTGAAGACAGCAGGACTCTCAAGCCAGTAGGAATCCTTTGGCTGAGAATGAAGTACCTGTTGTCCTATATTTTATTTTTTAATTTTAATTTTATTAAACTTTTCAAACAATTAGAGATGCATGGCAAGTTATAAAGATAGTACAGAAAGGTCCTGTGTGCCCCTCACTAAGTTTCCTCCAGTGGTTACATCTTATATAATTATAGTACACCATCAAAACAGAAGCATTGGTATTGGGACAGTGCCTGTATATAGTTCTGTTTGATCTTATTGCATATGTAGATTCACATAACTACCATCACAGTCAAGATATAGAACTAATCCATCACCACAAAGATCTCCTTATGGTACCATTTATAATCACCTACCACCTCCACCCAACCATCTCTATCTCCTGGCAACCACTAATCTGTTTTCCATCTCTATAATTTTTGTCATTTTGAGAATACTGTAGGTGAAATCATAGAGCATATTATCTTTTGAGGTTGCTAAGTGTATGTTTAGTTTTTTTGTTTGTTTTTTTTTTTCTTTTTTTCAGAAAACACCAAACTACTTTCCAGAGTGTCTGTACCATTTTACATTGCTACCAGCAATGTATGAGAGATCTATTTTTTCCACATCCTGGTCTGCATTTGATATTGTAACTTTTTATTTTAGGTGTTCTGATAGTTAAGTGGTAGTATCATGGTCTTAATTTTTCCTTGAAGTGGCTTTTGATTTGCATTTCCTTAATGACTAATTAGGTTGAGCATCTTTTCATGTACTTACTGGCCTTCTTTGGAGAAATACCTTTTCAAATCCAATGGGTTGTCTTTTTTTATTGTTGATCTTAAGGGTTCTTAGGTGTTCTAGGTACCAGTTTCTTGTGAGATGTGTGACTTGTAAATACTTTCTTCCATTCTCCATGTTGTCTTTTTATTCTCTTGATGGTGTTCTTTGAAACACAAAAGTTTTTATATTTGACAAAGTTCAGTTTATTTATTTATTTATTTATTGCCATTCGTGCTTTTGGTTTTGATAATCCATTTTTTTTGTTTTTATTTTTATTTACTTAGAGATGGGGTCTCCCTATGTTGCCCACGTTGGTCTTGAACTCTTGACCTCAAGTGATCCTCCCTCCTTGGCCTCCCAAGTGCTGGGAATACAGGTGTGAGCCACTGTGCCCGGGTTTTTGTACCCCATATAAATGCAACAATATAGCGTGTATTCTTTGTGACTTTTTTTTTTTCTTTGAGACGGAGTCTCGCTTTGTCGCCCAGGCTGGAGTGCAGTGGCGTGATCTCGGCTCACTGCAATCTCTGCCTCCCGGGTTCACGCCATTCTCCTGCCTCAGCCTCCTGAGGAGCTGGGACTACAGGCGCCCGCCACCACGCCAGGCTGATTTTTTGTATTTTTAGTAGAGACGGGGTTTCACCATGTTAGCCAGGATGGTCTTGATCTCCTGACCTTGTGATCCGCCCGCCAAGCCCTCCCAAAGTGCTGGGATTACAGGCGTGAGCCACCACGCCCGGCCGTGACTGACGTTTTAGGTTTGTGAGATTTATCTGTGTTATGTGGAGCCGTAGTTCATTCTCATTGTTGTATAGTCATTGCATGCATTTACAAACATTTACTCAGTTATTCTGCAGTTGATGGCATTTAGTTGTTTCCAGTTTGACGAGTACAAATAATGCTGCTGAAGACAATCTTATATGTCTAGGTGCACACAAGCAGGCAATATCTTGGGGTTTATGCATCGGAGTAGACTATGTAAGGATCCTAGGATATTCATATATTTGACTTTAATAGATTGGATCAGACAGTTTTCCAAGTGGTACCAATTTACACTCTCACTAAATTATACTTAACTCCCATATAAGAGTTTTTGTCACCCCACATTATTACTAACATGATATTGTCCATCTTTTTAATTTTACAGTATTTCATTGTGGTTTTAACTTGCATTTCCCTGATGACCAATGAGGATGCGGTCAAATATCTTTAGTTTGATTGGATATGGTATTAGTCATTTATAAATTGTTTAAAAAAACATTTATTTCTTGTTCACTTACAATGGTGGTAGCTGTTATGGAGCTACACTTGTTATTCTGAGAATCAGGCTGAAAGAGTACCTCCTATTTGAGATATGCTCTTATTTCAGAGGGAAAGAGAAAAAACTGGCAGAAATGACTGATTTTTGAAGTTACTGTTTGGATTAAGTATAGGTCATGTCCATTCATGTTCCATTTGCCAAAGGATATTACAAAACTGTGTTGTCAATGGGGGGAGGGAGTTATACTCTTCCCACTGGAGGCATTGCAAGTCACATGGCCATGGATGGGGATGAATAATTCTTGTTCAGGAAAAGGAGAGGGTACAAATACTCTGGAACAGTGACATAGTCCACCACTTTGTGAGATGGCTGTTAAAGTCTCTTGTCATTTTTCTGTTATCTTGGGTTTTTCTTACTGATTTCTAGTGTTTTGTTTTTCCTTTTTTCTTTTTCTTAGTACGTGCTGGATATAAACCCTTTGTTGGTTTTACATATCGCAGATATCTTCTTATTCCATGACTTGTCTGTTTATTCTCCTAATGATGTCTTTTGTTAAATAAAATTGTTAATTTTAATGTTATCTAGGTTATCAGTATTTTTGCTTTATACTTGTGCTTTTTGTTATTCTTGAAAAAATACATTTCTGCAAATCTCGAAAGAGCTAAAGTGACCACCTTCAAGTGGTTTCTAACTTTATATTAACTTGATTTATAGGTAGAAACATACTGATGCTAACTCATATGTGTGGAAGATATATCTGTTAGTAATGCATTTAACCAAATTCCTCATATATAAAAATCATGTTGTGTATGTTTTAATTTTTACTATTAATACATTTAAAGCTGTGAAAATGTGTCTTTATCTGCAGGTAGCCAGCAAACCACAGTCTGTTAATTATCATATGTAGCCTGATAATATCTACATCTCAGATTTTATTAGGAAGACCTGTGCTTTAAGTGAGGCCTTAATCTTGATTTTTCTGGGAGTTGAGATTTTCAGTTTTCTTTTATCCTGCTTACTTAATTCCTTCTTCTTATTCCCAGATGTCTCTATAAACTTCCAGTGAAAGATCCAAAGGGAGTAATTTCTGGATGTTTAAATACAGGACTTGTTTAAATAATTGTATTTCTATTATATAGATATATTGGTGGTTTGTCTTTCTTCAGCAAAGGCTAAAGTTGTTCCCTACAGAAGTGGCACCTACACTTAAACATTAAATATGTGCTGTAGCACTATTGCTGTTCTAATATTTGTAGGATTGTTTGGGGATTAATTTTTATTATCCAGTGTATCAAAACACTTGTTCTTAAAAATTGGCCAAGGTAAACCAATAGTACTATTTAAAATAGGTTGGTTTTAACTTTGTACATAGTATTTATTGTCCTTCCTGAAAGTAATCTTTTAAATGTTGGTGGTAGATCTTACATTACAATGAAAAGACTTCTCTGAGTTACTTTTTAGTGTTGCCAGTTCAGATTTGGAAGTTGATCAAAACTCTTACCTGAAAAAAAGAGTAAATTACTTAAACAATTGTTTAAGAAATAGTCTGCATTAAAGATCATTTGGAGGATTAATGGATAAAAAGTTATTGATTATAAAGAATTTGGCCAGTATGGAAATGAAGTATATTTTCTACTTAAAAAAATACGTTGGTATTGAAAAGTCAGGATTCTTAGGGAGGACTGTACAAACTATTTGCATACAAATATATGCTACAAAAACAATGTCATAATGCAACCCCCTAAATATGGTTTGGCACTTTCAGATGTTATGTTTTGGAAACCTGCGTTTGGTTAGAAAGAATTTAAAGATTATGTCCCCATTTCTGTGGTGGCAGTTGTGTTTATATAGTTGTGGATTTGCAGTAATTTTTTCTTGCTATGCAGTTCATTTGATTTTGTGATTCTTGAGGAGTTCCCCCTTTAATGTCTTCATACAAAGATGAAGTAATATTATTAGCTTTTAATACTTTTAGTAAATATGGACCATTATCTAAAACTTGGTTTATTAACCAAACATTGGTTTTGCTTTTCAGCGGGGATCTGATGAGCTTCTTTCTTCTGGCATCATTAACGGACCTTTTACCATGAATAGTTCTACTCCTTCTACAGGTGTGTATGGTGAGTTTTTTTTTTTTTTTTAATATTTGATTTCTGTGGGTTTCAAATTGTTTTTTTACAATGCTCTTATTTTGCTTATATCATGTTGAAGTGCCACTGTTCATAACAAAAGCTAAAATTTGTTTCGGTAAAGTACTATATACTGTTTACATAGGTGAAATCACTAGTTATACCTCTCAAATTTTAAGGATTCATTTGGATCTAATTTGATGATTCAGTTTTTTGATTGATGTTCTTTGTGTTACATAATTTTGATAAAAATACTGTCAATAAATTGGTGACCCAGAACTATTGAGTAAAAGAGCTAGATCTAAAACTTGGGTTGAAGTCAGGTGTGGTGGCTCATGCCTGTAATCCCCAGCACTTTGGGAGGCCGAGGCTGGCTGATCACCTGAGGTCAGGAGTTCAAGACCAGCCTGGCCAACATGGCGAAACCCCGTCTCTACTAAAAATACAAAAATTAGCTGGGTGTGATGGCGGGAACCTGTAATCCCAGCTACTTGGGAGGCTGAGGCAGGGAGAATTGCTTGAACCTGGGAAGCGGAGGTGGCAGGGAGCCGAAACGTGCCATTGCACTTCAGCCTGGGGGACAGAGCGAGACTCCATCTCAAAAACAAAAAACAAAACTTGAGTGATGATGGACTTGAATAGAAGTATTAAAGTATAAGACGATACGTTTTAAAAATTGAAGTAATTTACGTACCATAAGGTACCACGTGATTTTAAAATAAATGTTCTTGAAATTTAGTGGCCGTAAAGTGAATTGAAGGAGTGCAGTACTGGAAAGAGAGTGAGCAGTGAAGAGGATTTATTATTATTATTATTATCCTTTATTTGGATTATTGCTGTAATCCTAATAAAGGATGGTAACTGGCACTGTGGCAGTGGTAGTGTGATGAAGAAAATTGAATAACTTATAGAAGATAAAATTGATAGTAATTGATGATTAATTGAATGTTTGAATAAGGGATATCACCATTGATTTCCAGGTTTTGAACTTGGACTTAGATAATTGGGTAGATGAATGGTAATGAATGGTTGTGCCATTCATTTCTATTCGAATGTAGGAAGAACAGAGTTGGACGACACAGGTTCAGATTTGTATATATTGAGTTTGAGTTTCCTTTGGAACATCCAAATGGAAATGACAGATAGGCAGTGGGTCCCTGGTCTCAACATCATGAAAGAAATTTGATAGTATCATACACAGTTGACAACTGAAGCCATGGACATGGAGAGTTTCAGAGAAGGGAGGGTTTCTTTATCCAGATGTTTTTGGAGTTGTAGGGAGGTGGGGATGAATGGACCTCCTTTTCCAGACCAGGAGCTTATATGGTGTTTGGGACCATGGGAACATAGATGTTCGGGAAAGTGAACAAGTATAGAGACAGAATGAAAAGAACTGGATCTACCAAGCTCATTCTAGCTTATTTTAATGTAACTATTAATAATAATTCTTTTTAAAAATGAAAGCGTTAAAGCATACAGGATACTAGAACAATGGTACGAAATTGTGACAGCCTCAGGCAAACTAGGACTTAACAGTCATTCTATTTAGGTGTTGTTATTAAAAAGTTAACATCTGATTCTGTCACCTAACACTAAAATTCTGTTTAGGTGTTGTTTTAAAAAATTCTCTTAGCTTAATGTGGGCATGTCTTTTTCCATGTCAGCTTTAAATTATTTCATCGAATTCAGGGGCGTCCAATCTTTTAGCTTCCCTGACCCACATTGGAAGAATTCTCTTGGGCCACACATAAAATACGCTAACATTAATGATAGCTGATGAGCTAAAAAACCATTGCAAAACAGTCTCACAACGTTTTAAGAAAGTTTACGAATTTGTTTTGGGCCGCATTCAAAGCTGTCCTGGGCTGCATGCTGTGCACAGGCTGCATGTTGGACAAGCTTGATCTAGTTCTAAAACAAAGAATCCTTCTTCCCCGAACCTTTACCTACAATATCTTAGGGATTCTGATAAGAATTATGTTAGAGTTATATGTTAATGTGAAATGTTGATCATTTTTTGGTATTATCTTTCCATTTGGGATTATGACCTATGATTCCATGTTTTTAGGTTCTATTTTATGTCCTTTGACAATTTTGAAAAAGTTCCACACTTTTCCATATAAATCACATAGTTTTCTTTTAAAATGTATCTTAGGAATTAATGGCAGAGATTGTTTATTGTGTACCCCAATGCTATTCTTTTTTTTTTTTTTTTTTTTTTACCAACAGAACCTCAATTTTTATCTGACACATTGCTACCCAGATGAAACTGCTACTCTTCTGTTCTTCATTATAGCTAGATGTGGTCATGTAATTAAGTCTTGACAAGGTATAAGTGGAAGTGTAATATGAAACTTTTAGGGCATCTCTACATGGGTACACTGTTTTTCCTTTTTTTTTTTTCCTCCAATCTTATTGCCTGTGGGTGTTCCAGCTTCTTAGATAATGATGGGAATGACAGGCATCTGTAACAGAGACAGCTAGAGCCTGATAACATTGTCACCATTCCAGATCTGGAATTCCTACATTTAGACTTTTCATGTGAGCAAGAGATTAACTTCTTTTTTTTTTTTTTTTCTTTTGAGACTGAGTATTGCTCTGTCTCGCCCAGGCTGGAGTGCAGTGGCGCAGTCTCTGCTTACTGTAACCACCGCCTCCTGGGTTCAAGAGATTCTCCTGCCTCGGCCTCTGAGTACCTGGGATTATAGGCGCCTGCCACCGTGCCGGGCTAATTTTTGTATTTTTAGTAGAGACAGGGTTTCACCATGTTGGCCAGGTTGGGCTCGAACTCCTGACCTCGAGTGATCCACCTGCATTGGCCTCCCAGAGTGCTGGGATTACAGGCGTGAGCCTGAGATTAACTTCTTAAGTAACTATTACTTCAAATATTGTTATATACAGCTAAACTTAATTTAGTATTTTTGCTATTATTGAATGGGAATTTTTTTTTCCTGTTTTCATTTTTAGCTGGATACTGCTAGTACAGAGAAGACCTATTGATTTTTGAATATTTATTTTATGTATACTTACTTTAACTAAAATGTCTTAGTAATTTTTTATTAGTCTTTTGAATTTTGGAATTATTCAATGATGTGTCTTCAAATAAAGATAATTTCGAGTATATAAATATATGGATTGTTTTGTTAACTTGTTATGTATTCACTGGAACCTCCATAAATGAGTTGAATAACAGTGGTAATTTGTGATTATCTTTGTCTTGTTCTTAATTGCAATGGAGGTGGCTTTATTATTTAATCTTTTAATATAATGTTTGCTGTTGGGATTTTTTGTTTTGTTTTGTTTTTGAAACAGGGTCTTGGTCTGTTTTCTAGCCTGGAGTCCAGTGGCACAAACACGGCTCACTGCAGCCTCAACCTCCTGGGTTCAGGCAGTCCTCTCACCTCAGCCTCTCAAGTAGCTGGGACTACAGGCATGTGCCACCACACCCAGCTAATTTTTTATTTTCTGTAGAGATGGGGCCTTACTATGTTGTCCATAGGCTGGTCTCAAACTCCTGGGCTCAATCAATCAATCCTCCTTCCTTGGCCTCCTAAAGTGCTGGGATTACAGGCATGAGCCACTGTACCTTGCCAGGTTTTGATAATAATCCTTCATCATACTTTAATCGGTTCCTTCCTTTTCTATTTTACTTAGTTTTTATTATCAATGGCTATAAATGTTACCATCATCTTTTGTGCTTCTGTTAATTGTGAGATTTGGTCTCCATTAATTTTTTGATGTAGTGAAATACAATTTCCTGATGTTGACCCATTATTGCATGCCTGGAATAAACCAACTTGGTCGTGGGGTATTTTGATATGCTATATTCAGTTATAGGTTAGATGGCTAATAGAACCGTAATACAGACCTAAAAATACAGATTTAAGTTTATTTCTAAGTTCTTCTGAAGTCTGGGTAAGTAGTCAGGGGCTTACTTAGTTTCTTGAATTGTGTTGGGGACCAGACTTTTTCTCTTTTGTTGTTCTTTTATCCTCAACACGACTACCTTCTCAAGATAGAAAATAGTACTCTCTTTCCATCATACCCACAGGAAGGGTAACAAGGACAGTTGAAGCTGAACTTTTTCCTCCATCTTGGGCCATAATGATGAGACTTACACACTAAGGGTGAGAGTTGAGAAGTGGAGGCTGAGTCCATTGTAGGGACAAGACTGAGAAGTTGCACTTTTTTCTCATTCTGTTAGCTAGAACTTCGTCACATTGACACACCAGCTTCAAGGGGGCGAGGGTGAAGGGTCTAGGAAATTGGTCTTTATTCTGGTGTGTCCTGTCTAATCATAATTGAGGGAGTTCTATTACTTTACAAGGGAAGGAGAATAGAGATATTGAAGGGGACACTCAATCACATATGCATTCAACCACATATGTACTGTATTTTGTGTATGTTTATAATTTTCACAGCTATATTAATAAAATATTTCTTCATTGCTTTCTTTTTGTACTCTAATTGGTTAGTATTACTGTTACCATAACATTATGACATACATATACCATATAATCAGCATCCAGAGCAAGAAACAGGCCATTGCTAATACTCACAGGAATCCTTCTTTCCTTTTTCATTCATTTCCTCCTTCCAAGTGTATTCATTAGCTTGACTTCTAACATCATAAGTTAGTTTTTTGTGTTTTTAAACTTTATATGAATAAGCCAATAAATATAGTATATCGTCCTTCCTGTCTGGGTTCTTTCATTCAACATTATGTTTGTGAGAGTAACTTGTGTTGTGTATTGCCCCAATCCCTTTCGTTCTTCTCATTTCTATATAGTATTTTATTGTATCAGTGGATATTTGAATTATTTCCATTTTATATGTAGTGTTGCTATGAATATTCCCTTTTTGTGTGTTTCACCGTGTTTGCTTGTGTGCCCTCTATCTCTCATTTTGGTCAAAAATACAAAATTTACCATCTTGTACATTTTTGAGTATACAGTGTAGTAATGTTAACTATAGGAACATTGTTGTACAACAGATCGCTAGAAGTTTTTCATCTTAACAAAACTGAAACTCTGTCCATTTAGCAACAACTCTTCCTTTTCTCTTCTAGCCCATTCTGCTTTCTGTTTCCAAGAGTTTGGCTATTTTAGATACCTCATATAAGTGGAATCATGCAACATTTTTCTTTTTGTGACTGGCTTATTTCACTTAGCATAGTGTCCTCAAGGTTCATTTATGTTGCAGCAAATGGAAGGGTTTCCCTTTTTTGTAGGGTGAATAATTGTAGGTATATACCACATTTTATTTATCCATTCATCTGTCCATGGGCATTTAGGTTGCTTCCACCTCTTAGCTATTGTGCTATTGTGAGTAACGCTGCAGTGAACATGGTGTGCAGATATCTCTTTGAGATCCTGTTTTTAATTCTTTGGTATATACCAGAAGTGAGATTGCTGGATCATGTGGTAATTCTGTTTTTTATTATTTTGAGGAACCATCATACTGTGTTTCATAGTGGCTGCACCATTATTCCCACCAGTGGTACACAGGGGTTTCAGTTTTTCCACATCCTTGTGAATACTTATTTTTTGGGTTTTAAATTTTTTCAAATAATGGCCATCCTAACAGATGTGAGGTGATATGTGGTTTTGATTTGTATTTCCCTGATGATTAGTAATGCTGAATATCTTTTCTTGTGCTTGTTGGCTATTCGTATATCTTCTTCAGAGAAATGTCTATTCAAGTCCTTTACCTATTTTTTGTTTTGTTTTACTAATTTTAAAATTTTCTCTCTAATAAGCACTGTCCCCAGACTTCAATTTGCCCATTTTTTGATTGGATTGTTTTTGTTGTTGAGTTGTAGTAGCTCTTTATGTATTCTGATTATTAACCCCCATCACGTATGTAGTTTATGATTTCTTTCTCCCATTTCTTTCATTGTCTTTTTACTCTGTTATTTCCGTTGCTGTGCAGAGGGTTTTGAGTTTGATATTAGCCCCATTTGTTCATATTTTCTTTTGTTGCTTGTGCATTTGGTGTTATATCCAAGAAATCTGCCAAATCCACTGTCATGAAGCTTTCCCCCTTTGTCTCTTATAGGTCTTTTATAGT
Source organism: Homo sapiens (assembly GCF_000001405.40). Classification (NCBI taxonomy): domain Eukaryota; kingdom Metazoa; phylum Chordata; class Mammalia; order Primates; family Hominidae; genus Homo; species Homo sapiens. Next base: position 112,291,753 of record NC_000009.12, on the reverse strand, counting down.
TTCAGGTCTTATGTCTAGGCCTTTAATTCATTTTGAGTTAATTTTTTTTCATGTGGTGTAAAGTAAGAGTCCAATTTCATTCTTTATAAATGTGGATATACATTTTACCAGCACCATATGTTGAAGAAACTGTTCTTTTCCTATCGTGTAGCCTTGGCATCTTTGTTGAAGATCATTTGAACGTGTAAGTGAGAGTTTATTTCTGGGTTCTCTAATCTGTTCCATTGGTCTATATGTTTGTCTTTATGTCAGTAACATACTGTTTGAATTACTATAGCTTTGTAATGTGTAGAAGTTAGGAAATGTGAGGCCTTCGGCTTTGTTTTTCTCAAGATTGCTTTGGCGATTTGGGATCCTTTGTGTTCTATATGAATGTCAGGATTTTTTTTTTTTTTCCTGCAAAAATGCCATTGGGATTTTGATAAGGATTGCATTGATCCTGTAGATCACTTTGAATATTATGGACATTTAAACAATTTCAAGTCTTCCAATCCATGAACATGGATGTGTTTTCTTTTTTTTTTGGAGACAGAGACAGAATTGTGCTCTTGTTGCCCAGTCTGGAGTGCAATGGCACAATCTTGGCTCACTGCAACCTCCGCCTCCCAGGTTGAAGTGATTATCCTGCCTCAGCCTCCCAAGTAGCTGGGACTACAGGCGCCCGCCACCATGCCCAGCTAATTTTTGTATTTTTAGTAGAAGTGGGGTTTCACCTTGTTGGCCAGGCTGGTCTCAAACTCCTGACCTCAGGTGATCCGCTCACCTTGGCCTCCCAAGGTGCTGGGATTATAGGTGTGAGCCACTGTGCCCGGCCACATTTATGGATATTCTTGACAAATCTTTTTGTGGACACATGTGTGCATTTTACTTGGTATGTGTCTAGAAGTGGAATTATTGGGTCCTAGGATATGCAGGTGCTTATCTTTAGTAGAGTCTACTAATTTTCAAAAGTGATTTTATACTCTTACCAGAAATATGTCAGTTTAGTTATTCCAGAACTTTGCCAACACTTGATTGTGTGTGTGTGTGTGTGTGTGTGTGTGTGTATATATATATATATATATATTTTTTTTTTTTTTTTAAAGACAGAGTCTGACTTTGTCACCCAGGCTGGAATGCAGTGGCGTGGTCTCGGCTCACTGCAACCTCCGCCTCCTGGGTTCAAGCGATTCATGTGCCTCAGGCTCCTGAGTAGCTGGGATTACAGGCACGTGCCACTACACATGGCTAATTTTTATATTTTTATTAGAGACAGGGTTTTACCATGTTGGCCAGGCTGGTCTCGAACTCTTGACCTCAAGTAATCCCACCTTAGCTTCCCAAAGTGCTGGTAATACAGGTGTGAGCCACCATGCCTGGCCGATATTGTGTATTTTTAATTTTAGTTGTTCTGGTAAGCATATATTGATAGCTTATTGTGACTTTTGTTTGCATAAATATTAATGAAATCGATTATATTTTCATATGCTTACTGATCATTTGGATATTTTTAATGAAGTGGCTACTGAGATCTTTTGCCTATTCTTCTATTGGGTTGTTTGCTTTTTCTCTTTAACTTGTTTTTTATATATTCTGAATATGAATACTTTGTTATACGTGTATGCAGATACCCTCTGACACTATAATTTACAAATTTATACTTGATGGCTTTTGTTAAACAGAAATTGTTCTTTTTCATGTAGAATACTTCATGTTTTTCCCTTAATGGCTACCATTTTTTGCATCTTATTAGAAATGTTCTTCAATTGTCTGCAAATTGATTAATGTTAACATTTCTTTCTCAGCTTAAGAAGTCTTTTCTTTTGAAACCATTGTATGTATAATTATTGATGTCTTATGAAGCTGAATGTTAAAGAAATCTAATTGATTTACAAATAAAAATGATATGGGTTAATAATATTCCTAAGCAGGATGCCACTGCTAACAAACTGAATAATTTGTATTTTTATATATATGTATATATACACACACACAAAATAAGTATTATATGTGTGTAGATGTAATCACATAATCACGTAATCACAGCTCACTACAGCCTCGACCTCCCAGGCTCAAGAGATCCTCCCACCCCAGCCTCTCAAGTAGCTGGGACCATGGGCACATGCCACCACATCCAGCTAATTTTTAAATTTTTTTGTAGAGTCTGGGTCTCCCTGTGTTCCCCAGGATGGCCTCAAACTTCTGGGCTCAAGCAATTCTCCTGCCTTGGCCTCCCAAAGTGTTGGGATTATAGGTGTGAGCCACGGCGCCTGGCCCCCTGGTACTTCTGTTGACCAAAATACTTATAAACTGTTAATGTGCTTGTTTGGTTTGCAAATAGCTAGGTTTTTTTTTTGTCTTCTTGAAATTCCTTTTATCAAATAAAACTTAAATGGCCTCTTTTTAAAGAACTCAGTATTAAATTTGGCTGCAAAGATGATATAAGCAATGTAGAAGACAGAAATTTATTTTCATCACGTTCAACAAATTCTGAAGTAGTCAGTGCTCTAAGGTATATGGTGTCTATTTTCAGATTTAGCAAATGATCCTGGAGGTTATTGGAGCTCGTACAAAAAGAAGAGAAAAAGAGAAAAGAAAAGAACATACCCCCTCCTTATAAAGACACTTAAGGGAAAAGCAGCGCGTATCATTTTTGTTTACATCCTGTTTACTTAGTCTCACAGCCACACCTAGCTACTTAGGAAGCTAAGAATGTAGTCCTTTTTTCTGATAGGCACGTGCTTAGCTAAAAATAGGTGGGTTTACGTAGAAAACAAACGTTGGAAAACAAATTTGCATTCTCTGCCACTGGTATTGAAGGCTATGATTTAATAATAAACACTAGTTTCTCTGATCAGTTAATTTGCGTACTTGGCTTTTCATAGCAAGAAATGCGGGTTGCTTTAAATAAAACCATATGAAGAATTGTAAACACTAAGCTCCGTACTTGATAAATAACTCTTAAATCCATCAAATTATTAAGCAATAGCTTAAAGCTGCTCTAAGAATTAGTAAGTTTAAAGAAAACTCACCTGCAGTCTTAATGCTAATCCATATACATTTTGTGATTTAATTTTTCTAATTTGTGAAAGATCTGTAGATTTCTGCTTTCAACCATGATAGAGTAACTGGGACTGGACTTACTGGTAGTTGTTTTTAGACAGTGGAGAACAAGTACAACAGGATTGTGCTCTCAGAAGGGAAACAATTGAGGTAATGCTATTGTCACCCTAGTTTTCTTTCTAGACTGTGGGGGTTGGGGGAACCAAGCAGACATGGCACAATTGCTGAGTTGAAGAAACAGATTGAAGTTTGGGAAGGTTGAGTTACCTGGGAGGTATGGGAGCAGAGTATGAAAGAGAAGGGCCTGTGTAGAAAAAGTGCTTCAGAAATAATACCTTTGAATCTGTTGTTTGAATATTATTAAGCCACATATGCACAGTACATATGCCTGTGAGGTCAGGCAAAGAACAACCAGAGAGCTATAAGCTTAACTTTCCAGGACTCACACAGGCCTGGGAGAGATATTTGAGTGATAGCCAACTACAACAGAGAGTCCTTGTTGAATACTTGAAGCACACTCAAGGGCACCTGACACCAGAGGAGACATGGACTGAACTAGCTCCAGCATGAAGGCAAATCCAAATCTACCCTAATGAAACTTAAAAACAAACTCCAAAACAGTGTAGCTAATCTGAAAGTAACTTATGTTTTTCTAAAAATGAAGTCTAACACTTTAAAAGAAAAATAACAAATATAACAAAACAACAGAATAACAAATTCTGGTGCTCCTAATGTGGAGCATCCAATTGCCAGACATGTTAAGAACCAAAAAAATGTGACCCATAAACAAGTGAAAAATTAATCAACAGAAACAAACCTAGAAAATTACAGAGATGATGGAATTATCAGCTGTGCACTTTGAAACAGTTACTAAAAGTATGTTCAAGTATTTAAAGGAAAATATGAGCATAGGAAGGAGAAAAAATCAAATAGAACTTACAGAGATTAAAAATAAGACACCTGAAAAAAATACATGATGGCATTCATAGCACATTGTATTCTACAAAAGAAAACATCAGTGAATTTGAAGATAGCAAAAGAAACTGAAGCACACAGACAGAAAAAACTGAAGGCTGGGCGTGGTGGCTCACCCCTGTAATCCTAGCACTTTGGGAGGCCGAGGCGGGTGGATCACCTGAGGTCAGGAGTTTGAGACCAGCCTGACCAACATGGTGAAACCCCTTCTCTACTAAAAATACAAAAATTAGCCGGGCGTGGTGGTGTGCACCGGTAATCTCAGCTGCTTGGGAGGCTGAGGTAGGAGAATTGCTTGAACCCCCGGGGGCGGAGGTTGCAGTGAGCCGAGATCGTACCACTTCACTCCAGCCTGGGCAAAAAAGCAAGACTCTGTCTCAAAAAAAAAAAAAAAACAAAAAACTGAAAAAGAAGTGAACAGAGCCTTAGTAACTTCTGGACAAAATCAAGCAGTCTAAACACACATATGTATAACTGAAGTTGCTGAAAAAAATGGTTGGGGCAGGGAGCAGAAATACATCTCAAGAAATTATCCTAAATCTTCATATATGTGGAAAACATAAACCCACTTATCAAGAAGTTCAGTGAAACTTAAGCAGGATAAACACAACGGAAACCACACCCAGGCTTATCATAATTAAATTGCTGAAAACCAGGAATGCAGAGTAAATCTTAAAAGTAGCCAGAGCTGGGCAGGGGTGGGGATTGGTGGAGACGGATGAGGGGGGACCACTTTTCCTTCAAAAGAATAAAGATTAGAATGAGGAGAGAGATTTCTTACTTGATACAGTGCAAGCCAGAAGACAATGAAGCATCATTAGAGTGCTGGAAAAAAAAATCAAACTGGAATTCTATATGGAATTTAAAAATGAAGTTAAAATCTTCTTTCAGGCACACAAGAGCTGAGAGCATTTGTTAGCAGCAGACTTCCATTTCATGAAATGGTAAAGGAAATACTTTAAACATGAGGAAAATGATACCAGTTAGAAACTTGAGTTTTATACAGCATGATAAATATGTGAATATGTGACTTTTCCCTCCTTTTTTTGTTAATTTAAAGGATTATTGACTGCTTAAAGTAAGATAATACATTTTTGGCGGTTATGACATATGAGAAAAGCAAAATATACAACAGTACCACAAAGGATAGCTTGAGGGAAAGAGACGTATACTTTGGAAGGTTCTTACAGTGTACTGAGGTGTTTTAATATTATTTGAAGGTACTCTGTGATAAATTAAAGATGTATATTGTCTACTCCACAGGAGTCACTTAAAAAAAAGTAAAAAGGGATAGCATATAATGTAAATGAAATAGAATACCAAAAAATAAAATCCAAAGGAAGCCGGGAAACAAGGGAAAAAAGGAATAAAAAATAAATGGGACAAATAGAAAAAAAATGACAAGATGGTGGGCTTTTAAACCCAACCACGTTAATAATTATATGAAGTGGGAATGCAATAAAAAATTCAATTAAAAGATTGTTTAGATAAAAGGAAGACTGAGTTACTTGATGTGTATAAGAAACCCATTTTAAATATGAAATCTCAGGTAAAAAGCCAAAGGTTGGGAAAGAAAATATATGCAAACACTAATCATAAAAATGCTGGAGTAGTTAGCTGTACTAATATCAGGAAAAGTTGACTTTGGGCAAAAGAATATTACCAGGGATAAAGAGAGACATTTCATAATGATAAAGAGGTCAATTTATTGAGTAGACATAATCTAAATATAGATCTGTTTAATCTAATTACCTAGTTTCAAAACACGTAAAGTGAAAACTAATAGAACAAAACAGAAATAGATAAATCTTCAAGTATATTTAGAGATAGCACTCTGCTGTCAGTCATTGATGGTATAGTAGACAGAAAATCAGTAAAGGTATAGAACAGGGGTTGGCAAGTTCTTACCTGTGGGCCAAATCCATCCCATTGCCCACTTTCAAATTTCCCATGAGCTAAGAGTGGTTTTTAAAATTTAAAATCGTGAAAAATACTAAAGGATAAGATTAAATGGCACACGAAACTTTCATGAAATTCAAATTTCTGTGTCTATACATAAAATTGTATTTGAACACAGTTATATTATTTGTTTATAGCTGCTTTCATGCCGTAACTGCACAGTTGAGTAGTTCTGACAGAGATCCTGTGACCCACAACGTCTGAAATATTTTTGTGCCCCTTTAAGAAAAAGTTGGTAGATCCCTAATATAGAAATTTTTAACCAGCTTGATCTAATTGACAGTATAGAACAGTTTTCCCAACACCAGAATAATACACTTTATTTTCAAGTTTATATAAAGTAGTCACCAATTGTATTAGTCCTTTCTCACACTGCTGTAAAGAACTGCCTGGATAATTATAAAGAAAAGAGGTTTAATTGTGTCACAGTTCATGTGGCTGGGGAGGCCTCAGGAAACTTACAATCATGGCAGAAGGGGAAGCAGGCAAAGTCTTATTACATGGCAGCAGGCGAGAGAGAGTGAGTGTGAAGGAGGAACTGCCAATCGCTTACATAACCATCATGTTGTGAGAACTTGCTTCCTATCACAAGAAGAGCATGGGGGGAACCACCCCCATAATCCATCCATCTCCCACCAGGTCTCCCCCTCAACACATGGGAATCATGATGATTACAATTCCAGATGAGATTTGGTGGAAACACAGAGTGAAACCATATTATTCTGCCCCGGCCCCTCCCAAATTTCACATCCTTTTTCCATTTCAAAACCAATCATGCCTCCCAACAATCCCCCAAAGTCTTAATTCATTCCAACATAACCCAAAAGTCCCAAGTCCAAAGTCTAATCTGAGACAAGGCAAGTCCCTTCTGCCTATGAGCCTATAAAATCAAAAGCAAGTTAGTTACTTCGAAGATACAACGGGGGTACAGGCATTGGATGAATGCTCCCATTCCAAATGGGAGAAAGTGATCAAAACGCAAGGGCCATAGGCTCCTAAGCAGGTTCAAAATCCAGTGGGGCAGTCATTAAATCTTGTTTTTGTTGTTGTTGTTTTGTTTTTTGTTTTCTGTTTTGTTTTTTGAGACGGATTCTTGCTCTGTTGCCCAGGCTGGAATGCAGTGGCACGATCTTGGCAAACTGCAGCCTACGCCTCCTAGGTTCAAGTGATTCTCCCACCTCAGCCTCCTGAGTAGTTGGGACTACAGGTGCACATCACCATGCTTGGCTGATTTTTGTGCTATTAGCAGACTTGGGGTTTTGTCATGTTGGCCAGGCTGGTCTCGAACTCCCAGCCTCAAGTGATCTGCCTGCCTCGGCTTCCCCAAGTGCTGAGATTATAGGTGTGAGCCACCATGTCTAGCCAGTCATTAAATCTTAAGGCTCCAAAATAATCTCCTTTGACTCCACATCTCACATCTAGGGCATGCTTTTGCAAAGAGTGAGCTTCCAAGGCTTTGGGCATCTCCGCCCCGGTGGCTTTGCAGGGTTCAGCCCCTGTGGCTGTGTTGAATGCCAGCAGCTGGTGTTGAGTACCTGTGGCTTTTCCAGGCGCATGGTGCAAGCTGTCAATGGATCTACCATTCTGAGATCTGGAGGACAGTGGCGCTCTTCTCACAGCTCCACTAGGTGCAGTGCCTCAGCAGGGACTATATGTACGGGCTCCAACCCCACATTTCCCTTCTGCACTGCCCTAGTAGAGCTTCTCTATGAGGGCTCCACCCCTGCAGCAGAATTCTGCCTGGACATCCAGGTATTTCCATACATCCTCTGAAATGTAGGTGGAGGTTCCCCAAATTCAACTCTTGTCTTCTGCTCACCTGCAGACCCAACACCACATGGAAGCTATCAAGGCTTAGGGCTTGCACCCTCTGAAGCAACCAGTGAGCTGTACCTTGGCCCCTTTTAGCCACTCCTGGAGCTAGAGCAGCTGGGATGCAGGGCACCAAGTTCCAAGGCTGCACAGAGCAGCAGGGCCCAGGCCAGCCCGTGAAACCGTTGTTTTCTCTTAGGCCTCCAGGTCTGTGATGGGAGGGGATGCTGTGAGGATCTCTGACATGCCCTGGAGACATTTTCCATATCGTCTTGGCAATTAACATTTGACTACTGGTTACTTATGCATATTTCTGCAGCCAGCTTGAATTTCTCCCCAGAAAATGGATTTTTCTTTTCTACCACATGGTCAGGCTGTGAATTTTCCAAACCTTTATGCTCTATCACCTATTGAACACTTTGCTATTTAGAAATTTCTTCTGCCAGATACCCTAAATCATCTGAGTTCAGAGTTCCACAGATCTCTAGCATGGGGCAAAATGCTGCCAGTCTCTTTGCTAAAGCATTGCAAGAGTGTCCTTGGTTCCAGTTCCCAGTGAGTTCCTTATCTCTATCTGAGACTACCTCAGCCTGGACTTCATTGTCCATACCACTATCAGCATTTTGGTCAAAAGTATTCAACAAGTCTCTAGGAAGTTCCAAAGTTTCCCACATCTTCCTGTCTTCTGAGCCCTCCAAACTGTTCCAACCTCTGCCCATTACCCAGTTCCAAAGTCACTTCCACATTTTCAGGTATCTTTATAGCAGTATCCCACTCTACCAGTACCAATTTACTGTATTAGTCTGTTCTCACACTGCTATAAAGAGCTGCTGAGACTGGATAATTTATAAAGAAAAGAGGTTTAATTGACTCATAGTTTCACATGGCAGGCGAGGCCTCAGGAAATTTACAATCATGGCAGAAGGGGAAGCAGGCAAGTCTCACATGGTGGCAGGTTAGAGTGAGTGTGAATGAGAAACTCTCAAACACTTATACAACCATCAGATCTTGCGAGAACTCCCTCACTATCACAAGAACAGCATGGGGGAAACCACCCCCATGATCCAGTCACCTCCCACCAGGTCCCTCCCTCGACACATCAGGACTATGGGATTACAATTCTAGATGAGATTTGGGTGGGGACACAGCCAAACCATATCACCAAGATAGGCAGGCTGTATCCGGGTCCTAAAATAAGTTTAGTCCTTTAAACAGTGATTAAAATCATAAAAATTATCTGACTTCATTAGAATTCTATTAGAAATCAAAACAAGATCTTCAAATATCTGGAGGAAAAATTTCCCAAATAGTAAAAAAAAAAATAAAAATAAACTTAACCCATTGATCAAAGAAGTTGTCACAAGGGATATTCGAAGCTACTTTGAACAGAAATAAAATGAAACCGTAACTTAATGAAATTTGTGGGGTTCCACTAGAGTTGTTCTTAGAAGGAAATATGTAGTTTTAAATGTTTATATTAGAAAAGAAAAAATGTCTAAAGTGAATCATCTAGGCTTCCAGTTATAACTAGAATAAAAAGAACATGTTAAACCCTACAAGTAGATAGAAAAGAGGAAATATTAAAGATGAAAGCAAAAGTCAGTGACAGAAAAAACTAGAGAAAAATTAATGAAACCAGTAGTTGTTTATGTGGTAAATAAAATTAGTAATAATACCTCTAAGTAGACTCAAAAAAAAGGAAAGACACAAATTGCCAGTATCAAGAATGATTCTACAGTCATTAAAAGGGTATTATTATTGACTTAATGTTTGTATCCTCCCAGAATTGGTATGTTGAAGCCCTAACTCGCTATGTGATGGTATTTAGAGCTGGGACCTTTGGGAAATAATGTTTAGATTACATGATGAAGGTGGGTGGTGCCCTCATGAGGGGATTGGATTAGACTACTTAAGAGACACTAGAGAGCTTGCTTGCATGTCCTCTCTCCTTGCTGTGTGAGGACACTGAAAAGTCAGCCAGCAAATAGGCAGCTGTTTGTAAGACAGGAAGACCCCTCACCAGAAATGCTTGATCTTGGGCTTTTAACCTCCATAAATTTTTCTTGTTTAAGCCACCCAATCTGTAGTATTTTGTGTGGTAGCCTTAACTGACTAAGTAGATTCAGTGAATATTATGAAATTTTAAGCTAATAAATTTGACACTTCAGATGAAGTGCACAAATTCTTTGAAAGACACAAATTCCCAAACTGATACAAAAGCAATAGAAAACTCAGATAGTCATATAGCTGTTTAAAAAATCAAATTAGTTATTGAAAACTACAGTCCCATATGGCTTTATTGATGAAGTCTATCAGACATATAAGGAATAAATAATACCAATCCTACACAGACTGTACAGAATATAAAGGAGGTGGGAACACTTTCCACTTTTTCTTATGAGGCCAGTATTATGCTGCTGCAGGAAAAGAAAACTACAGATTAATATCCTTCATGAATATTGACATAAAAATGTTTAGCAAGATATTAAATTAAAATCAGGGGTTTTTGCTTGTGGTAGCAGTGTGAGAGCAGAGTACAAGCTGCAGCGGTGGAAGTCATGGCAGGACAAGCATTTAGTAAATTTCTTCTGTTTGAGTATTGGTTGAAAAGAGTAGAACGAAAACCATAGGCATTATGCTTACAGAAAATTCTCAAGGAAAAGTATTGTAAGCAATAGTTGGTAGCTGTTGGATTGGGCTCTGAAGGAAAGAATGGAGAGATTCAGCCAGTTAGCATGAAAGTTGGAGATAAAGTTGTACTCACAAAATGTGGAGGACTAAAGTAATTCTAAATGATAGAGATTATGCATTAATAATTTTCATTAGAGAACGGGGTCTTGCTATGTTGCCCAGGCTGGTCTCAAACTCTTCCTCAAGTGATCTTCCCATCTCAGTCTCCTGAGTAGCTGAGACTACAGGTACTTGCCACTGTGCCCAGCAACAAGGATTTTTTCTTATTTAGACATTCTTGGAAAGTATATAGACTGAAATAAATCGTCATTGAAATGGCATCAATATGAAGCTGCCCATCCCACTGAAATCTTTCATCATGGAAATAATTCTTTCATTATTTCTGAAATAATGAAGTTCTGAAATATTTCATTATGTAAATGTTGTATCTCTCTTATAACAAACTAGTGATCTCTAAACTAAAAAAAAATCACTATATATATATATATGCACACACACACACACACATACACACACAGACACACACGTATGAAGAGTGAGGAAAAAAATCATGGTACATGTGTCATGACCAAGTAGGGTTTCTACAAAGTGCTTACATTTGAAAATCAGTGTGACAGAATACAAGGTAAAATCTGCTCACCTTAAGAGATCTGGAGAAGGCATTTGAAAGAATTCAACTCCTTTTGTGATAAACCAAATTGTTAGCCAACTGGGAATAGAAGGGAACATTTTCAACCTGATAAAGGTATGAAACTACAGCTTAGCATTATTATATTCAATAGTGTAAGATAATGCTTTTCCCCTAATATCAAGAACGAGGCAAGGATGCCTAGTCTTATTGATTCTATTCAACATTTTGCAGACAGAAAATCCTGGCTAGTTCAGTAAAGCTGTAAAAAAAAAATAATAAATAAACAGCAGCCCAGGCACGGTGGCTCATGCCTGTAATCCCAGCACTTAGGAAGGCCAAGGTGGGCGCATTACCTGAGGTCAGGAGTTCGAGACCAGCCTGGCCAACTTGGTGAAACCACGTGTCTACTAAAAATACAAAAATTAGCTGGGCGTGGTGGTGTGCACCTATAATCCCAGCTAGGGAGGCTGAGGCAGGAGAATTTCTTGATCCTGGGAGGCGGGGGTTGCAGTGAGCCGATTGCATCACTGCACTCCAGCCTGGGTGACAGAGCAAGACTCCATCTATAAATAAATAAATAAATAAATGGCATATAAATTTGAGAGTAAGAAAACTGTGTATGTAGAAATACTAAAGAATTTAGCAAGGGTGTAGGATATAAGATCAAGATATCAAAGTCAGTTGTATTTCTGTATATTATCAATTATTAATTATGACAAAAAATTTAAAAGTGTTACTGATCCATTAAAAATTATGAAGTACTTAGGGATAAAGGTGTCAAAATATGTGTGAGACCATTACACTGAAAACTACAGAACTTTACTGAGAGAAATTTAAAAAGATCTAAATAAATGCAGAAATGTCATGATGTTTATGGTTTAGATGACTCAAAAAAATGTTAAGATGTGAATTCTCCCCAAATAGGTACCTCATTTCAAGAATGGTGATAAAGCTGTAGTAATCTGTAGGGTTCAGATTGCCTGGGGTGGGGGTTGGGGGTTTGGTAGGGAGGACTAACTGCAAAGGGATACTAGGGAACTTTTTGGGATGTCTTGATTTTTGTGGTGGTTATATGGAGTGTATTTGTCAAAACTCATCAAACCCTGCATTTAAAATGTGGGTGGATGTCTTATTCTATCTAAAGTAAACCCTCATAAAGTTGATTTTTAAAAAATGAATCCATGTTTCGCAAGTAGTTTTCCTGACAGATTCTTCTAGTTTTGAGGTGGGAATATTATGAATTTTTAAAAACCCTCTTCCACAAAGCTCTTTGGAAGCGTGACTGATATGTAGTGGGCATTTTGTAGTTTTTAATGTATAGTTTAGTAAAATACAACACGATTTATACAAGCAAAGTATTTTGAATGCTTATTTTTGTATTAAGATTTTTGAAAACTGTCCTTTTGTACAGAAAATAATTATTTAAATTTATGTGTCCAATACATTTGAATTTCCTTGTTTCCTATTGGCTTTTAAATCATGGCCATACAATTGCTTGTAATGGTATACATTCTTCATCTTCAGATTATTTATCAAATCTTTACATATAACCCTTTCCCAGTCACCTAAATGAGTCGTTCTTAGATTTTGAGATTTCATATAGTAATAATATGTTCAGTTAATTTGGGGCAAATTCTTAATTATGGCAAATAAGGACATCAAGTGCAAAAAATCACTGTCATTTACAATTACCATTTTGATTGGGAAAAAATAGAACATAATTTCCAAGCAAAACAGTTGTTCTTAAGAAATGCTAGACGTATTATTGATTACAGTGTACTAGATGTTGTGCTGAGCATTTAAAATATATTGAAAAGAACAAATTAAAATTTCAAAATATTCTTGTTATACCCGTTTTACAGGAGTAGAATCTGAGGCTTAGTAACGTTAAATAACTTGCTCAGAACAGGATATCTGATTTCATAGCTCTGCGCTCTTAACATAGCCCAGGTATTTTATAATACGGAACAATTAACACCCTAAAATGGTGATTTATAATTGCACATTTCTTGGTAAAAGTTTGTCATCTTAGGTCTTTATTTGATAGTGCAGCACGAATGGGAGCTTGGGTAACTTGTTCGGTATTCGCATTTTCTCAAACATAGAATACCTCTGTTAAAGAAACAGCTTTCTTAGTGTTCTTTCATTCTTGTTGGAATATTCTGGGTAAACTGATAGGAGCTTCATGCCTTTAGAAAGTTTCTCCAGTCCTTTTCTCCAGTCCTGTAACTCCTTATGCTGGTTGAGCAAGGCCACGTTGGTGGTGGTATTGTTTAGCTCTCTATGCCTGCAGGGAGGGTGCCAAAAAGACATTCCCTGTTCAACTCTCGCCCCCGTCCAGGACTCTGATGTTTGTTGTTTTACTCTAGTGACAGTGTTATCATTTGTTATTCTCAATCCATGTAAGCCTTTGTAAATTTACATTGTCAGTGTCAAGTCACTTACCTTTTTCTAGGAGTAGTAAGACACTTTGAAATTTTTGTGGTTTAAAAAAAGAAATTACCTTTACACTTTAGTTTGGGTATTTGTGAGACTCAAATGAGGCAGTGTAAGTGAAAACAGTTTGAAAGTTAGAAGTGAAATGACATTTTAGGTATTTGGTGCCTGTTTAGGTATTTGGTGCCTGTTTAGGTTTTTGGAGCAGAATAATGACATGATATACATTATGTTATGTTATGTTATGTTATGTTATGTTATATTATGTTATGTTATGTTATGTTATGTTATGTTATGTTATGTTATGTTATGTTATGTTATGTTACGTTATTTTGAGACAGAGTCTCAAAATTTGAGACAGGGAGTGCAAGTGGTGCAATCTCGGCTCACTGCAGTCTCCTCCTCCTGGGTTCAAGTGACTCTCTTGCCTCAGCCTCCCAAGTAGCTGGATTACAGGCATACGCCAGCACATCCTGCTAATTTTTTTGTTTGTTTGTTTGTTTGGTTTTTTTTGGTAGAGATGGGGTTTTGCCCTGTTGCCCAGGCTGGTCTCGAACTCCTGACTGCAGGTGATCAGCCCACCTCAGCCTCCCAAAGTGCTGGGATTACAGGCGTGAATCACTGTGCCGGGCCTGATACACTATTTTAGTTAACGTTGATATGATACTGGATCCCCAGAATATGGGAAGCAGGGAGAGTGAAATTAGAGTAAGGGAGAGCTGAAGTGGGGGCAAGATCAGGGTGAGGTTGGTGACTTTGAGAGTGGAAATGAAAGAATATAATCAGTAGTCATTTTGGAGGGAAAATTAGTATTTCTTGGTGATTGATAAGGGAGAGGAGGAGATGGAATCTCTTGCCTTCCAGATTAATTAATCCGATAAACATTTGTGTGCCAATTATTTTCCATAATCTGACATAGGCATTTGCTATATAAAGGTACGCAGACCTGTATGGGCCTCTAGGTATTGTTAGTCATTTAGGTCTGGGGAGGATGCTGCTTGCATTCATGAACATAGAGAATTTGGGAGCAAGTGCTAGTTTGGGTATTAAGTCAACCTATCTAGTTGTAAACAAGTTGAGTTCTGTGCCACAGATATGGATGGATACGAAATATAGCTATATTAGTTTTTATTTGGTCCTCATGAAATTTGTTTAGGGTTACAGACATTTGATTGTAAAGTTTCATTAGTGTTTAGAGAAATGATATTTTTAGGCATTTGGAAAGATTATGTTTTTCTCCGAGTAGTGGCAAATAGGGTATTTAGTGATCAAACAACATTGAATGAAACTTTTAGCTTTTAAGTAATTTGTATTTAGTCTTTTGGTTCTATTTCTGGAAGAAAAACTTTTCTGAATCTTACTTGCATAAACTTAAGTGTTCCTTACAGGCTTGTCAATTCTAGTTATTCTCAGTATTGAAACAATAGGATTTAAATAAATTTAGCTTAGATAATGAATTTTTTTACTTTACAGCAGTAATTCTCCAACTTCAGGGTAAATAGAATCTCCTGGAGGGCTTGTTAAAGCAGGTCGTTGGGTTCCACTCCTGGAGCTTCTGCTTCAGTAGGTCTGGGTGGGGTTGGAAATTTCCATTTTCAGCAAGGTGGTACTTAATGTTAAGAATTATTGTTATATAATAAGGAATAAGATTATCATAGGAAACCACAGTTTAGCTTCTAAAAAATAAAGACTATTAGCACCCAAGAAATAAACTTTATTTTAATAAATATACAATTCAAATCCATATCTCCTTAGGATGTGATAAATACCAGATTTTTATCATAGTCTTTCCTGAAATTTTATTTATTTAGCAATAGACTAAATTAGAAAAATGTCCTTAAAATACATTAAAGGCATCATAAATAGTGTTCTCTAGTCATAAGAAAAAGTTGAGTATTTAGAGGTATTTGAAATAATGTAATTCATTTACCCTTATACTTTTCCTTGAAGTTAAAAATCAGACTTCAGTTTTAAAAAATTTAATACCCACAGTGAAAAACCAAAAGCACCTGTTTATTAAAAGGTAGTTGGTTTTGTTTTCTACTCTCCTTTTCCACCTACCCCCATCAGCCCCACGTTTCCCTGAAGTTCAAAACCCAAAACTCATTTAGGATTAAATGTGACAATATGATTAATGTAGTATGTCAACCCAAATTAGTTGCAGTAATTTAAAAAAGAATCTTATGTTTTTTAGCTAATGGGAATGACAGCAAGAAATTTAAACGAGATAGACCTCCCTGTTCGCCTTCCCGTGTTCTCCATCTTCGAAAAATTCCATGTGATGTCACCGAAGCAGAGATCATATCATTAGGTCTACCATTTGGCAAAGTAACTAATCTTTTGATGTTGAAAGGAAAAAGCCAGGTATGTAATATTTAAAGATTGACAAAGAGTGATTATCTCCAGATGTTAGTATTACTGATAATTTTTATTTTCTTGAGCTTTTCTGTATTTTTAAAATTTCATACTATGAACATAAGTTAGTTTTAAAAGTAGATTTTTTTGGGGGGGTGTAACAGGAAGCAACAAACAGTAGTAACACAGGAAACAGGATTTCTCTTATCCATTGACTTATGTTTTTTCTTCTTAAGACACAAATTTTATATTTTTTTAAATTTGTTTTTAATTTTATTTATATTTTGTATTACACAGTGGTTTATCAAATGTCCTGTGATTAGCAGAAAACACTGATAGGATATAAATTATACCTCATTTGGCAAATTAAAGAACAGTTAAGTTTTCAAAAATCTAGATAAAAATGTATAGTATTGTCGGCCGGGTGCAGTGGCTCACGCCTGTAATCCCAGCACTTTGGGAGGCCGAGGTGGGCGGATCACCTGAGGTCAGGAGTTCGAGATCAGCCTGGGCAACATGGTGAAACCCCGTCTCTACTAAAAATACAAAATTAGCCGGGTGAGGTGTCACATGCCTGTAATCCCAGCTACTTGGGAGGCTGAGGCAGGAGAATCGCTTGAACCTGGGAGGTGGAGGATGCAGTGAGCCGAGATGGTGCCATTGCACTCCAGCCTATGCAACAAGAGTAAATCTCATCTCACCAAAAAAAAAAATAAAAAGTATAGTATTGTCAAAAGACAAAATCACAACACATTTAAACATGATTTGATTGGCTTCTATTTGTGATTCTAGAACCGAGCAACACTTCATTCTTTAAAATAGAATGAATATTCCACCGGGCAAGACAGAACAGTTGGTTTTTATAAGGTGGGAACAAGGAAGTGACAATTGTTCAAAAAGTGAATTTGTTAACATTGGGTTATTGCATTTTACTTTTCTAGTAAGTGTCAAAGCAGTAGGGACTTATTGTGCTGATTCAGATAGGCCACGCTCTTTCTGATTGGTTGCTGTGAATCTCCTGTTTTCAGGAGAAACTGGTTTGTTTGGGGATTTACCTGCTTTACTTTGCATGAGTGACTCCATTTTAATTTGAACTGGTCTGCTGGGGTGTAGTGCAGGAGGCTAGTCCAAAATAATGTCCTCTCAAAAAGTCTAACAGTTTATTTTAGGTATAGAATTAATATGTGGCTTCTTTCATAATTCAGAAGAGACTGTAAAGAGTCTTCATTTGAGAAGGTAACAGGTTATTCTTAAGATGAATAAGGAAACTTGTTTCTGTGGTGACCATGACAAAAAATATAATACTTGTCATGTTGATTTTAATAATTGTATGTCCTCTTGTTCCAACTCAGACCCCACTGGAATGAATTCTTTAGTTCTTTGCAAGTTTTTGGCTGTCCTAAAAATCTTTTATACTGTTTATTACTGTAAAGAAGAGGACAACAAATCTAGGCCCTAGGTATTTTGTAGTACATTGTGATGTATTACTGTGTTTCATCTGCTTTTGATAAATAATAGGTTTAAGAAACACATGGTAAATACATTTATAAATAAATAGATTAGTAAGCATTGGGCATGAAAGAGGTTGGATGATGATGTCTGAGTTCCCTATATTTAGTAAATCACTTATTTAATATCCTCTTAAATTCACATGAGGTTACTAAGATCTGGAGAAGTTAAGTAACATGCCTTAATATTTGGCCCTTGTTGTATTTCCACATTTGTCTTAAATCCTTTGGAGACCGTGCATCCCTGCCAGTTAGATCGTTATTTTAACACAATTGCTACTACTGAGAATAGTATGGTTTGCATGATTTGAACAGAGACCACATGGCCATGTCTAATGGCTAATTGCCTGTGAAAGGCTGAGCAGGCAACATCATAATTTTCTTTGTCTCTGCTACTGATTCTGGGTTTATTTTTATCGGTAAGCTAACTGTAAGTGTTATGTTAATTGCTTGTGTTTTGATCACAAATCCTGTTTAGAAAATATCTTTTTAGTAAATGCACTTAAGCAGGAGATTCTGATTTGAGTCACTAGATCTACTTGTTGAGTGATAACTTTTCTCAGGGCATTTGGAGGATGGAGTGTCAGGGGCCAAATGGGGATTCTTTTTCCCAGCCTTCCTCTGGGTAGTGACTTTTGGCTGTCTCTCCACTCTGTACTATGAAAATTGGACTTTTTGACTAGATACTTAAATAAAATGTAAATAATTACTGGACTCTAAGTGGAAGCAATTATTTTAGCACATGAAATTTTCGGTTCTGTATACTTAAAGGAAATCCTGTGACAAGAATCATATTCCAGATATATTGTTTAGCTTTTCCTTTATGTGACTGATGTTAGAAATTGAGTATGTTCTTAACATTTAGAAAGGAGTTTGCAGAAATATGCCCATACAGTGAATATTATTGTTTACAAATTGTCTGTTGAAAGATGATTTAAAAACAGTTAGAAACAAGCTAGTTGCCATAGCTGTTTTTCCTACCTTGATCATTTTTATCCTGTTGTCTTAGAAAAATTAGAAAAAATATATTACTGACACAAGTGGATAATGGCTTCAAAGTACATCACGGACATTTTTACCTTTAAATAGTATAAATGACTTGAAGTCAGTTTTGCTCTTTTAAGATCGTGCAATTTTTATTTATTTGGGGAGTTTTATTTGTTTATTGTGGGTTGATTTGTGATGTTTCATCCACTGTCACATGGCTAACATCACTGTTTCATAGAGCATTGGTAGTTCATTTGGAGCATTTCATTGGTTCACTTGTTACATTTGGTTGGTACAGTTATACATCATGTTTAACATCTGTCCAGTTAATATGGCTTTTCTAGACTTTATGTGGAAACATTTGACAAATAAGGTAACTGAAAACAAATAGTTTGATTTAGAGATACTTGCCATTTCCTGTGTTCAGTAAATTTTGTTGGTAACAAATGCATATTTTATAAATTGTAAATGTTTTATACATAAGTTGAAATGGTTGATATATGCTTGCTAATTAAATGCTCTTGTGCCTGGTCTTGGTGGCACTTGCCTCAAGGATTGCTTGAGTCTGGGCATTCTGGGCTGTAGTGTACTAAGCCGATCTGGTATCCACACTAAGTTTGGCATCAGTATGGTCCAGGCTGCATAAGGAGGGGTGAACCGGCCCAGACCAGAACCAGAGCAGGTCAGAACTCCTGTGCTGATCAGTAGTGGGATCGTGCCTGTGAATAGGCACTGCATTTCAGCCCAGGCAACATATCAAGACCCCTATCTGTTAAAAAAATGGATGGATGGATAGATGGATGGATGGATGAATAAATAAATATGTTCTTCTGTAGTAAAAAAAGAATTGAATTGTCTAACTAGAAATTTGTGTTGATTTGGATCAGGAGTGGTTCCTGCGTTTTAAATTTGAGATGTTCTTACCAGTATTTTGAGGACTCAGAACGGTTAATGTCTATAGTTTATAACTAATCATTAAAATAGGGCGACAAAGGCTGGGCACAGTGGTTCATGCCTGTAATCCCACCACTTTGGGAGGCTGAGGCAGGAGGATTACTTGAGCTCAGGAGTTCAAGACCCAGCCTGGGCAGTATAGTGAGACCTCATTGCTACAAAAATTGTAAAAAATTAGCCAAGTGTGGCGGCACCCACCTGTAGTCCCAGCCACTTGGGAGGCTGAGATGGGAGGATTGCTTGAGCCCAGGAAGTGGACGTTGCAGTGAGCTGAGATCACGCCACTGCGGTCCAGTGTAGTGAGACTCTGTCTCAAAAAAAAAATAAAAAATAAAAAGAGTGAGATGGGGGACAAAATCTACCACCTTAAAGCTTTGTAAGTATCTTATTCCTGTTAAGAGGAAACTATGTATACTATAAAATATAAATGTCAAGGGGCTTTTGCCAGCTCAGTTTTTCCTGAGTCATTCTTCAGGTATCTACTATTAGTACAGTGACTACAGATATCAAATCACTTGAATGACTTAAATCAATATTGACTCAGGGTAGGAAGTTCTCAGATTTCCATAATTTGAATAATTGATCCTTTGTCCCTTATTTTTAAAAAATATTCTGTATTTGAAGATTATAAACTATTTTCTTTTTCTTTTTCTTTTTTTTCTTTCTTGAAGCGGAGTCTTGCTCTGTTGCCCAGGCTGGAGTACACTGGAGTTCACTGGTGTGATCTTGACCTCACTGCAACTTCTGCCTCCCAGGTTCAAGTGATACTGCTGCCTCAGCCTCTTGAGAACCTAGGATTACAGGCACCTGCCACCACACCTGGCTAATTTTTTGTGTGTGATTTTAGTAGAGAAGGGGTTACACCACATTGGCTAGGCTGGTCTCAAACTCCTAACCTCAAGTGATCTGCCCGTTGCAGCCTCCCAAAGTATTGGGATCATAGGCGTGAGCCACTACGCCTGTCTTTATTTTATGATAAAGGTTGAATATCCCTAATCTGAAAATGAGGTGCTCTAAATCTGAAACTTTTTGAGCACCATAACAGTCAAAGGAAATGCTCACTGGAGCATTTTGGATTCCAGATTTTTGAATTAGGGATGCTCAGCTAGTAAGTATCTAAGGCAAATATTAAATATTTCAAAATCTGAAATCTAAAACACTTCTGTTCCTAAGCATTTTGGATAAGGGATACTCAGACTGTGCCTCAGAATTAAATATGACATATATGTGCATGTCTATGTTTTAATGAATGCCTCAGTACTTAAAAAGGAACCTAAAGCTGAGCATGGTGGCTCTTGCCTGTAATCCCAGCACTTTTGGAGGCTGAGGTGGGCAGATCACTTGAGGTCAGGAGTTCAAGACCAGCCTGGCCAACATGGTGAAGCCCCTTCTCTACTAAAAATACAAAAATAAGCCGGGTGTGGTGGCGTGCACCTGTAATCCCAGCTACTCGGGAGGCTGAGGTTGCAGTGAGCCGCGGATTGCTTGAACCCAGGAGGCAGAGGTTGCAGTGAGCCAAGATCACGCTACTGCTCTCCAGCCTGGGCTACAGAGCAAGACTCCTACTCAAAAAACAAACAAATACAAAAAAAGGAACCTAAGCCCTGGGAACACTAAAGCCATGTGAGTCTGAGTTGGGGGCAGTTGGTGGTAGTGGTGGGTAATATGGTAAGGAGATCACTGAAAAATTTTCTTCACAATGTTTTTTGAGGGTTGAAGGATAGAGAGAGGGTGTGGAATGGGGAGAATTCTTAGTAACTTAAGATAATGCTGTCTGTCAATGCTACACGCATGGTTTCCCATTATTTTAGACTGGAATTTCAGATGCCTTTTTAAGGAATGCTTAATTATGATTCTTATCTTGGGAAACCTTTAAAAAATTAAAAATGCTTCGTATGTTTATTAAAAAAATTCAAAAGCGTAGATTATTTTAAGTAAAACTTGATATTCCCCAAATAGCACTCTTTTCTGGCCAGTTTAGTGTGATTCCATACATACAAGTAAATGTGACATGAAGATGTAGATACCATGTTGATATGTGTGTGCACGTGTGTGTATGTATATAAACATGTAAAATACAGGAAATACCTTTACATATTTATGTGTAACCTTTTTTCAAAATGTAACATGGGTGTTAATTGGAAGCATTTGAAACATTGAGTACGGAGAAGGATTTGGTGACGCCTGTAATCCCAGCATTCTGGGAGGCCGACTGGGGTGGATCGCTTGAGGTCAGGAGTTCAAGACCAGCCTTCATGGCGACTCCCTGTCTCTACTATAAACCCAAAAATTAGCCGGGATCGTGGTATCATGCGCTTGTAATCCCAGCCACTTGTGAGGCTGAAGCAGGAGAATCATTTGAACCCAGGAGACGGAGGGTATAGTGAGCCGAGATGACGCCACTGCACTCCAGCCTGGGTGACAGAGTGAGACTGTGTCTCAAAAAAAAAAAAAAGAAGATTTGGAATTGGAAAATTGCCACTTAATTAACTGGTTTTATGTGGTTCTTGGTTTTTTTCTTGTTTCTTCCTAGAAACACTTAAAAAGGCAAATCTAAAGTGTGCACCATCATGTGAGTAGAAGGCGAAAGATTTATACCATCTGAAGAAAAACCAGAGTATTGATCACCATTTTACAAGGATGCTTTTCAGAGGCTGAGTTTAATAGTTTTATTCTGAAAAATCCCATACAGTCCAATTAACAGGAATTAAAAATGATCTCAAATAAAAATCATCTCATGTTAGAGCTACAAAGAGACTTAAAGATCCTGTTAGGCAGTGCTTCATGTTTTAGATGAGGAAACTAAGGCTCAGAGGTGTTAATGAGTAAGGTGTCATAGCCAGGCATAGATTTTAATCAAGTTCCCTTTCTACCATATCATGCTAGTTCTCATTTCTTGCTATCACATATGTTGGTAAAGTATGAGATAATAAAACTCTTACTGAAGAAAAGTGAATGCTCTATTAATTTTATTCATAAATGGCTGTTTTTAAAAAGGGTAAAAGGAGAATAAACCATTTTGCCCCATCTCTGTTTAAGACTCTGGGTATTATTAGTGTTTCTCAATGTTTTTTCCTCTGTTTTTTTCTTTCTCCTCCCCTAAAGACGGTTTTTAGCCTTTTTACCCCCTAATTGCCCCCATTAAATTTTGTATCTGTTTATGTATTGTAGCCTTTTAGCATCAATTTTTTTTTTTTTTTTTTTTTTGAGACAGAGTTTCGCTCAGTCACCCAGGCTGGAGTGCAATGGCGCGATCTCGGCTCACTGCAACCTCCGCCTCCTGGGTTCAAGTGATTCTCCTGCCTTAGCCTCCTGAGTAGCTGGGATTACAGGCACCCGACAATCATTCCTGGCTAATTTTTATAGTTTTAGTAGAGACAGGGTTTCACTGTGTTGGCCAGGCTGGCCTTGAACTCCTGACCTCGGGTGATCCACCTGCCTCAGCCTCCCAAAGTGTTGGGATTACAGGCCTGAGCCACTGTGCCCAGCCTTAGCCTCACTGTTTTTAATGATAAACTTAAATCACAGCCGCTGAAAGCATCCGTTTACAATGGTGATGTACACATTTATTTTCATCTTTTTAATTATTTCTGGATTTTAAAAGAAACAGAAATAAAAGGAAAACCGAAAACTGCATAAAATCCCTTAATCAACTGGCAGTTAAATCCTTTTTTTTTTTTTTTTTTTTTTTGAGACGGTGTCTTACTCCTGTTACCCATGCTGCAGTGCAGTCATGCAAACATGGATCACTGCACCCTCAACCTCCCAGGCTTGAGCAGTCCTCCTACTCAGCCCCTCCCTCACCCCCCCACCCCAAGTAGCTGGGACCACAGCCATGTGCCACCATGCCCCGCTAATTTTTAAAATTTTTTGTAGAGATGGGTTCTCGCTGTGTTGCACAGGCTGCTGTTGAACTCCTGGGCTCAAGCAGTCCTCCCACCTTGTCTTCCCAAAGTAGCTGGAATTACAGTTGTGAACCACCACGCCTGGCTTCTCAAGTTCTTCAGTGAACCCAACTTTTTAGATGTTTTTAATTAACGTCCATGATATTTTGAAGCAAAGGTGTTTTTTTGTTTTTCCCTCCCCTTGGGGGAAATGTCATTTTACTTGAGAGTGCATGGGTTTAGAGCAAGCTAGAATGGCAAAATATATCTTAACTGTCTTTCAAAAAGATGAGCTTTAACTTTACCTTCTTGTGTTTATTGCAGGCTTTCTTAGAAATGGCTTCTGAGGAAGCTGCCGTTACTATGGTGAATTATTACACTCCTATTACTCCTCACCTTCGAAGCCAGCCTGTTTATATTCAGTATTCCAATCACAGAGAACTTAAGACTGACAATCTACCTAATCAAGCTGTAAGTATTAAAGATGTTTTTAAAAATAGGTATGGGAACACATGGTATGATAACTTACATACTTTACAGATGAAGAAAAATTATGTGCTTTTATTCATTTTAGGATACTTTACTAGTCATAATTGTATATGTAAATTCTTCCCCCCAATTCTTAAGAATAAGAAAGCAGTGCCATTTAGAAATAGAAGTTAATTTTTTCTCTTGAAACTGTTTTCACAGTAAAAAAGGAGAAAAAATATTTATTGTTATGTACATCTTAAAATCTCAGATCTGAAAGGAACTTAATCATTCATTTCAATCATCTTTTTACAGACTCTAACAAAAGCATTGAGAAATTGAGTGAATTAAGTAATGGAATTTAACACCTTAATAAAAAATTTTTAGAATTGTTTATTAAATGATTTTTGACTCCTCAAGATGAATGTGAAATGTAGCATAGCAATATTTCTTACCCATTTTTCTGTTATTTTGATGTAGCACACGTTGAGTCTTTTGTGTCTTCCCATGTTGATTTTTAAGTGGTTAAAAATAGTATAATAATTTGAAGTTATTTAAGGACAGAAAATCTTTATACACAAAGTAAATACATTTTAAGAAGGTGGTTTTTGGCCGGGCGCGGTTTGGGAGGCCGAGGCGGGTGGATTGTGAGGTCAGGAGATCGAGACCATCCTGGCTAACACAGTGAAACCCCGTCTGTACTAAAAATACAAAAAAAATTAGCCGGGCGTGGTGGCGGTCATCTGTAGTCCCAGCTACTCAGGAGGCTGAGACAGGGGAATGGCGTGAGCCTGGGAGGCGGAGCTTGCGGTGAGCCGAGACCGTGCCACTGCACTCCAGCCTGGGTGAGAGCGAGACTCTGTCTCAAAAAAAAAAAAAAAAAGAAAGTGGGTTTTTTTAAAATTATGATTTTAAGGGCATGTTTGGCCTCTGTATTCTTGCTCTAGGCAAAGAACTCCTCCAGCTCTCTGATTTTGTGTTGAAAGGCAGTATAATGTTAGCTGGTGAGATTTGTTTTCCACATTGTTTGAAACAGCGACATTTACTGCATATAATCCTTAACTTATTTTAGGCAATATTAATGGCATGTAATAAACTATATAAGCTTACAATAAATACAATATTAGATGAACAGAATAGACTTTTTAAAATGAAAAATTGTCATTACAAGTTGTACATAGGATACATGCTTTTGGTACACCATTCAATCAAGAAAAGTAAAAGAGAAAAGAACCAAAACCAATCCAGTTACCCAGAGATAACTAATAACTAGTGGTAATATTCGGTGTGTATTCAGATGTCTATATATCTAATTTTACACAAAATGTTTTGAAATCTTTTTTTGTGTAATGTTATGGACATGGGTTTATTACAACAAATATAGCATTACCTCATCAGCTTTAAATGACTATAATACTCCCTTTTATAGGAGAATTATAATTCGTCCAATTTCTTTTTGATATACACTGAAGTTGTTTCCAGTGTATATTCCAATGCAGCATATTCCAATCCAATACAATGTATATTGCCGTGGAAGACAATGTGTATTCCAATGTATATGTATGAAATTGCTGGGACACAGCATGTACATATTTTAAATTTTGGTATATGTTGCATGATTGCTTTCTGTAGAGATTATGTGCTTAGAGTGCCACCAATATAATGGATGAGCAAATGAGTAATAATATCTTATGTTTTACTTTTATTTGATAATTTGTAAAATACTTATACTGATTTCTGTTAGTGCCATTTTCCCCATTTTTTATTGTAGTAAAATATACATGACATAAAATTTACCATTTCAGCCATTTTTAAATGTACAGTTTAATGGCATTAAGTACACTCACATTGTTGTATAGTCACCACCACACTTAGTCTCTAGATGCCATTTCCCATCACCTCAAACTGAAACACTCTATCCATTATACAGTAACTCCCTATTCCTTCCTCCCTCCCACCTCTGGCAACTACCATTCTACCTTCAGTCTCTATGAATTTTTAAATACATGGTCAAAGCTCTTAGGATGTCATAATACAATCTTTTCTGACTTCAGTACCATGCTCAGAAAGATCTAGTACACCAAGATTAAAAAAAGAATCTACATATGTTTTCTTCTAATACTTCTGTGTTGTAGTTGTTCTTATTTCTATTAGGAATTTTTTGGATGTAGGAATGAGGGTAAGGGTTCAGTCTTTTTTTTACTCCAAGAGACCAGTTTCTCCTGCATTATTCTTGAATAACTCATTTATTATCTACTAATGTGAAACTTGTCCTTTGTCATATATTAGTTTTCTACACACACTCTATGCCTGCTGATCATATGTACACACACTCATGCACAGTCTCGTCTAACATGCTTATACGTTCTGCTTGCATGTCTTGTTCTACCCTCATGTGTGTGCTGCTCACATGCTATGCATTCTATGTTTAACCTTTACTACCTTTTGAATTCCAAAAGCTTGGATTCCATTTCCACGTCTGTGCCCTAAGGCTTAATTTTTTGTTGTTGTTGTTTTTTGTTTGTTTTTGGAGACAGAATTTTGCTCTTTGTCCAGGATGGAGTGAAGTGGCACTATCTCGGCTCACTGCAACCTCTGCTCCCATCCCCCACCCCCCGCCCGCCGGGTTCAAGCGATTCTCCTGTCTTAGCCTCACGAGTAGCTGGGAGTATAGGTGCTAGCCACCACGCCCAGCTAATTTTTGTATTTTTAGTAGAGACAGGGTTTTTCCATGGTGGCCAGGCTGGTCTGGAACTCCTGAGGTCAGGTGATCCACCCGCCTCTGTCTCCCAAAGTGCTAGGATTATGGGCGTGAGCCACTGCACCCGGCTCCTAAGACTTAATGTATTGCAGAGCAAGATCTTATTTCTTACTCTTTTTTCAGAAATTAACTGATTAATATATCTTGCGTATTTCTTCAGATAAATTTTGGAATTATTTTGGTAACTCCTGTCCCCCAAAAAACACACTTGGAATTGGGTTGATGTTGTAAGTTAATTTGAGATAATTAATTATGCACATTAATTATATTACTCTGATTCTTTTAAGAAGAAAGTTATATTTTGTTTGTTTTCTTTTATGTCTTTCAGTAGAGTTTTTAATTTTCCTTCATGTAAATCCTGCAGTTTTCTCATTAGTGTGATTCCTAAATATGTTACTATAAACCTTGAAGGGAAAAAACAATTTAATAAATCTTAAAAGATTAGATTATTCCAAAGAGAAAGTGAGAAATCCCAGTTGCTTGGCAACCAAAGCCAGCCTAAATGACCTAGTTTATTCTGAGATAGCCTTCATTTCTTCCCAATACTTTTTCCATCTTGTTGCTTTTGTACAACTTTTATGCATTGATGTTTGATAAAATGCAATAATTTTTTAAAAATTCAAAGTCCTACATCAAACCTAACGTCCAACTTGCAGATACCTGTTTGATATTTTTAAAGTACTGTAGTATCTTTTTATTCTGACATTCCCAGAAAGCTGATAGATGAGTGTTTCATTCCTTTTTGTTCTCTGAATAGCAAGCTATCCCAAAATATGCACTTTACTTTTCCAGTTTATGATTGTACTTGCCAGAAGGTCAGGTGAATATTAAGTGTTTTGTTTCCTTGATTTAAACTAAAGTCACAACTGTAAAATTTAGGTCATATTCTGAGATACAGCATTTGAGAAATGGTCGTGTTAATAGGAGTCATTATTGTATGCAGCTTTTCTTGACCTTGTGGATGAAAGTTTATAAATCTGCCATGAGATGACCATAGAAGGATTTTCTCTAAAAAACAATCAAACTTAACATTTAAGATCTGTGCATTTTTATTGTATGTTAATTTTCTTCTTCTCAATCTGAGAAATACCTTCTTTACATTTTCCAGGCATTTTAAAATTTTACATGAAGTATACATTTCTCCTTATCCCACATTAAATTTGTTTTCCTGATCATACTACTGCTATTATTTCCTTTATTAATTTAACTATTCCAAAGAGTTTGTTACCCAAACATTTAAAAATTATTTCCCATAATAGGAATTCTGCTCCTTCATAATTTTTAGCATCAGACACACTTTTTTTTTTTTGAGACAGCACCTTGCTCTGTGGCCCCAAAGTAATAATAGTTGCTTTAAATTTTGAGACAATCACAAACTTAGAAAAAAGTTTCCATTATGGTACAAAGGAGTTTTGATTTCTTGAGGCTTTTGAGAATAAGATGCCACTCTGGTCCTTCTTTCCTGTCCAATATTTTTAGCCTGCATTTCCTACAAACAAGAACATTCTTCTATCAACCAGAATACAACAGTCAACATCAGCAAGTTATCATTGATACATAAGTTCCCTCCATTCCTCATACCCCATTTATGTTTTGCTAATGGACCCAATAATATTTGTTTATAGCAAAAGGATTCAGTTAGAATCACATTTCCATTTAATTGTAATGTCTTTTTAGTCTCCTTTAGGGCCTTTCATAACCTTGACACTGTTGAAAATTATAGGCAATTTATTTTCAAGAATGTCCCTCAGTTTGAGTTTGTCTGATGTTTCCTTGTGATTCAATTCAGAGTATCTGTCTTTGACAGAACATCACAGAAGTAATGCTCTTTTCATTGCATTATAAAATTTCCATTTGTTGTGTTAGTAATGATGGGCTCTTTGATCACTTGATTAGGGTGGTGTTTGCCAGCCTTCTCCACTATAAAGTTGTTACTTGGGGGAAAAGTAGTATTTTGTGGGCAGGTACTTTAAGACTATGTAAATACACTGTTCCTTATCAGCTGTTGATTTATATCGGTATGGACTAAAGGTTTCCTATGTTATTTGATGGATTTTCTGTTTTTAACAGTTGTTATTATTTTGATACACAGATTGTCCTAGATTTGGCCAGTGCAGGCCCCTTCAAGCTGGTTTCTATGTCCTTTTGGAATATCCCTATCATTCTTTGAACATTTCCTTGCATTCTGATCAACGCTCCCTCCCCCTGCCCCAAAACAAAAATATTTTATACTCTTCTTGTGATTTCTGGGCCCCAGTTCTGGAATCAGCTATTCTTTTAGAGTGCCTTGGTCTCTTTTAGTGGAGAATATTTAGAAGTTTGTCTTGACTACCCTTGTTTGGGTGTAAACATCCCATGCCATAGTCTTTAATGTTGCTTTCATATTTCTTCCCCCATTGTCTTTAAAAAATTAGGAAATAAAAATTACATCCAGATTTTCTCCTTTTATCCATGTGTTTTTATTCTTCAAGTAAATTTAAGCACCTTTTAAAAATACTGTGTCATTGTGGTATGCAGGGAGGTGTTTGACTGTTGACTGATTACAAATTTAGGATATGTATCTCCAGACGGAGTAGATAAATCTTGTTTTACTTAACTACATTGCTTCATACTGTTTTATGTCAACTAAATTTTAGGATTCATATAATGCGTCTGTATAATCAAAAGTTCTCATTTTGGGTTGTTCTATAGCGAGCCCAAGCTGCACTGCAGGCTGTCAGTGCCGTCCAATCAGGAAGCCTGGCCCTTTCTGGAGGTCCTTCCAATGAAGGCACAGTCCTACCTGGGCAGAGCCCTGTGCTTCGAATAATTATTGAAAACCTCTTTTACCCTGTTACCCTGGAAGTTCTTCATCAGGTAAGGAGGAATAAATACCCTTAAGAAAGTTAAGTTAAATATGGCCTCTGAAACTTTTGATGTTTTATATCTAAGTTGTTTAGCTTATTGGTTTTGTTGATATATTTGTTTAAATAATGAAAAAAACTTCATCTAATTTCATAGAAATTAGAGGTAATTTTTTGACAGCCTCCTTTTTCTAACTTGAATACATAATTAAAAAGGGTGTAAAAAGTTTTGATTTTTTTTTTCTTGTAGGTAATCATGAAAATAAAGCATAGAATATTGTGAAAAGTCCAGGTAGTAGTTGTTCCTTAGAAAGTAATGTCACCGTTGAGTACAACTAATTTATTTCTGGACAGCTTCTTACCTTTGAGTATTTCTGATTTAAAAATTCTAAAGGGAAAGTGTTCAATAAGTCTTCATGTGTAATATGAATATACCATGTTAAATATTGACTGATGCCCAACCTAAGCTTCATACACTACCCATTGCTATATCTAAGTTGTCTTGATAAAAGAAATCATGGCAAGTAATATGTAGAATTTAAGAATTGAAGGTTACTTAGTTTCACAATTTTGTAGTGAATAAATCCAAAACCCAAATAATTGATAAGTATAGAATATTGTAGAGCGTAATTGAAGAGCCAATTAGAATTGAAGCTTCCTGATGTAATTTCCCATGTTTTGTTTTTGAATGGTTGTTACATTTTTAACTAATACTTCATATATACATATCCTAAGAATGTAATATACAGTTATCTGGTAATCTGTGTATATAAATATTTGACATATAGCCCCAAAATTTAGTCAGCTTTTGTCCTCTTTAGCTATATGTTGATTTCATTTCATTACACTTAGCCCACATATTAAAATACTGCAACACTTCCCTTGCTTATTTTCATTTGACAGAGTCATGCCTTTGGATTTGTAGTATGTGCAGAGTCATAGAGGTGTGTGTGTGCTTGTATATGTAAGAATTGAAATACATCTTACTCTAGGCTCACATTTTACGAATAAAGAAGCTAGGGCCCTTAGAAGTTCGTTTACTTTCCCACAGTCCTTATACCAATTGGCGATAGAGCTCAGACACATTTCTCAGTAAAGTGCTGTGCCATGCATGTATATATTAAAACATGCCATTGAGTAGGCGTACTGGGTTTCCCCTTTGATAGTTTTCTGAGTACCATTTTTAAAACATATGCATTTGTGAAGCATGTCCTAAACAGGATTCTAGCAATGGTATCCAGAGCCACGGTTGCTCTCTGAAAGGGTTCAGCTGTTGCTTAAGTGATTGGTTTCATTGTTCTTGTGGATTTTCTTCTCTTCTGTTTATCCCGGAAAGTGGCATTGAAGACTAATGTGATCTTTAGCAGTGTTTGTTCCGGGGTTGCTACTGTAACATTGTAGCTATTGCTTTTATAAAAGATGTTCTTATGCCTATGTCCCAACACTGCCATCAGCCAGCAGCAAGTTTAGCTACAGTCATGTGGTCCTGTCTTATAATTTCATTTATCATCTCCCTAACCACAGTAACAAATTTTGTTTTTCCCTCAAGAGATCATGGTGACCTTCAGGTGAAGAGGACTAATTCTGAGTGTCCTCAGTAGCAAGTGCTGGGGTAGGACACTCAGCCTTTCAGTTATAGCACTCACTTTTTTAACCCTCTTTTCCAGTGCTATTGAAATAAAACCAACTCCTTATGAAGGCCCCCAAATGCAGACTTCTCCCCCATCTCTTTATCTTCATTACCTAACACTCTTCTGGTTATTTAGCACCTGTCTTTTCTGGCACTGTCTCTCTCTCCCTACCTCCCTTCCCTATTCCCCTGCTTAGTTCTGTCCTTAGTCCATTTCTGTCTTGTATTTCTTAGGCCGGGAACACTGTTTACCCAGGTAGTCACCTGGCAGGATCGACATCATTGAACTCTCAGCTCAAATGTTACCTCCTCAGGGAGCCTGAATCTAATTACATTAAACAAGCCCTCTCCCCTGGCATTCTATCCCATCAGCCAACTAAGAGCCAGTCTGGCATAGCAGTTACAGATACAGGGTCTAGAGGTAGTTTGAATCCTGACTCTACTGCCTCTATAGCCTTGGGCAAGTAACTTACCCCTTCTATTTTTGTTTTCTTTATAATGAAGATGATGTTCTCTCTCATTTTTTATTGCGAGGATTATATGAGTTAATACATTTAAAGTACTCATTAAATAGAACAGGGCCTGATACATATTAAGTGCCCAAGAAGGGGTTGGGTGTGGGGGCTCATGCCTGTAATCCCAACACTTTGAGAGGCCAAGGCGGGTGGATGACTTGAGGTCAGGAGTTCAACTCCAGCCTGGCCAACATGGTGAAACCCTATCTCTTCTAAAAATATAAAAAATTAGCCGGGTGTGCTGGCATGTATCTGTAGTTCCACCTATTCTGGAGGCTGAGGCAGGAGAATCACTTGTACCCAGGAGGCTGAGATTGCAGTGAGCTGAGACCACCTGGGCAGCAGAGCAAGACTCCATCTAAGTGCCCAAGAAGTATTAGCTCTAATGATCAAATGCTAGTAAAGAGCAATGTAAGAAACTAGTTCTTTCTCTTGTAGTCTTGTGGGTAAGACACTAATTTCATAAATAATGGCATAAGATGTGGTGAATATTATGGTAGGGGAATATACAGAAGTATGGAGTTGGTTGTACCTGTTATAACTATTTAACGAATTATTTTATTATATTCTTTGCTGAAAATTGGTCCTGGCTCAACTGCTATCTAACATCTATAGAAACTAATGTTCCTTTAGCTCATGGTAAGGGAATTGAGAGTGACTGAAATGGGATTGATGCTATTTTAGATGAAGGAAGTTAGGGAAAGTCTTTGCAATATGATATCTGAGCAGAGGCTTATAGGATGTGAAGATATAAGTTATATGTGTATGTGGAGAAATAATGATCCAGTCCAAAAGAACAGCAATGTAAGGTGCCTAAGGTGGAAGTATGCTTGTTGTGTTCAAGTATCAGAAAGAAGGCTGGTGTCACTGGAATAGAGAGAGTAAGAAAGCCCTATGCGAGAGGGCATTAGAGCAGTGGTGATGCAAAGCTTTTATAATTTCTTATATTGGGTAAGATGGGAAACCTTTGGAGGATTTTGAATGGAACAGTGAGATTATATCATTTATGTTTTAGCAGAATCACTCTTGTTGCTATATTAAGAATAAACTGGCCAGGTGTGGTGGCTCACGCCTGTAATCCCAGCACTTTGGGAGGCTGAGGCCAATGGATCATCTGAGCTCAGGTGTTCAAGACCAGCCTGGGCAACATGGCAAAACCCCATCTGTACCAAAAATACAAAATATTAGTCAAGGGTGGTGGCACACACATGTAGTCCCAGCTACTCAGGAGGCTAAGGTGGGAGGATAGCTTGAGCCCGGGAGGTGGAGGTTGCATTGAACCAAGATTGTACCACTGCATTCCAGCCTGGATGACAGAGTGAAACCCTGCCTCCCCATCCTCCAAAAAAATAAGCTGTATAGGGTTAAGTGGAGGCTCTTGTCCTACTTCAAGTGAGAGATGATGGTGGCCTGGGTGAGGGCATAGGCACTGGAAGTGGTGATTATGGATTTTTTTAAAATTAGAGATAGGGTCTTGCTATGTTACCCAGACTGGCCTTAAATAAACTCCTGGGCTCAAGAGATCCTTCCACCCTATGACAAGCTGGGGCTATAGTTACGGGCCACCTACACAGGCTTCTGTGGATATATTTTGAAAGATTTGCTGATGGATTGATTAGATGTGGTTCTGAAGAGAAAGGGAGTAATCAAGAATGCCTCCCAGATTTTGGACCTGAGCCTCTGGTAAAATGGAGCTAAGATGTAAAGACTGAGGTAAGTAAATAATAGTAATAATAAAAAGACAAAGACAAAAAAAGATTTGGGGCAGGGGTTGGAGGTAGGCAGGAATCAGGAGTTTGATTTGAACATGTTAACTTAAGAATACCTATTAGATATTCAAGTGGGAGATGATAAATGGGAATTAAGTCTGGATTCAGGAAAGAATTCAGGCTGGAGATTTGGGAACCTTCAGCGTAGGTGTGGTAATTAAAGCCATTGGACTGGATGACATCATCTCAGAGTATTTGTAGATAGAATTCATCAACTGATTCATTATGTAAATGCTCAGTCCTGCATACTAAAAAGTGTCATTGTGCATGAAAGAAGTAGCTCATAACGATGTTCTCATGTAATCCATTACTTCTGAGTACTGTTATACATGGGAATGGTTTTTGAGTGTCCAATAGATAAATCTCTTCTGGACAAAGGACCAATCTTTTTGAATTGTAATAAAGATAAATAACTTACAAAAGCTAGGCATTATGGTACTAAATAAAAGAATCCTAGTAATATGAAATTCTGGTTCTTAAATCATGTTATTTCATTGGCTACAAAAACTATTATAAACAAGTTGTGGCCAGTGTGCTTGATACTAAAAAAAAATTCTAATGTGAATACACTTTTTTTTTTTTTTTTTTTTTTTGAGATGGAGTCTCACTCTTATAGCCCAGGCTGGAGTGTGGTGGTGCAATCATGGCTCACTGCAACCTCCGCCTCCCGGGTTAAAGCAATTCTCCTGCCTCAGCCTTCTGAGTAGCTGGGATTACAGGCGCCCACCACCACACCTGGCTAATTTTTGTACTTTTAGTGGAGGAGGGATTTCGCCATGTTGGCCAGGCTGGTCTCGAACTCCTGACCTCAGGTGATCTGCCCACCTTGGCCTCCCAAAGTGCTGGGATTACAGGCATGAGCCACTGCGCCTCGCCATGAATACACTTTTTACAAGTGAATACTAGTGGACATTTTCAGTTTCTGACAAATTCTACCTTTATAAAAAATCACTCTGAAGATGAATTTTATCAGAATTTGATCTTTAGTATCTTCTTAGTCCTGTGTTACAGTCTGAAAATATTAAAATACACAGGAGGTATATAGAGTTGAGTATTTGTCCATATTTTTGACAGCAAAATATATTAGGGAAACAGAGTAAAAGACCTTATAATTCATAAAAATAGATTCATATATATATCAAACCTTCCTGAATTTTAATTTTTGATACCAAATCTGTTTAAAATTTGCTATTTTGATAATTATGAAAGGGTGTTAAAAATCACACCTCAGGCATTCCTAGATTCCCTGATGTTGGTGCCCAGTTACTTTATTCAGAAGTATCATATCGTTTTTTGTAGCTCCTCTATCAGTGAATACAATCCAGGGGACTAGAGTGCTATTGCTGGTTAGCCCATTCAGGCAAGTTCTATTCTCTTAGCACATTCAGATAAAAACCACACAGCAAAACACCAAGCTGTCCCAGGATGTGCTTTAGGCCATTGTTGAAGTTAAATGAGAAAAGGAATGTAAACATTAACAAAATCTGAAAGGTGAGTGGAAATTAGGTTTTATAGCATAATTTAGTATAAAAATTTTCCAAATGTTAGAGCAAATTATGTGTTTTCCTACTCCTTCACTAATGATATATTTTACATCAAGAATATTTATTATTTTTTGAAATTGCTGACTTCCCTTGGGGTGAAAATAAGTATTTTTTTAAAAAGAAAAAATGAAAGCTTTAAAAAAAGGGAAAAAAAATTACATATTGCCAGCTGGGTGCAGTAGCTCAGGCCTATAATCCCAGTACTTTGGGAGGCTAAGGTAGGAGAATCGTGTGAGGTCAGGAGTTTGAGACCAGCCTGGGTAAGGTAGCGAGACCCCATCTCTAAAAAAATTTAAAAATTAGCCATGCATGGTGGTATGTACCTGTAGTACTCTGGAGACGAAAGCAGGAGGATTGCTTGA
This sequence comes from Homo sapiens, assembly GCF_000001405.40. NCBI lineage: Eukaryota > Metazoa > Chordata > Mammalia > Primates > Hominidae > Homo > Homo sapiens. Next base: position 112,256,627 of record NC_000009.12, on the reverse strand, counting down.
GCCCAGGAGTTCAAGGTTATAGTGAACTATGATGGCGCCACTGCACACCATTACGGGTGACAGGGTGACCCCATCTCTTAAAAAGGAAAAAAAAATTGCATATTGCTATAATTCTCCAACCAGGTCTAGATATAATTCTTTATCAATTAATAATAAGCATTTTAGTCTATATCTCTTACATGTCAGGAATTGTGCTTAATGATGCAGAAATGATTAAGACAAGGTATATTCCTTCAAGGAGCCTTCAGTCTAATGAAAGGAGACAGTTATATAAATAAATATATAGTACAGTAGAAGTACAACAGCAAGATAGATAAATATATATATATATATGTATATATATATATATATATATTTTGTTTTTTTTTTTTTTGAGACGGAGTTTCTCTCTTGTTGCCCAGGTTGGAGTGCAATGGCCCGATTTCAGCTCACTGCAACCTCCACCTCCCAGATTCAAGCGATTCTCCTGCCTCAGCCTCCTGAGTAGCTGGGATTACAGGCATGCACCACCATGCCTGGCTAATTTTTGTATTTTTAGTAGAGATGGGGTTTCACCATGTTGGCCACCCTGGTCTTGAACTCCTGACTTCAGGTGACCCACCTGTCTCAGCCTCCCAAAGTGCTGGGATTACAGGCGTGAGCCACTGTGCCCAGCTGATAAATATTTATATAAAACCAAGAAATAGATACAACTCAAGAAAAATAATTCTATAGGGATTTGGGGGAGGCTGAGAATTTTATGGTGGCATTGTTCCCTGAGCTGAGTTTTGGAAAAGATAAATGAAGGCTTACTAGCTGTTAAAACACATTTCTAGGAAAACAAAAAATCCTCATATATGGGCCTAGAGGTCTGAAATCACTTGGTAAATTTGGAGAACTATAGGCAACTACATATTGTTGATGTAAATAGAGTAGTGTTATACAAGAAGTGTCAGGAAGTGAGGTTTGAGAGATAAACCAGGGCAAGAGTGTTATGTTATATGAAGGAGCTTGGATTTTACCCTGTATATAAAGGGGAGGTAGTAAAGGATTTTCAGTACGGGAAAATATAATCTGCCTTATAATTTAGAACGCCACCTGGGCTGTAGTAATGAAGAAGGGAGGTCAGACAATTTGTTATATTACACCCCCAACCTTTTTTTTAAAGTCTAACGTTACTCCTTTATTGAGAGAAAACATTGAGTTGCTGCATGTATAATACATACATTGATTCATGTCTTGCCATAAGTGATTCAAGTGGCAAAATATATATAACATGAATTTTACTGTTTTAACTATTTTTAATTGTATAGTTCAGTGACATTAAGTATATTCACATTGTTTTTCAACCATCACCAAATACCATGTTTCCAGAATTTTTTTCATCTTCCCAAACTGAAACTCCCTTTACCCATTAAACGGAACTCTTTATTCATCTACTCTCCTAGCCCCCAGTAATCACCAGTCTATTTTCGGTCTCTGTGAGTTTGACTACACCTTAGGTTCCTCATGTAAGTGGAACTATGCAGTATGTGTGCTTTTGTGACTGGCATATTTCACCTGGCATGATGTCTTGAAGGTTCACCCATATTCAGAATTTTTCTCCTTTTTGAGGCTGAGTAATATTCAGTTGTATGTATATAGCATATTTTATTTATCCATTTATTCATTGATGAACACTTTGGTTGCTTCCTGTTTTGGCTATTTTGTGTAATGCTGCGATACACATGGGTATATGCATATCTCTTTGAGTCCCTGTTTTCAATTTTTTGGCTATATACCTAGAAATAGAATTGCTGGATCATATGGTAATTCTATTTTTAATTTTTTAAGGAAAGGTCATACTTTTTCCATAGTGGCTGTAACATTTTACATTTCTACCAACAGTGCACAGGGGTTGCATTTTCTTCATATCCTCCCCAATATTTTATGGGTTTTAAAAAATTTTATAACTATCCTAATGGAAGTTAGGTGATATGTAGTTTTGATTTGCATTTTTCTAATGATTAGTGATATTGAGCATCTTTTTGTGGGCTTATTGGCTATTTGATTAGCTTCTTTGGAGAAATGTCGATTGAAGTCCTTTGCCTATTTTTGGGTTGCATTGTTTGTATTGTCGTTGAGTTGCATGAGTTCTTTATCTGTTCTGGATCTTAACCCATTATCATATACATGATTTATTTCACTCTGTTGATAGTTTCCTTTGATGCACAAAAGTTTTTAATTTTGAGGTAGTCCAGTTTATCTATTTTTCATTCATTACCTGTGCTTTAGAATATTCTTTCTTTCATGTTTTTTTAACCACTAGACTACCAGGGAAGGATAGTTATTCTTGAGCATACTTTTTGAGAATTAAAAAGCAGGGCCAGGTATGGTGGCTCACACCTGTAATCCCAGCACTTCGGAAGGCCAAGATGGGAGGATAACTTGAGCTCAGGAGTTTGAGACCAGCCTGGCCAACATAGTGAGACCTCATCTCTATAAAACCTTAAAAATAAAAAATTAGCCAGATGTGGTGTAGTCCCAGCTACTTGGGAGGCTGAGATGGGAGGATCGCATGAGCCTGGGAGGTGGAGCCTACAGTGAGCCATGATTGTACCATAGTGGTTGGTAACAGCAAAATCTTACCAGCATAGGGAATACTTAACTTTTTTAATCTCAAAAGCAGAACAAATTCTTGTTTTAAGATTCAAATTTAAAATGGAGTGAATATTAGTTCATTTTCACACTGCTATAAAGATACTCCCTGAGACTGGGTAATTTATAAACAAAAGAGGTTTAATTGACTCACAGTTCTGCATGGCTGGGGAGGCTTCAGGAAACTTACAGTCATGGCAGAAGGCGAAGGGGAAGCCAGGACCTTCTTCACATGGTGGCAGGAGAGAGAGAGTGCGCAGGGGAAACTGCCCCTTTTAAACAATCAGATCTCTTGAGAACTCCCTATCACGAGAACAACAAAGGGGAAACTGTCCCTATGATCCAGTCACCTCCCACCAGGTCTCTCTTTTGACATGTGGGGAATCACAATTTGAGATGAGATTTGGGTGGTGACACAGAGCCAAACCATATCAACAGAGTAAAACTAAATATGTTGTTGTTTTATCCCCCCTATTTAGTCCTTCAGAAATGAGTTACTATTAATAGTAACCCTGGCCGTGAACCCTGTGATGCTGAGGTAGCACACGTATTGTGAGGATATTGGTGTCAGGAAGCCTTCCCCTCACTCTTTTCTTCTCAAAAGACACTTCAGAAAGGCCTTCTTTGGCCACCACTCTTGCACTGTCTCATCTTGCATTCTGGTTCGTGCTCACCCCTTCCCTTCTTTTATTTTTATTCGTAAGACTTCTAAAAATCACCAGATATTAGGATATTTGTCATTTGTTTATTGTCTGCATGTGGGCATAGACTTTTGTCTCTGTTTTGTTTACTGCTGTCTTTCCAAATATTTGGTGAATTAATAGAGCAGCCTCTAGTTGAACATCTTCTAGTGGCTACAGAAATCTCAAAAAGTAGATGATTCTTCACAGGGTGAAATAGTTGGTCCATGACTCCCACTTTTATTCATATGCTTTGTAACACATCTCATACCATTGATTATTGTAGTCTCCTATTTTAATACTGTACCATTTATATATCCCATAAAATAGGCTAGTTATTTAAGTGCCTGTTGTGTACCGGGCGTTGTTGTAAGATAGTCATGGGTATTGAAATGTTAATGTTTTAGGCTTAAGTCATTTTGGTACCAAAGTTTTCAAGAGAAAATTTTCATTTAAAAGGATTTATGAACAAGTTGTATTTATAAAGATACATCAGTTTAATACTTTTCTTTTACATTTAACCTAATGTGAACTGTTTTCCAGATATTTTCTAAATTTGGCACAGTCTTGAAGATTATCACCTTTACAAAGAATAATCAGTTTCAAGCCTTGCTTCAGTATGCTGACCCAGTAAATGCACATTATGCCAAAATGGTAATTATGATCTTTGTTTCATTTTTCAATTGTTAATCACTCCAGTGATACCTTCTCTTGTGCCCCACTTTACCATGTGTTTTTAAAAAAATTGTGGCAAAATATACATGTTTACCATTTTAGTCGTTTTAAAGTGTATGATTCCATGTTTTTTTTTTCTAAGCTAAAAATCATTACTACTTCATATGAAACGGTCTCAAATCTCCTATCACCTCTCACATCTCTGAGACGCAGGTCCTGTTTGTCATGTTTAAAGTCTAGAATTGAACACAGTACTCCTCACATAAGCTGACTAATAGAGCCATCATTACCCTCGTGCTTTCATTTACTTCTCCCATCCAAGTACTAACCAGGCCCGACCCTGCTTAACTTCTGAGATCAGATGAGATCAGGTGCATTCAGGGTGGTATGGCTGTAGACCATTTACTTCTGTTAAATCAGTCAGAGATTGATTTCACCATTTTTGCAGCTGTATTCAATGTTTATTCCTGTTGAGCTCTAAATTGGTGGAGATACTAAATCTTAGGAAATATGCTGCTATCAATTCGTGTTGTCTTTTTTTTTTTAGTACACGAAAACCTATTTTGACAAGAATAAAACTTGACATTCAGTTCGATTATCTTAGACATACCTCTTGTTGATATCTATCCCTGACTCTAATTTCATCTTGTAGCAGTTTTTGCTAGTCATTTCTACTTTTTGGTCAAAGATGAGGACTATGGCTTGTGGTACTTTTGTGTACCACACAGTGTCTGGCACTCAATTGGGAGTATAGCCTTTATATTTGCTGTACCCTGAACATGCATATATTATTTTGTACCTTTACGATGGCATACTTGTCAATTACCATTATTATAAATCAGGATATATATATATATGTTTTATTTTTATGTGATTTGCTTTCTGGTATCTATTTTTATAAATTCAAGCATTTGTGAAAGTCGTTAAGTGGCCACAAATACCCTTAGGTAAATTTTTATTCTTGCAAAGGAAGGGGTTGCTAATCTTTGGTTACAACTGACTCCACATTTTCCTCAGTTTATTATTCAAAGTATTACAAAGTAAATTTACAAGAGAAAAAAATAAGTGGTAGGTAATATTTTATGTATTGTGGCTCTGACAAGTACCATTTACAAAAGCTTTGTTTCATCCTAACAAAGCTTACACATCCTAGTATAATGTGAATTATACTAAAATGAATTAAAGTGGAATGTAAAATCAGAGTATCTTAAAACTTTTGATATAGGCAAAATAATCATAATAATAGTGAACATTTCTATGATAGACAGTAGTTTTCCAATCTTTTACATTTCTCCTCTCTTATTTGATCTTACCACAGACAAGATAAATATTATCAGTCTTATTTTACAGATGAAAGCTGAGACTTAGAGATTTTCTTTTTCTCTCTTAGGCTCATAGTTAATGACTGTGAGGTAAAAGTAAACCCAAGACTTTGGCTTTTTAGTCAGTGCTTTCTGCCTTACACCTGATTGCCACTCTTTGTCAAAGTAGAGGCTTCTTGGTTATCAGTGTTGTTGTCTTGCCAAAACCAGTCCCTTTCTTACATGCTTTAGGCTCTGGATGGCCAGAATATCTATAATGCATGCTGCACTCTGCGCATTGACTTCTCCAAGCTCACCAGCCTTAATGTGAAATATAATAATGACAAAAGCAGAGACTTCACTCGCTTAGACCTTCCTACTGGTGATGGCCAGCCATCCCTTGAACCCCCTATGGCTGCTGCTTTTGGTGAGTAGTTCTTTTTTGGGTCACAAAGCAAGTTTTCTGAAGTTACAAGTTTCATTTATTAAGCCATGTATGTTTATAAGCCTTTTTCTTCTCGAGTTCTCTCAGGATTTATAAAGGAAAGCAAGAATCCTAGAACAAAGTATACCCATTAATTAAATATTAATATTAGGAGGTTCTGTTAGTTGACAGATGAATATCTGAAATTGAGTTACAAATTTATTTTCTAACATTGATATTACTCATTCTTTAAAAGCCACAAACCATTTGCTTCAAATTAGTAGTCTTATTAACATTAACTTAAATATGCTAGTTTATAGCCATAATAATTTTGCCATATATGCTCTTGAGAAAAATACTTTTCCTTTTTTAAGTAGTGATATTTTATATCAAGCTTAAATTAATAGTATGATCTTTTATTCAAAGAAGAGGATTTATTTTGTTTTGTTTCCTAAACTTCAGAACTTCCAGCTGTATCTTAAGCTTGTGTGAAGTTGCATTTTGCATTAGTAAAAATACAGCCTTCTAAATTGTCTCTGCAAATTGTAGCTTTGAAGAGCCTCCCTCTTTTATTTAAAGTAAACCTCTTAAGGAAAAAGCAATGGATGGCCCAGTTTGAATATCTTATTAGGTTAGTATATGCTACTTTTGGTTTCACAGTTCTCAAAAGTGTGGTTTATTACTTAAAGTATTACTACCTTTTGTGATTGATTTTTCCTTTTCCAAATAACACCGTAAAATATTGCTAATTGGGACTTTAAGTAGTATTTAGTTCATCATGTTTTATAGGTGAGAAAATTAAAAGAATTAAGACAATCAAATTATAAAATTAAGACAACCAAATGATTGTCCAAACCCTTCTGAAAAATAGTTCATTATTTTAAAGTAAAAGCTTTTTTATTATTTTTAATTTAAAAAGCCAAGGGAATGATTCAATGCATCTTTCTAATATTGATAAAATGTCTGTTTTGGGTTCTTTGACCAAATTTTTGTGTTTTGTATTTGTTACCAGCCCCTAACTTACTTATCTGATTTGGCAGTGACAAAGGTCTTTTGTCATTACCATTTTAATAACAAATGATAGAAATATTTGGTGCAAAAAAAAAAATACTGGGGCAAATTAAAGTTTGCCAAAACTCAGCTATCAAATTTAAGAATTCACTTATTCTAATAATTGATTATATACTCTTGGTGCAATTAATGTTCTGTATTATGAGAGGAGGACATTTTAAAAATATGTTAAGAATTTTGATTTCTGAATATAAAATATCAGAATGTTCATATCCTTTCTCATTAATGTTATTAGTAAATCCTTAGTCACTGCAAAATAATGTCTACATCCTGAAAAAGTGATTCATCAGAGAGAGAACAATGCACTTTATATATTGTGTGAAAGTTTCTCTACTTTGCCTATCACTAGTATTTGACACAGTTTCACTATTCACTTCTTTTTTCTTTTGGCCTCTGAAACACCACTCTCCTTACTTTCTTCCTACTTCACTGGCTGTTCTTTCTCTTTTAAAGGTTTCTCTTTACAGTTTCTAGGGCTGAGTCATAAGCACTATGTCCTTACTTTTAGTGACATTTGTTATACCTATAGAAAAGCTTATAAAACACGTAAGTATATAAACACCCATGTGACTACCACCCAGGTTAAGAAATAAAATATTTATACATACTGAAGAAGCACCCCGTGTACCTTTCTTCATCACTTTTGTTCACTCTCCTTCCCCCAAGATAACCACAGTCCCAAATTTGATAATTATTCTCTTGCTTTTCTGTTTTCCTGTTGTTTTTTTACCACTCATTATATATCCCTAAATGCAACTTAAAAATTTTTTAAAGCATTCAATACTTTAAAGCATTAGAAAAATTTTAAAGCTGTATTTAGAACCTTACATAAATGGACTCATGCTGGTTTTCTTCTGTGACTTTATTTGCCCTGTATGTCTTTGGTGATTCATCCATATTCATACATGTGGCTGTTGCTCATTCATTCTCAGTACGGTCAAGTCTGTAGTATCCCATTGGAAGAATAATAGATCATGGTTTGTTTATCCATTTTATTGTTGATAAATAGTTTGGTTGTTTTAGTTTGATGCTACTATGAACATTCTTTCCTGCTGGACAAGAGTTTTCTCTAAGAAGTACATAGGAAAGGAATTGTTGGGTCATAGAGAACATATTTCTTCAGTTTCATTACATAATGCCAGTTTTCAAAGTGATTGCACCAGTTTATAACTGCATTGTGAGATTAAAATAATTTTTTTAAGCCATCTCCTACTGAAAGGAGTGAGGTTAAAAAAAATTTTATTTTAGTGTGTGGTAAATGGTATCTTAACATAGTTTTCACTTGCATTTTCCTAATTACTAATGAGGTTGGACATATTTTTATTATTTATCCTCTCATACATTTTGTTTTATTTATTTATTTATTACACGAATAAGTTCTTTAGTGGTGATTTCTGAGATTTCGGTGCACCCATCACCCAAGCAGTGTACACTGTACCCAGTGTGTAGTCTTTTACCTCTCGCCCCCATCCCTGTGCAATTCTTTTGTCTGTTTTTGTGTTTTATTTCTCCTTTTTTTCTTACTTAGTTGTAGGAATTCATTATGTATTCCAGATACTAGTCCATTGTTTGTTATATGGGTTGCAAATAGTTTCTCCCAGTTTTGGCTTGTTGATTTATTCTCTTAATGATACTTTTACGTTGTCAAGTTTGTTTCTTATTTCCTTTACATTTGTGCTTTTTTGTGTGTCTTATTTAAGAAATCCTTTGTGATATAAGGTCATAAATATATTTACTTATATTCTAAAGTTTATGGTGTTTTAGTAATAATTTAAACTTTGCAATTAAATTTTGTCTGAAATTAAGTTGCAAGAGTAGTACAAAGAACTTCTGGGTATCTGTTATTCAGATTGCCCTATTGTTAATATCATGCCATATTTACTTAGATCATCTGAGTATTTATGTGTATGTATGTATATACATATATAATATATACACTACCTATATTTGTGTATGCATGTGTGTGTATATTTATTTTCTCCCACCTCCAAACCACTTGAGTAAGTTGCAGATATGATGTCCCTTTATGTCTAAATTAATCATTGTGTATTTACTAAGAGCAAGGACATTCTTACTAAATACAGTTTAATTATCAAAGTTAGGAAATTAACATCTATACAGTCCTTTAATCCATAGACTTTTTGTTTTGAGATAGTCTTTCTCTGTCTTCGAGGCTAGAGTGCAGTGGCGTGATCATAGCTCATTGTAGCCTTGACCTTGGGCTCAAGCGATCCTCCTGCCTTAGCCTCCAAAGTAGCTAGACTGTAGGTGAACAACACTAAATCTGGCTTTTTCTTTTTTTTTTTTTGTCATTTTTTTTGTGGAGATGGAGTCTTGTTGTTTCAACCAGGCTAGTCTCAAACTCCTGGGCTCAAGTGATCCTCCCACCTCAGCCTCCCAAAGTGCCAGTTGTGAAAATAATGTCTTTTATGACAGAACCTTTTCTGGTAAAGATCCAAACAAGTATCGGGCTAATTTATTTGTCATGTCTCTTTCGAGTCATTTAATTCAGAACACTTCTTTATTCTGTGTCTTTCATAACTATTGTTATTTATTTATTTATTTATTTATTTATTTATTTATTTATTTATTATTGAAACAGGGACTTAATCTGTTGCCCAGGCTGAAGTGCAGTGATGTGATCACAGCTAACTGCAACCTCAACCTCCAGGGCTCAAGTGATCCTTGTACCTCAGCCTCCTGGGTTCAAGTGATCCTTGTACCTCAGCCTCCTGGGTGTCTGGGACTACAGTCACTCACCATCATACCCGGCTAATTTTTATTTTTACTTTCTTGTAGAGACAGAGTCTCACTGTGTTGCCCAGGTTGGACTGTTGGATTTTTAAAGAGTCTAGGGAGGATATTTTTTGTAGAATGTCTTTCAATATAGATGTCTGGGTTTTCCTCATCATTGTATACATTTTTGAGCAGAAATACTGCAGAAATAATTTTGTGTCTTTCCTACTTCATTACATTAGGAGACACATGATGTTAATTTATCCTTTTTCTTGTGGTGTTAGCTTTGATCACTTATTAAAGTGGTCTTGCAGATTTCTTCCCTGTAATGTTACTATTCTTCCCTTTGTAACGAATTTACTGATTGAGATGATAAATACCCTGTTCTTACCACTTTTCACCTTTTCTTTTTCTTTTTCTTTTTTTTTTTTTGAGACAGAGTCTCGCTCTGTTGCCCAGGCTGGAGTGCAGTGGTGTGATCTCGGCTCACTGCTAGCTCCGCCTCCCGGGTTCACACCATACTCCTGCCTCAACCTCCTGAGTAGCTGGGACTACAGGTGCCCGCCACTATGCCCGGCTAATTTTTTGTATTTTTAGTAGGATGGACTTTCACCGTGTTAGCCAGGATGGTCTCAATCTCCTGACCTCGTGATCCGCCCGCCTCAGCCTCCCGAAGTGCTGGGATTACAGGCGTGAGCCACCGCGCCTGTCCTACCTTTTATTTTTCACATCTGTTGCCAAAATTATTTGTTACTGTGATGGTTTCCATGAGATAATTTGCTAATTCCATCATTTCTTCTACCTTTATTAGCTAGCATTTTATTATAAAGAATGTTTTTCTTGGCTGGGTGCGGTGGCTTACATCTGTAATCTCTGCACTTTGGGAGGCCGAGGCGGGTGGATCAATTGAGGTCGGGAGTTCAAGACCATCCTGGCCAACATGGTGAAACCCTGTCTCTACTAAAAATACAAAAATTAGCTAGGCGTGGTGGCACGTGACTGTAGTCCCAGCTACTAGGGGGGCTGAGGCAGGAAAATTGCTTGAACCTGGGAGGTGGAGGCTGCAGTGAACCAAGATCCCGCTACTGTACTCCAGTCTGGGCGACAGAGCAAGACTCCATCTCAAAAAAAAAAAATGTTTTTCTTGACTGAGCACAGTGGCTCACACCTGTAATCCCAGCACTTTGAGAGGATGAGGTTTCTTATCATCACTTTCATTCATTTATTTCATGTCAGTAAGGACTCATAGATTCTTATTTTATTCTACAGGGTATAATTTCCTACTTTCGTTTTTCATTTTATGTTCAAATTACCCCTGATTTGGCCAGTAGGAGCCCGTTCACACTGGCTCTGTGGCCTTTTGACATGCCACCCTCATAATTGGAGCACTCCCTTTCTTTCTAGCACTAGATATTCCAGATCTTCTTTACCCAACCTGGCACTGGAATCAGCCATTTCTTCAATGAGCCCTGGTTTCTTTTAGGGGAAAATGGTATTTAAAAATCAATACCTAAACATTAGATGTGCTCATTGACAATAGGGCATGACTAAATGGACATGACTAGGACATGTGTCTATGTTTGCTTCATAAATATATGTTTCTGTGTGTGTGTGTGTGTTTTAAAAAACAAATTTTAACTGAAAATCCTGATTCCTGTCCAGCACCCTTTACATATTGGTAACTCTTCAAGAATAAGAAATGTGATTCCTATTAGCCTCAACATGTTTACTTATTTGCTCAATCTTAGATTACACAGAAGTGGTTTCGGAATTGCAAACACATACTACTAACTTTAGTTTTTGTTTGTTTGTGTTTTTGAGGCAGAGTCTCGCTCTGCCCAGGCTGGAATGCAGTGGTACAATCTGGGCTCGCTGCAGCCTTTGCCTCCTGGGTTCAAGCAGTTCTCATGCCTCAGCCTGCGAGTAGCTGGGACTACAGATGTGCACCACTACACCCGGCTAATTTTTTTGTATTTTTTGTAGAGACAGGGTTTTGCCATGTTGGCCAGGCTGGTCTTGAACTCCTGACCTCAAGTGATCTGCCCGCCTCGGCCTCCCAAAGTGCTGGGATTACAGGTATGAGCTACTGTGCCCGGCTGAGCTTAGTACTTACAAGACTTGTTTTTCTGGGCATTGCTACAATGGTCTAGTTGTCTCCTTTTGTCATTACCAGAAGTTTGAATCTCTGCTAAAGTCTTTTTTATCTTGTTCTTCTTCAAGACTATCTTGGCAATTCTTGACCATTTGTATTTCTTAAGCATTTTAAGATCAGCTTGTTGAGTTCCAAAAAAAAAAGCAGCAGCAGTAGCTATTGGGGTTTTGATTGGGATTACATTGAATTTACAAATGAGTTGAAGATAATTGACATCATTACAATAGAATCTTCCAGTCTTTGAACATTGTGCATCTGTCCATTCATTTGGACTTTTTTTATTTTTTTATTTTTTGAGACAGGGTTTTGCTCAGTCGCCTAGGCTGAAGTGCAGTGGTGCACTCATGGTTCACTGCAGCCTCGACCTCCAGGCTCAGGCAGTCCTCCCACCTCAGCCTCCTGAGTAGCCAGGACCACAGGCACACATCACCATGCTCTGCTAATTAAAAAAAAAATTTTTTTGTAGAGGTAGGGTCCCTCTGTATTACCTAGATTGGTCTAAAACTCCTGGTCTCAAGTGATCCTCCAAACTCTGCTTCCCAAAGCACTAGGATTACCAGCGTGAGCCACTGCAGCCTGGATGTTTGTTCATGTCTCTCAGTAAAGTTGGGTGACTTTTCTCCTTAAAGATTTGCACATTTTTTGTTGCACTTATTCCTGAGAACTTTTTTTTTTTTTTTTTTGAGACAGAGTCTCACTCTGTTGCCCAGGCTGGAGTGCAGTGTCATGATCTCGGCTCACTATAACCTCTGCCTCCCAGGTCCAAGCAATTCTCTTGCCTCAGCCTCCCGAAGCTGGGACTACAGGCGCATGCCACCATGGTTTTTGTATTTTTAGTAGAGATGGGGTTTCATCGTCTTAGCTAGGATGGTCTTGATCTCCTGACCTCGTGATCCACCTGTCTCGGCCTCCCAAAGTGTTGGGATTACAGGTGTGAGCCACTGTGCCCTGCTATTCCTGAGAACTTCTTACTTTTACTTTTATTTTACATGGCATAGTGTGGTGTCTAAGAACCATACTTTTTGTATTCTGATTCTGGACCTATTATTTATGAGCTGTGTAATCTTGGGCAAGTTACTTAACTACTCTGCATTTCTCTTTCTTTCTATGTGTAATGTGTAACAGTTCTTAACTGGTAGGGTTGTGAAGATTAAATGTGCTCATGTACATGAAGAGTTTAAAATGATACCTAACATAAGCCCAATGTAAGTTTGAAGTATCATTACTGTTTTGTTTTCTAACTGTTGGTAATACAGAAGTACAACATTATTATCTCTTGATTTCATAACTCAGAAACCCTGATAAACTCTTATGAATTCCAGTAATTTGCCCGTGGATTCTTTTTACATTTCAGTACACATAGTCATATCATCTACAGATAATGTCAGTTTATATCCTTTCTTCTAATCCCTGGGGCTTTTTTTATTTTTTGAGACAGAGTCTCGATCTGTTGCCCAGGTTGGAGTGCAGTTGCACAATCTTGGCTCACTGCAACCTCTGCCTCCCGGGTTCAAGCAATTCTCATGCCTCGGCCTCCTGAGTAGCTGGGATTACAGGTGCCTGCCACCACGTCTAGCTAATTTTTTGAATTTTTAGTAGAGATGGGGTTTCACCGTGTTGGCCAGCCTGGTCTCAAATGCCTCACCTCAAGTGATCCACCCACCTTGGTCCCCCAAAATACTGGTATTACAGACGTGAGCCACCTCGCCTGGCCTAATCCCTGGGACTTTAATTCTTTTTCTTGTTTAACTAAGATAGACCAAACTTCTAAAATTAATATAGAAATGGGAAAAGAAAGCATTTAGAGTAGAGCTGCTGAAAACTGTTTTTTTTTTTTTTTTAAGCTGTAAGACTTAATATAGAGCTGCAGTAATCAAGCCAGTTTGGTAATGTCAGAAGGATAGATATATAGATTAATGGAGCATATTAGAGAGGCTAGAAATAGATCCACAGATGTGGTCAATTGATTTTCAACAAAGTTGCCAATCTAATCCACTAGGGAAAGGGAAAGTCTTTCAACAAGTCGGTTTTGTATAAGTGGATATTGGTATTGGGGATAAAAAGTATTAACCATTATCCTGTCCATACTGACAAATTAAATTGAAATGGATCTTAGTCCTGTATGTAAAATTTGTTGCGTGGACCTGTAGTTCCAGCTATTCAGGAGGCCGAGGTTGAAGGATCACTTGAGCCCAGGAGTTCTGGGCTATAGTGCTCCGTGCTGATCAGATGTCTACACTTAAGTTCGGCATCAATATCGTGACTTCCCAGGAGAGGAGGTCCACAAGGTTGCCTAAGGAAGGATGAACTGGTCCAGGTCAGAAACAGAGGAGGTCAAAACTCCCATGTAGATCAGTAGTGGTAGTGTGCCTGTGAATAGCCACTGCACTCCAGCCTGGGCAACATAGCAAGACCCTGTCTCTTAAAAACAAATACACTTATACCTATAAAATTTCCAGAAGAAGACATAGGAGAAAATCTTTGTAACTTGGAGATATGCAAAGTTTATTAGACCACAGAAAGCACAAACCATAAAAGGAAATAATTTACATATTGTAAATTATTTTAGTGCTCCGCTGCTTGAAAGATAAAACCAAAAGGCAAACATTACTCACTCCAAGTTGGCAAAACCTCTGGCTCCTACCTAGCCTGGTGATCTGTGAAATTTAAAAATGTTGCTGGGTGCAGTGGCCAGCACACCTGTAGTTCCTGTTACATGGGAGGCTGAGGCAGGAGGATTGTTTGAGCTGAGGCTTGAGTGTGCTCTAATCAAGCCTGTGAATAGCTGCTGTACTCCATTTCGGGCAACACAGTCAGACCCCATCTCTAAAAAATATATAAATAAATTAATTAAAATGTGATTTAATATTAGGTGTTAATTAAACACAAATGTTCATAGCAGTTTTATTTATAATAGCCAAAATCTAGAAGTATTCTACTAACAGTTGAATAGATAAAAGTGGTCCTTCTATGCAATCAAGTACTATTCAGCAATAAAAAGGAATAAAGTAGTGATAAAGGCAAAGGGATTATGCTGAACAAGAGAAGCCAGACAGAAGGGAACACCTATTCTATAATTCTGTTTGTATATATTTCTATAAAATGCAAACTAATCTATAGTGTGAGAAAGATCAGTGGTTGCCTGAGGACAAGGTTTGGAGAGAGGGAGATTGCAGAGGGACATGAGAAAATTTTCAGGAATGATGGGAATATTTGTTATCTTGATTGTGATGATAATTTCACATGCTTTAAATATACAGTCATGTATTGCTTAACCACAGGGATACGTTCTGAGAAACGTGTCATTAGGTGGTTTTGTTGTGTACTTAAACAAACATAGATGTTATAGCCTACTAAACACCTAGACTGTATGGCATGTTACCATAATGTATACTATAGGCAGCTATAACATATGGTAAGTATTTGTGTATCTAAACATAGAAAGGGTACAGTAAAAATACAGTATAAAAGATCAAAATGGTACACCTGTATAGGGCACTTCCTATGAGTAGAGGTTGCAGGACTGGAAGTAATATTTTTATTTCCTTAATAATAAATTAGCCTTAGCTTGCCCAGGCATGGTGGCTCACCCTGTAATCCCAGCACTTTGGGAGGCCAAGGCAGGTGGATCACTTGAGGTCCAGAGTTTGAGACCAGCCTGGCCAACATGATGAAACCCCATCTGTACTAAAAATACAAAAATTAGCTGGGTGTGGTGTAGGGCTTCTGTAATCCCAGCTACTTGGGAGGCTGAGGCAGGAGAATTGCTTGAACCCAGGAGGCGGAGTCTGCAGTGAGCCCAGATTGTGCCACTGCACTCCAGCCTGGGCGACAAAGTGAGACTCCATTTAAAAAAATAATAATAAAATAAAAAACAAACAAATAAATAAAATAACCTTAGCTTACTACAACTTTCTAACTTCATAAACTCTTAATTTTATTTTTAACTTTTGACTCTTTCGTAATAATACTTACCTTGAAACACAAGCACATTGTGTAGAAAATATTTTTGTTTACAAGCTGTTCAAAAATATTTTTTCTTCGTAGCCTTATTCTGTAAACTTTTTTCTATTAAACTTTTTTCAACTTTTAGTTTTTTGTTAAAAACTAAGACACATACACACGTTAGCCTAGGCCTACACAAGGTCAGGATTGTCAATATCACTGTCTTCTACTTCTACATCTTGTCCCACTGGAAGGTCTTCAGGGACAGTAAACATGCATGAAGCTGTCATCTCCTATAATGACAATACTTTCTTATGGAATACCTCCTGAAGGACCTGCTTGAAGCTGTTTTACGGTTAAGTTTTAAGAAAAAAAAAAACAAGTAGGAGTACACTCTAAAATAACAATAAAAAGTATAGTATAGTATATACTATATAATAAAAGTATAGTATGTATATAAACCAATAACATAATTCTTTATTATCAAGTATTATATACTGTACACAATTTTATTTTCTGTACTTTTATAGAGTTTTATTCCAGCATCACTACAAACATATGAGGAATATGTTGCACTACAGTGTTACAATGGCTATAACATTACTGGGCAATAGGAATTTTTCAGTTCCATTATAATCATATGGGACCACCATTGTATATGTGGATCATTGACCGCTCCGCTGCACATGACAGTATATCAAAACTCATCACATTGTACATAGATAGATATACATAATATAGTACATACACATGTATATATGTACATTGTATTCTATATAAGTTAGAAAATAAATTAAGTCAAATCATTTTACTCTAATGCTGACTACCCTCCAAAGGTTTCTGTTTCTTTTGGAGTGGATGCCCCCATCTTTACATTGGATTACAAGGCCCTATACCATCTTTTTTCTTTTTGACAAATCTTTTTTTGTGCTCCCCTACTTCATCCTTCTACCCCTCAATACTGAAATCCCTATTGTTTGTCAAACATATTAGGTGTGTTCCAACCTCCAGATCGTTCCACTTGTTATTTCTTCTGCCTGGAGTACTTTTCTCCCAGGTACACTGAGAGAGATTTTTCTCATCTGCCTTCTTTGACCTGTCTTGTCAAGGTCTTCCTCAGAATTCTCCTGATCGATCCTTCCTTGCCTCCCTCCCTCCCTCCCTCCCTCCCTCCCTCCCTCCCTCCCTCCCTCCCTTCCTCCCTTCCTCCCTTCCTTCCTTCCTTTTCTTCTTCCTCCTCTCCCCTCCCCTCCCTCTCTTCTTTTCTTTTCTTTTTTCCTCTCTCTTCTTTCTTTCAACAGATCTCTCTCACTCTGTTACCCAGGCTGGAGTGCAGTGGTGCAACCATGCCTCACTGCAGCCTGGAACTCCTGGGCTCAAGCAATCCTTCCACCTCAGCCTCCTGAGTAGCTGGGAATACAGGCAGATACCACCATGCCTGGCTAATTTCAAAGTTTTTATAGAGAGGCGGGGTCTCACTATGTTTTCCAGGCTTCTCTTGAACTCGTGGCCTGAAGTGACCCACCCACCTTGGCCTCCTAAAGTGCTGGGATTCTAGGTGTGAGTCACTATGCCCAGCCTGTTTTTTTCCATAGTAATTGTCACCTTACATGCCATACAATTAACTTATTGCGTATTCTGTGTATTGTTTATTCTGTTTTTAATCTCTCAAACTTCACCAGGGCAGACTTGGGGAGTAGGATGCCTATTCAGTTTACTAATATTTCCTAATTCTGGAAGCAAAATAACCATGCAAACAATATTTGCTGAATAAATGTTTATTATTCTGTTTTTTCCACTACTGGTTTGAAGTTTAGCACTGCTTCTGTTTTTATCTAGATTTTTAACTTTCAAACATTTTACCAAAATCTAATGTTAATTAATAGCTGTACCTTTTCTTACATAATAGAAGAAATTAGGACACTTGGACTCCTTTTGCCTCCTCCTTACCTGTGATGTTATTATATTTTTATGTTATTTGACTTTAGTCTTGGCAATTTGTTATTATTGTTTTGTACAA
Source organism: Homo sapiens (assembly GCF_000001405.40). NCBI lineage: Eukaryota > Metazoa > Chordata > Mammalia > Primates > Hominidae > Homo > Homo sapiens. The sequence continues at coordinate 112,239,007 of NC_000009.12, read as the reverse complement.
TCAGTGATTAAACCATATATAACTCTTTAGGCTTTTCATTCCTTCTTGCAACTCAGACATGCCATCTGAAAACACTTATATTCTGCCTGAGGATCCTTTTTAGTATTTCACTTAGGAAAGGTCTGTGGTAACATATTTGAAGTTTTTATTTGCCCCAAAATATCTTTCTTTTTTTAATCAATTTTAAGAGTTATTTTTGCTGAGTATAAAGTTCTAGGTTGACAGGTATTTTTTCTTTCAGCGTATTAAAGATACCATTCTGTGGTATTCTGATGTCCATTGTTGCTCTTAGAAAGTCAGTTGTCAAGCTAACTGCTGCTCTGTTTTTTCTGGCTGTTCTTTAGGGATTTTCCTTTTTGGTGTCCTTTTTCTTTTGTGTACTTTCAATATGATGTATTCATTTAAGGATTTATTTTTATTCTAATTGGAGCTCATTGGGCTTCTTGAGTCAGTGGATTGTTTGTTATTTTTAGTGGTTCTAGAAATTATCCTTTCATATATTCCCCCTTAACACTATTTCTCTCCTGCCTTTCTGGAGCTTTGATTAGACATGTTATACCCCCATACTGTCCTCAGTGTGTAAAACTTAACTTTTCTTTCTGAGCTGCATTTGGAATAATTCTTAGGACCTAACTTTCAGTTCACTGATGACGCTCTTCAGCTTGGTTTAATTGTCGTTAAATCTGTCCTATAATTTTAGATCTTAGCAATTGTGGCTTTCATTTCTAGAAATTTTATTTGGTTCATTTTTAAAAAGTGTCTCCTGTACTACAGATTTTTTTTGTATGTCTTTTTTCAAACATACTATTTAAATCTTCATCTGCTTAATTTAGTATCTCAGATTTTTTGCAATTTTCTTTCTGCTTAGATATTTCTGACTTTTTGGGTTTTTTTGTGGGGGAGGGTGGGGATGAGTTATTCACTTTACTTGGAGAATTAATTATGATTGTCCTTTGAGGCTCAGGATTAAGGTGTTTGTTCCTCCAGAGAGAATTTGCTTGCCTGCAGCATTAAAGGCTCTACGTTCAGGATCATTTCAACCTAAATTTATAGCTTGATTTTCCTTTGGACTTCCAAGAAATGTAAATTTGGACTGTAAATTTTTGTGAAAGCTTCCTTTTGGTTAGAACTTTTCAGGGGACTTTTCTCCCTTCTCTGCTGGTCACAAAGCAAACCTTCCTTGTAGTCTTTTGAAGATGGGAGGAATAGTAGATAGGGTAGGTTATTTTCAGCTTATATTAATAGGTTAATGCAGTGAGAGTATCCTGTTGACTTCTCACTGTGGGCTAACCCTGGGATTTGCTTCTGGCCTGCTACCCCATGAGCTGATCAAACCAAAGCTCAGTGTCACAGGGTTAGAGTTTGGGCCTAGTTACTCCTTATAATCTCGGCAACTTTTAGGTTTTTTAAAGAAAGTCTTTATACTTGTTCATTGAGCGTTTTTCTGCAGTAAGGTTAGTTTATGTTAATTATTCTCCAATTTAGACATTAAGCTTGTTTCTTTAGGATTTTGCTATTTCAAATAACACTGTGATAAACTGATTTCATGGGTTAAAATGTTATCTTATGTATTAATTCGTATTGCCTTGGTTGCTATCATGGTGGTACATTTTCCAAATGTGAAGAATCCGTTCTTATTCGGATCTGAAACATTTTTCTTAAAGGTTTGTGTAATTGCCTCATTCTGAAATGAAGATATGAATCCACTGTCTAACAGGTTACTTTGCTATATGATGTTTCTGTTTCTGCTCATTTAGGGAGTGTGGATTATATAGACACTTGAAAAATGTGTGTTTTGTCAAATTTTAGCAAATGTTCTTATTAATCTTATTTTACATGGAAACAGTTATTCAAATTTGGTCTTGATGATTGTTTGCCAGTCCTTTTATGTATTTCTATTTAATGTTCTATGATAGTTATCTCAAAATCTTTCCTCATTTCTCTCAAATCTACTGCTTGCTAGAGCTCTCTCTGCTCACCCCTTCTGTAGCCATCTGTGTTAGCCACTTTGCTGTCCTTTACAACTACTCCCCCTCATCAGTGGTTGATAGAAATTAATGTTTATTTCTCTCCCATGCCTCGGCAGCTGTGAATAAGCTCTTGCAGCCATCCTCCACTTGCCTTTTTTATCTAGGGCCCACGCTAAAGATCCACTCCTTTTTGAGACATGGCATTCTTGGGGCAGAGAGTCGAGAATAAGGGAGCAGATATAAACCCTTAATGCCATTTAAAGGCTCTGTGTAGAAGTAACATGTGAACATGTGTCATTTCCACCAGTATTCTTTGGGAAAAACATGACATGATCAAGCCCAGTGTGAACTGCATGGAAATATGTGCTCTTCCACCTAAAGGCATTGCAAGTCATGTTTGGCCAGTTATATAGAAGGGGGCAAGTGAATATTTGGCAACAATAATACAATATCCACCGTATCTCTCCTTATTGTTTAACTTTGTTTTTAGCCTTTCTAGTGTAGATGTTCATAATTGCTTGTGTCTATCTTGAGGCCTCTTTGTGAAGTCTTCCTTTGTGCCTTTAATACAGTGTTTTCTGTTGTAAAAATGAATCATTTTACCTATGATCTTGAGCTTGCTTGTGTGTAAGTTTAGCAAAGACAAAATCTTGTCTGCTTTGTTCAGACTCCTCACTAGAATGCTTAGCTCATGATATGCTCTCAACATGTATTTGTTAAATGGATTTCACTCTCCCTTCTTACTTCATCAGTTATTCTGTCAGTTACTCTCATTTTTTGAATCTCAGTGTCAATTCTCTGTGCTAATTCTATCCCTGCAGTCTCTTGTGACGGTATTTTCTTGAATTACTATAATTAGTTACATATTTAATAAATTATATTAAATAATTCTTTTTAATGAAGAAAATAAAATTATATGAGTTTTTAACTCCTGGAAAATAGAGCCTACATACTTGTGCCTATAAATACAGTCATCTCCCTATCATTGAAAAAGCAAACTCCCCCCTTTGAGGTTTGCAGTCCAACCTCTCACTACTTCTGTAATACTGTTGTTTTACCTTTTTCATTTCTCATTCTCTGTGCCCTATATTGAAGGTCCTCCCTATCCCCCTTTTGAAACTATTCCTCTAGATTCTGAGGTACTATAATTCCTTGTTTCTTTCCTGTTTCTAGGGCTAGTCTCTTCCTCTTTTCTGTAGGATATTCCCTTTCCTTCTGTTGCTTAAGTGTACCTATACCCCCAGGCTGTATCTTTAGCCTTCTTCATTTCTTGTCTTGTGCTCTTTTTAAGTGGAGCTCTCATTTGTATGGCTTTCACATTTATTTCTACACAGGTAATTCACAAATTTATGTGTTTACTTACAATAATCTGAGTTTGTGCCCTTATTTCCACTTTTGGCCATTTCTTTTTGAATATCTCATCATCATCTTAAATTTGATGTTCCCCCAAACCAAATTAATCATTTGTCTGCTAAAACTGACTCTCCATTGGAACTCCCGTTTTTGTTGATGATATACAGTCAACAGGCTTCTTAAAGGAAAGAGAAGACCAGCATTTGTTTAGCATTTAGTACACACTAAGTACTGTGCTTCTTCAATTACATAATATCTGGCTCAGGTTTTACCTCCAGTGAAAACTTCTCTGACCAGTCACAGTGAATCCTCTGTGATCACTTCTTACTCCAATTGTAATATATTTGAATTTGTACCTTTCGACCCTCATCATGAATCTCCTATAATTCGTACTTTTAGTTTGTAAGCCTCTCAAAGGCAAGGATTTTAACTCATTTTTTTTTAAATCAGCATAGTTACCCCACAGATACAGATTTAATAACATTTAGTAAGTAACTGATTTTTCATTATGAAATATTGCTCTAAATAAGAGAAAGAATCTCAGGCTAGTCCAAAACTAAATCATAGCTAAACTGTACTCTTGGTCCTTGAACCCAATTGAAAAGGGTTAGCCTTTGGAAGTGGCAGAGGCTCTTTTTATACGTTAAAGATCACTTGTTGAACAGATCTTTACTCCGTAACAGAATCTCTTTGTTAGTAATATACTTTCATAGAGCCATTTTATATTGCTTTGATAACGATATTTATAGAAGGTAGTGTGTTTACTTTAGCTTCTCTTTCCCATTAGGTGCACCGGGTATAATTTCTTCACCATATGCAGGGGCTGCTGGATTTGCCCCAGCCATTGGATTTCCTCAAGCTACAGGTGATTCTTTTAAGTTGGATTTGAAATGACTTTTAATGAAGTTGTATATTTTCTAGGAACTTACCAAGATGAAGAATGTTATCATATTTGAAGAATTTACCATAAAGCATTATGCATATCAGCTGTAGAAGTGTAGTGATTTGTATGATATATAGCTTCCTTGTTATTTACAAATTATTCTCTCTGGTCCTATTTTTAATTCCAGTAATCAGTATGTGTTCTGCATCATTTATGTTTGCTTTTGGCACAAATAACTATAGGCTAACTACATTAAATAACCTTAGATTTGCCTTTCCAGTTGTTATATAAAATGTATAAGCTGCTCTGTCTTTACTGATAAACTTATCAATTATGTGTTGAACAGACCTGTCTTATCTTTGGGCCTTCAATGCCTTTGACAGTACTCAACAAATAATATGCAGTCATACTATACATTCACTATTCATCTTTGGAAAACCTTTTGTCATTAATGGGTTTTGAAGATTACGATAGAGGGGTATGCATGCTGTTTATTTCAGGGGATATATATTTTGTCTCTTTAGCTAATGGAGGTAATTAAGAGATAGGAGTTGATTAATACGTTGATAATGATTCCCATTATTTTCAAAACAGTAAACAAAATGAATTTGATTATAATTTAAGGAAAAGAGAAAATGTTACTTTATGGTTTTATCTCTGGTGTCTAAAGAAAACACTGAGGTTGGTGATTAGGGGAATGACAGAGTTTGGTAAGCCTACTCCACATATTTCCAACTTAAACTGATTCATGACTTTAACTACATTTTAAATTGCAACATAGCTGCTTTCTGGCAGTAATCTTTATATTCTAACCTTTGAATTCTGGGAATTTTAACTACTCTCTCTCTCTCTTTTTTTTGTTGTTGTTGTGAGACAGATAGCTCACTCTGTTGCCCAGGCTGGAATGCAGTGGTGCAATCTTGTCTTACTGCAACCTCCACTTCCTGGGTTCAAATGATTCTCATGCCTCAGCCTTCTGAGTAGCTGGGACTAGAAGTGCATGTCACCACGCCCAGCTAATTTTTGTATTTTTAGTAGAGGTGGGGTTTCGCCATGTTGGCTAGGCTGGTCTCAAACTCCTGGCCTCAAGCGATTAGCCTGCCTCAGCCTCCCAAAGTGCTGGGATTAAAGGGTGAGCCACTGCACCTGGCCAATAACTACTCTCTTTTTGATGGAGAGGATGGAGTTAACAGAAAGAGTGATATGAAGGTTGAGGTTTTAAATTTTACCATCTTGGTGGTTTTTAGTATATCTTAACATATGTTTAATTAAGTGAATATTCTACCTATTGTGTTAAAAACATAGTTTATTTATTTGAAGCTCCTCAAGGTTTAACAATTGGTGGACATTTTGATATGTTTTCCCTCATTTTGGATATTTCTTTTAGATATACTCTATATATAAATATTAATTAATATTAAGAAAGATGAAAAGTGAATAAAAGAGGGCTTCTGACTTGATAAGACTTTTAAGCTGATAGAAGATACACACACACACACACACACACACACACACACACACACACACACCCTACAGTGTAGCTCAACTGTGCTCTTAGCTCATGAATAACAGACATACAAACAGCAAAAGTTATGCAAAAGTCAGGGTTGGACTGGAGGGGCATGGGAATATGTCATGTGAAGGCTATTGATTTCGTGCAGTAGTATTCAGCCTGAGAATGTGGTCTGCACAGTTTTAAAATTCAGCAGTATGGATGATGGTAGTTATGACCTTCTTAGATTATCAAGCAGAATAGGCTGAATGTAAAATATATTATAATTTAATTACATGATTTGTGGTGAAGTGGTCAGACTGTTTATTTTAAAGAGTCATTAAATTAAGGAATTGGTTCATTTTGCATAAACTAGAGGTTTTACCTTAGACAGGTTTTAAGCTGAGAACACAAAATAGTGGGAAAGTGTGCTGTTTTAAGTATAGTGTCAGTATTCTGCTGTTACTGAGCTTTCAGGATTTCCATAGTACCTAGAGAAGTAGAGAGCTCAGAACATTTCTGCTACAAAAGAATATTGAATTCTGTAAATATCTATTTTGGTCAGAATAATATTTAATATAGCATTTTATACAGTCACAAAATGTTTTTCCCATATAAAATGTCATATAGCACTACCTAGCATGCATGTTTTTGACTTTCTGCTGAAGGACTTTAAAAAAATACATATCTGATTTTATGGTAGAAGTCAGTATGAAAAGCATATACACTTGATAGAAGGGTGTTAGGATATATCTATTGTAAGAAACAGAGGGAGTGTTTGTAGTTGATAGACCCTCTGAAAAGCCTAATAGCGTTAGGCCCAGTGAGTTCAGTTACTCTGCAGAGTACTGTGTGGATAATAGAGCACTAAGTATAGTAATGTCAATAGATGAGGAGCTCAGCTTGCAGACAGACTCTGTAGGGCAGAAAACTGGCCTTCAGTATCTTTATGGTAGCCTTGACACATTTTCTTTCTGTAGTTTTCCTTTCCTCTTTATTTACTTAAATTGTATCAAGTGTTACAGTTCTTCAAATAATTAGAATATGAAATGCTTTTGGTATTTTTAAAAGGTCTATCAGTTCCAGCTGTTCCTGGAGCTCTTGGTCCTCTCACAATCACCTCTTCTGCTGTCACTGGAAGGATGGCCATTCCTGGGGCTAGTGGTATACCAGGAAATTCTGTTCTACTCGTCACAAATCTCAATCCTGATGTGAGTTGAAAAGTATTATATGTAAATAGTCTTTCAGGAGAAGGTATAGTAGCACTTTTTTCTTTCTTTCTTTTCTTTTCTTCTCTTCTCTTCTCTTCTCTTCTCTTCTCTTCTCTTCTCTTCTCTTCTCTCTTCTCTTCTCTTCTCTTCTCTTCTCTTCTCTTCTCTTCTCTTCTCTTCTCTTCTTTTCTTTTCAGAAAGGATTTTACTCTGTTACTCAGGCTTCAGTGTGGTGCTGCATTCACTCACTGTGACCTCTGCTTCCTGGGCTCAAGTGATCCTCCCACCTCAGGCTCTCAGGTAGCTAGGATTACAGGTGCCCACTACCACGCCTGGCTAATTTTTTTTTTTAATTCTTTTGTAAAAACAGGATCTTGCTATGTTGCCCAGGCTGGTCTCAAGCTCCTGGGCTCAAGCGACACACACCTCAGCCTCCCAAAGTGCTGGGATTACAGGTGTGAGCCACCATGCCTAGCCATGGTAGCTTCTGATCCAGGGTTGTATTCAAATTAAAATGCTTAAGTTTGTTTTAAGAACTTCTATTAAAATTCATCACTAGTATATACGGAAGAAGCATATAAAACCATGCTTTAAAATAAAATCAACTGCCATTACAGTATAAATAAACTTATTTTCAATTTTTACTTAAATTGTCAGACACTTAACTTTGTGTTACCCTTTACAGCTTATCACACCACATGGGCTTTTTATCCTATTTGGTAAGTTCATTTTTGCTATTTTATTATTGTCTACAGGTGTGAATTGAGCACATTTCACTTTTTTAGTAATATGTATTGATTACTTCTGTGTGCCAAGTATTGTGCTGACACTGAGGATAAAACAGTGAATAAGACTTAGTAAGTAATTACAGTGATGATTTATAGTATGGGAAATATAGGTTTTGTAAAGGGAGTGTAACGCAGGGAGACCTAACCTAGCAGAGGGACTCAATAGAAATGATAGTTAAGCTGACTTGTTCAACATGAGTAAGAATCAGCCAGGCAGAAAGGGAGGGCAATGTCTTCACAGGGGAGGGGAGAGGGGAGAGATGGGTCCTGGTGCATGGAAGTGAAGGAAGCCCAGTGGTGAGCATAGGCAAGCATAATGGAGACCTGGTGAAGGTGGACAGCTGCGTAGGGTCAAAATCGTGAAGAGCTGTTAAAAGCTTTGTTAAGGAATTTGGTTTTTACCTAAGAACAATCGGAAGCCATTGAATAATTTTAAGGCAAGAGAGTGGTATAATGCGATTCAGGTTTTAAAAATAGTCTCCAAACTTTCGAACAGCATAGAAATATGAGAACAATGAAATAAGCAATATTTACTATTTTAAAGATTTTTATTAAGGACAGTTTATTTTTCCATAAAACATGATTAACATCTAATGAGCAGTATGATTAATATGCTTTGATATTACTAAAAATCCTTGTTTTCATTTTGATTCAGTAATCCAAGGGTAGATTATTTCACTACTTGATTTTAATGGTTGTCATAGCTGAAGAAGATAAATCATAAATATATATAATCTAAATGCAGGGGTTTCATTGTTGCTGTACTTCAATAATTATTTCATTATTTTTTTCATGTAATCCACCAATTTTTGTCATGTTTTATCTAGAAAAGTTAGATTTTTTCCCCGTAAATCAGTGGATCTTGAAAACTGTTGTGTTTGAATATGTCTGACAAATAGAGTTAAAACTCACTGATATGCTTCATTTGTAAGATTTTTAAAATAAGATAGAAAACTGCTTCCAAATTTTTTGAATGTGATAGTTTTAGAGACAGGGTCTCACTGTTTCCCAGGCTGGAGTGCAGTGGTGTGATCATAGCTCACTGTAGTCTCAAACTCTTGGGCTCAAGCAGTCGTCCTCCCTCAGCCTTCCAAGTAGCTGGGATTATAAGTGCAAGCCACAACACCAGGCTGATAGGTTTTTTTTAATGGAATTTTTTCAGATGTAATTTACAACCATACAGTTTACCTGCTTTGGGTTTACAACTCAAGATTTTTGTAAATTCACAGTTGTGTGGCCATCACCACAGTCCAATTTTAGAAAATTTTCAACGCCCGAGAGAAATTCCTCATGCTCATATGCAGTCACTATAAAAGTTTTTATTAATGATTGATGCATGTAATTTTCAGTAATAAAATCAAGTATTAATAATACATTTTAATATGACTCTTTTCTAGCCAAAGCATGTTTCATACCAAAAGTAGTTAATTTCTCACTCATTTAAAAAATGGCTGGGTGCAGCAGCTCATGCCTGTAATCCCAACACTTTGGGAGGCCAAGGCAGGAGGATCAGATTGTTTGAGACCAACCTGGGCCAGATAGTGAGACCCCATCTCTACAAAAAATAAACACCCACATTTTGCAAAACAAATGGTATATGTTTAGTTTTTAAAGAATAGTTACATCACCATCGTGTTATTTCTGAGAAAGGTAGCAAATTCGGAATACTTGTCTCCATTTTAAATTTTTAAAGTGCCATTAGTATGATAATGATGTAACTATTGAAAGATTTTTTTTTTTTTTTTTGAGACAGGGTCTTATTCTGTTGCCCAGGCTGGAGTGCGGTGGCACAATCTTGGCTCACTGCAACCTCTACCTCCCAGGTTCAAGCAATTTTCCCACCTCAGCCTCCCGAGTAGCTGGGACTACAGGTGTGCGCCACCAGGCCTGACTAATTTTTGTATTTTTTGGTAGAGACGGGGTTTCCCCATGTTGGCCAGGCTGGTCTCGAATTCCTGACCTCAAGTGATCCACCCACCTCGGCCTCCCAAAGTGCTGGGATTATAGGTGTGAGCCACTGTGCCCTGCTGAAAGATCTTATTTTTATAATATTGATGATACTCTGTAGCACATAAACTGAAATATATTGTAATACACTGGATGAAAAAATCGAGTGAGACTGGAATTGACTTCGTAGAACCTGTTGGCTTTAATTTTATCTATATATTAAAAATTCAAAAACTGTAGTTTTTTAATATTGGTTTATATAAATAGATTAGTATAGATAAGAGTTTGATTATTATCTTTCCATACCCCAGTGAATCACTTTACCCATCCTTTAGGATATGGGACCCACTTTGGGGAACACTAGGGTAGAAAAATCGAGGGTAATAAGATGAGTTAGGATCAATTAGGTTGTCCTGATTGTCCGAGTGTGAAATGGTGTTGATAGCTTTGATGGTAGCGAGGATTGGGAGAGGTGGACAAATATGAGAGATATTTAGACCATAGAATCAATGGGTGCTGGTGATTGATTGGGTGGGTGTCAGGGTTTGAGGAAAGGAAGAAGTCAAAAGATGACTCCCAGGTTTCTGGCTGGAGCAACTGTGTGAATGATGGTATTTATCTACAGCTTTAGTGAGCACTGGGAGTGGGGAGAGGAAAGGGGGGATGAATCATTTTGGGACATAATAAGTTTAGAGTGTTGATGGGACATCCAAGTGAAAAAGAGTAAGTACATGAATAGATCTGGAACTTTGGAAGAGATAAAAATTTGCAGGTGTATGTATGGAATTGCCAAGGGAGAGTAAGAAATGCCTTCTTTAAGTATATTAGTAAAATTAATTAAACACAACACAATCAGACGTTAAACACAGTGTTTTGTTTTGTTTTAATTAGGAGTCTATGGTGATGTACATCGAGTGAAGATTATGTTTAATAAGAAAGAAAATGCCTTGGTTCAGATGGCGGATGCAAATCAAGCTCAGCTAGGTACTAATGATTAATAATTATTAATAATAATGTGAACTTGCCCCTTTTGTGTGTGAATTTTCCTTCAAAATACAGCTAGTAGGAATATGATTTTACAAAAGAACACCTCCTTGTGATAATGCCTTCATTATTATTTGCATCTGTCTATATGTTAAGGTTAAAAAATATTCATCACTCTTCTAAGTCTGAAGTTCATTTGTCTACGTGAACATATTGTTAATTTCTAGAGCTTTGACCCTAGGGTTTTTCCGTTAAGTTTAATAAGCATGATTTGTTTTATTTCATTTTTTTAATTTATTTTCCTTCCAAATTAAGTTTTCTGTAACCACTGAGTGGCTTAAAAGTTTGGGCAAACTTTGTAATGATGATACAAGAAAGGGTTCATGGCTTCACTGTTATAAAAGCTGTAAAGTATTACTCAAAATTTCTTATAAAAATGCCTTGCTTGAGATAAAACTAATATATTCAGTAACCATTTCATGAATACTTACTATGTTCCAGGCACTCTGAAACTTCATAGCACTCTGCTCAGAAAATATTTTTTGTTTGTTTTAAATTGCTTTTCTTATAGTGAAATGAAGTCATTTAATATATTTCCTTGAGGGTTTTTGGATTTTGAAACCCTTTTCACCCTCAAACTGATAATACAGTTTTAAATAACTACATAAAAATAATTTATGGTAATGTTGTCAGATACTACTGAGAAATCTATCCTAATACTCAAACTTTAAAATTTTCTTCCCATGCACTAGCAATGAACCATCTAAGTGGTCAGAGACTTTATGGGAAAGTGCTTCGTGCTACACTGTCCAAACATCAAGCAGTACAGCTTCCTCGAGAGGGACAAGAAGACCAAGGTCTGACTAAGGATTTCAGCAATAGTCCTTTGCATCGCTTTAAAAAGCCGGGCTCTAAAAACTTCCAGAATATCTTTCCACCATCAGCCACTCTGCATCTTTCCAACATTCCGTATGTACCTAATAAGTTATTAATCACTTAGATGATGAATAATCTACAATATGTGATGTAGGAGAGGTTAAAACTTCTGAAATTGTTCTAACCTAGCAGTTGTCCTGGTCAACAGTTTCTGATAAGACAATTTATTTGCCATCATGCCTTCAGAAGGTTATCTCCAATCCTACACTCTAAAATAGAAAGATACCTGTTTTAAAATTTTCTTTCCAAATAGAGAATTCACAACTAGTTATTTTTCAGTGATCAAAGGTCATAAAAAAAATTCTAGGCAGAAGTATTCCATTGGCACGTATTTGTCCATCTGTTTGTAGAAGTAATGACTCTTACGTTAACCAATATGACAAAATCAAATTGTGTATCTAAGAATTTGGTAAAAATGGATTTCATACTTTTTATCTACAAGCTGTAAAGCCATAGATATGGTAATTACTTAAAAGCTAAACGTTATTTTCCTGTAGCCACTGTACAGGTCTCTTTATTAACCAGTGTTGTATGTGTGCTTTAGTTATCTTCAAACTCAGGGATTGACAACCTGTAGCCTATGGCTGTTTTTGTATGGCCTATGAGCTAAGAATGATTTTTACATTTTAAAATGGAAGCAAAATATTTTGTGATGTGAGAAAATTATATAAAATTCAAAATTCGCCTTTTATAAAGTTTCGTGTAATATAGCTGTACCCATTCACTTACGTGTTACTTATGGCTGCTCTTGAGTTACAACAGCAAAGCTGATTAGTTGCAGCAGAGACAATATGGCCCATACAGCCTAAGATATTTACTGTCTGGCCCTTTAAAGAAAATATCTGGCTATCTCTGTCCTAATTGTTGAAGTCCTTAGTCTACAAAAATGGCAGTTTTGTTCATGGACTTTGGAAATTGTTAAAACAAAAAAATGGCAGTTTTGTATAATTTGAACTAATACATAAAAGGGACTATAAGCTTTGGAAAAGAGATAAAAGCTGTGGGGGATGTGTGTGTATGTGTGTAAAAATTTAAAAACTTGAGGGTATAGAGAGGGGTGAAGTCTGGAACATTATTGAGAATGAGAATGGGAAGTGAATAGTAATAGAGAATAATTACTCAGAAGAATGCTGAATATCCGGCCTCCCTGCTGGTCTCCAGTTAGGCTGCATGGAGAAACCTTGAATCCAAGTGGGGCAGTGGATCAAACCTCATACCAGCCGGGAAACTGGTAGAGTCAAGGAAAAAAAAAAAAAGTAGATTAAAAGTAGATGACATGGACCGAGAAATTTAGCAGCTCATTACTGTGGAGTGTAGGGTAAATGGACAACAATTAGATACTGAGGCAGGCACCTGTCATCATTAGCTTTTAATTTTTTTAAATTAATATATTTTTTTTTGAGACAGGGTCTCCCTCTGTTGCCCAGGCTGTAGTGCAGTGGTGTGATCTCAGCTCACTGCATCCTCTGCCTCCCAATCTCAAGTGATCTTCCCACCTCAGCTTTCCAAGTAGCTGGGACTACAGGTGTCGGCATGCCCAGCTAATTTTTTGTATTTTTTTGTAGAGACAGGGTTTTACCATTTGCCCAGGCAGATCTCTAACTTCTGAGCTCAAGCAATCTGCCTCCCAAAGTGTTGGGATTAGAGACGTGAACGACTGTGCCCAGCTCTGTTGTTAGCTTTTTAAATATACCACATCACGCAGGAGCTGGGCTCCAGTTGCAACCTACATAGGACATGTAGGAAGAAGAAGAAAGGATATTAATATTCTTCCAAGTTCTGGGTACTGTACTGGTGCTTTACACATGTTGCCTCATTTAATCTCCACAACAACCTTTTTTAAAAAAACTGTGATAAAATACACATAATTTAAAAATTACAGTTTTAACTATTTTTAAGTGTACAGTCCAGTATACATTCACATTAATTGCTTTACACATTATTGTGCGACCGTCACCTCTGTCCATCTGTAGAACGTTTTCATCATCCCAAACTGAAACTCTGTACCCATTAAGCAGTAACCACCTTTTTCCTCCTAACTCCCAGCTCCTGGTATCCACTATTCTATGTTGTTGTTGGCATTATTATCCATAATAACCTTTGAAGTAAGGTATTTTCATTGTATTAATGAAACTGAGACTTAGGTTAAAAAATTTACTCAAAGTGATATACAAGTGAGTGAGGAATAGAAAGTGAACCCAGGTCTGTCTTCCTACAGAGCTAATGATTGTTCTGCTATACTGTCCTTGTTGGCAGTTGTGAGATGAATCTACTTTTAGTCAGTTGACTGTCACGTGATAGACCACTATATTAGTTATGTATGGCTGTATAACAGACCACCCCAGACTTCACAGCTTAACACAGTAGTAAATGTTTATTATCTCATATTGTTACTGTGAGTCAGGAATCTAGAAGTGGCTTAGCTGGGTGGCTTTGGCTGAGTCTGTCATAAGGTTGTAATCACGATGCAAGGCAAGGATGTGGTCATCTGAAGGTTTTAACTGGAGATAGAGGATCCATTTCCAAAATGGCTTAGTCATGTGCCTGTTTGTTGACCGAAGGCCCCAGTTCCTTGTCATGAGGACTTCTCCATAGTGTCTTCACGGTGTCCTTCCAAAGCTAATGATTCAGGAGAGGACATAGTAGAAACCACAATGTCTCTCAGCTTCAAAAGTCACACATTGTCATTTCTACAGTATCCAAAGTGTTTACAGAGGATACCTGTGCTTTCTATGGGAGGGGAATAAACAAGGGCATGAATATGAGCAGGCAAGAGTAATTGGGGGCCACCTTAGAGGCTGACAGCCACATACACACATTCAGAATTACCCTGCAAACAGTTGAAAATATGGAACTCCAGACTGTAGCAGACAAGTCAGAGCTAGGAAACTTTGGAAGTACTACAGTTGATTACTAAAGCCAGTGGTATGACTAATAAGAATAAATATAGATTCCAGGCACAGCTGCATTAAAAGAAAAAAGAATATAGAAAGATTTTTCTTGCCCTTTATATACCTGCACATGTCTTCTGCAAGGATTGAGACAAAATTCCATTGCTTGACGATACATGTCAGTTTTTGAACATCTTTCAGGGAACTTCCAAATCAAGTCTTTGTCATATGGCTTAATAATTCTGTTTGAAATGTACTCTAGAGATTTGATGATTGCAAGAGTTAATCTGCTTCACTTGAGAATGCGGCCCAGGTAGTTGACTCCCTCTGATGTTTTCACAGCCCTTCTGTTACAGTGGATGATCTGAAGAACCTTTTCATAGAAGCTGGATGTTCAGTGAAGGCTTTTAAATTCTTTCAGTAAGTCTTTGCTTTCAAGAAATACATTAAAATTATTTAATATGGTATGCAAATTTTAAAGGTAGTTCAGTGAAGTCTTCTGGTGGAGGAAGGAGTTTGGAAGCAAAATTCATTCTAAATACTTTCTGTATTTCTTATACCATTTTCAGGAAAGATCGCAAAATGGCGCTCATTCAATTGGGATCTGTGGAAGAAGCAATTCAGGCCCTCATTGAGCTTCATAACCATGACCTTGGAGAAAATCACCACCTCAGAGTTTCCTTCTCAAAATCTACAATCTGACTTTTCTGTGAATTTTTCTCCTAAAACTGGACCATAATTTCAGTAAAACCTTCAGACATAGACTGAAGCAGCTCAAGACCAATTTTGCCTCTTTCACAAAAATAACTCTGAGTTTGATATTCAAGTATATTTTAAAAATCAAGGGATTTTTTTTTTTTGTATTCCCCCTGCCCCCGCCAGTCAAAGGTTTCTTTTCCCTTTTTACCATGGTTTCTACAAAAATAACCTTCAGGAAAAAGAAAATCAGGAAAAAAATTTTTTTTCAATAATCTTATTCCCTATATTAAATTAGATTTGAAGAGGATTAACGTTGTTTTAGTTTGGGTCCAGATCAGCCTTATACAACATTTCTAAACTCATTTGTACTTTTAAAAAATTTAAACACAGACTTCTAAAATTACTTGATGTAAGTAATTTAAATCACTTATGACCAAGTTATTAACCTTATGAATCAGAAGTCTGACCCTTGTAGGAAATTATATTCACATATAAAGTACATCAGATCTTTGCCATATATTGATGGTTATTATGCATAAACACATTGAGTTGTGTTGGAAGCAGATTTATAAACCTGCATGTTTTCTTTGAATGATTTCTTTTTTTCACTGTAAGACACTCCTTTAAATAATGCCTATCTTTAACTTTTTAAGACTATTTGGAAAAATGCAGTGTCTCAGCTGTCCCCAGGGAAATTAAGTGGAATTCAACTAAGATCTGTTAATAAGATGTCAGAATAACTAATAATTTTATTAGGAAAAAATCATGTTTTAAATTTCAAAATGACACTTATTTGTCAAGTAATATGATCTTGGAAAATTTTAAAGAAAAATAATCCTACTTATAAACTACTTTTTTATAATTGTTTTCAGAAAAAAAGTTTACAGTCTTAAGGAAAATATTCAGGTCTATCATATGGTTTGACAGATTTTTTAAAAGTTATTTTTGGTAAGGTCTTCTTTTAGAAAAAAATTAATCTCAAGGGTTTTTTGTACCACTATAATCTCTAATACTTACTCAGAATTACTGTGTATTTACTTAATTTCTTATTATGTGCCTTATTATGTGCTTAAGATACAATAGGTTAGAGTTTAATCTAAATATCTTGAAAGCTATATTGTGGGCTTGGTAAGCATTTTGTTTTTTCTTTCTCTGTTTTGGTAAGGATTTAAAATTTTTTTCATTGCAATTTTAAGTGGTTTTCAATAAGTAATAGTTTTTATCAAATTTTTGGTGCTTGGTGCAGAGACGGTGTGGGGAAGGGTGAATGGTTTTGGGAATAATTCAGTGCACACCTGTAGGCCTCTTTACATTGTGACTGATAGGGGTTATTGCATATCAATTTGGGGCTGTAGAGTGCAATCTCAGTTTCATCTTTTTCACCCATCAGAATTTGTCTCAGGATTACTTGGTTTTTCTCAGTCCTCAAGCGAGAACTTGCTTTTCTTTGTTAATGTGACTTTCATTACTGAGTACCCACGTATTTGGAGTATGAGAAGGTGGGTTATTTCTCATACTCTGTCCCTCTCTTTTTCATTGAATGTAAGAGTACATTTTAATGTTGCTTCAGTGATTGTATAATGTAAAATTGTTTCTTTTTAATAAGAAACTTTGCTATTATTTCTTCAATTGTTGATCAGAATTTTTTAAAGCAGAATTTGTCAAAAGGGTCATTTTTTTGTCTACCCCTTTTACACTTTTCAGATTCTCAAAGTGTCTCATCTCAACTTTTAAAAGAATAAAGAATATCTTGCTGGGCATGGTGGTGTGCGCCTGTGCGCCTGTAGTCCCAGCTACAGGCTGAGCCTGTAGGCAGGAGGCTACAGGCAGGAGGATCACTTGAGCCCAGGAGTTCAAGGCTGCAGTGCGCTATGATCACATTTGTGAATAGCCACTTCACTCCAGCCCTGGAACATAGTGTGACCCCTTCTCTTAAAAGTAAAAATTAAGAAAATCTCAATCTCTTTGCTGTATTCCAGTGATTAATTTGAACATAGGGAGGTTTTTACAGAAGAAATTTTACCAAAAAATAGAGACTGCAAGAGATGATACAGATTGTTTAAAAAGCAGAATTCACTCACCACTGAGCAACACTTAGTTGGTAGAATAGAAAGGAGGGATACTAAGTTAAGACTTTTCAAATGGATCAGTTTGGCTGAATAGATAGATATACTCATGTATGTAGTTGTGGGAGTTTTTAGTTTTTTGTTTTTTTACTTATGAAATAAGTTTTGACCTAGACACAAGGGGTATATGAAGGAGGAAAAAAATTTCTTTGCAAAATCTCCCAAAACTTGCTTTTTTTTCCCTTCCACACAGGCACTATTATAATTTTCAGTGCCATGTTAAATTGGATTATTTCATTTACTTTAAGTTAGGAATTACTGTGTAATTTATTAATTCATGATTCTCATAACATTCAGCATAAGTGTAGCAAAGTTGCTAATAACGGAAGGGGATCATAGTGGTGTTGAATGTAACTTTGAAGTAGGGAATGGCCTTTTAAGTCTGAGAGAGAACATTTGAATCCTTTTCAGGGATTTGTGTAGGGGTGTGTTTGTGTGTGTGTGTGAATGTGTGTGTGTGTAGATAAGTGTATATACATAAATACACTCTTCTAAAGTTGTATATACATATGCACATTACATACATTTTAATTTATTGACAAAATTAACCAAATTAAGATTTGGAGATGTGGGATGTTCTTGTTTTAAAATAGCATGTTTGAAACCATCAGTTTGTGTCTAAAATTAGCTGTAGCACATGGATGTTGTCCATATTAAGCTATTTGCTGTTTGAATTATAGAGGTCTACAGTATTTGTGTTGGCATAGTTTTTGTAAAAAAAAGATTAAAAAATATCAGGATGGTGGAAAAACTAGATCTGTGTATCTCTGTTTTGGCATGCATTTATTCAGTATCTTCTAGCAATGGTTTTTCTCTGTTGATCTACCGTAGTATCCTATTTTTAAGTTTATTTTATTTTTAAGGAGTATTGTCATCACTTTTCAAGGTGTCTTGACTTCTACACAAAGTATATATATTCAGGACTTTAAAAAATAGCAGTACACATTTAACAGTAGCGAATTACACCAAAATGATTTACTTTGAGATTTGAATAATTTGCATAGCAGTAAAATGTGTTTTGTGTAACATACAAATAGAAAAATGACCCAGTATCTTAATTGATACTTACTGGAGAGTATCAGAATTACCCAGCAGCTCTTACAGAATGCCATAAATTCTTTAAGACTAAATATTGAAATCAATTATTTGAAGTAATGTTTCTGATTTACTGTTAAAAGTTGCTGAGCTCAGTTTTTGGAGATATCATTTATGCCTGCCTGTTCCCTTATGACAGTGAGGCCTTCTTTGGCTCCACCTAGTATGATAATCATGGGTTCTGTTTTAGTTGATGAGAAGTGGCTCCTATGAATGCCTCTGCTCAATTTCTTTTTATTTTACTTTATTTTATTTTTAGGGGTCTCGCCAACTCCTGGGCTCAAGTGATTCTCCTGCTTCCACCTCCCCACAGTGCTGGGATTACAGGCATGAGCCACCACGCCTGGCTCTCTGTTCTTTTCAGTGTCTCCGTGCCATCAGTCAGCAGTGCTTACATGTTTAGCATATTGTCATGCAGTTTCTCTTCTGTTCCCACGAGATATTTTTGGACAAAAAATTGACAAAAGTACATGTGTTTTTCCCCACCTATCCCTTAGAAAACCTAATGTGTACTGCTATTTTTAAAACCAAAAAGAGACAGCGTGACGATGCGTAAAGCATTTTTCTTAGCCTTTCCTTTGTCTTGATCTGTTAATGAGAACAAAACTGCCAGACTCAAAATACTCTACTATTGTGCTGAAAGAAATACAATTTAGATTGCACAAAATTTGAAAATATAACTCAGCTGTCTTTTAAAAGAGTTGTGTTGTTATCTACAAGACTATTAGCAGTCTTTTTTCAGAGCAAATTTTAACAGCTAGTTGTGAGTGGTTTAAAATATAGAAAATTATTAAAATCTTAGTTTGAGGGGTTTTATAGTGGGAGAAAAAACAGGACCAAAGTTTATGTGCCTTCTTCAGTAGTCTTAATTGACCTTTTCTTCCTATTTGAGACTAAAGTAGTATCAGTATTCTGGTTTTCAGGAAATATGTACTATATAGTTTTAAAAGAATGTTGTCCCACCAACTATTCATCCAAGCAAAGAATTGTAACTATAAATAAAGTCTCAGTTACACTTTTGCCTTTATCACATAATATTCATTGTAGAGCATTGTGCAGGTCCAAGAATAGAGCTGCTCAAAATCTTTGTGGTAGTTTCCTTAGTTTTTGTAACCTGAGGCATATGTTCCAGAGAACAGGGATATTTGTCTGGTCCAGTGACCTTGGTGATCATAGTCATAATTGAAAGATGCCTATGGCATGCTTAAATCAGCATTGTCAACTGATTTGTTGTTGTATTATTTTCACTTCTTGGATCTATGTAGTAGTTGTAATAACAAATATTTAAATAGCTATTTTTTTGATGCCATTAAAAAAATCATACTCTGGCCTTTTTTCCCCCTTACTGTTGTTTCCCAGATCTTTTAAAAATTCATCCCATATCCAGAAAGTACCAGTTATAAAGATTGCTGACCAAGCAAAGTTTTGCATCAAAGTGTCACCTCATTGCTCTGACCAAAGACTGACTGTTGTGGTTTTAACTCCTCTCTGTAAAGCATTTTGCATTTTCCCCAAGCTCCTTTCTGAAAGAAGAACCAGTGCAGAGCGGCCTTTACTTTCAATTTCTACTGCTGAATAGACTACTTAGAGAAAATGTGAGTTTCAGTGTGAACAGAATGGATTAGGATGACGAGTTTGATGGGCATTTTCAGTACTGTATCTAAGAAAAAAAAAATAGCACAGCTAGGAGCCTCTGACATTGTCTGGTGTTTTACGTGGTCTGTTCATCAAAATTCCCCTTTTCAGTTTTTAAGAATGTTCGTCTAACAGAAGAAAATGCTGTAAATATTTGTAACAACATTTTTTTTAACAAGGCCAAAAAAGAAAAAAAGGTTTTTGGGAACAAATGAACTTATAAAGTGGTTTTATATAAAACATCAATTGTCTTGTATATTTTGGATAAGCAGCAGTACCAGCTTTCATTTGTAACAGTCTGTGGCATTGGAAAAAAAGGAGTCTGTGATTGTTGAAGTGAATTATGTTATAAATGCAAAGAGAAGATAAAATATTAAAAAACATATTTTCTAAATGCGTAGTGCATGGTTAATTCAAGCTTCTGTACACTACAGTATATTCCATTTTCGTTCAGTTTGTATATTTGCTGACTATTACTTGATATCTCTAATCTCTTTTCCTAACAAATATAGCATTGTAGCATGCCTTTTAATAAATGTCATGACATCTGTACTCTCTTAAAATTTTTCTGTGTTCTTGTCTGTACTTTGGGTTTCCCTTTGTCTTACCTGTAATTCTAATGATGTCCTATTTTCTTTTCTTTTCCATAGCCATCCATCTAAACGTGTCATGGTTAGTGAATAGTGAGCACATATTCAAACAATGTTCAAAATGGGAAAAACACAAAATCTATTAACTGTCTCTGTCTTCATTTAGGAATAATTCTCGTTTTGAGGAGCAAAGTGCTTTCCTAATCTTCCTATGATGCACCTTCTCTGGCACTGCCCCGTAATGCAGGGGCATGGCGGCATGCTTTCTTGCTTGCACACTCACTCTCCTTTTTCTTTCTCTCTTTCTCCCCATATGTGCAGTGCCAAACTACAGTTGGAACACTATTTCCAGTTTTGTTCAGTATTTGGCTTCCCTACGGCATTAGTATACATACACTTTGAGACACAAGGTGTGATCTCAAACCAAATTTGTGTCCTCTTTAAAAAGGTAGCACAGATACTAGCTGATGCTACATTCCTTTTCCTTAGACAAACGTTTTACTTCTCAGATCTTTAAAGAATTGTTGGATTGCAGAAGTCTAGACTTAGCGTTCATTGTATATTTTAGTCTCCTGGAAGTGGGAATTTATTTTGAATGGAATAGAAAATTAGGTAATCACTACTAATCTTTGCTGGCTTACCTGTAAAATCTGTGGTCTCCATAAATACTGGGAAAATAAATAGGTATTTTTACATGAGGCATTTTTATCAGGAAAAGATAAAATAACTGTATGACTATATTAGGCTTTTATAAACTCGATTGACTGTGAAATGCTTATTTACTCAGCAGAGGGGTTATAACCATCATTAAGTCATGTCAGTGACCCAAGAGACCACCTAGTTCAATTTCCAGTTAACAGCAAGGAAGCCCAGGTCTCTGTGACTTGGTCCAGTGCACTCTATTGCACCCAGGTGTTGCAGTTTCAGACTTCCAAGTGCTGCTAAGGTTATGATCTTGAAGATCTGTACACAGTATTGGAGTGCTTATGTTTTCTCCTAAAAGCCACATGATCATACCTCACTGCAACGTAAAGACATTGAGTAAGTGGTGAGAATGTTTCTGATGAAGGGTAAAAATGCCTTATCTACTTCTGAAAAATTTTTTAATGTCGTTTCACATTTTAAATTTCAGAAAACTAACAAAAAATGTAGTTACTGTTTGTATGAGTTTGCTAGGACTGCCATAAAAAAGTCCCACAGACTAGGTGGCTTAGACACCAGAAATGAGTTTCTCACAGTTCATGGAGGCTCGCAGGCCACGATCAAGGTGTCAGCAGTGTTGATTTCTTCCAATGCCTTTCCTTGGTTTGTAGATAGCTGTCTTTTCCTTGCGCCTTCTACAAGCTCGCTCTTCTGAGTGTGTCCATGTCCTAATCTCTTCTTATAAGGACATCAGTCAAAGATGAGGGCTTACTCATATTATCTCATTTTACCCTAATTCCTTAAAGAGTCTGTCTCTGAATGTGGTTACATTCTGCGATTCTGGGGATTAGGACTTCAACGTAGGAATTTGGGAAGGGGGACACAAAATTCAGCCCCATAGCACTGTTTTATTCATTCAGTTCACCGAGTACTGATTGTACCAGCACTTGAGCTAGGTGTTGGGAAAAATATAGAGTTAAGCACGTGGTGACTTACCTTTTAGAAATGTGTAATGTAGTAGATATGTCAGCCTAAATCCACAAATTAAACACGTTACTTTTGAACTCCTGCCTTCAATAGGAATCCCCAAAAATGGATCATGAGGCCTCTCTGAGGCACTTCTCAGAATACATATGGCTATAACTATCCTACAGCTAGTTGTGAATATGTAGGAATATAGACCCTGCCATAATTTGTCCTTTTTACTCTTAGAGATAAATAGCCATATCAGAGCAATGATTATTTCTAAGACAAATGCCATTACTTAAAAAAACAATTGTAGAAATAAGAGGACATCGTCAGACAAGCTGTGCCCAGTATTTAATGTCTAACATTTGTGATAAATGAACTGGGATGCTGGGTTAGGTATAGTTAGGAGTGATAGACCTATTTGTAGTCTTACTGTTTCTACATCAAAGCTTTTTTTCCTGTTGTCTATTTCAACCTATAATGGGAATTCATCACTTTCCTTTGTGTGTTTTTTATCAAAACAGTTTATGCTGAAGTGATAAAACTCTAGTAATAATTTTGCTGGAATTACCACATTCTGGAGCCACTGGGTTCTGATGTAGAGTTTCCAACTCTACTAGTATAAAGAAACCAGAAAAGTAATGATTCTAATGTTCCTAGCAGATTCATAATGTCTATTTTTTTATTTTTCTTTCTGTTTTTGTTTTGTTTTGAGACAGAGTCTCACTGTGTTGCCCAGGCTGAAGCAGCCTCAAACTCCTGGGCTCAAGCCTTCCTTCTGCCTCAGGCTCCCAAGTAAGTGGGACTACAGGTATGTGCCTGGCTAAGTTTTTTACTTTTTACTTTTGTAGAAACTGGGTCTCACTTTGTTCCTTAGGCTAGTCTTGAAGTCTTGGGCTCGAGCGATCCTCCCTTCTCAGATTACAGTAGGAAGCACTGGGATTACAGGGGTGAGCCACTGTGCCCAGCCTTCTCAATTTTTTTACCCCTATATTTGTTCTAAGGATATAGACAGGGTAACAGGAAAAACTCAATATTTCTTTTGGAATAAATTGCCCTCTAATCACTTGATAAGCATCTCTATCATTATTCTGTGCCTAAAATTAGAGAATTATCTGCTCAGTCCTTATTCCTGCAGAATACAAATGTCACATTCTAACCTGTTAAGAGATTGTCTTCAAAATAAAACTGTTATTAACTACATTAATGTTAGACAAAGTACACTTTAGGGCAAAAGGCATTATTAGGGATAGATTTCATAATGATAGAGTTCTATAGTAGAATATAGTAATGCAACTGAACAAAATGAAGCTCATTCCACTGCATGGAAGAATCTCACAGATGTGATGCTGAACAAAGGAAGCCACGTACAAACACTATATAATTTTATGTACATCAAGTTCAGAAACAGGATAGTTACCTTTGGGAAGGAGGTAACTGAAAGAGTATGAGGAGGGGTTTCTGGTATCTGGTTAATGTACTTTGTACCAGTTACCCAGGAGTGTTTCAAAAATTATTATAATTGAGCAAGGAGCTAGCAACCAATTCTTTTCTTAAGTCAGCAGATTATTCTAGCCAATAAGTAAGGCCCTCTTATAAAGAACCCAAGATACCATGGACTGAGTTTCAACATGAAACTCTTACATGTGCATATATTGCATTGTCCTGACCACGGCATATCTACAGGAAAAATATTTCACTGACCAAAAAAAAACAAACAAAAAAACATGTTTTCAAGTAAATTTTACCCTTCCGAACAGTTTTACATCCAACTAGATTCAGAAAGATTTAATTAATGTGTTTTAGTTTTGGTTTTGCCACTGTAACTGATCTGGTGAGCTGTTTGACATCTAACCCCTAATATATTTCCCTTTTATTTTTTGAGACAGGGTCTCACTGTGTTGGCAAGGCTGAGTGCAGTGGGGCCATCAATAGCTCACTGCAGCCAACCTCCCAGACTCAAAGCAGTCATCCCATCTCAGCCTCCCAAGTAGCTGGGACTATAGGCACCCACCACCACACCCAGCTAATTTTTTATTTTTTGTAGAGACGAGTTCTCACTATGTTGCTCAGGCTAGTCTTGAACTCCCGGACACAAGTGATCCTCCCCCCTCAGCCTCTTGAAATGCTGAGATAACAGGAGTATGCCACTGCATCTGGCCTCCTAATATATTTTATCAAAAGAAGCCAGAAAGACCTACCTAGATCTCTAGCATCCTAAGAGAAGACTTTATAAAAGTTAAGATTTTTTTTTTTTGAGACGGAGTCTTGCTCCATTGCCCAGGCTGGAGTGCAGTGGCACAATCTTGGCTTACTACAACCTCTGCCTCCCTGGTTCAAGCAATTCTCCTGCCTCACCCTCCCAAGTAGCTTGGATTACAGGCATGAGCCACCACGCCCAGCTAATTTTTGTATTTTTTAGTAGAAACAGGGTTTCACCATGTTGGCCAGGGTGGTCTTGAACTCCTGACCTCAAGTGATCCACCTGCCTTGGCCTCCCAAAGTGCTAGGATTACAGGCATGAGCCACCACCTGGCCAAAAATTAAGATTTGTAATACACAAGTATTACTATGATGAACTCCCATTTACCCAGTACCCAACTGCAACTAGTGGCCAATTTTGTTTAATCTGTTCTTTACCCCACTCCTAGGATTACTTTTAGTTTTTCATTTTTATTTTTTGAGACAGAGTCTCTCGTTGCCCAGGCTGGAGTGCAGTGGTGTGGTCTTGGCTCACTGCAGCCTCCACCTCCTGGGTTCAAGCAATTCTGCCGCAGCGTCCTGAGTAGCTGGCATGCACCACCACACCTGGCTATCCTAGGATTTCTTTTAAATCCCAGTCATCATATAATTTCATCTGTAAACATTTCAGTATAGAAGTCCATACATTGCAGTTGATAAAGGCTTTTACAGGTTCCCTCTCCATCCTTTTTTTTTTGTAATTTATTTGTTGAAGAAACAGCTCTTTGAATTTTGCCAATTACATGTAAATCGAGAAGAGCTCATTCAGATTCTGTTTTCTCTCTTCTTTCTCCCTGCCTCCCCTTCCCCCCTACCTTTTTTTTTTTTCGTAAGAATACTTCATTGATAGCGTTGGATACTTCCATAATGTGGCTTTTCTTTTGATGGCAGTATCCATTGATCATTGCCTAGATCCATTAATTTTTAGGGACTGCAAGATGGTAAAGCTATAATTCTAATTCCTTTTGCTTGTATTAGTTGGATTTCTTCTATATAAGAGAAACCCCCATATCAGCTATTTCATTACTTTGAGGTACAGCTTCTGTAGAAAGGCAAAATAAATGCTTGGGTTTTTTTTGTTTCCTATTCTCCTCCAAAAGTTTGCCTTTTTCTAAAGCCTGTTTTTATGGAAACACAAACATTTGTAAAATTGAAAGACTGATATAATGAAACTTTGTTTCTGTCACCTAACTTACGTGATTCATATTCTGCGTTGTATCTTCTATACTCCTGCCCCTCTCCCTTTCTACTGGGTAGATTATTAACTATTAATTTATATAGTAGTTTTCAAACATATTGGTTAAAGTTTATAATGTTTTTAAATCTCTGCCTTATCAGTAATTATATCTTCTTGTTTTTGGAGGGATGAGGTCTTGCTGTGTTTCCCAGGCTGGTCTCAAACTCCTGGCCTCCCAAAGTGCTGAGTATGCAGAAGTGAGTCACTGCACTCGGCCTATACCCATTTTTATTTTTGTTTATATTTACTATTTATTTACTTATTATTTGAGACAGAGTCTTGCTCTTTCATCCAGGCTGGAGTGCAGTGGCACAATCTCAGCTCACTGCAATGTCCGTCTCCCAGGCTCAAGCAATTCTTGTGCCTCAGTCTCCCAAGTAGTTGGGATTACAGGCGTGTACCACCACGCCTGGCTAATTTTTGTGTTTTTATGTTTTTAGTAGAGACGGGTTTCACCTTGTTGGCTAGGCTGGTCTCGAACTCCTGGCCTCAAGTGATCCGCCTGCCGCAGCCTTGTAAAGTGCTGGGATTACAAACGTGAGCCACCGCGCCCAGCCTGTATATCCATATTACTGTTTTTCAGTTGTGCCTTTTCTCCTTTTCTTGAGCCATCTTGCAGAAGTATTTTCAAATAACCTGTTTTTCATGTGTTTTGATCCTCCGCAATGTTTGTTTTTTCATTTATTAGTGTTTCATTTCATTTTTAACTTTATTTTATGCTTCTTTTATACTTCTTATTTTGTGTGACTTGATATGTTAATCATAGCTGTCTTAGATTGCCTTATATATCCTATGAATTTTCAATGCACATTTATCCTTTATGACAGAAACAATATATATGAACTTGAGAATGAAATATAACTAGGTAGGAACAAAAACTTATTTAGGTAGGAATTACTTTGAAAAAAACACAAATGTCTGCATGCCATACTACCCTGACTGCACCCGATCTCATCTGGAAAAAATGCCAAGGTTTAGGATTGTCCTGATCGCTCCCTCACCCCCATGCCTCTTATTGCTGTGCTTTAGTGTGGGCTGATTTGACAGATATATGCATTGCCAGAGGATCCAAAGTTGTAAAAGTCTAGCCATGCCATCAAGGAACATTATAATAAAGATGGAAAGCACTGGTATGTCCTTTCTTGCAACATGGACTAGCTTGCAAACTAAATCTAAATAATTTACCTGATTTTTTGAGCATCTAATGTTTTTAACCATCTCTCAATATGGTCCAAGAATAGTAGCTACCAGCCCCAGATTTTCTAGAACAGGCAGACTATCCTTGTATTTTCAGAACACTTCCAGTTTTTTTATTCAAAAAATAGTTCTTGGCTGGGCACGGTGGCTCATGCCTGCAATTCCAGCACTTTGGGAGGCCAAGGCCGGCAGATCACCTGAGGTCTGGAGTTCAAAACCATCCTGGCTAATATGGTGAAACCCTGTCTCTACTAAAAATACAAAATAGACAGGTGTGGTGGCTCACGCCTGTAGTCCCAGCTACTCGGAAGGCTGAGGCAGGAGAATCGCTTGAACCTGGGAGGCAGAGGTTGCATTGAGCCAAGATCGCACCACTGTACTCCAGCCTGGGTGACAGAGCGGGACTCTGTCATTTAAAAAAAAAAAAAAAAAGTTCCCAGGGCTGCAGAATTAACTGTTAGTTTGTGTGCTTGGTCTATGATGTTAGCTCACTGTTAGAATGAATTTATTCTAAATTCTTTTAAATAAGGGCATAAAGATTGAAGAGATTACAGGGTTCTAGTGACAACCCCTATTTAGTAAGAAGCAGGATCTTCTTTATAAGAAATAAAATACCCATGCAGAGACCAGCATACAGTAGATTATCTGTTGAATATCTGCCATTTCCTTTCAGCTGGTAGGAGCTTCTGACGGAACCAGCCCCAGATTCTTTCCCCTGGCAGTCCCCATGACAAAGCCACTGAGCTAGATCATCATTGATAGAACCCTAGTGCTTGTAGTGACTTGGTGGCAGCCATTGCGTTAATACAGACCAACACCTTCTCTAAGCCAAGCTGCCATCTGATGAATGAAATACCCAGAGAGCTGAACATATACAGAAGGAAAATGGAGCCTTGCCTCAACCTACAAAAACATCTGCTGTCTATATAGGGCTTCGGGAATTCAGTGACAAACTCCAACAGCACAACTGTATTTGAGCGTATGGATTCATAGATCCATACCCTCACCAAAGTTTATTGTCTCTGACCTGTACATTTGTGTGATAACCATAACTTCTTCCATCATGTTCCCCAGAAGCATAGATTGCCCATATATGGGCAGTCCCAAGGAGGCCAAAATAGTTCCGTGTACATTGTATTAGTTTACTAGGGCTACTGTAACAAATTACATACAACAACCTGGGTGGCTTAAATAATAGATACTCATTTTCTCACAATTCTGGAGGGTAGAAGTCTGAGATCAAAGTGTCAGTCAGCAGGTTTGGTTTCTTCTGAGGCCTCTCCCATTGATTTGTAGATGGCCACCTTCTCCCTATGTTCTCACGTGGTTGGTTATCTTTTGGTTTGTGTGAGTCTGTGTCCCAATGTCCTCTTAAAGGATACCAGTTATATTGGAGTAGGGCCTGCCCATATGGCCTCATTGTACTTTACCTCTTTAAAAGCTCTATTCCCAAATACAGTCAGATTTTGAGGTACTGTGGACTAGGGCTTTGGATTTGTCAGGGTTCTCCAGAGAGACAGAACAGGTAGGATAGATAAATAAGTAGGTAGGTAGGTAGATATAATTGGTTCATGTGATTGTAGGCTGATAAGTCTTAAAACAGGCCGTCTGCAGGCTAGGGAGGCCAGTAGGGGGTGGCTCATTCAAGTCTGAAGGCCCCAAAACCCAGGGAAGCCACTGGTCTAACTCTCAGTCCAAGGCCAAAGACCTGAGAACCCAGGGGGCTGCCGGTGCAAGTCCCAGAGTCCAAAGGCCAGAGAATCTGGAGTTCTGATGCCAAAGGACAGGAGATAAAATGGTGTTCTAGCTCTAGGAGAGAGGAAATTTGCCTTTCTTCTTGCCCTTTTGTTCTATCCAGGCCCCCAGACAGGCTGCTGCAGCCAAGAACATCCCCTCACAGAGGGCTTTCGTCCTGGGAATAGCAGAACCACAGCTTTTCTCATCCTGCTCGTAGCCACCTGTTGCTGAGGCTCTCTTATTCCACCCAGACCCCACTCATGGACTGGAGGCTTCCTTAGGCATGACATGCTAAGATAATGGGGCCTTGGTCCTGGCTTGCGAGGTGGTGGTTCCATGGCAAGAGAGGCAAGCCGAGAGGACCCCAGCTGCTCTGCACTGACAGAGGCTCTCTCCTTACCCAAACTTTAGTCAGGCTTAGAAACTTTTTTTTTTTTTTTTTTTGAGACAGAGTCTCACTCTGTCGCCCAGGCTGGAGTACAGTGGCGTGATCTCGGCTCACCGCCACCTCCATCTCCCAGGTTCACCCCATTCTCCTGCCTCAGCTACTTGGGAAAGTAGCTGGGACTACAGGCGCCTGCCACCACACCTGGCTAATTTTTGTATTTTTAGTAGAGACAGGGTTTCACCGTGTTAGCCAGGATGGTCTCGATTTCCTGACCTTGTGATCCACCCGCCTCGGCCTCCCGAAGTGCTGGGATTACAGGTGTGAGCCACTGCACCTGGCCAGGCTTAGAAACTTTTTTAGACTAGGCCTCATTCTTGGACCTTGTCCTCAAGAGCCCAGTTTTAGCAAGAATCCTGGCAGTTTAAAAAGAATCCCCTTGACCCTTTATATCTGATCAACCTGACCTGACTTAAGCAAGAATCCTGTTTGGTAAATGTAGCAAGAATTTCCCTTACCCTTCATTTCTGTCTCCTCTTAGTAATTTTCCATCTACTGACAACCCTTCTCCAACTTACTCCTTGCCTATAAATCCCTACTTGTTCCTCGTGAGTTTGTAATTGAGACTGATCTCTTCTATCTCAATAATTTTTTTTTTTTTTTTTTTTTTTTGAGAACGGAGTCTTGCTCTGTCACCCAGGCTGGAGTGCAATGGTGCGATCTTGGTTTACTGCAACCTCTGCCTCCTAGGTTCAAGTGATTCTCCTGCCTCAGCCTCCCAAGTAGCTGGGATTACAGATGCCTGCCACCATCCCTGGCTAATTTTGTATTTTTAGTAGAGACAGGGTTTTACTACGTTGGCCAGGCCAGGCTGGTGTAGAACTCCTGACCTCAAGTGATCCACCCACCTCAGCCTCCCAAAATGCTGAGATTACAGGCGTGAGCCACTGCGCCCAGCCTCAATTATCTTGACACCTATCGGGATCATTCTGAAGAAAGTCTTCTTTCTCATCTTAACAAGTGTCAGAATAATTTTTTCTTTAACACCTCCCTCACAATCAAGGGCTTAGCCCCTAGAGTGGGGATGTCACTCAGAGAGAAGCTTACCATCGTTCCCTTTCCCAGCTCCAGTGCCCTGGCTCAGAGATTGTACCTGCGGGGAGAAACCCACCATAAAACAGATAGCTTTTCATCTCTTTCAGAAGGAATTTAGCTTATTGCAGCAGAGTGAATAATTTCAAGTCTAAAAGCACTCTCAAGGTCAGTGAGGTGTGATAAAAGGCAACTGGGAGAATATTCAAGATACAGGTTAAACTGTAGAAGGCTGGTTTGCAGGAGAGAACTGGGAATAAGATAGCTGGAAGAATCCTCCTGGGGTCAGAATAAAAATCAAACACTGACCTAAAAAATTGTTCAGTTGAAGAAGCCAGAATTCAACTGTATAAATTTTAGAGCAGTTTGTGCTCCCAGGGTACTGTTGAAAACACTAGAGCAATCATCTGATAATAGTATGGTTTTAGCAGGTAGGTGGGGTCAGTGAAAAGAGGAGGAGAGACCCACCAAACCCACTGATTCCGGAGTGACTGTGGGCATACCCAGTGCTGTACCTCCTGAAGGAACAACATTAGTGGCTAAACACAGTTTGGAGAAAAGGGACTTCACTAAAATAATCCAGTCGTTTACTACATAAATAAGCACATTATAATAAGCTCCAGAGAAGGGGGGACCAGCAACCAGAGTTACTACAATATATGATTTTCAATATCTAGTTTTAAACCAAAAATTACAAAGCACAAGGAAACAGGAAAGTACAACCCAAACAGCAGAAAAAAAGCAGACAACAGAAATTGACAGTAAGAGGAACCAGATGTTGCATTTATCAGAAAAGACTTTAAAGTAGCCATTATGAACCTGTTCAGAGAACTAAAAGGAGCCATGATTAAAGAAGTAATTGAAGGTAGGATGACAATGTCACATCAAGTAAGACAATATCAACAAAAAAATTGAGATTATTAAAGGAGCCAAATGGAAATTATGGAGTTGAAAAGCACAATAACCAAAAAATTCACCAAAGGGCTCAACAATAGGTTTGAACTGACAGAGGAAAGAATAACAGACTAATAGAGATTAGACACACTGAAAAACAGAGAAAAAAGAATGAAGAGAACCTTAGAAATGTGAGGCACAGCATAGGACAAATGTCGAAAGTCAAAGACAATGAGGAAATCTTTAAGCAGCAAGAAAAAAATAACTCATTACTTACAAGGGAACCCTAGTAGAATTAGTGGCTCACTTAGCAGAAACAATGGAGGCCAAAAGGTAGTGGGATGACATTCAAAGTCTCAGAGAAAGAAACTGTCAACCAAGAATTGTATTGCCAGCAAAGCTGTGATTCAGAATGAAGATAAAATAAAGATTTCCCCAGAAAAATAAAACTGAGAGAATTTAATGTTGGCAGCCCTTCTTTAGAAGAAATACTAAAGTTCAGGCTAAAAGCAAGTAACCTCACAGCCTTCTTGCACTTTGGAACACTAAACAGCACTGCAGCACTGCTCTTGGGGGCTCTTGTAAACTGTGAAATCACCAAGAAAAATACAAAAAACCTGGCACTAAGTAGACCACAAGAAGGACGCTTGTTTACAGTATGAGAGCTGATACAAGAGGTTTGTGTGTCACCTTGTTCAGCCTCAGCTGGGAACACATATGTTGAGCAATTCAAATATTTTTGCCACTGTGTGCATGTTGCAAATGACCATGAAAACACCTTAAGTGTTGATTTAGGAATTACAAACTTCTAGCAAGTAGGAAAAATTCACAAATAAGGAATTGTGAATAATGAGAATTGATGGTATATCAAGAATAGTATTAAATGTAAATAGATTAAATCACCCAATCAAAAGAAATGGCTTGCCAAGGTAACTGTAACTTGATTTAGATTAAAACAAAACCACGGAAGAAGAGTGGAAGAAAAATTATAAGCCTTGTACAACCCCTCTGTTCAGCTTCCAGGGGAAGCAGGAGTCTTCTCTGACCTGTAGTCATATGCATATGCATATCCATATAGGTGGGGTCAGGGAAGAGAGGACAGCATCCCTACTTTTCTGAGAACCCACTAAAAAGAGACCTGGGGCTTACAGTTCTGATTTGAACTCATTTGCCTTCAGAATCAGAAAGCATGTGTGGGCCAAAGCTGAATTTCCAATAATGCCTCTCCCTATAGAGCAACCACATGCTTTCTTCAAGAATGATGACATCTGTCTAATGAGTAATGAATTAAAAAGGTATATTTTTAAATGCTGATAAGGATTAAGTGAACTAAACATTGCCACACTCCATTGATAGAAGTATAAACTGGTACTATTTTTTTGGAAAGCAGCTTGGTAATATTCAGTCATACCTTGGTATCCATGGGGTCTTGATTCCAGAACCCCCTGGGGTATGAAAATCCACACATGTTCAAGCTCCTCATATAAAATGGTGTGGTGTTTGCATATACCTTACGTACATCCTCCCATATACTTTATTTCTCTCACCTTCCAAAATTATGAATGTAATAGTAGCATATCAGAATGTAATAGAAAGGATTCCATTTAAGGTGGTTTTCCTTTTAAAGCACAGATTTTTTTTTTTTTCGAGACAGGGTCTCACTCTGTCACCCAGGCTGGAGTGCAGTGGCGCAATCTCGGCTCACTGTAACCTCTGCCTCCCGG
The DNA here is from genome assembly GCF_000001405.40 of Homo sapiens. Classification (NCBI taxonomy): domain Eukaryota; kingdom Metazoa; phylum Chordata; class Mammalia; order Primates; family Hominidae; genus Homo; species Homo sapiens. The sequence goes on along the minus strand of NC_000009.12, from coordinate 112,206,289 downwards.
GTTCAAGTGATTCTTGTACCTCAGCCTCCTAAGTAGCTGGGACTACAGGCATGTGCTACCAGGCCCAGCTAATTTTTGTGTGTGTATGTGTGTGTGTTTTTAGTAGAGATGGGGTTTCACTATGTTGGCCAGGCTGGTCTTGAACTCCTGACCTCAAGTGATCTGCCCCCCTCAGCCTCCCAAAGTTGTGAGATTAAAGGCGTGAGCCACCATGCCTGGCCAAGCACAGATTTTTTTTAAATGGATCTCTTTAACAGTTCATACATCAAAGCAATAAACACACAAACATCCAGAGGAAAAAAATGAGGTTATAAAGTAGCCTAGCTCAGCACCCTGGTGAGTTTGTTGCAAGTCTACCAACATGGGCCTCATCTAGAAGGAATGCCCAGAGTCTGGGCTTGGTGCTGATTAGCCACACTCTCATATACTTTAAATCATCTCTAGACTACGTATAATACCTAATACAATGTAAATGCTATGTAAGTAGTAGTTGTACTGTATTATTTAGGGAATAATCACAAGGGAAAAAAGTGTGTATATGTTCAGTACAGTTGCAGCCATCCATTTTTTTTCCCAGATACTTTTGATCTGCAGTTAATTTAATCCACAGATGTGGAACCCACACATGTGAAGGGCCAACTGTATATCAAAAGCCAAAAAATGTTCATCACCACATTGGTATCAATAATGGAAAATTGGAAATGACTTTAAATGTCCAGCAACTATTTCATCCAGCAATAAGAAACTGAATAATTACGTCTTTGTAATGGAAAGCTAAGAAGCCTAATAATATAAATCCCTTCATGACAAAAACCCTCAAAAAACTAGACATCAAAGGAACATACCTCAAAATAATAAGAGCCATCTATGACAAACCCACAGCCAACATCATACTGAACAGGCAAAAGCTGGAAGCATTCCCCTTAACTGAAACAAGACAAGGATGCCCACTCTTACCCCTCCTATTCAACATAGTACTAGCCAGAAGCAAAATCAGGGAAGAGAAAGAAAGAAAAGGCATCCAAATAGGAAAAGAAAAAGTTATCTCTCTTCACAGATAATGTGATTCCATACTTAGAAAACCCTAAAGATTCTGCCAAAAGGCTCCTAAGTCTGATAAATGACTTCAGTAAAGTTTCAGGGTACAAAATCAATGTATGAAAAATCAGTAGCATTTCTAAACACCAATAAGTTGAAGCTGAGAGCCAAATCAAGAATGCAATCTTATTTACAATACACACACACACACACACACACACACACACACACACACACACACACACAAATACCTAGGAATACATCTAGCCAAGGAGATGAAAGATCTCTAAAAGGAGAACTAAATAAAAAACACTTGGCCAGGCACAGTGCCTCATGCGTATAATCCTAGCACTTTGGGAGACCGAGGCAGGTGGATCGCTTGAGGCCAGGAGTTCGAGACCAGCCTGGCCAACATGGCGAAACCCTGTCTCTACTAAAAATACAAAAATTAGCGGGCCATGGTGGTGCACGCCTTAATCCCAGCTACTCAGGAGGCTGAGGCAGGAGAATCACTTGAACTCAGGAGGCGGAGCTTGCAGTGACCTGAGATTTCACCACTGCACTGTAGCCTGGGTGACAGAGCAAGACCCCATCTCAAAAAAAAATCAAAACAAAAACCACTGCTGAAAGAAAGCACAGACGACAGAAACAGGTGGAAAAACACTCTGTGCATGGATTGGAAGAATCAATATCATTAAAATATCCATACTACCCAAAGCAATGTACAGATTCAGTGCTATTCCTATCAAACTACCAATATCATTTTCCACGGAATTAGAAAAAACTATTCTAAAATTCATATGGAACCTAAAAAAGCCTGAATAGCCAGAGAACAAAGCTGAAGGCATCATTTTAGTCAACTTCAAACTATACCACAAGGCTACAGTAACCAAAAAGTATGGTACAAAAACAGACACATAGGCCAATGGCACAGAATAGAGAACCCAGAAATAAAGCCACACACCTACTACCAAAGGATCTTCAACAAAGTTGACAAAAATAAACAGGGGAAAGGGTTCCCTATTCAATAGATGGTGCTAGGATAACTGTTGATCCATATGCAGTAGAATGATACTGGATCCCTATATATTACCGTATACAAAAATTAACTCCAGATGGATTAAAAGCTTAAATGTAAGACCTAAAGCAAAGAAAATTCTAGAAGAAAACCTAGGAAACACCCTTTTGGATATCAAGCTGAAAAGCAATTGCAACAAAAACAAAAATTGACAAGTGGGAACCTAATTAAAAGAGCTTCTGCACAGCAAAAGAAACTATCAAGAGTGAACAGACAACTTACAGAATGAGGGAAAATATTTGCAAACTATCCATCTGACAAATATGTAATATCTAGTATCTATTAGGAAATTTAAAAATTCAACAAGCAAAAAACCCCATTAAAAAGTGGGTGAAGGGCATGAACAGACACTTCTTAAAAGACATAGAAGTATCCAACAAACACTTGAAAAAATGCTCAACATCACTAATCATCAGAGGAATGCAAATCAAAACCACAATGAGATTCCATCTCACACGAGTCAGAATGGCTATTAAAAAGTCAAAAAATAACAGACGCTGGTGAGGCTTCAGAGAAAAGGGAACACTTATACACTGTTGGTGGGAAGGTAAATTAGCCACTGTGGAGAGCAGTTTGGAGGTTTCTCAAAGAACTGAAAGTAGAACTACCATTTGACCCAGCAATCCCATTATTTGGTATATATCCAAAGGAAAATAAATTGTTCTACCAAAAAGACACAGGCACTCATGTTCATCACAGCACTATACACAATAGAAAAATCATGGAATCAACCTAGGTGTTCATTAACTGTGGATTGGATAAAGAAGATATGGAATATATACACCATGGAACACTACACATCCATAAAAATGAAATCATGTCCTCTGCGGTAAAATGGATGCAACTGGAAGCCATTATCCTAAGTGAATTAACACAGAAGAAAACTAAATACAGCATGTTCTCACTTATAAGTGGGAGCTAAATATTAGGTACTAATGGACATAAAGATGGGAACAGTAGACACTGGGAATTATGAGAAACAAAGAGGGAAGAATTGAAAAACTGTCTATTGGGTACCATGCTCACTACCTCAGTGACAGGTTCAATCGCACCCCAAACCTCAGCATCATGCAATATACCGTTATAACAAACCTTCATATGTATCATGTATCCCTGAATCTAAAATAAAAGTAGAAAAAAAAAAGATGGCGGGGTGCAGTGGTTCATGCCTGTAATCCCAGCACTATGGGAGGCCAGGGCGGGAGGATTGCTTGAGCCCAGGAGTTTGAGAACAGCCTGGAGAACATGGCAAAACCCCTTCTCTACAAAAAATACACGAAATTAGTCAGGCATGGTGGCACGCACCTGTAGTCCCAGCTACTTGGGAGGCTGAGGTAGGAGGATTGCTTGAGCCTGGGAGGTCGAGCGTGCAGTGAGCTGAGATTACACCACTGCACTCCAGCCTAGATAACAGAGTGAGACCCTGTCTAGAAAAAAAAAAAAAAGTTATAGAAAAATATTTCTTGAAATGGAGAAATATTTGCCATGTGTATTGCTACTTGAAAAAACATCATCAGTATATACATGGTTTTATATTTAAACTTTTTCTAGGTATGTGTATAAGTATAAAAAATAGACTAAAAAGATCATAGACATTATTGGTTACTGCCTGAATATTCCTCTCCCATCTCCAATCCCACACCCATATTATGTCCTCTCTTGCTGGCAGAATGCTTATCCTTGGCTCAGCCATATGCTCATAGAAGTTGACTCTATGCCTAACTCAGAAGGTAAATTTGATTAGTCTAATCCAAATGTTGTAGGTCAATTTCCCCTTAGTAGTGATTGGTTTAGATGTAGACACATGATATATGGGAGAATCTTCTGGTAAAGAAATGAACAGTCCTCTTTCTGTGAATACTGCATCTTGATATAATGTCTGGAACTGCAACAGCTGTCTTAAACCTTGAGGGTGGCAGAGAAGGGAGATGGAAAGACGGATCCTTGATGACTTTGGTGAACTACTGAATTAACCAATCCTGGAATGGCCCATCACTGACTCTTTGTAATATGATATAATAAAATGTTCCATTGTTTGAACCATTTTGGGTTGGGTTTTCCATTTATTTACAATTGGAAGCATCCTAAATGATTTGAAGATGTTTTTGAGAATGTTAACAACGGCTATCTCTGAATGGTGAGATGATGGATTTTTTTTTGTGCTTTCCTGCATTTTCCAATTTTTTCCATAACATAATTTTTTTTTTGAAACAGGGTCTCACTCTTTTGCCCAGGCTGGTGTATAGTGGCACAATCTCAGCCCACTGCAGTCTTAACCTCCCAGGCTCAAGTGATCCTCCCATCTCAGTCCCAGGAGGAGCTGGGACTATAGTCGCACACCTCCATGCCCAGCTAATTTTTGCATTTTTTTGTAGAGTCAGGGTCTCACTTTGTTGCCTAGGCTGGTCTCCAACTCCTGGGCTCAAGCAATCTGCCTGCTTGGACTCCCAAAGTGCTGGGATTGTAGGCTTGAGCCACTGTGCCCAGCCATGTATAACTTTTATAACAAAAAATAAAGTAACTGTCTTTTGTTGGATTCATAAATGGGGCACTTGAGGCAATGGAATGAGGAAGGGGCAATGGCCATGGCCCATGAAGCCCAGAAAACCCTGGATATTCTGGGGAAAATAGATGCCTCCTCTTTGTTTTTTACAAATTTTTAATTTATAAATGACTCTGAATTTACAAATATGCAGATCTGTCTTCTATCCACCTAGCCCAGGCCTTGTTACCAATTCCCTTCCTGGACTACTGTTGGATGTTAAGGCCTGGATAGTTTTGTCTGTTAAAGAGTAGATCCTAATGGTTGAAATCATCTTCATGGCCTAGAATCTGGGAGCCCTGGGGGATCTAGGCAGACCCCATGGCTAGGACCACAACCATCAGATTGGTTTGGTTTTGCTTTAGTGGCAAACGTTTCTGTTACCCAGAGCTAACTTGTATGTAGATGATTCTAAACTCAGAAATATTCTTCTTTTTTTGCCCACCCCCCACTGTCCTCAAAGCTTCAGAGATTCTCCCAATGTAAATGCCACCTCCCAGCCCACGTTTTTATCTGATGATTCTAATTATGTAGTGACACCAAGACATTCAGCTCCCTTGCGACGACTGTTGCCTAGGCTTATTCAGTTTGGATGGCTTTTCCATCTCCATTTCTGCCTGAAGTAGTGGCTACAAAATCTGCAAATAGAAGCAGTGAATCAGAAGTGCTTCTCACTGCAAGTCACCAACACCCAATAACAGTGGCTTAAGCAATAAAGAGATTTGTATTTACGTAAATTTTCCTGGTAGCAAGACCAGAGTGGGTGTGGCAGCTCCACAGTACTAACAAAGAGCTAGCTTTCTTGGATTTGACCACCTCACTATCCTTAGCATTTGGCGTGTCCCCTCGTGATTGCAGATGGCTGCCCCAGCTCTGGCATTTCATGCACATTCTAGACAAAAAAGAGGGGGAAAGGGCCCTGCCAGCTGTGTCTGCCCATCTCCCCATGTAAGTGTAAGATCCTCCTTACAGCTCATGGGCCAGGACTGTGTTATATGGCCAGCTGCAGGGGAGGCTGGGAATGTATGTAGGTTTTCCATGTCATTCCCAGAATCACACTCTTATGTTCCTTCAACTGGCAGTACTTTAATGCAAGCCTTCTGATCACACCACACTGCTTTTCTTTTTTTTTTTTTTTTTTTTTTTTTTACTGAGACAGAGTCTCAGTCTGTCACCCAGGCTGGAGTGCAGTGACAAGATCTCGGCTCACTGCAAGCTCCACCTCCCGGGTTCATGCCATTCTCCTGCCTCAGCCTCCCAAGTAGCTGGGACTACAGGTGCCCGCCACCACGCCGGGCTAATTTTTTTTGTATTTTTAGTAGAGATGGGGTTTCACTGTGTTAGCCAGGATTGTCTCAATCTCCTGACCTCGTGATCCGCCCAACTCGGCCTCCCAAAGTGCTGGGATCACAGGCATGTGCCACAGCACCCAGCCACCACGCTGCTTTTCATTTTGGCTTCTTCGCTCATGATTTTCTCATTGTCTGAATGTCCTTCTTCTCATTCATCCAACTGCCTCCTACTCATTCTATGACACCTGCTCAGGTCTCCTCTCCTCTAGGAAGCCTTCTCGATACCCCACATTGAAGTGGATAAGCCTCCCACATATGCCCATAAAGCTTCATCCTAATCCATCCTAACATGGAGCTCATTTTATTATAACTATTTGTAGTGGGCAGTACACTCAGCTTATCTTATCAACAGGTTGTGTCGCTGGTTTGGAGAGACAGCTTTTGATGCTGGTTTTGCATAGAACATTCATTGCTTTTACTTAGATTGTATTTTTATTTTAAGAGTCTAATAGAGACAATACAGGCACTATATACACACACACCAAAACAATTCACTTCTTGGTAGCACCCATGTTTCCCCTCCATGAGGCCTGTGCCTAGTGTCCTCACGATTTCAGGAACCTGCTTTACCTGGACGAGCAATCCTGGATACCAAAGCATGTATGTTGAGTTCAGTTTAATTGCACACACATTTACTGGTGCCTGTTATGTGTTAGATTCTGTGCTGGGCACAGATTAACAAAGCACATCCTCTGCTCTTGAGTGCACAGTCTAATCAGGGAGGGACACATATACAAATAGTTATAATAAAATGAGCTCCATGTCAGGGTGGATTAGGATGAAGCGTTACGGGCATATATAGGAGGGGTATCCACTTCAGTGTGGGGTATCAGGAAGGCTTCCTGGAGGAGGGGAAACCTGAGTGGGTGTCATAGAATAAGTAGGAGTAGGCTGGATGAATGAGAGGGAGGACATTCAGACAATGGGAAAATCATGAGCAAAAATGCCAAGATGAAAAGCAGCGTGGTGGCCAGGCACAGTGGCTCATGCCTATAATCCCAGCACTTTGGAGGCCAAGGTGGGCAGATCACTTGAGGTCAGGAGTTCGACACCAGCCTGGGCAACATGGTGAAACCCCGTCTCTACTAAAAATACAAAAATTAGCCGGGCATGGTGGCACATTCCTGTAATCCCAGCTACTCGGGAGGCTGAGACAGGAGAATCGCTTGAACCCAGGAGGCAGAAGTTGCAGTAAGCCAAGATCCCACCACTGCACTCCAGCCTGGATGATAGGGCAAGACTCAGTCTAAAAAAAAAAAAACAAAACAAAAAAAAACAGTGTGGTGTGAGCAGAGGACTCACATTGAAGTATTGCCAGTTGAAGGAGCATAAAGTGTGATGCTAGGAATGACATGAGATGAAGCCCAAAACAGGGGTGGAGCCACATCAGGGCAGGCCTTAAAGGGCAGGCAGTTCAGGAAGTGTCAAGTCTCTATCTTGTACACAGTAGAGAGCCATAAAAGAGCTTTAACCTGTGCTGTCTAATAGGTTTGTCTAACACGGCTTACTGAGCACTTGAAATGTGGCTGCTCCAAATTCGGATGTGCTGTAAGTGTAAAATAAACACTGAGTTCCAAGACTTAGTACGAAAGAAAGAATGTGAAATATATCGGTAATAACCTTTCCTATTGATTACACACTGGAATGACAATGCTTTAGTATATTGGGTTAAGTAAAATGTATTATTAAAAATAATTCCACCTGTTTTAAAAAAGGTGGCTGCTAGAAAATTTAAAAGTCTATATGACTCTCAAATTTGTGCCTGACCTTATATGTCTATTGGAAAGTGCTGCTTTAAACCACTGGAGGAAGACAGAAAAGTGCAGTGGTCAAGAGCATGATTTCTGAAGCCAGACTGCCTGGGTTCAAATCCTAGCTCTACCACTTAAGAACTGTGTGATCCTAGGCCAGGTGCAGTGGCTCATGCCTGTAATCCCAGCACTTTGGGAGGCTGAAGTGGGTGGATCACGAGGTCAAGAGATCGAGACCATCCTGGCCAACATGGTGAAACCCTGTCTCTACTAAAAATACAAAAATTAGCTGGGCATGGTGGTGCTCACCTGTAGTCCCAGCTACTCAGGAGGCTGAGGCAGGAGAATCACTTTAACCCAGGAGGCAGAGGTTGCAGTGAGCCGAGATCATGCCATTGCACTCCAGCCTGAGTGACAGAGTGAGACTCCGCCTCAAAAAAAAAAAAAAAAAAAAAAGAGCTATGTGATCCTGGGCCTATTTCTTGGCTTCTTGGTGTATTAATTTGCTGGGGCTGCCATAACAAAGTACCACAGACTGGGTGGCTTAAACAACAGACACTATCTCATACTTCTGGAGGCTGAAAGTCCCAGGTCAAGGTGTTGGCAGGGGTGGTGTCTTCTGAGCCCTCTACTTGGCATGCAGATGGCTGTCTTCTTGCTGTGGTCTCACATGGGCTTTTCTCTCTGTGTATGTGCATACCTGGTGTCTCTCCCTCTTTTTATAAGAACGTCAGTCCTATTAGATTAAGACCTCTCTCTCTTTTTTATTTTTTTTTTGGAGACAGATTCTGGCTCTGTCGCCCAGGCTAGAGTGCAGTGGTGCAATCTCGGCTCACTGCAACCTCCACCTGCTGGGTTCAAGCGATTCTCCTGCCTCAGCCTCCCAAGTAGCTGGGATTACAGGCACCCACCACCACGCCCGGCTAATTTTTTTTTATATTTTCAGTAGAGATGGAGTTTCACTGCATTAGCCAGGCTGGTCTCGAACACCTGACCTCAGGTGATCCACCCACTTCTGCTTCCCAAAGTGCTGAGATTATAAGCGTGAGCCACCGCACCTGGCCAGAACCCACTCTTATGACCTCATTTTACCTTAGTTTCTTCTTTAAAGGGCCTGTCTCCAAATGCAGTCACGTTGTGGGTGAGGGCTTCAATATAGGAAGTTTCAAGGGACACAATTCAGTCCATAACACTTGGTGCCTTGGTTACTTCTTTATAAAACGGAGATCTAATAAAATGTTTCTTATGAAGTTGTCGTGAGGAATAAATGAGTTGCTCTATATGAAGCTCTTAGAATGGTGCCTGGCACACAATAAATGTTATCCAAAAGTTATCCATTATTGAACTGTTATCTAACAGTCTGGGTCCTCAAATTTTATGTTTGACCTTCATTCTCCATAAGAAGACCCAGAAGCTCGAAATTTTCCTTGAGGGTAGACATTTCCTTTTCTCTGGAATTCCCAAGGACGTAGCCCTTGATACAGAGATGAAGGCAGCGAATGCAGTGGGGAGAAAGGATGCCATGTTCCTTTGGTCCTGCCCCAAAAGATAATTGTCTCAGCTAGGTTTTTTTTTTTTTTAGATAGGATCTCACTCTGTCACCTAGACTAGAATGCAGTGGTGTGAACATGGCTCACTGCAGCCTCGACTTCCTGGGCTCAAGTGATCCTCCCACCTCAGCCTTCTGGGTAGCTGGGACTACAAGTATACACCACCACGCCCGGCTAATTTTTGTATTTTTTGTAGACAGCAGGTTTCACCATGTTGCCCAGGTTGGTCTCAAACTCCTGGGCTGAACTGATCCTCCCACCTCGGTCTCTCAAAATGCTGGGATTACAGGCGTGAGCCACCACGCCTAGACCTCAGCTAGGTGTTTAGAAGAAGTCAAAGATATCTTCAACTGGGCGTATGAGCTCAAAGATGCCATCAGCTTAGAGAGGTGTCAAGCAGGTCAAAACAGTAGTTTGGACCAAATGGCCAGACAGTGATGGAAATGAGTATAAAGCTGGAGGGAGCTGCGTGGCATGCCCTGCCCCACTCACATCGGGGCAAGCTGCAGAGGGTCTCTAAGGCGTGGGAAGGAATCTGAATTATCAAAAAGTCAGGTGGAGGAGCGAAAATCTGCATGTCCATCTCAGAACCAAAGCCTGGGATCTACAAAGCCTAGAGTGTTGCACATCTGCAAGTCACCGTCCTCAAGGGGCCATATATGCCCTCCAACGTCAGACAAGAATTTAAATTAAACCCCAGCATGAGTGACCCTCCGCAGACAGCCATTCCTTATCCCTCTGCCAGCATTTTCATTCTCAATACTATTTTTTCCATTTAGAGCAGTTTTTTCTCATCTCTTTTTTATTTTCCTTTGATAAACATAAATCCACTACTTCCCTTTAAGATCATTAGGAGGTTCAAAATAATGTAAACATCATGGCCCAAAACAAATAAAGCAATGACAGTTTTTGAGAACAAATATATTGTTTTTAAAAAAAAATACATTTTTTTTTAACCTTACTAGTGTGGTATCAAAGTGAGCACTGAGTATACTGGGTTGTTTTAAGCCTTATGTTGTGGGGAAGGCACAGCTTTTCCTCTTTTTCTTTTTACTTTCTTTTCTTTTCTTTCTTTCTTTTTTTTTTCCTTGAGACAGAGTCTTGCTCTGTCGCCCAGGCTGGAGTGCAGTGGCACAATCTCAGCTCGCTGAAACCTCCACCTCCCAGGTTCAAATGATTCTCCTGCTTCAGCCTCCCGAGTAGCTGGGACTACAGGCATGTGCCACCACACCCAGCTAATTTTTGTATTTTTAGTAGAGATGGGGTTTTACCATGTTGGCCAAGCTGGTCTTGAACTCCTGACCTCAAGTGATCCGCCCCTCTTAGCCTCTCAAAGTGCTGGGATTACATTTTTTTTTTTTTTTTGAGACAGAGTCTTCTTGCTCTGTTGCCCAGGCTGGAGTGCAGTGGCATGATCTTGGCTCACTGCAACCTCTGCCTCCAGGCTCAAGCAATCCTCCCACCTCAGCCTCCCAAGTAGCAGGGACTACAGGCTCTCACTACCACATCTGGCTAATTTTTGTATAGACAAGTTTTCTCCAGTTTCCCAGGCTGGTCTCAAACTCCTTGGCTCAAGCGATCCAGACACCTTGGTCTTCCAAAGTGCTGGGATTACAGGCATGAGCCTGTACCCAGCCAGACACAGCTTTTTCAAAGTCAAGCCCTCCACTGCTTGGTTGACATAGCCGGAAGTACAGACAGATCAGCTTAGCACATGGACATTGATGGAACTGATAAAATGGCGTATGAAGTTGGTTCTCTTCTTTTTGGTAAACAGGGAACTACTTTATCTCTGAATTTCTGAAAGTGCTTTTCTAAATGTTTTCTTACGCAACTGACTCAAAGCTGTGTTACTTAAACCCTTCTTGAGGCTTTTTCTGGCAAAGAGGACAAAATGTCAGGAGGAAAGAGTTTCCCCTTGGAGTTTCACAGAGAAAATTTGGGTCCACCTCTGACACAAGGAAAACTGATAGCTTGAATTTATCCTGCAGCTGGGCTGGAGGAGGTTGGAGTTTGTTTTTCTTGGTAACCAATCTCAAAATCCTGTCTTTTAGAGAGTCATCAAGATGAGAAAATGAAAAGACTTTTTTTTTTCTGCTCCCAGTAAACTGTGAAGAAAAGACATTTTAATATCAACCTGAAGACTCTAGAAATAGATTTTTGTAATAAATGTTGAAAGGAACAACACAGTTGGTATTTGAGCCTTCGTGTTTCAGATTAAATGTCTTCAGAACTTCAACTCTGTATTCCAAACAAAACAAGCTCAATTGCACATTAGCCTTTTTTGAAAAGTTTGAAAATGTTAGTCTGGTCCCAAAGTAGGGCAACAGTTTCTAAATTTATCCAAGTGAATATTTCTTTGGCCACTTACAAACTTTATTTTATTTATTTATTTATTTAGAGACAGAATCTTACTCTGTAGCCCAAGCTGGAGTGCAGTGGAGCAGTCTCAGCTCACTGCAACCTCTGCCTCCTGGGCTCAAGCGATTCTCTTGCCTCAGCCTCCCGAGTAGCTGGGACTACAGGCACGTGTTACCACGCCTGGCTAAGTTGTTGTATTTTAGTAGAGATGGGGTTTCACCATGTTGCCTAGGGTGATCTCGAACTCCTGAGCTCAGGCTGTCTGCCTGCCTTCCCTGGTTGAGAATCACTGATCTCAAGACAGCAAATGTTTAGGGAAATAACGTTCCCTCTTTCTGCTAAGTAGACGATGGACTTAGCCTTTCTGCATCACTGGTAGTGACATCCCCAGGAAGTACAGATGATTAGAATGTGAACACAGCCTTGCAATTAGGGCTTCTCAATGCCTGGTGACCTTTTCTCTCACAGTGGGAATGTCATTGTCATGTTTCCCTTTTAATTTGTGACTAAGAATGAATGTCATCACCCACAATCTCTTTCTCTTCTGGTTACCAGCCACTATATAAATAACACAGCTACATGTAATTGAATTTCCAAAGACTTCAGACCTATTTAAAGGGAGGCTATCCTTTACTTAAGTAATAGCAGAGGTAACAGCTGGAGAGGTAACGTCTTTAGCGTGAGCAGGGCAATTCCACAAGTATCTTTAGGTTGAAAAGAATTTAAAGAGAAGTCTTGGTCTAAACTCAGTAAATCATTGGCTCATTCGTTCATTCAGCACATGCTAAAGTTCTATGTAAATGTCTGCAGTCACAAAGTCAAATGAGACAAGGTTCCTGAGCCCTGATTAGCGGGAGAAAAAGAACTAAGCAGGCAGGCGTTTACTAAGCTTTACTAAGAACTAAGGGAGGGGTTTAGAAAACACCAGGGGAGGCCCAGCACAGTGGCTCATGCCTCAAATCCCAGCATGATGGGAGGCCAAAGTGGGAGGATCACTTGAGCACAGGAGTTTGAGAGCAGCCTAGTTAATGTAGTGAGACCTCATCTCTACAAAAAATAAAAAAACGTAGGCATGGTGGCATGCACCTGTAGTCCTGGCTACTTGGAGGCTGAGGTGGGAGGATTACTTGAGCCCAGGAGGTCGAGGTTGCAGTGAACTGTGATTGCACCACTGCACTCCAGCCTGGGCACGGAGCAAGATCCTGTCTCCAGGGAAAGGAAAAAAAAAAAAAAAAGAAAACACCAGGGGAGCACAGTGGAAGGGACAGGGGCCAGAGTGCAGTCTGGACAGGGTCTTGAATGATATCCTGGTCAGAAGAGTCTAGGTGATGTTGTGGCCGCAGATAAACGTGAAAATCCACAGCTTATCACCAACAAAAGTTCATTTCTATGGGTTGGGCTATTGCCCTCCACCTTGCCGCTGCCCCATCTAAAACACACAGCCTCCAAAGTCTTCTCAGCAGGGAAGAGACCACTGGTTCTTAGATACTTGAGCTCTTAAATACCTTGTCTGAGAATTGACACATGTCACTTCTGCTCACGATCCACTAGCCAGAATTATATGGTCCCAACTTAATTGCTAGGGAGGCTGGGGAAGGTGGAGGAGCAAATAGTTATTTGGTGAGCGCTCTCTCTGAACAGACATGGAAGAGAGTGAGGGGAGGGAACAGAATATGCTAAGGAAGAGGAATAAGGGCGTGTGGGAGGTTTGGGGAGCAGCACCAAGTACCTGCTAGATAGGAGGCTAGATTGGGCCTCAGGTGGGAATTGGGGTGTGGTGAAGACTGCCAATACAATGCCAGGCTAAGGAATTAGGACTTCACCTCCTGGAACCGGGGGACCGCTAAACAAGCAGTGACGTAGCGTTCGTCCAGGTCCTTTCCAGCCCCATTCCTTTAGCAAGCCTCCGTAGACCTTCAGCAAGACTCGTTTGGAGCCGTCCCTGGCCTCCAGACGCTGGCTCTGCCTCTGAGAATTGCCATAGCAGGGTGGCTGAAAGCATCAATTTGGGACTTAGGCTGCTCAAGTTTGAATGCTAGTTCTGCCACCTGAGACTTTGGGCAAATCATTCTGCTTCTCTGTAATTTAGTTTCCTCGTCTGTAAGATCAGGATAATAGTAGGTGCTATTAAGTGGTTGTACAGATTACAGGAGTTAAAATGTGTAAGGTGCTCAGAAAAGTACCTGGCATGGAGAAAGTGCTATGTAATTTTTAGTGTTTTTCATCATTTCATCATTTTCCATCCTCCTTTCCATCAGATCCTTGTTTTCTGTACAGCCCCTGAGATAAAATCTGCAACCAATGGCAACACACACAAAAAACCCATCCTCTGTTAGTAAAATTTTAGGCCAGAATACCGGCAGCTGTGGGAAATGCTTGGAAACCTTTTTCCGTATTCCTAAAACTGTAGCATAGATAAGGACCATCTTGGCATGATGAATGGAGGTGAAATTGAAGTTGCCAGATAAAATACAGTATGCCCAGCTAAATTTGCATTTCAAATAAATAACAAATAATGTCATAGTTTAAGTATATCTGATGCAGTATTTGTTACAATATTGCATGGGACATACTGATACTAAAACATTATTCACTGTTTATCTGAAATGCAAATTTAACTGGTGATATGGTTTGGCTCTGTGTCCCCACCCAAATCTCATCTCAAAATGTAATCCCCACATGTCAAGGAAGGGAAGTGATTGGATTATTGGGGCGGTTTCTACCATGCTGTTCTTGTGGTAGTGAATTATCATGAGATCTGATGATTTTATAAATGGTAATTCTGCTTGTGCTCTCACTGGCTGTCCTGCTGCCTTGTGAAGAAGGTGCCTGCTTCCCTTTCCACCATGACCGTAAGTTTCCTGAGGCCTCCCCGGCCATGCGAAACTATGAGTCTATTAAACCTCTTTTGTTTATAGATTACCCAGTCTCAGGCAGTTCTTTTTATTTTTTTTTTGAGACAGAATCTTGCTCTGTTGCCTAGGCTGGAGTGCAATGGCGCGATCTCAGCTTACCGCAACCTCTGCCTCCCAGGATCAAATGATTCTCCCGCCTCAGCCTCCCAAGTAGCTGGGACTACAGGTGTAGTTTTTAATGTTCATGACAAGTCTTTATTTTGTTCTCTATAATTTTTCTTTATTAAAATGTTCCATAATTCACTTGTGTTTCTTTCATAACCAGATTGTGAACCAAAAAGTGTTATTGTTTTTGTTTGGTTTTGAGACAGGGTCTTGCTCTGTCTTAATACATATTTATTGATTTATTGATTTATTTTTGAGATGGAGTCTCACTCTGTTGCTCAGGCTGGTGTGCGGTGGCGCCATCTCGGCTCACTGCAACCTCCGCCTCCCAGGCTCAGGCAATTCTCCTGCCTCGGCCTCTCTAGTAGCTGGGATTACAGGTGCCCACCACCACGCCTGGCTAATTTTTATATTTTTAGTAGAGATGGGGTTTTACCATGTTGGCCAGGCTGGTCTTGAACTCCTGACCTCAGGTGATCCACCCACCTCAGCCTCCCAAAGTGCTGGGGTTACAGGCGTGAGCCACTGTGCCCAGCCAATACATTTATTTTTAGATGAACATTGATGCGAAAATCCTTCATAAAATACTGGCGAACTGAATCCAGCAGCACATCAAAAAGCTTATCCATTTATTTAATAAATGGTGTTGGGAAAACTGGCTAGCTATATGCAGAAAACTGAAACTGGACCCCTTCCTTACGCCTTATACAAAAGTCAACTCAAGATGGATCAAAGACTTAAATGTAAGACCTAGGACCATAAAAACCCTAGAAGAAAACCTAGGCAATACCATTCAGGACATAGGCATGGGCAAGGACTTCATGTCTAAAACACCAAAAGCAATGGCAACAAAAGTCAAAATTGACAAATGAGATCTAATTAAAGAGCTTCTGCACAGCAAAAGAAACTATCATCAGAGTGAACAGACAACCTCCAGAATGGGAGAAAACTTTTGCAATCTATCCATCTGACAAAGGACTAATATCCAGAATCTACAAAGAACTTAAACAAATTTACAAGAAAAAAGCAAATAACTCCATCAAGAAATGGGCAAAGGATATGAACAGACACTTCTCAAAAGAAGACATGCAGCCAACAGACATATGAAAAAATGCTCATCATCACTGGTCATTAGAGAAATGCAAATCAAAACCACAATGAGATACCATCTCACACCAGTTAGAATGGCGATCATTAAAAAATCAGGAAACAGATGCTGGAGAGGTTGTGGAAAAATAGGAATGCTTTTACACTGTTGGTGGGAGTATAAATTAGTTTAACCATTGTGGAAGACAGTGTGGCGATTCCTCAAGGATCTAGAACTAGAAATACCATTTGACCCAGCCATCCCATTACTGGGCATACACCCAAAGGATTATAAATCATTCTACAATAAAGACACATGACATGTATGTTTATTGCAGCACTATTCACAATAGCAAAGACTTGGAACCAACCCGAATGTCCATCAATGTTAGACTGGATTAAGAAAATGTGGCACATATACACCATGGAATACTATGCAGCCATAATAGAGGATGAGTTCACACCCTTTGCAGGGATCTGGATGAAGCTGGAAACCATCATTCTCAGCAAACTATCACAAGATCAGAAAACCAAACATTGCATGTTCTCACTCATAAGTGGGAGTTGAACAATGAGAACACATGGACACAGGGAGCAGAACATCACACACCGGGGCCTGTGGGGGGTGGGGGGCTAGGGGAGGGATAACATTAGGAGAAATACCTAATGTAGATGATGGGTTGATGGGTGCAGCAAACCACCATCGCACATGTATACCTATGTAACATAACTGCACGTTCTGCACATGTAACCCAGAACTTAAACAAAAAAACGAAACTCTGCCTCAAAAAAAAAAAAAATTTTTTGTAGGCCGGATGCCATGGCTCACAACTGTAATTCTAACACTTTGGGAGACCAAGGTGGGTGGATTGTTTGAGCCCAGGAGTTCAAGACGAGCCGGGGCAACATGGCGAAACTTTGTCTCTACAAAAAAAGAAAAAAAATTAGCTGGGTGTGGTGATGCATGCCTGTAGTCCCAGCTACTTGGGAAGCTGAGGTACAAGGATTACTGAGCCGAGGGAGGTAGGGGCTGCAGCAAGCTGTGATTGCACCACTGCATTCTAGCCTGGCAGCAGAGAGAGTAAGATCCTGTCTAAGAAAAAGAAAGAAAGAGAGAGAGAGAGAGACAGAGAGAGAGAGAGAGAGAGAGAGAAAGAAAGAATAAAAAGAAAACCTATCTATCTAGCCTGAGGGCCTCCTCCTCAATATCTTCCTGATCTTGGAAGCTGGAAGGTTCTTCCTTTTTCCTGAGGCCCCAGAGGTTTTTGTTTGCACAAGACAGGTCTCCGCTTCTAAAAAACTAGATTGATCTAGAAGCCAGAATCCTTCCTGTAGCTTTGCAGAGGCTGTAAATGTTTGGCTGAAGCAAGCCATGAGTCTCCTTACCCAGTATCTCCCCTTTTAGACTTTTCTGGAGAGGTCCCTGGGGCTAGCCTGAGGTGACATCAGGCTCATTATTCCTGGGTGGAGAGCTGGTCTCCAGAAAGCCATTTCTAGTGTTTTCTGGAGTTATATGCTAAGGGAGGGTAGATGCAATAGACTAAATTTAACAATGTACAATGTAATGGGTAGACATTTAAGGCTCTGCACCTGAGTTATAAAAAATATTCTGAATGTATTACTGAGGTTTAATATCAGGACCTATAGAAGTTCCACTTGATTTTACAGTGGTCAGACTAGCCCAGAGAACTGTGTTCAGTTTGGGGTTTAAATAACCTTTAGGTGGATATAGCTTAAAAACAACAGAACGAAAAAGAGTTACCCAAAGCGATGACAGACCTAAAGCCAAGTCCTATTAGGCTGGTGCAAAAGCAATTGCGGTTTTGCCATTACTTTTGATAGCAAAAACCATGATTACTTTTGCACCAGTAATTCCACATGGACAGGGGATTTAAAAAAACTTCCAGCTCAAGTAAGTTATGCTTTGTGAAAACGCCTGTACAGGCTGGGCGGGGTGGCTCACACCTGTAATCTCAGCACTTTGGGAGGCCGAGGCAGGTGGATCACTTGAGGTCAGGAGTTCGAGACCAGCCTGGCCAGTAGAGTGAAACCCCATTTCTATTCAAAATACAAAAAAATTAGCTGGGCATGGTGGCACATGCCTGTAATCCCAGCTACTCAGGAGGTTGAGGCAGGAGAATTGCTTGAACCTGGGAGTCAGAAGTTGCAGTGAGTTGAGATCATGCCGTTGCACTCCAGCCTGGGAACAGAGTGAGACTCCATCTCAAAAAAAAAAAAAAAAAAAGAAAAGAAAAAAGAATAAAGAATAAAAAGAAAATGCATGTATGATTTGGAATAGCTAGCTAGTCACACATGCTGATTTTCTGTGCAGAATCCTTTTGCCCTTCTGGTAAAACATTTCTGTGAGTTTCCACTGGGAACTGCTCCTTCGCAGCTCAGTCCTGGGGTTTGGGAGAGGCTGACCCCACGCTCAGGTCGAGCTCCAGTGGATGGAGGCTAATTATTGATGCTAGTATTCAGTGTAGTGGTGAGGTTGGCTTAGTTATGGGTACTTTCCCCCATAGATGGAGGGCTCAAGGGCTCAAGTCACTCAGTGGGAAGAGTATCTTTCTCTGTCCGCCAGATTTGAAGCTGAGAGGATGTAAAAACTGCTGCCGCAGCTGCAGTCATCTTATGATAATGAGAGGAGAACCTGAGAACAGAGCAGAGCTAGGAGGAGAAACTGGATTCTTGAGGTATTTTTTGAATCACTGGTTAATGCCACCTTAAGTCAGACTTGTAACTGAAACTTTTGGGTTATGGGTGCCCATAAATTTCAGCTCTTCTTTCAACATTTTGCATCATATTTTATTTCACTTGAACCCAAACTCTCCCAAGTATAGAGAGCAGAGCTTTGAAGGCGGGGCATCCAGGAAAGAGGAATTTTGATGGCAGCTGACCTGTTTGGACGGGTGCGGGTGACTTGATTTAAATGATGTGTGACAACCTGTGTTTTCTGTGAGACTCTAAGGCTTGTGGCTTGTCAGTCCAGTATTGTAGCCAATATTAGCAAACCGTATTTAAGAATTAGCTACCACAATAAGAAACAATAATTTGATTTTAAAATTACCCATGAGTGCTGAGGGTTTATTCCACAAACCTGCTAGAGAAAATCAAAGCATAAGAAATCTTTTGGACTGGCTAATATAGGCTTCCTTTTCCATTACCCACCTTGGCACAGATTCAAAGTTTCTCACTCATATCTATTTTTATGTATTTTTATTTTTATTTTGAAATGGAGCTTTGCTCTTGTTGCCCAGGCTGGAGTGCAGTGGCGCGATCTCGGCTCACTGCAACCTCCACCTCCTGGGTTCAAACAATTCTTCTGCCTCAGCCTCCTAAGTAGCTGGGACTACAGGTGCACACCACCATGCCTCGCTAATTTTTTGTATTTTTAGTAGATACAGGGTTTCACCATGTTGGCCAAGCTGTTCTCGAACTCCTGACCTCAGGTGATCCACCCTCCTTGGCTTCCCAAAGTGTTGGGATTACAGGAGTCAGCCACCGCGCCCAGCCTCCATGTTTAAACAACCATGTGAGCAAGTCGGTACAATGTGAAGCATCATTGGAGCCCTGGAGACAGTCAGTGTGGGAGACAGTCACCTGAGGATATATGATCCAGGAATCAAGCCTTTGAATGAACAGGAAATAAGACATGTAGAGGGATGACTAATTTGAAGATTTTCTACCCTAGCTTGTTCCAAAGATGCACAGGTGAGCTGAATATTAATACCCACTGGCAACCCAGAGCTGACAGTGATCAATTCCAATTTTTCCTTCCTTCCCCAAATATGTAGAACACTTACTAGGTACCAGGAATTTTGCCCAGATGCAATGATAGCTGGTGAATGTGGTACACTCCAGGTCCTTGCAAAACTTATAAGTTAATGGGAAAGACTGACAAGACAGACAAGTAAGTGACAGTTTAATACACGTAGTAAGTGCTAAATGTGACATATAGGGGACTTTGGAAGTAGAAATGTATATGGAGACATGAGCAGAGACCTGATTATAAAGGGTCTTGTGTGCCATGCTGGAGATCTTTTTTTTTTTTTTTTTTTTTTTTTTTTGAGATGGAGTCCCACTCTGTGGCCCAGGCTGGAGTGTAGTGGCACAATCCCAGCTCACTGCAACCTCCGCCTCCCAGGTTCAAGTGATTATCATGGCTCAGCCTACATTTTATATATATAATGTAAAAATGGAAAATGCTAAAAATGTAACCAAGATACTATTGAAGAAAAATAAAACCAGAAGATTTTCACTACCAGATATGAATTACAATAAAGCAACAGTACTTAAGACAGTGGTATTAAAGCAAGGATAGACAAATTGGTCAACGGAATTGAATAGAGTTTAGCAGCAGACTCCACACATACCCAATCCCCTGATTCATAATGAAGGCTCCTCTGCAATTCTTGGGGGGCAGGGAGAGGGGTATTTTCAATAAATGATGCTGTAACAATTGGATATCCACATGGGGAAAAATGAACTTCACACTATACATAAAAATTAATTCCAGATGAATTTTAGAGCTAAGTGTGAAAAGTAAAATAAGAAGTTCTACAAGTTTACTCTAGAAGAAAACAGAATAACTTCATGATCGCCAAATAGGCAAAAATTTCTTAAACAGAACACAAAAGCACTAACCATAGAAGAAAACATTGATAAATTACCTTCTTTAAAGTTAAGTTTATTCATCAGATGACATCATTAAGAGAGTGAAAAGGCAAGTCATACGCTTGGAGAAGATATTTGGAATACATATGTCTGACAAGTGACTTAAATCCAGAATATAAGCAAACTCCAATAGATCAATGAGAAAAAGATAACCCAATTTTACAAAATGGACAAAATATGTGATAGCATGTCTTAAAAGAGGATTTCAAAATGGTCAATAAACAAATGTGTTTAATGGCTGGGCACGGTGGCTCATGCCTGTAATCCCAGCACTTTGGGAGGCCAAGGCAGGCGGATCACCTGAGGTCGGGAGTTCGAGACCAACCTGACCAACATGGAGAAACCCCATCTCTACTAAAAATACAAAATTAGCCAGGCATGGTGGCACATGCCTGTAATCCCATCTACTTGGGAGGCTGAGGCAGGAGAATCGCTTGAACCCAGGAGCTGGAGTTGCAGTGAGCCGAGATCACGCCATTGCGCTCCAGCCTGGGCAATAACAGCGAAACTCCATCTAAAAAAAAAAGAAAAAAAGAAAATGTGTTTAATATTTTTGGTCAACAATGAAATGAAAATAAAACCACAATAAGAGGCCCCTATACACACATCAAAGTTGCTAAAATTAAAATGACTGACAAAACCAAATGTTGGCAAGGACATGGAGCTGCTGGAACTCTCTGCATCAGTCATGGAAGTGTGAACAGCAGCTGCTTTGGAAATTTGTTTGGCAATACGCCTAAAGCTGACCATTTATAAATCCTGTGATCCTGGATATTTACCCAGCAGAATAAACACTGTACATACCCCCCAAAACATGTATTAATACAAGAAGTTTCATAGCAGTTTTATTTGGAGCTAAAAATGGACAATTGTCCAAATGTCCATCCACAATGGAATGGGTAAGTAAATTGTTGCATATACATGTTTGCATTGGACTATTACACAGAAATGAAGAAAACAAACTTCTACTGATAACGACATGGATGTAACTCTTACAGATACAATGATGAGTATAAAAAGTCACAAGCAAAAAAATAAATAGTGATTTACTTTGCATAAAATTCAAAAGCAGGCAAAACTAACCTATGGTGATTATACAGGTTGGAACATTGATTACTTATGGAGGACTGACTGATAAAATATATGAGGGAGCTTCCAAGGAGCTTGTAATGCTCTGTTTCTTGGCTTGGGTGGTGGATATTTCGTGTGTGTTTAAGTACAAATTTATAAGCTATATACTTAATATTTGTATATTTCACTGCATGAAAGTTACATCTCAATTTTTTTTTTTAATGGAGGCCGGGGGTGGGAGCAGAATTACTTGAAAGCAGTACTGGAAATCCAGGCATGGTATTATGAGAGCAGCAAAACAGGAGATTTGCTGAAAACATAAAGCAGATGTGATCAGACTGATAAAAACATAACAGAGCTGAGGCACCCACAATCTCATGAAAGCAGAAAGAGAGCATCTCCAAAATAGTACATTTTCCCATTAGAACTCCAGAATTATCTCAGGTTCAGAGATAGCAGAGATGGGAAAAGGAACCGGTAGGATAGTGAACTGGTAATTTATTCATGAGCTACAAACGTCTTCACCTATTTTCTGTTTTAGAAGTGGCTAGTTCTGAATTTTTTCCCCAAGGGATAACTTTATTTATTTATTTATATTTTATTTATTTTGAGATGGAGTTTTGCTCTTATTGCCCAGGCTGGAGTGTAGTGGCACGATCTCTGCTCACTGCAACCTCCACCTCCTGGATCCAAGTGATTCAGTGATTCTCTTGCCTCAGCCTCTTGAGTAGCTGGGATTACAGGTGCCTGCCACCACGCCTGGCTAATTTTTTGTATTTTTAGTAGAGATGGGGTTTTGCCATGTTGGCCAGGCTGGTCTTGAACTCCTGACCTCAAGTGATCTGCCCACCTTGGCCTCCCAAAATGCTGGGATTACCATGACCAGCCCAAGTGATAACTGTAAATGAAGCTTATTGCTTACCAAATAAGATGAGAATAGTGATACAAAAGAGGCTCCCAGAGAAGGCACTGGGGCCAGAGAAAGTATGGCAACCAAGAAGGAGGTCTCAAATGCACTCTCTTTATCTCCCCACTCCTACCTCCTGCTTTGCACAACCACTGGAGCTAGAACCACTGTAAACAAATCTCCATTTACTCCTAAGAAAGCAGAGATTCTCACCTGGAGAAATATAGCCAAATTATTGATTCCATTTTTTTTTTAACTCACCTGTATTAGTCCATTTTCTTTTCTTTTTTTTTTTTGAGATGGATTCTTGCTCTGTTGCCCAGGTTGGAGTACAGTGGCTCAATCTTGGCTCACTGCAACCTCCACTTCTGAGGTTTAAGCAATTCTCCTGCCTCAGCCTCCTGAGTAGCTGGGATTACAGGTGGGCGCCACCATGCCCGGCTAATTTTTGTATTTTTAGTAGAGACTGGGTTTCACCACATTGGCCATGCTGGTCTTGAACTCCTGAGCTGGTGATCCGCCTGCCTCAGCCTCCCAAAGTGCTGGCATTACAGGCATGAGCCACCACGCCTGGCCCCATTTTCATACTGCCATAAAGAAATACCTAGACTGGGTAATTTATATAGGAAAGAGGTTTAATTGACTCACAGTTTTACATGTCTGGGGAAACCTCAGGAAACCTACAATCATGGCGGAAGGGGAAGCAGGCACATCTTACATGGTGGCAGGCAAGAGAAGAGAAAGTGAAGAGGGAAGAGACCCTCATAAAACCATCAGATCTCAGGAGAACTCACTCATTATCATGAGAATAACATAGGGGAAACTGCTCCCATAATCCAATCACTTCCCTTCCTGGACATGGACACGTGGGGATTACAATTGCAGATGAGATTTGGATGGGGACACAGAGCTAAACCATATCACCATCTGATTCATTCTCATAAACTGTTAATTCATAACAGAGGAGACCCTCATGTAGAAATAAGGACAGTCAAAAATCATGAAACACTTGAGGAAAACCAGCAGAAGAAGAGTCATCAAACTCAACAAGTAAATGAACAACTTCCTGATAAAACAGAAGTCATTACAACTACAGAAAAAAAAAAGCCATTCTATACAAAGAAGCAGAGTTCTTAGAAATTAAAAGCATGATTGCTGATATAAAAATATTTCAGCAGATGAAATGAAGAGCAGAACGGCATGGATAAGGATCAAATTCATGAACACAAAGTTCACTAAATTGAGTTATGGCAATCTCCCACATTCAGTAAATGAAGGCAAAGAAAGTAAAGAGTCAAAGAAAAATACTAACAGCCATGGAGGCTAGAGGCAAGTGTTAAAAAATTCCCAGCCAGGCATGGTGGCTCACATGTGTAATCCCAGCATTTGGAAGGCCAAGGAGAGAGGATAGCTTGAAGTTAGGAGGTTGAAGGCAGCCTGGGCAACAAAGTGAGACTCTATTAAAAAAAAATTCCCATGCATTCCAGAAGGGATAAATAGAAATAATTGAGGGAATGAAAGAATCAAATAATTAATAGAAAAAATGTCTTTCCTGTAGAAAGCCTTAATTCTACAAATTGAAAGGGTCCATTGAGTGCTAGGCAAGAATAATGAAACATTATATCCTCATGAAATTTCTGAATTCCCAGGATAAAGAGAAAATCCCCCAAAGCTTGGTAGATATGATAGGAGAATGACATGTCACCTATAAGGGGTTGATAACCACAGTAGCATGGGACCCTCCATCTGCAGCACTCCATCTGAATCTGGAATTCTAGACCACATTAACCTATCACTTAATTATTTTGAATCCAGAATTCTATATTCTGTTAATGTATAATTAAATTATGGGGTTCGGTGCGGTGGCTCATGCCTGTAATCCCAGCACTTTGGGAGGCCGAGGCAGGCAGATCACTTGAGGCCAGGAGTTTGAGACCAGCCTGGGCAACATAGCGAAATCCTGGCTCTATTAAAAATACAAAAATCAGCTGGATGTGATGGCGCATGCCTGTAATCCCAGCTACTTGGGAGGCTGAGGCACAAGAATCGCTTGAACCCAGGAGACGGGGGTTGCAGTGAGCCAAGATTGGGCCACTGCACTCCAGCTTGAGCGACAGAACAAGACCCTGTCTCCAAAAAAAAAAAAAAAAAATTATGAGGGCAAAATCAATATGTATTTGGACTTGCAAAGATTCGAAGTTTACCACCCAGGAATACTTTCTGAAACAGATACTCAAAGACGTCCCCAAAGAAGGTGAAGGAGGAGGAGAAGTGGGAAAAGAGGAAGACATAGGACATGAAAAACAGTGGCGAGCAAAGAAACCAATAGAGCTTGTAGCTAAGTCCATTGCAAAATAATTGAGTAAAGTATTTTTGTTTTGAAGATTGCACTATTTGCCCAGGTCGATGATACGGGTCTTCACTGTGAGCTGGTCTCTCTATCAGTGAAGGTCTGGAACCATCCGCCTTCACAGCTGTTGTGGCTTCCTCAGCGACTGTGCTGCTCATTGCTGATTTGGTCCCCACTGCCTGGCCTGCTTCTCCTTAGGGCTGTGGGTGGCTGATCCTGGGTCCGGAAATGGGCTGTCAGCAGGCTTCCTTTCAGGGTTTGTGGAATAAAAACACCAACAGCTGAGGCTTTTGCAAGTGAGGAAGGTGATGCTGTGTGTGTGTGTGTGTGTGTGTGTGTGTGTGTGTGTGACAGAGACAGAGACTGGGTGACACAGCCTGTCTCACTTGGTGTTGTCTCCACCACCTGAGGTCGGGGGAGGATAGGTGAATACTAAGCCTGCTGCTCCTTGAACTTGTCTGTTGCAGTGTCTGAAGTTTGCTCCCAAATCCAAGTCCAAATCTAAATCTTGCTGCTGCCCCAGCTTCTGCTGGGGGGATCACAGGGTCTCTTGAGTCCATTACAGTGAGGAGAGAGAGCACTATTGTAAAAATAGGGAGTCCAGGACTTGTCCCCTAAGCTGAGCTGTCCCTTTCCACCCATGCTTGTTTTGCTTTTCTGAGAATACTAGCGTTTTGGGTAAATTACACACTGGTTGTAGCACAGCCACGTGCAGCAGACAATAGTGCACTTGTTGCCCAAGGTCTACACACTAACTCCAGGTAGGGTGTTTGATGTATGTGTGTGTCTAAAGGGAGGGAGAGGTATGCTGGAGAAGGCAGAGTAATCCTACTGTTTCTCCAATAGCAGCAAAGTATCTGAGAGTCATTAAGCTTCAAAAAATGAGAAGTTGGCCTTTGTTTGAGTTAGAGACTTCATCAGAAGGGCATTTCTCCAGAGGGACAGGTCCTTCTTATCAGCCTTTACAAATCTGCTTGAGATGATGACTCCATTCTGGGAGGGGTAATGTGGCTTCTTTGAAGGTGGCCTTGGGGTTTTCACAGATGTCGAGTCAGCCAGGGTTAGATGAGGTGGGGGTGGAGCAGACTGTTACAGAGGGACTGTTACTTTGTTTCAAACACACAAGTTTTCAGCCAATATACTTCAAAGGCTTCAAATATTTAAATTATTTCTGTTAATGCAAACTTCAGGCAGTAAGTGCAACCCCAGAGTATATTAAACTCATTACAATTAGATATTCAAGCCATTCCTAAAAAACCCACATATAAACAATTTATTTACAATTTATGGGAGGCTGGGGAGGGAGGATTGCTTTTGCCCAGAAGTTGAAAGTTGCAGTGAGCTGTGATCACGCCACTGCATTCCAGCCTGGGCGACAGAGCAAGACTCTGTCTCTAAATAAATAAATTAAATTAAAAACAAAAATAACAATTTGCAAGCCTGCCAGGAGCTGTCCCAAAGCAGTCTCTGTAATCATTTATGGTCAGGAGTGTGGTAAGCAAGAATGGATTTTTTTCCAGGAGAGTCCCAGGATATTTAGTATCCAATCTCCCTCCTCGATTCTCCTTCTGGCCTTGTAGCCAGATGGGAACCCACTGGACAAACCCCAAACCTCTTCACACTGGAATCCGACACTGAGAAGAGCAGCTTGGGGGAAAATCTCCCTAGAGATACTGAACCAGTGTTCAGAATGAAATTTTTTGCCTGCCCTCTGCCTTCCCATACCCATGGCTCTCCAGAGTCCTCTCAGAGCTCTCCCGAAATCCCATTCACTTATGTCTCAGGAATATTGGGAAAAATGGGGCTTTCCAAGATATCTTTCTTGTAAACCTGATCCCATATAGATTTGCCAGAACCAAAACTAATTTGGAAAGTCCTTAATATTTGCCTATTTGATAAAATAAAAATAAAAATGGGCATAAACGTTTTTTGTCATTGAATTTTTAAAAACGATTTTAAACTTTTTTTTTTTTTTTTTTTTGAGATGGAGTCTTGCTCTGTCACCCAGGCTGGAGTGCAGTGGCGCGATCTCGGCTCACTGCAACCTCTGCCTCCCGGGTTCTCGCCATTCTCCTGCCTCAGCCCCAGAGTAGCTGGGACTACAGGCGCCTGCCACCACGCCTAGCTACTTTTTTATATTTTTAGTAGAGACGGGGTTTCACCGTGTTAGCCAGGATGGTCTCGATCTCCTGACGCCGTGATCCACCTGCCTCGGCCTCCCAAAGTGCTGGGATTACAGGTGTGAGCCACTGCGTCCAGCCAATTTTAAACATTTTTAAGGCTGGGTGTGGTGGCTTATGCCTATAATCCCAGGACTTTGGGAGGCCGAGGTGGGTGGATCATTTGAGGTCAGGAGTTTGAGAACAGCCTGACCAACATGGTGAATCCCCGTCTCTACTAAAAGTACAAAATTAGCTAGGCGTGGTGGCATGTGCCTGGAATCCCAGCTACTTGGGAGGCTGAGGCAGGAGAATCGCTTGAACTCGGGAGGCAGAGGTTGCAGTGAGCCGAGATAATGCCATTGGACTCCAGCTTGGGCAACAAGAGTGAGACTCTGTCTCAAAAACAAACAAACAAACAAACATTTTTAAGTGTACAGTTCAGTGTTAGGTCCATTCACATTGTTGTGCAATCACCACCACTATCCATCCACAGAACTTTTTTCATCTTGCAAAACTGAAAGTCGATACCCACTAAACACTAAGTCTCAGCCAGGCATAGTGGCTCACAACTGCAATCCCAGAACTTTGGGAGGCTGAAGCGGGAGGATCCCTTGAGGCCAATAGTTCAAGACTAGCCTGGGCAACACAGCAAGACCCTGTCTCTACATTTTTTTTAAAAAATTAGCTGGACATGGTGGCATGTGCTTGTAGTCCCAGCTACTTGGGAGGTTGAGGTGGAGGGATCGCTTGAGCTTGGGAGGTCAAGGCTGCAGTGAGCCATGATTGCACCACTGAACTCCACCCTGGGTGACACAGTGAGATCCTCCTGTCTCAAAGAAAGAAGAAGAAGAATGAGGAGGAAATGGAGGAGAGGGAGAAGGAGAAGAAAGCTTCTTTCAAGTTCTTTTTTAGAAAATGCTGGTATATTAACCATGCTCTCTTGAAAGAACATTTTTCTTAAGTCAAATACTTTGTCAGCAATAATCCCACTGTTCCTCCAAACTTAACACTGGTTCAAGATTCTGTTTTAATTCTTGTGACAAATACTGTTGGATGAGGAGATAATTTTTCATTATGTGATCCAATGAACTCACCATTGAGTAAGAAGTATTGTTTTAACCAAAAATATGTATTTGAAATTTAAAAATGAGCCAATGAAAAGAATTGATGAAAGTCAAGCAATCTAATGTGGAATATAGAGTAAGATGGATTGTCCTGAAATATAATTTTCAAAAAGTTGAAAACATGACTTATGCAACTATAAGATGAAAACATATCTAAGATTCTATTCAATTGATTAATGGAGGACTCAGTAAGTTGTTGATCTCAAAGGAGAACTAGCAAGATGTTAAGGTTCAAAGGAAAATCCAACATCAGGAATGATCACATGAATTTGCTAATAGGTGCCAAACTGGTTAACTAGTTAGTATCATATAGGACAAAATGAAATTAGTGGGTTTAACTTATTTATTTTCTGGCAGAAAGGACTGATCACTTATATTTCTCTTGGAAAACATTCATTTTCACTGCTATGGACATAAATCTTTTACATTATCATCAGTTTTCGGCAAGTTAACTTCTAGCCCTCTAGTGCTGCAAAATAGCCTAGTCAATAGGAAGTCCAGCGACGGTGCACCCAGCACCCCACTGAAAGGATACCCAGTAATCTCTTTTGCCCATTTCCAAGTTTTGGACAAATTTTCCTGACATTATCAATAAAAAATGTATATACATATATACTTAAGTTTATTTATTTTGCAAGGGGCCACAGTGGGGATGAAGTGGTATAGGCTGGTTAAAAATCTTAAGTGAATGGTATATTTGTTGAAACAATGACATGATTTCCAAGTTTGAAGTTTATGGAGAGCTGAACTTAAAAAATTTGTCTAAATAATAGAGACACACCGTCCATCTATTGCTCCCCAAACAGGTGCCTGTCTTTGTTGATCAAAAATAATTTTCAAGAAAGCCTGCTAAGAAAAGAGCTTGTGAGGCCAGATGCAGTGGCTCACTCCTGTAATCCCAGCACTTTGGGAGACCAAGGTGGGAGGATTGCTTGAGCCAAGGAGTTGGAGACCAGCCTGGGCAACATAGCCAGATCTTGTCTCTACAAAAAAAATTTTTTAAATGAGCCAGGCATGATGCTGCGCCCCTGTAGTCCCAGCTACTGGGAGGTTGAGGCTAGTGGACTACCTGAGCCCAAGAGGTTGAGGCTGTGGTGAGCTGTGCACTCCAGCTTGGGCAACAGAACAAGACCTTGTCTCCCCAAGAGGAAAAAAGAGCCTAGGAAGATGAGCTTTTTCTTTGTTTGTTTTTGTTTGTTTGTTTTTTTAAGAGAGGGGGTCTCACTGTATTGCCCACATGGGCCTTGAATTCCTGGACTCAAGCAATTCTCCTGCCCTTCAGCCTCTTTAGTAGCTGGGACTACAGGCATGCCACACTTCACCCAGCTTGAAGTTGATTTTTAACTACTTGTTAAGACTCCACAACTTTAGCCCTTATATGGGTGTGTTTGAAAGTGGTGAGATTTACGGCAGGCTCATGGCAGAGAGTAAACAAGTGAGGATATGGGGTGAAGTAGTGGGGTGCCTGCTCTCGGCTGCGCTCCCACAGACATCACAAGCTCAAAGCCTTCAAACCGGATCTTATTTATTTCCTTCTCCCCGACTAGTCATAAAACCTAGTGGATTCCACTCTTACACACTGCCCTCTTCACACTCATTTGTCAATGCCCAGCTGCAGGACACATCTATCTCTATCTCTATCTGTCTGTCTGTCTGTCTGTCTGTCTATCTATCTATCTATCTATCTATCTATCTATCTATCTATCTATCTATCTATCTGTCTATGGAGTCTCACTCTGTCGCCCAGTCCGGAGTGCAGTGGTGCGAGCTCGGCTCACTTCAACCTCCGCCTCCTGGGTTCAAGCAATTCTCTCGCCTCAGCTTTCCGAGTAGCTGGGATTACAGGTGCCTGCCACCGTGCCCACCTAATTTTTTTTTTTTCAGTAGAGACGGGGTTTCACCAAGTTGGCCAGGCTGGTATCGAGCTCCTGACCTCAAGTGATCCACCCGCCTCGACCTCCCAAAGTGTTGGGATTACAGGCGTGAGCCACCGCACCGGGCCAGGACATGTCTTCTATTGCCTGATTCCTGCAGCAACTCCGGGCTGGACTCTTTGCCTTCCACATCCCAACCCAACCCCAATCCCAATTCCACAGAACAGACAGAGATGTGTCAGTGATGAAGTCATTCACTGCTTGAAACTGTGACAGCTTCCCGGCGACCTCCATCACTTGGGTTAGGAGGGCTAACTTCCCTCTGCAGCTCAACGCCCCTCTCCAACCCTCTGCTCTCACTCTAGGTCCCCATTCCCCATTTCTACAACAAACTCCCGCTTAGATTCCTCCCCAACGTCCTTCTCATCCTTGGGTCTTGGTTTACTCCTTCCCTTGGGATGAGTACGGCTGTGATGGAGGTAGGGGCTGGCATCAGCGCGTCCCAAGCCGGGTGTCCTCAGAGCAGCGGGGACTGATGCCAGCCCCTCCCTCCATCACAGCCCTACTCTCTCTCACTCCCGGTGACCAGGTGTCACCTGGTCAAGTGTGTCGCCCCTGGGTGGCCTGGGTCTGCGTCTTCCGACCTCTCATCTGGGCCTTGCGCTGTGGTCACCTCATCCAGCTCCCTTTCACGTCCTGGAAGATTTCCGCCCCTTGCTCCCCTCACCCCTCTCCCCGGGGGTGCCTCCCTGAGCCCTCGAGTGGCTTGAATCCTCCGCAACATTTCCTCCCCAGCACTCTCCGGGGCTCTGCGTCCAGCTGTGTCATTATCCGATGAGTGTCTGTCCCCCTTTGCGAATGTGAGCGGCGAGAGGGCAGCAAGTGCGGAGCCAGAGACGGACGCGGAACGGGCGTGTCCTAAGCCCAGGCCCCGACAAGAGGAAGGACCCGCGCTCTGCGGCCTCCCGGGGACCCCGCAGCGCCCCCCGCTTCCCTCGGCGGCGCCGGAAGCCGCCGGCTGGTCCCCTCCCCGCGGCGCCTGTAGCCTTATCTCTGCACCCTGAGGGCCCCGGGAGGAGGCGCGGGCGCGCCGGGAGGGACCGGCGGCGGCATGGGCCGGGGGCCCTGGGATGCGGGCCCGTCTCGCCGCCTGCTGCCGCTGTTGCTGCTGCTCGGCCTGGCCCGCGGCGCCGCGGGAGCGCCGGGCCCCGACGGTGAGTGCGGGCTGGGACGGGCACGGGCGGCCGGCGGGGCCCCCGGCTGGGCCTCGAGGACTCTGGGCGCACGGACGCTTCCCCGCCCCTGGGCCGGGCCGGCGCGGTGCCGAGGCGTGGGGCGCAGGTGGGGCCCGCGCCGGCCGTTGGAGATCGGCAAGGAGGAGCTCAGAGAAGCGGGGGGCTCCCCGCCGGGCTTCCCTGCCCCCGCCCGACCCCGCGACGCCGGGGGACGCCGGTTTTAAGGCGGCCTGGCCGGGCCCCCAGGGACCTCCACTGCCCAGGAGGCGGGGTGGGGGCTGGGCGCGAGCGCGGACCCGGGCAGGGCGGCGCCCGGGGAAGGGCGGGGAGGCCAGGGCGTTCTGCGGCGCTGTCACGCTTCCGGCTCTGCGGTGGCTTTTGCATGACACATTTTTGACCCGAAGCAATTTTCTTACCACTTTTAATTTTTTCACGTTGTTAGAGAGCCGGATGCTAAATATGGTGAGAAAGACGCGTAAGGAAGAGTACAGGAGTGAAGCCATTAATTCACTCATTCATTCAACAGATGGCCCTTGAACAGCTTCCCTGTGCGCGATGAGGGCGGGCAGTGCGGGCCCTCGTGGAGCTCATTGTCTGGAGGATTTAGACCAGCAAATGTTCTATTTCCAAGCAATCGAGGGAGTTGTTTTTCCTCCTCTGCAAAATGCAGTGTTGAGCTGAGTAGGAATTACACAGAGGATTCAGACACGCAGGGGAGGTGACATTCATCCACATAACTGTAATACAAGGCAGAATGGCATGGGTGCCATGAGAAGGTGTGGGTGGTGAGGGCAGGGAAAGGGGAATCGGTGGTGACCCTTGAGCTGGGCCATCAATGATTGGTCATATTTGGATATGGGAAAATGTGAAAAAGGTATCCCAGCTCATAGCAGAAGGCACTGTCACCTCTCCACAAATGAGTGTAGAATGAATGAATTCCTTCAGAATTCAGGCCCGGGGGAGAAGGGAAGGAAGCACACGGAGGCACCAGAGGCAGAGGGCAGAGTGCCTTGATTGGCAGACCTAGGCCTTTGGACTTAGCTGTGCCTGGAAGCCACTGGAAGCCGTCTCAGGGAGTGACAAGAAAAGTGGGTCTAGCCAGTTCTAGGCGCTTCGGGAGCCACAGGTTACAGTGCAGACATGGCCAAATCCAAGCACCACACCACACACAACCAGTCCCGAAAATGGCACAGAAACGGCATCATGAAACCCGGATCACAAAGATACGAATCTTTTAAAGGGGTGGACCCCAAGTTCCTGACAAACATGCGGTTTGCCAAGAAGCACAATAAGAGGGGCCTAAAGAAGATGCAGGGCGACAGTGCCAAGGCCATGAGTGCACGTGCTGAGGCCTTGCCCTCATAAACCCCAAGGAGGTTAAGCCCAAGATTCCAAAGGGTGTCAGCTCTTGCCTACGTTGCCCACCTCAAGCTTGGGAAACGTGCTCGTGCCCGCATTGCCAAGGGGCTCAGGCTGTGCCAGCCAAAGACCAAGGTCAAGGATCAAACCAAGGCTCAGGCTGCAGCTCCAGCTTCAGTTCCAGCTCAGACTCCCGAAGGAGCTCAGGCCCCTACAAAGCCTTCAGAGTAGAGATCTGTGTCTGCCAACGTGAGGACAGAAGGATTGTCCCCCTTGGACTGCCATCTGCATGGGGCTGATGTCCTCCTTTGCTATTTGTATAAGTAAACTTGAGGCGGGGGAAAGAGGGTCTAAGGAACCCCCATCTTCCTTACTAAAACCAAACGCTGATCCTGAAGTGGAAGGAAATTTCCATGTGATGACATACAAGGAGACTTGTGGTTGAGAATCCTGCCTGCCGCCCCCACCCCCATTCTCTTTGGCTTGGGACTTTTACCATGCCTGATGGGTATTTCAATGGCTTGATCTTCTGGAGTGGCCATTTTTGTAATATTAGGTGCCCTGGTTAAGATTCCTTCCTTGGCTCTATCTCCGAGAACAGTGCGCATAGGACTTGCAGATGCTTGGCGTCTATTTCAGGATCTTCCTGTGATATCTCTAAGGTAGGAAACTGTCCAGTATGATCCCATTGAATTGTTAGACTAAGATGGCTGAACACAGCTAGTAGCTACGTAAGGTCATCTGTAACTAAAGGTTTTGGGGGTGAATTTGGGGAAACAGAAGTCAAGGCTTCCTGGTTGAGCCCCCTCTCCTTATCTAGACATTCTCCCTTCATGTTCAACCTTGGAGAACCTGGTTTTATGAAGGGCAGGTTTCCTGACAGTCGACAATGTAGGGAAAGACTGGAGGCTTGGACAAGCCCATTGAGGAAGTTGTTGCAATAGCTGGCCTGGAAGTTCTGAGGACTGGGCCCACAGTAATGACAGCAGAAACGGACTGAATGTAGACAGTAAGGTGGAAATGGACTGGAAGGAAGGATTTAATAACAGATATGAAGGTGCAAGGGAACAGAAGGGGAAAGATGACACTAAGGCTTGGGGGCTGGGTGACTTGGTATATGTTTCTACGGAAGGAGAAAGATTTGGAAAGAAAGATGATTAGTTGTTTTGGACATCCTGAATTTGAGGTGCTGTTATGGATTTGGAGAGATGAAATCAATAGACTTGATGGTTGCTTGAAACCTTGAAGTTGACAAGATTGGGAGGATGAAAGACAGATCCTTGGAGAGGATTCTTGGAGTTTAGATGGTAGATGCAAGTCGAGAAGGAAGAAGCAGCATCTGGGTAGGATGGAGAAAGACTAGGCTCATTTAGTCAAGGAAACTAGGAGATGGGAAGCCGAGAGGCAGAGATTGAGAAAAAGCCTTTGAATTGGATGGATCTGGTCAGTGGAGACCCAGAGCTAGTAGAGGAGAGAGGGTGAGAGCTAGATGTGAGGGCTCTAGGTTGAGGGCAGAGACCTTGTTTACGGAGTAGATACTCTTTTTTTTTTTTTTTGAGACAGTCTCACTCTGTCGCCCAGGCTGGATGGAGTGCGGTGACATGATCTCGCTTGCTGCAACCTCTGCCTCCTGGGTTCAAGAAATCCTCCTACCTCAGCTTTCCGAGTAGCTGGGATTACAGATATGCACCACCACACCTAGCAAATTTTTGTATTTTTAGTAGAGATGGGGTTTCACCATGTTGGCCAGGCTGGTCTCGAACTCCTGACCTCAAGTGATCTGCCCGCCTCAGCCTCCCAAATTGCTGGGATTACAGGCATAAGCCACTGCTCCTGGCCTCGGAGTAGATACTCTTTAAAGAAATTAGAAGGAAAACGAAGGTAGCATTCAGCTGGGCTGGTCAAGTCAGTCCAAGATGTTTAGAGAATGCAAAACAGACTCAAACATATTTTAGACTGAGGGGTATTATTTAGTAGAGAGGGGAAAAATGAAAAAGCAAAAATAAATGAGATAGTTAATGGACAGAGCAGGTCAAAAATTAAACTTGGGCTATAAGTGGGGGAGGTTAGTTTCTTAAAGTGGGGGGCGAGGAAGAAGATTAGAGGACTGTGTTTCCCTTCTCCCATGGCGGGCTACTTAATGAGTGCTATTCATATTTCAAAGCAAGCCTGGGTGTCCTCACTCCTCCTAGGAAGTCCGTTGCCACTATCCGCTTCTCTTTACAGCACCAGTAATACCATATTCCGTGCCTTGGTTGTACACTTATACCATATTGCAGTGTGATTGTTTACTAAACTAAGAGCTCCTTGTGGGTAGGGACAGTGGCTTGTATTAGGAATCTGGTAGGCAAATAAATGAATACCATCCAAACAAGAATAAGCAAAGGCTATTTATTCAGAACTTGCTGTGACAAGGGAGTCAGCCATCATCACTTCCATTTGGCAGAGACTCAAAGATAGGCTGGGGGTGGAAAAGTTTTACAGTAGAAAAAGGAAGGGGGTTGGGGGTGGTGGTGGTTCAGGTACGCCCAGCTGGAGAAGTTTTCTAGCAGCATGCATCCCATGTGATTGGTGAGAGGGCCATATCTGGCTTTTCTGGTTAGTCCCAAGTTGGAATTGGGGGCAAAAATTAGCGTAGCTGGCCGTTACTGATTAAAGCCTGACCATTTGGGGCTGATTGCTACAGAGTTCCTGGAATGATTGCTGCAGATTGTGGGTTAGACTTCTATTTTAATATATGGGCTGGGTGCGGTGGCTCACGCCTATAATCCCAACATTTTGGGAAGCCGAGGTGGGTGGATCACTTGGGGTCAGGAGTTCGAGACCAGCTTGGCCAACATGGTGAAACCCCATCTCTACTAAAAATACAAAAAAAATTGGCCGGGCCTGGTGGTGGGCGCTTGTAATCCTAGCTACTCCAGAGGCTGAGGCAGGAGAGCCGCTTGAACCTGGGAGGCAGAGGTTGCAGTGAGCCGAGATCATGCCACTGCACTCCAGCCTAGGTGACAGAGCAAGGCTCTCTCTCTCTCTCTCTCTCTCTCTATATATATATATATATATGATCTGGCCATTGTCCATTTGTATATTCAGTCTGTCACTGGCAACATGGGCTGAATGACATTAATTGGCATCAAAGATGTTTTGGGGAGGAGAGCTGAAGTCAGTTGAACTGAAGTCAGATGACCTGAGTGTAAGGAAAGTGTGTTTCGCGTAATTGATATGGCAGGAGGGTGTTGGTGGCTGGGTGGGGTGCAGGGCCCAGGGGAGTCCAGAGGGTAGGAATGGGCGAGGAGGGGTAGAACCAGTTAGTCCTGTTTCTTAACCTTTCTCTGGCATTCGTTGCTAGAGTCAGGCCTGTTGGCTCAGGCCTGGCTGGAGGTCAGGAAGTTGTTCTTGCTGTATACAAAGGTCACCTGACTTCACTCATCATGCATTTCATGCTTGATCTTCCCTCTGTCTTCAGGAATCACAGCAGCACATTCACTATTCAGGGTGAGCCACAGGAGGAAAGAAGAGAAATAGAGTGAGTGGATTGTTTTGGAGTGATTTAAAGTTACTTAAAATAAAGGGTGCAGGATTAGAGTTGATGAAGATGCCCACCATGGCTTGTCTTCCACCTCCAGGGACTTGGTCCTGGGTGTATTCTTGGTCTTCTGGTCAAATCCTAAAATGGGATGCTAGGTCTCTGTAGCTCAAAATCCCAAGTAG
Organism: Homo sapiens; assembly: GCF_000001405.40. Taxonomy (NCBI): domain Eukaryota; kingdom Metazoa; phylum Chordata; class Mammalia; order Primates; family Hominidae; genus Homo; species Homo sapiens. Next base: position 112,170,044 of record NC_000009.12, on the reverse strand, counting down.
TCTGTTGGCCTCAGCTCTGCAGAAGAGAGAGGGAAAATGAACTGCAAAGATTAAGAAAAAGGATACACTCAGCTTGGCGTGGTGGCTCACACCTATAATCCCAGCACTTTGGGAGATTGGGGTGGATGGATCACCTGAGGTCAGGAGTTCGAGACCAGCCTGACCAACATGGAGAAACCCCATCTCTACTAAAAATGCAAAAATTAGCGGGGCATGGTGGCCCACACCTGTAATCCCAGCTACTCAGGAGGCTGAGACAGGAGAATAGCCTGAACCCGGGAGGTGGAGGTTGCAGTGAGCCGAGATCATGCTATTGTACTCCAGCCTGGGCAACAAGAGTGAAACTCCATCTCAAAAAAAAAAAAAAAAGGTACACCCTTCTGGAGAATGAATCAGGTATGAGACAGGTGTGAAAAGAACCGGTAGGGGTTAAGTGAGTGACTGCCTGACGTGAACCGTAGGGTGTGGCGTAAATGAATGGCACTCAGTGTGGGTTGGTTTCTGGTCCTGAGGCCAGGTGTGGGGGCCCCACTGCTGGTTGATCTTGGTCACACCAGAAAGTGAACAGGATTGGGTCGTGTGAGCCATTTTTTATGAGGAAAGGTTGAGAGTTCTTTTTTTGTTGTTTGTTTTTTGATTTTTTTTTTTTTTGACTAGTCAAGTACAGTAGTGAGAAGGGGGAAAGAGTAGAATGAGAAGTTTGATCTGTAACTGACTGTCCACAATCAATTGAGATAACTCACTACCTTTGGACCAGCCCAACTGAGAGTTCTTGATGGAGAATGTCAGTCCTAAATTTGGGTGGGTGTGGGAAATATATGACAATTTGAATAGCCCTGCAAATATTACATTGCTGGAGAGAGTAGAGTGCTCTCTGTCTTGGAGGGATTTAAAAGCAGAGTCTATGTTTTCATTTCTGGATTTTTTTTTTGTCAGGGATGTTGGAAAGGAGAGAACATGAGATTTCTCAGATTCCTTCCACCTCTGGAATTTGGTGCAATCTCTTAAGAGCAATGCAATTTTATATAGTGTTAGAGACCACTTGGGAATGCTTTTTCTTCCTGAGTTTTGGGCCCCGTTGGCTTATTTCCTCCCGTTGTTTGATCTGTCTTTCCAAATTTGACAGACAGAATCTCAGGAAGGTTGTGCTGGATTTGTTTGGTCTGACTGTGAATGGTTGAGGGTTAGGTTAAAAGCAGATTTAAAATTTAAGCACTGCATTTGTGCTTTTTTGTTATTGTTGCTGTTGGGTTTTTAGAGATGGGGTCTAGATTTTTGGCCAGGCTAGTCATGAACTCCTGGGTGCAAGTGATCCTCCCATCTCAATCTCCCAAAATGCTGGGATTACAGGTGTGAGCCATTGTGCTTGGCCTGCATTTGTGCTTTTAAACTACCTTCTTCTCTTGACTGTGAACATCTCTTTACTGTACTATTAAAGTCCATCAGCTAATGTCTCAGAAGTACACTGAAGTTGTTGCTCGTGTATTGAAGTAAAGAGTGAGAGTGTTTCTCAGAAGCTGGCAGCCTCCCTCCCATCCTGAGTTGCAGCTTTACTTGGTTGCAGTGGAGAGGAAGGACAGGTGAGCAGGGCTGAAAAGGTGAGGAGCTGAACTTTCAACTTCTGAGTCAGCTGTTACCCAGAAGGCTGGGAGGATGTGGCGAAGACAGGGAGTGATTATGTAAATTTGAATATTATGGTTTCTGGGATATCAGCCCATCAATGGGTAGACACCTGAATGCACAAAGATACCGCTCTTGATTTTTGCATCAGTGCATTTCTCTGTCACTCTTCCCATTGGAGTAATTGGGAGTTGGCTAGCCAACCACCAGTGTTAGTACCTTCTTTTATTCATTAACAAAGAGTCGTTGAGTGGTTGCTTATAACAATGTCTGACACATTTTAATTGCTTTTCATGTATTAACTCATTGATATGGTTTGGCTGTGTCCCTACCCAAATCTCAACTTGAATTGTAGCTCCCATAATTCCTATGTGTTGTGAGAGGGACCCAGGGAGAGATGATTCAATCATGGGGGAGGTTTCCCCCATACTGTTCTCGTGGTAGTGAATAAGTCTCACAAGATCTGATGGTTTTATCAGGGGTTTCTCCTTTCACTTGTCCCTCATTCTCTGTTGCTGCTGCTGTGTAACACATGCCTTTTGCCTTCTGCCATGACTGTGAGGCTTCCCCAGCCACTTGGGACTGTGAGTCCATTAAACCTCGTTTTCTTTGTAAATTACCCAGTCTCGGGTATGTCTTTATCAGCAGCATGAAGAAAGACTAATATACACTCATTTACTTTTGAATCCTCACAACAACCATATAAAGTAGGTTTATTATTCTTCTCATTTTACAGATTTACAGGAAACTGAGGCACAGAGCTCTCCAAGGATTACATAGCTAGTAAGTGGCATAGCTAGGATCGTAACTAACCCAAGCGCTTGTAACCACCATGCCAAATACCAGGCACTGCATCTTGCAGACTGTTTCTAACAATAATAACAAAATCTGTGGAAATGGATATAAATATTCATGTCAATTGTCTCATATTTGCGTGTTGCTTTACACTTCATACAGCATTTATATTTCTTATTTAATCTTGGCCACAACATGTTCATCTCATGGATTAAAATGAGAGACCTGGCTGGGCACAGTGGCTCATGCTTGTGATCCCAGCACTTTGGGAGACTGTAGCAGGAATATCGATTGAGCCCAGGAGTTAGAGACCAGTCTGGGCAACATAGGGAGATCCCGTGTCTATAAAATAATAATAATAAAAAATTATCTGGGCATGGTGGTGCATGCCTGTGGTCCCAGCTACTTGGGAGGCTGAGGTGGGAGACTCGCCTGAGCCTGGGAGGTCGAGGCTGCAGTGAACCATGATTGTGCCACTACACTCTAGCCTGGGTGAAAGAGGGAGACAAAAAAAAATTGGAGAACTGACAGTTTAACTTGCTAAACTCACATAACTAAGGATCATGACTCCAACCCTGACTCTGGTTGAGACACCAAAACCTGTCTCACCCTCTCATTGTTAGGTGTAGTTTTAGCTGGGGTAGTCACTGCAGAGCTGGGACGGGTAGTGAAGCTAGCTCAGCAGCCTTAGCCGGGGGATGTGGTAATAGTAACAAAGAGCACTTGTCAGGTTTTCTCTCCTTTTAGATTTTGGGTTCTTCAACTTTCCTGTTTCTCTGCCAGTAATTCTAGACATCCCTCGGGGTCCCTCACCTCTGCAGTCATTCCCTCGGTTACTACATGGCAACCACCTCCCTGCTTTCAGGCCCTGAGTATGCTGACGACAGAACTAAAGCCATCCTTGACGTGGGTACCAAGTGCCCCCGACACAGCTCTCCCTCAGATCCTAGCAAAGCCCTAGTGATCTTTCTCTGGCCTGGAGAATTCCTCTCCCTTGGGTTATTCTATTACATTTGTCCCACAGCTGTGCTATGTGGCAATCGAGACTTGGTGAAAGACTTCTTTCAGTATTGCCTTTTCTTTCCCCAGGATTCTGACTCCAGTCCCTGAGGTTGAGGTTGAGCTAGTCTGGCAGTGTTCCTCTCTGTGTGGTCCACCTGGGAGCAGTTTAGAAATGCAGATTCTCAGGCCCTGCCTCTCCCCTACTGAATCAGAATCTTTGGGGACACTGTGTTTTAACAGGATTGCCAGGAAGCATGACCAGCTGTCTTGGTTTGCACAGAACTGAGGGGTTTCCTGGGACACAGGACTTTTTGTATTAAAACTAGCATGAGTTAGTCACTCCGTCTCCAGGTGATTCTTAACTGAGCCTCAGGCTGTGGAACAGTGGACCCGTGTGGTCAGAGAGTTGTCCCGCAAAGTCCTGCAGAATAGGCTAATCACGGCTGAATAATAAGCACCCCTGCCTGTATTTCTTTGGAAACCACCTTCTCATCTGCAGATAGTCTGAGAAGCCTTGGTAGCCTGGAACCCATCTTACGTTTTTTTGCTGGTGTGGGGAACAAACATGTATTGAGCCAAATTCTACTGCATGCCAGCTACTGTCTTTGCGGTTATACTTATGCTAAATTATTTTCTTTCTTTCTTTCTTTCTTTCTTTCTTTCTTTCTTTCTTTCTTTCTTTCTTCTTTCTTTCTTTCTTTCTTTTCTTTCTTCCTTCCTTCCTTCCTTTCTTTCTTTCTTTTTCTTTCTCTTTCTTCCTTCCTTCCTTCCTTCTCTTTCTCTTTCTTTCTTTCTCTTTCTTTCTTTCTTTTTCTCTCTCTCTCTTTCTCTCTTTCCTTTCTTTTTGATGTGTGTATCTCATCTAAATAAATGATTCTTAATGGGTCATTAAAACAGGTACCCTAAGAATGAAGTGTATGCCAGGTGTGGTAGCTCACACTTGTAATCCCAGGACTTTGGGAGGCCGAGGTGGGTGGATTGCTTGAGGTCAGGAGTTCAAGACCAGCCTGGCCAACATGGTGAAAACTCATCTCTGCTAAAAATAAAAAAATTAGCCGAGTGTGGTGGTGCACACCTGTGGTTCCAGCTACTCAGGAGGCTGAGACACAAGAATCGCTTGAGCCTGGAAGGCAGAGGTTGCAGTGAGCTGTGATCGTGCCAATGCTCTCCAGCCTGGGGGACAGAGCGAGACCTTGTCTCAAAAAAAAAAAAAAAAAAAAGTGTCAAAGACCTAGTATTTGATAGCACAACACCACAACAGGTTTACTATAGTTAATAATAATTTAATTGTATATTTTAAAATAACTAAAAGACTATGACTATTGTTTATAATACAGAGGATAAATACTGAAAGAGATGGATATCCCATTTTACAATACATGATTACTACGCATTGCATGCCTACATCAAAACATCTCAGGTACCCCATAAATATAAACAGCTATGTACTCACAAAAGTTAAAGTTAAAAATAAAAAAGAAGGAAATGTCAGAACTTTAGGGAGAAAGGACTTTCGGGGGGCTCTTTATCCTCTGCTACTCAAAATGTGATCCACCTGTGAGCTTCTTAGAAATCCAAAATATAGGGCTCCTCCCCAGACCAACTGAATTGGAGCCTGCAGTTTAACAAAGGTTAAGATCCCCAGGTATTTTTTTGTTTGTTTGTTTGTTTTGTTTTGTTTTTGAGACTGAGTTTCGCTCTGTCGCCCAGGCTGGAGTGCCAGTGGTGCAATCTCGGCTCACTGCAACCTCCGCCTCCCGGCTTCAAGTGATTCTTCTGCCTCAGCCTCCCAAGTAACTGGGACTACAGGCACCGGCCACCAAACCCGGCTAGTTTTTTGTATTTTTAGTAGAGATGGGGTTTCACCGTGTTAGCCAGGATGATCTCAATCTCTTGACCTCATGATCCGCCTGCCTCAGCCTCCCAAAGTGCTGGGATTACAGGCATGAGCTACTGTGCCTGGCCCAGGTGTTTTGTTTGTATTTTTCTTTTTTAGTATGTATGTATTTTTTTTTACCTTTATGGTTACATAGTAGGTGTGTATATTTATGGGATATATGAGTTTTCTCTTTTTTTTTTTTAGAAACAAGATCTCATTCTGTTTTCTAGGCTGGAGTGCAGTGGCATGATCATAGCTTACGTAACTTTGCACTCCTGGGCTCAAGCAACCCTCCTGCCTCAGCCTCCCGAGGTGATTTGAATGCACTTTAAAATTCGAGAAGCCCAAAGTCCTTGTTTTAAAGGTGAAAAAACTGAGATCCAGAAAGGTTAAGTGGTGTGCTCAAGGTCACACAGTGAATTAGACTCAGCTAGATTTAGGATCCAGCTCTAACTAGCTTTCAAGTCCAGTGCTTCCCCCTATACCTGGCTGCCTTCCTCTAAGGCCATGTGTTTGTCTGGGGCTATTTATTAAATAAACTTGAACTTAATTCAGTTTCTTTTAAAACATTTTCTATTCTATCCTTCACTAATTCAGACTGGACTTCCTTTAATTTATCTGAGTGAGTCCCACCTCTTTTCTTCTTCATATTTTTTATGTTTATTAGATTTACTCAATAGTTACATGAAATAGCCATTTTCCAGCTGATATTAAGTTTTTTTATTTTTTTTATTTTTATTTTTTTTTTGAGACAGAGTCTTGATCTGTTGCCCAGCCTGGAGTGCAGTGGCACAGTCTTGGCTCACTGCAACCTCTGCCTTCCGGGTTCAAGTGATCCTCTTGCCTCAGCCACCTGAGTAGCTGGGATTACAGGTGTCCACCACCATGCCTAGCTAATTTTTTTTGTATTTTTAGTAGAGACAGGTTTCACCATGTTGGCCAGGCTGGTCTCAAACTCCTGGCCTCAAGTGATCTGCCCTGCTTGGCCTCCCAAAGTGCTGGGATTACAGGCGTGAGCCACCATGCCCAGCTGAGTTTTTGCAAATGGATCTATATAATCTCTGCATCTTTATAAGGACAAGTTTTTTAAATTTTATTTTTAACATTTTTAAAGAGACAGTCTAGCTCTGTTGCCCAGTCTGGAGTGCAGTGGCTCAATCAAAGCACACTGCAGCCTTGATCTCCTGAGCTCAAAAAATCCTCCCACATCAGCTTCACAAGTAGCTGGGATTACAGCTATGCACCACCATGCCCAGCTAATTAAATTTTTTTTTTTTTTTGGTAGCGATGAGGTCTTGCTATGTTGATCAGGCTGGCACTTTGGTAGGCTGAGGTAGGAGGATTATTTGAGGCCAGGAGCTTGAAACCAGCCTGGGCAACATAGTGGGATCCTGTCTCTAAAAAAGTAAATAAATAAAACAAAAAATTAGCCAGGTGTGGTGGGATGTGCCTGTTGTCCTAACTACTCTGGAGGCTGAGGAAGGAGGATAGCTTGAGCACAGGAGGTCAAGGCTGCAGTGAGCTGTCGTCACACCATTGCACTCCAGCCTGGGTGACAGAGGCGACAGAGTGAGACCTTGTCTCAACAAACAAACAAACAAACCAAAGTGATGAGATTACAGGTGTGAGCCACTGCACCTTGCCCTAGACAAGTATTTTATATAAGAAAAAAATCTAAAAAATTTGCATTTGTCAACCTTAAATAATGAGATTCAGAACGTATGATTACATATAGAGTTTATTCAAGCATAAAACTTGAAGGTGGCCACTGGGAAACACTGACTTCAAATGAATGGAGTGTTCATTCAAAAATGGGGAAGTTACAGTTTCATTTATGTAGAAATTGTAGCAGAATTACATTTTCCATACAAGACCAGTGCATATGCCACAGCGATTTGGTTGGTTACAGATTGCTGCACTCCAAGGAAAATTACTTTATTACTCCATGAGGAGAGATAGCGATCTAAGGGGGTCTTATCTCTGGTGCCATTTGGGCTTAATTATTTACAGGGGGAAAAAGAGGCAGAAGTTACAGCTGTATACTTTGTGACTCAAACTGCATAGCCACATTCCTCTCAAGGCTTGGTATAATTTAAAGTTCCAACAGCTTTAAGTTTGAATTACTTAATTTCTCATATTTCATTGTTTCAATAGAATCATATTTATGTCTATTATTGTACTACACACATTTATATGTGACTTCAGTGTCTACTTAAGGTTTTTAGCCTTTGAACCGCGTGTTTATATTGTCTGTTCACTGGGGAAGTAGCTTATAATGGGCTTCTTTGGTTTTCAGTGAAAAATTCTTACAGGCTTCCTTAGCTTGGGTTACTTTAGTTACTTGTTCTCTAAAGCTATGTACCTGCTATCTACCATCTCTCAATGGCATCATGAGAAATTTGGGATCCAGACACAAAATGATTTCCCTATAGAAATTTGAGTTTCCCTCCCCTTTTTTGCCATCAAGGCTTTAATTATATTAGCCCCCAAGTGAAAACAAACCAAATGTTTATCATCAGATTGTGTACCATATATTATCAGATTATCATCAGATGCAAATTGTGCATCATATATTCTGCATCTTGCATTAGGCAGTTGTTTCATGGTTGTCTACATTTGTTAAAACCCACTGAAACTGCACACTTAAACATGGGGGTGTTTTATTGTGTGCATATTATATCTCAATAAAGTTGATTTTTAAAGTAAAAACTGTAATTTTCAATATTTTCTTACTATTGTGGTAAAGTAGACATAAGGCAAAATTTTACCATTTTAGCTATTTTGAAGTGTGCAATTGAGAGGCAAGTTGTATATTGTTGTGCAACCATCGCTACCATCCATCTTCAGAACTTTTTCATCATCCCAAACTGAAACACTACCCAAGATTTAGGGTATTTAATAAGATTGCATTTTTTTTTTTTTTTTTTTGGATGGAGTCTTGCTCTGTCACGCAGGCTGGAGTGCAGTGGCACAATCTCAGCTCACTGCAACCTCCGCCTCCCGGGTTCAAGCGATTCTCCTGCTTCAGCCTCCTGAGTAGTTAGGATTACAGGCGCATACCACTGAACCTGGCTAATTTTTGTATTTTAGTAAAGACGGTGTTTCACCATGTTGACCAGGCTGGTCTCAAACTCCTGACCTTAGGTGATCTGCCCACCTTGACCTCCCGAAGTGCTGGGATTACAGGCATGAGCCACCCTGCCTGGCCAAGATTGCATTCTATCTACAAATTAAATTGGGGAGAATGTTCATATGTTCATCATTGTAGGGTTGATCACAAATGGGTTCTTCAACTTGACCCAGGATCCATTATTTAGAAAGTATTTCCAAGATTTTGGTTGCGTGTCATTATGAATTTTTTTTTTTTTTGAGATGAAGTCTTACTTTGTCACCCAGGCTGGAGTGCAGTGGTGCTATCTTGGCTCACTGCAACCTCTGCCTCCAGGGTTCAAGTGATTCCCCTGCTTTAGCCTCCTGAGTAGCTGGGACTACAGGTGTGTGCCACCACGCCTGGCTAATGTTTTTGTATTTTTGGTAGAGACAGGGTTACGCCATGTTGGCCAGGCTGGTCTCAAACTCCTGACCTCGAGTGATCCACCTGCCTCAGCCTCCCAAAGTGCTGGGATTTATAGGCATGAGCCACCGTGCCTGGCCCTGCATGTCATTATGAATTGACAATGTACTGATCACACGGTTTAAAATGTTTTGTGCTAAAATGTTAATGTGTTAAGATGGTTAAATATACTTACCCATATGATGGACATTTAGGTATGGGGACTCATCCTCACTTCAGTTTGGTGTGTTGTCCTTCTAATGTGGAGCCTTCTGGTTCATTTTCTCCCGGTCGTAAAATTCTGTTTTGTGCGGCATCAGTGAAGGAATCCAGGCATTTAACTACTCCTTGCAGGTATTTTCAACCAGTTCCTTGAACTTTCATTCCTGTTCCTTATGTCTGTCTTCTGAAATTTGCAAAGACTCTGCTTCCTGGGCCTTTCTAGGATTGGCTTTTAGTTCTTCCTCTCTGCTAAGGCAATTACCATGCATCCATCTCTTTTTCTTTTTTAACAGAGATGAGGTCTCATCATGTTGCCCAGGATTAGTCTCAAACTCCTGGGATCAAGGCCTCCCAAATGCTGAGATTACAGGCATGAGCCACTGTACCTGGCCCATCCATCTCTTTCTCATCTTCTTTATTTTTATTTTTTGAGATGGAGTCTCACTCTGTTGCCCAGGCTAGAGTGCAGTGGTGTGATCTCAGCTCACTGCAACCTCAGCCTTCTGGGTTCAAGCGATTCTCTTGCCTCAGCCTACTGAGTAGCTGGGAGTACAGCTGCCTGCCACTGCGCCCGGCTAATTTTTGTATTTTTAGGAGAGATGGGGTTTCACCACGTTGGCCAGGCTGGTCTTGAACTCCTGACCTCAAGTGATCCACCCGCCTTGGCCTCCCAAAGTGCTGAGATTACAGGCGTGAGCCACTCCGCCCAGCCTCATTTTCATTTTCTGAAATACTTTTAGCATCTTTTGTCTGCTATCATCTTCTCTCTCAGGGTTTATACCTTCCTAGTCTTTTATGTAATTTTCCCCCAGTGCATTTGATAATATTTTCTAATTCTTTAACATCTTTAAAATTGTATTTACTAATCCCTAAATCCCCATTTTCTTTTTTCCTTTTTTCAGGTTTCTTATATTAAAATTCTAGTGTTTTCTTTTTTTTTTCTTTTTCTTGGCTGCCTGCTTTTCTCTCTCTTTTTTAGGCATCAAACCAACTGAGACTGGGAGATTTCCAAACATGCTAACCATGCTGCTGTTTTGTGTGTTCTTTTTTAAAATAAGAGATAACTCAAAAATGAGAAAAACCACTAATTATCACTAGGTAATACCAAATTAACCATGGAATATTTATTCTATCTCAGATCATAAAGGAAAATGCAACAAATTTGAAAAAAGTAAAAATTTTAAAGGCCGCATTGAAGTATAAAAGTATACTCTTAAGGTATAAAAACGCATAAGTCTTACATTTGTGGAGTAAATATGTTTTTATACCTAGTGTTAAACATTTCAATTTTGATATTCCCTTTGTCCTAAGAATTATTTAGGAGAATGTTCTGTGGTTTGCAAGTATGTTTTTTTGGGGATGCCAGTCTTATGTTTTGTTTGATAGTTCTATTACATTATTATGTGGTCAGATAATTCAGCCTTTAACATTTTTACTTGTTTGGAATTTGTTGCATTTGTCTTTACGGTCTGAGATACAATAAGTTTTGGAAATATTCCATGGTTAATTTGGCATTACTTAGTGATGATTAGCGGTTTGTCTTATTTTTGTGTTGTCTTTTATTTTTTTAAAAAACACGCAGAACAGCAGCATGGTTAGAGTGTTTAGAAATCCCTAGTCTCAGTTGGTTTCATGCCTGGAGCAGCCTAAGGGCTAGGCTGTCTTACCTGGGTAACAGTGGAGCCAAAACTAAAATGAAATTCAATGCTAGAAAGATTCTCTTTACTAGGTCGCTCCTGAAATTACAGAGGCACTGAGAGTGAAACACAGTATACCACATAGCCTTGGGTAGAAATTCTTGTTTGATCTTGGGCCATATATCACCATCTGGTAGATTTGGATGTTTTAGAAGTTTTAGCCTCAAACAATTCTGCTGTTTATTTCAATAATTGGGATCTGGTCATCCTACTGGGACTTGGCTGTTATATCACTGTCATCTTAAACACATTCATTTTTTTCTTTGGAAAAAAAAAAATGAGTAGGGTAATAGGCAGCTGTGTTCCTCTTCACTCCATTTGCTTTTTGAGTTGCAGCAAGCAGGATTTCAGATTTCTCTATCCAGGCAGTCAATAAAAATATATTGAGTGTCTGCACTGTGCCATCATAACATATGGGCAAATGACATCATCCCTATCCTTGAGCGGCTCATTCATAATACTGAGCTTGGAATACAAAGCTAGAACCAAATATAATGACACATTAACATGATTGATAGGGAATGTGCCAGTGTTAGGGGAGCACAGAGGAAGATGCATTTAATTTTCCTTAAGAATGGAGGAATGGGCCGGGCGCATTGGCTCACACCTATAATCCCAGCTCCTTGGGAGGCTGAGGCCAGTGGATCCCTCAAGCTCAGGGGTTCGAGACCAGCCTTGACAACATAGGGAGACCCCATCTGTACAGAAAATACAAAAATTAGATGGGTGTGGTGGTGTGCGCCTGTAGTCCCAGCTACTTAGGAGGTTGAGGTGGGGAGAATTGCATGAGCCCGGGAGGTCAAGGCTGCAGTGAGCTGAGATCATGCCACTGCGCTTCAACCTGGGCAACAGAGTCAGACTCTACCTCAAAAAAAGAAAAAAATGGAGTAGTGGGGAAGACCTCAGAGGGAATGTGACATTAAGCTGGGTCTTAAAATATGAATAGGTGCTAGCTAGGTAGAGAAGAAGGCATAGGCATTTTAGGTATATAGAGAGTATTGTGATTGTGGCATGCGAGTAGGATAGTAGATATTCTGTTAGGGAAAGAGTAGTTAGCCTCTGACATCTGGCAAGTACCATGTGTGGTTGGGGCTCGGAAACAATGAGGCTGGAGGAGTATGTCTGGAGTGAGATCACTAAGAGCATTGACTGTGGCCTAGCTCGGTGGCTCACGCCTGTAATCCCAGTACTTTAGAAGGCCAAGGTGGGTGGATTGCTAGAGCTCAGGATTTCGAGACCAGCCTGGGCAACATGGCAAAACCCTGTGTCTACAAGAAAAAAAAAAATTAGCCAGGTGTGGTGATGTGTGCCTATAGTCCCAGCTACTTGGGAGGCTGAGGTGGGAGGTTCACCTTCTCCCAGGAGGTTGAGGCTGCAGCGAGCTGTGATTGTACCACTGCACTCCAGCCTGGGCAACAGAGCAAGACCATGTCTTGAAAAAAAAAAAAAAAAGAAAGAAAGAAAGACATTGCCACACAGAGGAAGAGATTTGCACTTTATTCTGTGAGAAATAAACAGCCACTGAAGGTTTTTAAGGATGAGACTAGGTGTGTCCTGTGTTATTTTGGTCTTCAAATTTTGGTTCTTCGTTGTAAATGTCCACTAACTACATGTGTCTCATCTTGCATTTTTCTTTTTCTGAAACATACAATTTATGATTCAGGTTTAGACGTCTGTGCCACTTGCCATGAACATGCCACATGCCAGCAAAGAGAAGGGAAGAAGATCTGTATTTGCAACTATGGATTTGTAGGGAACGGGAGGACTCAGTGTGTTGGTAAGTTCTGAACTCTGGGTTAAGTTGAAAAGCTGAATCGAGAAACAAGATTCTCTTGTATTAAAGAGTTGATGTCCTTGGGGAAAAACATTGTTATTTTGTTCACATGTTTTTATTATGAGAAGTTTTGTCAATTATAATAAGTCTTTGTTTTAGTGTTTGGATACATTCTTTCTCTAGTGTTTCCAAGATAGTATTCCTCATGTTAGAGGTCATTGAACTTGAATCTCTGGAAACTCTGGGACCTAACACAAATTTGACATCTGTTTCAAGTCTTAAGTTTAACTTCACAACTCAAGTGAATATTGCATTGCTTAATTTCTCTGGTTATTTTGATATAAAACTATATTAGTACTATGAGGAAAAACAAAACAATTTGCCATTGGACTTTATGGTTAATTGGTAAAATACTGTTGCTTTGGGTCTTATGTCTGTCAGAATTCATCCTCCAAATTTTTGGTAGTTGTGATACTTTTAGGGACTTAGATGACTTAAAGGAACTCAAAGCCCTTTAGGTTAGAAGCATCTGAAACTATTTTTTGCCTCATGATATCCACCATGCCATGACAGTCAGACAATATCCAGGTTCAAGCTCAATTCAGAGAGAGGGAGACTTTCACAACAATTTTACAATAGTAAATGTTGCAATAATCTTCCAATTTCCTCCCAGCAACCTTGTTATATGCATTAAAAATATTGATGGTTTTACCTTACAGTTGTGGATAGATGGTATATACAGCCTTGTTGTGATATCTTTGTGTGCTTTTTTTCTCCCTAAAGAAAAATAACAGCGAGGTACTGAGCCTCGATCTTGTAATCCCAGCTATTCTGGAGGCTGAGGTGGGAGGATCACTTGAGGCCAGGAGTTTGAGACCAGCCTGGGCAGCATAGTGAGACCCCCATATCTAAAAAAAGTTTTTTTTAAATTAGCCACATGTGGTGGCACATGCCTGTACTTCCAGGTATTTGGGAGGCTGAGGCAGGAGGATGCCTTGAGCCCAGGAGTTCGAAGCTTCAGTGAGTATTTTTTTTTTTTTTTGAGATGGAGTCTCACTCGTCGCCCAGGCTGGAGTGCAGTGGTGCGATCTTGGCTCACTGCAGCCTCCGCCTCCGAGGTTCAAGTGATTCTCCTACTTCAGCCTCTTGAGTAGCTGGGATTACAGGTATGTGCCACCATGCCCAGCTAATTTTCGTATTTTTAGTAGAGACTGGGTTTCACCATGTTGGGCAGGCTGGTCTCGAACTCCTGACCTCGTGATCCACCAGCCTTGGCCTCCCAAAGTGCTGGGATTACAAGCGTCAGCCACTGCGCCCGGCCAGTGAGTTTTTTTTTTTTTTACCTTTATTTTATTTTTAGAGACAAGGGCTTTCTGTTTCCCAGGCTGGAGTACAGTGGCATGATCATAGCTCACTGCAACCTTGCTGCCACACCCAGCTAAGCTAGTGTTTTTCTTTCTTCTTCTCTTCCTTCTCTCTCTCTCCCTTCTCTCTCTTTCTTTCTTTCTCTCTTTCTTTCTTTCTCTCTCCTTTCCTTCTTTTCCTTCCTTCCATCCTTCCTCCTTCTCTTCCTTCTTCTTCCTCCTCCTCTTCTTTCTTTTCTCCTTCTCCCTCTCTCCTTCTCCTTCTTCCTCTTCCTCTTATTCTTCTTCCTCTTCTTCTTCATTCTCTTCTTCCTTTTCTTCTTCCCCTTCTTCATTTTTAGTAGATACAGGGTCTCACTACATTGCCCGGGGTGGTCTTGAGCTCCTGGGCTCAAGTGATCCTCCTGCCTCAGCTTCCTAAAGTGCTGGGATTATAGGTATGAGCCACCGCACCTGGCCACCACTGCACTCCAGTCTGGGCGACAGAACAAGATCCCATCTCTTAAAAATAAAAAAAAGAAACTAAAAACAAACAAACAAAAAAACCAAAAAAAAATCCCCACTGAGTCTTGTCTTCAAAAAGTCACCTTTCACTTTGCAGACACAAGCTTTTACAGTCACCCACCATTGCCCATTCTGCAGGCTGGAGTGAAGCCTTCTTTGACTCTTGTTTTTTAGGTTTCTACCCATGAGAAGTTTGGCTACCCTGCAGTCTGAGGCTCCAGGGGGAATTTCTCCTAATGCTTCTCACCCTCCCGTTCCTCACCCGCACTTGCTAGCAGTGAGATAGAAATGAAGTTGAGAAGAATGGATAAATTTTTCTGTTCACTTCCCAAAGGAATTCCTCCTCCCATGGGTGCTAGCTTGCCCTTTGACTTTTTTTTTTTTTTGATGGCGTCTCCCTCGGTCACCCAGACTGAAGTGCGGTGGTGCGATCTTGGCTTACTGCAACCTCTGCCTCCTGGGTTCAAGTGATTCTCCTGCCTCAGCCTCCCGAGTAGCTAGGATTACAGGCGGGCACCACCACGCCCGGCTAATTTTTGTATTTTTAGTAGAGACGAGGTTTCACCATGTTGGCCAGGCTGGTCTTGAACTCCCGACCTCAGGTGATCTGCCTGCCTCAGACTCCCAAAGTGCTGGGATTACAGACGTGAGCCACCGCACCTGGCCCTGCCCTTTGATTTTTGAACAAAGAAACTCCTCTTAATGGGCAGAAAGGGCTTTATTAATTTATGTGGTACTACTCCCAGGCACTAGGCACTGTGCATCCCGATGCTTGGCCTGCTGAGACTTTGCCTTACATAGATTGCAGGCAAGGTTATACATGTGCCAGAGGTGCTATAACATGGTATTAAGCCTAGGGTCTTGAGAATTCTAGACGCCTCTGCAAACCGAAATGTCCCTTCCAGTGAGGTCCACAGAGGAGGCCTGTCTCAAAAACAACAGCAAAGGACAGGAATATTCCATTTTATGGACAGCTGGACTTGTTTCTAAAACCACTGGATAGTGTTCTGTAACCTAGGACGGACACTTGGCCTAACTATGGCTTGAGAGTCTGCTCTGTCTCTCTAAGCTCTTATGCAGATCTCCCCAAAGATAGTTTTTTTTGTTTGTTTGATTTTCTTTCAGACAGGGTCTCACTCTGTTGTCCAGGCTGGAGTGTAGTGGTGTGACCATGGCTCACTGCAGCCTCGACCTCCCAGGCTCAAGTGATCTTCCTGCCTCAGCTCCTGAGTATCTGGGACTACAGGCACACACCACCACGTGCAGCTAATTTTTCTCTCTCTTTTTTTTTTTTTTTTTGTGTGTGTGTGTGGAGGTGGGGTTTTGCCATGTGGCCCAGGCTGGTCTTGAACTACTGGGCTCAAGTGATCTGCCTGCCTTGGCCTCCCAAAGTGCTGGGATTACAGGTGTGAGCTACTGCACCTGGCCCCACTGATAGTTTTAATATGGTGAATCATGTTCCAAAGCCAATTACATTTTACAAAGGTAATACAGTCATGTGCCATATAACGATGTTTTGGTTAATGATAGACCGAATATACAACAGTGGGCCCATAAGATTATATAATGGAGCTGAAAAATTCCTATCACCTAGAGATGTCGTAGCTGTCATAATGTTATAACACAATGCATTATGTGTTTGTAGTGATGCTGGTATAAGCAAACCTACTGTGCTGCCAGTTGTATAAAAGTATAGCACATACAATAATGTATAGTACATAGGCCAGGCATGGTGGGTCATGCCTGTAATCCCAGCACTTTTGGAAGCCAAGGCAGGAGGATCACCTGAAGCCAGGAGTTCAAGACCAGCCTGTCCAACATGGTGAAACCCCATCTCTACTAAAAATACAAAAATTAGCCAGGCATGGTGGCAGGCGCCTGTAATCTCAGCTACTCAGGAGGCTGAGACAGGAGAATTGCTTGAACCCAGGAGGCAGAGGTTGCAGTGAGCCGAGATCGCGCCATTGCACTCCAGCCTGGGTGACAAGAGCAAAACTCCGTCTCAAAAAAAAAAAAAAAAAAGTATAGTATGTAATACTTGAAAATGACAATAAATGATTATATTACTGGATTATGTATTTGCTATATGTTTTATCATTATTTTAGAATGTACTCCTTCTACTTATTAAAAAAAACTTAACTACTAAACAGCCTCAGGCAGGTCTTTCAGGATGTATTGCAGAAGAAAGCATTGTTATCATAGGAGATGACAGCTCCATGTATGCTCTTGCCCTTGACAACCTTCCAGTGGGACAAGATGTGGAAGCGGAAGACAGTGATAACATGATCCTGACCATGTGTAGGCCTAAGCTATTGCCTAAGCTATTGTGTGTGTGTGTGTTTGTGTCTTAGAATTTTTTTTTTTTTTTAGCCAGGGTCTCACTTTGTCACCTGTGTTGGAGTGCAGTGGTGTGATCTCGGCCCACTACAGCCTCAGCCTCCTGGGCTCAAGTGATCCTTCCACCTCGGCCTCCCAAGTAGCTGAGACTACAGAGGCAAACCACCACATCAGGCTAATTTTGTTTATTTTTTGCAGAGACAAGGTCTCATTATGTTGCCCAGGCTCTTCTTGAACTCCTGGGCTCAAGTGATCCTCTTGCCTTGGCCTCCCAAAGTGCTGAGATTACAGATGCAAATCACTGTGCCTGGCCTGTGTCTGAGTTTTTAATAAGAAAGTTTAAAAAGTAAAAACATTTTTTTTCCAATTAAAAAATTAGCCAGGTGTGGTGGCAGGTACCTGTGGTCCTAGCTATTCAAGAAGTCGAGGCAGGAGGATCCCTTGAGCCGAGGAGGTTGAGGCTGCAGTGAGCTATGGTCACACCACTGCACTCCAGCCTTGGTTATGATGCAAGACCCTGTTTACAAAAAAAAAAAAAAAAAAAAGATTAAAAAAAATAATAGAAGAAAAAAGCTAATAAAAGGCTGGATGTGGTGGCTTATGCCTGCAATCTAATCCCAGCACTTTGGGACGTGGAGGCACAAGGAATCCTTGAGGCCAGGAGTTCGAGATGAGTCTGAGCAACATATTGAGACCCCTCCATCTGTACAAAAAAAAAAAAAAAAAATTATCCAGGCACAGTAGCAGTCACCTGTGGTCCTAGCTACTCAGGGAGGTTGGGGTGGGAGAATCACTTGAGCTTAGGAGGTTGAGGTTGCAGTGAGCTATGATCACACCACTGCACTCCAGTCAGGGTGACAGAGCAAGACCCTGTCTCCAGAAAAAAAACAAAAAACAAAAAAAACCATATAGAATTTCATATAAAGAAACAAAAAAAAATTCTTCGTACAGCTGTAGAATGTGTTTGTATTTTAAGTTAAGCATTATTACAAAAGAGTCAATAAGTTAAAAAAATTGAAAAGTTTAAGTAAAAAAGCTACAGTAAGCTAAAGTTAATTTATTATTGAAGAAAGATCCCTTTTTTTTTTTTTTTTGAGACAGAGTCTCACTCTGTCACCCTGGCTGGAGTGCAATGGCGCGATCTCGGCTCACTGCAACCTCCGCCTCCTGGGTTCAAATGATTCTCCTGCCTCAGCCTCCCAAGTAGCTGGGATTACAGGCGTGCACCACCACAACTGGCTAATTTTTGTATTTTTTTTTTTGAGATGGAGTTTTGCTCTTGTTGCCCAGGCTGGAGTGCAATGGCGCGATCTTGGCTCACTGCAACCTCTGCCTCCCAGGTTCAAGCAATTCTCCTGCCTCAGCCTCCTGAGTAACTGAGATTACAGGCATGTACCACTGTGCCCGGCTAATTTTGTATTTTTAGTAGAGACGGGGTTTCTCCATGTTGAGGCTGGTCTTGAACTCCTGACCTCAGGTGATCCGCCCACCTCAGCCTCCCAAAGTGCTGGGATTACAGGCATGAGCCACCGCACCCGGCCTAATTTTTGTATTTTTAGTAGAGACGGGGTTTCACCTTGTTGGCCAGGATGGTCTTGAACTCCTGACCTCAGGTGATCTGCCTGCCTTGGCCTCCCAAAGTGCTGGGATTACAGACGTGAGCCACTGTGCCCGGCCAAGAAAGATACTTTTTTTTTTTTGAGATGGAATTTCACTCTTGTTGCCCAGCTGGAGTGCAATGGCATGATCTCTGCTTGCTACAACCTCCACTTCCCGGGTTCAAGCAATTCTCCTGCCTCAGCCTCCTGAGTAGTTGGAATTACAGGTGCCCGCCATTATGCCCAGCTAATTTTTGTATTTTTAGTAGAGATGGGGTTTCACCATGTTGGCCAGGCTGGTCTCGAACTCCTGACCTCAGGCGATCCTCCTGCCTCAGCCTCCCAAAGTTCTGGGATTACAGGTGTGAACCAACGTGCCTGGCCAAGAAAGATACTTTTATAAATTTAGTGTAGCCTATGTGTACAGTGTTTAGAAAGTTTACAGTAAGGCTGGATGTGGTGGCTCACACCTGTAATCCCTTTGGGAGCTCTTTGGGAGGCTAAGGTGGGAGGATCCCTTAAGGCCAGGAGTTTGAGACCAGCCTGGGCAACATAGTGAGAGCTGATCTCTACAATTAGAAACTAGAAATTAACTGGGCACGATGGCTTGTGCCTGTAGTGCTAGCTGCTCCTAGCCCCAGGAGGCTGAGGCAAGAGGATTGCTTGAGCCCAGGAGTTCAAGGCTGCAGTGAGCTATGATCGTGCCAGTGCAATTTAGCCTGGGTGACAGAGGGAGACCCTGTCTCTATATAAAAATAAAAGTCTACAGTCATGTATCATAACGTTCTAGGCCTTCCTATTCACTCACTCACTGACTTACCTAGAGCAGCTTCCAGTCCTGCAAGTTCCATTTCATGGTAAGTGCTCTCTAGAGATGTATCAGTTTTTTACATTTTATACTGTATTTTTACTGTACCACTTCTATGTTTAGATATATTTAGATACACTAATACTTCCCACTGTGTTACAGTTGCCTACGGTATTCAGTACAGTAACATGCTATACAGGTTTCTAGCCTAGGAGCACTACACTCTACCATATAACCTAAGTGTGTAGTTGGCTATGCCATTTAGGTTTGTGTAAATACACCCTATGATGTTCCCACAATCATGAACTTGCCTAATGACACAATCCTCAGTATGTGTCCCCATCATTAAGTGACATATGACTGTAAAATAAAAATAATAATAAAAAACCCACCCAGATCTTCTGGAGGGTACTTTTGGTTGAATAAGAATTGAGTGCAATTGTGAGAGGCCATTAAACGGATATGAGGGGCCCACTGGTGAAATAAAACACGAAGTAACAAACAAGCTACAAATTCATAAGTTGATGATTTTTCTCCCAAAAAAAGCTAACTGTGTAGATCAGCTCTAAAAGGATGCATAAACAATTTGGTCACAGGAGTTTCCTCTTAAATTAGAGGGTTAGGCAGAGTCAGCAAACTATGGCCCATGGGCCAAGTTCGACCTGCTGCCTGTTTCTGTAGGTGGAGTTTTACTGGTACGTAGCATTGCTTGGTAGTTTACCTGTTGTCTACAGCTGCTTTCGTGCCCATGAGCACAGGTGAGTTGTTGCAACAGATACTGTGAGAAAAAGTTTGCTGACCCCTGAGCTAGAGGGCAGAGATGAGAGGGAGATTTACGTTCATTTTGCA
Organism: Homo sapiens; assembly: GCF_000001405.40. Classification (NCBI taxonomy): domain Eukaryota; kingdom Metazoa; phylum Chordata; class Mammalia; order Primates; family Hominidae; genus Homo; species Homo sapiens. The sequence goes on along the minus strand of NC_000009.12, from coordinate 112,150,041 downwards.
TCTTTCACTTTCATATTATTCAATGAAAAACACTCTGGGCAAGCTTCTGGGGACTCATCGAGCATCCATGTTCCAGGCCTCTGCACTGAGGGACTAACATTATTCACCACAGGTCATTGACCATTAGCATGAGCTATTCCTGCTTCTGCATTAGCCCTGCTCCGGATGAGGCTGCAGCACTAATTCCATTGTGTTTCTTGGTAGTTCAGAAGGAAGAAATTTTCCAGTTAATCACTGGCTGTAAAGTCACCCTACCCTGGCTTTCATGGAAAACCATGAGAATGGCTGAACTGGAAAAGGGGAATTCTGCTGGTTTGTTTCCGTGGGCCTCTGAAAAGATCTTTTTAAGCTTGGAAAAGTTCAAAGAGAACCCTCTTCTCCCAATCTTCAAATCAGACGGATTGCCAGATTGAGGTGTTGTGTTTCTCTTGGGGTTTCATACACTCCTGGCACATAACTACGAGGGGCCCAGGTCCTGTAGTCTGGGGAGCATCGTGAAAGGAGAAGAGGCTGGAGAAATAGATCACTAAGGTGTGGTCACAGAACGTTGGTTCCCGAGTCCATAGCATGGGAGGACAGTCTGGGCTGTTGAAGTCGGTGTGGATTGATAGCTCTTCCGGTGCCTTGTCTGTGTGTCAACAGATAAAAATGAGTGCCAGTTTGGAGCCACTCTTGTCTGTGGGAACCACACATCTTGCCACAACACCCCCGGGGGCTTCTATTGCATTTGCCTGGAAGGATATCGAGCCACAAACAACAACAAGACATTCATTCCCAACGATGGCACCTTTTGTACAGGTACTCAAGAAGGGGGCTGCGGTGTTGACAATTGGCGATGGCAGGATAGTATCTGGGCTGTGTATTTGTTAATATTAGGGAATTAATGTTAGTTTTGTTAGATGGCATAATGGTATTGTGGTATATAGGATAATATTCTTATTTTGGGAGATGCATGCTGAGGTATCTAGGGGTGTTATGATGATGTATCTATAATAGTGTTCCTTTAGTCTGTAAGCTACTTTAAATGGCAAAATGTAAACAACGATTGAATCTTGGGGGGATGTGGGTCTATGGGAGTTCATTGTAATATTCTTTTTCTTTCATTGTAATGTTTTGTTTGAACTTTTTTTTTTTTAAGGGGGGGGTCTCACTCTGTTGCCCAGGCTGGAGTGCAGTGGCACAATCTCGACTCTCTGTAACCTCCGCCTCCTGGGTTCAAGCGATTCTCCTGCCTCAGCTTCCTAAGTAGCTGGGATTACAGGCACGCACCACCATGCTCAGCTAATTTTTGTATTTTTGGTAGAGATGCGGTTTTGCCCCATTGGCCAGGCTGGTCTCAAACTCCTGGCCTCAAGTGATCTGCCCGCCTCGGCCTCCCAAAGTGCTGGGATTAGTCATGAGCCACTGCACCTGGCCTGATCGTTTTCATAATGAATAGTGAGGAGGGACTCTCTGGAGATGGTGTGCCTCCTGCAGGTTCCTGTAACCACAGGTCGGGGGTCCTTGGGGTGAGTGGCACTCCTCAGCTCAGAGCACACTAATCTGGGGGCTGGCACCCGGCTGTTGGCTCACAGGAGGTCAGAGTTGTCCCTGTTAAGAGATGTGGGCTTGCCTCCCACATGTGTGCGCTGAGTGAGGAGTGCGAGTTTTGGGAGCATGGGAGCTTTGTAGGCTGGGTCTCTGAGCATAGGCTGGTCGAATACAGGGTGGGGACAAACCCTCCTAATTTTTAGCGGCTCCTCTGTTATCTGAACTCTATAAACAGCATACGCTATTTAATGTTGCTCTCTGGCTTTCTAGGAAAATCTTTGAACAATAATGAAGAGGAAAGGCAGAAAAAGCCTCCTGGTTCTAAGATGCTTTTGCATAGACTTAATGACTCTGCTGGAAAGCTTCGTGATATTTAAAGGTTTTCAGGAAAAATAAAATGAAAGGAGAACATATTTTATCTTCTTAGCTACCAGGAACCGTAGGTTCTTATGCTCGGATTCATCCTCCCTCTTGACCTGTACCAAGGCAGAATCTCTCAAAGGATACATTTGATTTATTCTTGGCACGAATGAACACATTCCTTCAGAGAAAACATTTTATAATATCCTGTTGTTCTAGGTAGCAAATTACTGGCTGCATGGTTGCAGAAGTACAATGTTACAGTATTAAATTTTGTATATTAAGAAGAAAAGACACTAAAAAAAAAGCATATAAGATGATGATCTAGTGTTTTGTTTATTCAATACACATTTCTCATGTACTTTTTCTTTTCTTTTCTTTTTGAGACGGAGTCTCGCTCTGTTGCCCAGGCTGGAGTGCAGTGGCATGATCTCGGCTCACTGCAGGCTCTGCCTCACGGGTTCAAGCGATTCTCCTGCTTCAGCCTCCTGAGTAGCTGGGACTACAGGTGCGCACTGCCACGACTGGCTAATTTTTGTACTTTTAGGAGAGACGGGGTTTCACCATGTTGGCCAGGATGGTCTTGATCTCTTGACATTGTGATCTGCCTGCCTTGGCCTCCCAAAGTGCTAGGATTACAGGCGTGAGCCACTGTGACCCAGGCTGGAGTGCAGTGGCACAATCACGGCTCACTGCAACCTCTGCCTCCTGCGTTCAAGCGATTCCCCTGTGCTTCTCCTGTCTCAGCCTCCTGAGTAGCTGGGATTACAGGCACCCGCCACCATGCCCAGCTAATTTTTGTATTTTAGTAGAGACAGGGTTTCACCATGTTGGCCAGGCTTGTCTCGAAGTCCTGACCTCGGCTGATTCACCTGCCTCGGCCTCCCAAAGTGCTGGGATTACAGACGTGAGCCACCACGCCTGGCCTTTCATGCACTTCTTATATGACAAGACTGTGCTAGTGGAAGGGTGACGAGCAGACAGCTAATTTCAGTATAAAGTGTTAGTCATAGGTAAGCAAACAGCATTTACTGGAATCTAGGGGTCACTTATCTTGGCTGTGAGGAAGGAATCAGGGGAATCTTCTGGAGAATATGATCCCTGAAATTGTGTTTTCTAGGCTGTGGGAGTTTGCCAGGGAAAACTTACAACTGTATATTTATCAGTATGTTTATAGTTCCAAGAGATGAATTCAGCTTTTGAAAGTTATGAAGAAGGCTGGGCATGGTGACTCACGCCTGTATCCCCAGGACTTTGGGAGGCCAAGGCTGGAGGATCACTTCAGACCAGGAGTTCAAGACCAGCTTGGGCAACATAATGAGACTTCATCTTTACAAAAAATAAGAAAATTAGCTGGATGTGGTGGCTTGTGCCTGTTGTCCTAGCTACTTGGAAGGCTGAGGTGGGAGGATCGCTGGAGCCCAGGACTTTGAGGCTGCAGTGAGCCAAGGTTGTGCCATTGCACTCCAGCCTGGGTGACAGAGCGAGACTTTGTCTTAATTTTTTTTTTTTTTAAGTTAGGAAGAAGAATGAGGAGGAGGAAGAGTGAGAAGATTGGTGGGAACAGGAGGAGGGAAGAAGAGGGGAAGAGGAAAGAGAAAAAAATATTTTATGTAAGGGCCAAATAGGTGTCAGCCGAACTAGACCTAATCTGCCTGGAACTAAATCCAGATCTAGGCTCTACTTTTATTTATTCCATTCTTGCAATGATTGAATGACCTTCTCTTTTGTAAAAAATTGAGCTATAGTTTACATACCATCAAATTCACCCTTTTGATGTATACAACTCAGTGGTTTTTAGTATATTCACAAAGTTGTGCTAGCATCACCACTGTCTCATTTTGGAGCATTTTCATGCCCCCACCATGAAGACCATGTCCACTGGCAGCCATTCCCATGACCTTTCCTTGTGAGTTCTCCAGTTATCACTTTGTAAAAGCTGATGAATTGCTTTTCTTGATAATACTGTTTCTTTCAGAATCACAGTTGCCAGAGAAACATCAGCGGGCTTTAGCTGGGGCAGAGCTTAGCAAGTGTTGGGGTATCAGCAGTTAGTCACTGTTTGCCTGGAACCACAGGATGTGAATCCTAGTTCCTGGATTCCAAGGAATCCTGCATCCAGGTGTTTATTGTGCTTTGCAGAGTCAACATCAAGCTCAGGAGCTGGTTGCAGGTAGGCCTCTGAATGTCACCAATGTTAGAGGAGGAATGAATTGCTGGGGTTCTAGTGTGAGATGATTCCAGCCAGTCATGGAGAACAGGCAGATGTTCTGGCCCTTAGAACTGCCCCCTGAATGACTCCTGGGAATCATGGAAACCACCATGAGCCACAACCCAGGAGAAGAAGCTCTGTGGCACTTCTTGTGTGAGGGTGGTTTGACTTGGATGGGCTCCTTCAGCAATTGAATAGAATTACTGGTTCCCAAACAATAATTGGTGTGAGTGGAGAGGCGTTCATTGATCCAAGACCCAAAAGGAAAAAGAATAAAGAATATAAAAGTTCAAAAGGATTCTGAGGCAATTTTCTTTTATCTTTTGGGGGCTAAAATGTCATTTAAGAAAAAGAAATTATAGCCAGGTGCATTGGCTCATGCCTGTAATCCCAGCACTTTGGGAGCCAACTGGGTGGACAATTTGAGGTCGGGAGTTCGAGACCAGCCTGGCCAACATGGTGAAACCCTGTCTCTACAAAAAGACACACAAAAATTAGCCGGCGTGGTGGTACACACCTGTAGTCCCAGCTACTCAGGAGGCTGAGGCAGGAGAATCAGTTGAAGTCAGGAGGCAGCGGTTGCAATAAGCCAAGATCACACCATTGCACTCCAGCCTGGGCAACAGAGTGAGACTCTGTCTCAAAAAAAAAAAAAAAAAAAGGAAATTATGGTATTACTAGCTTTTTGAAATTTTTTTTTTAAAAAACAGACTTTCTTCAATCATGCTGCTTCCTGTCTTCTGCTCAATCCCTGATGTTTTTATGCCAATGTCCTAGGAATTTCAGTTAGGGTGCTTTTTTGTTTTCTCCAAGTGGAATTGAACTATGTGGCTCTGATGAAAATAGTATTATTATTATTTTTAGAGATGAGGGTCTTGCTGTGTTGCCCAGGCCGGCCTTGAACTCCCGGACTTAAAGCAATCCTCCTGCCTCAGCCTCTTGAGCAACTGGGACCATAGGCATGCCCAGGCATGCCCAGCTGATGGAATTCTTAAAGTTTTAAAGTCAGTTCTGAGGGAAAAAACTACTAACTGGAAGAGAGATTTCTTCTCCAGCCTCTGGCTTATTGGGCAGTTTTTACCCTATACCTGCTGCCTCTGATAGTCTTCAGTCAGGTGCAAAAAAATCTGCAAAAGGGCATGTCCTGTCCTTCCAGAAGGCTGTTTTAAGGCTGTCTCATTTTCATAAAATTAGTAAGACCTTTCCTAATTAAGTTACCACCTTATTACCTGCCACACCATCCTATACTCATGGGCTGGCATTTTCACTCTCCTGGAGATTGTTTTCCTTATTTAAAACATTAAAAATGTTGTTTATATTTTAAGTTAATTTTAAGACAGGTTCTCACTTCGTTCCCAGGCTGGTCTCAAACTCCTGGACTCAAGCAGTCCTCCCAAAGTGCCAGGATTACAGACATGAGCCACCGTGCCAGGCCTGTAAATTGTTTTCTATCTGAAGCCCTACTTTAGATGTTTTAGTATGAGGTTGGGACCATTCTTTTGTTATAATGATTGGGTATATTTATAGTGATTGGATATATTTATAGTGATTGGATATATTTATAGTGATTGGATATATTTATAGTGACTGGATATATTTTAGTGACTGGATATATTTATAGTGACTGGATTCTTTTAGTGATTGGATATATTTATAGTGATTGGATTTTTTAGTGATTGGATTTTCTTTTTTTTTTTCTTTGAGACGGGGTCTTGCTCTGTCACCCAGGCTGAGTGCAGTGGCGTGATCTCGGCTCACTGCAAGCTCCGCCTCCTAGGTTCAAGTGATTCTCCTGCCTCAGCCTCCTGAATAGCTGGGACTACAGGCATGTACCACCATGGCTGGCTAATTTTTGTATTTTTACTAGAGATGAGGTTTCACTATGTTGGCCAGGCTGGTCTCGAACTCCTGACCTCAAGTGATCCACATGCTTCGGCTTCCCAAAGTGCTGGGATTACAGGTGTGAGCCACCATGCCCGGTCAGGATATTTTTTAGTGATTGGATATATTTATGTTTTTGGTTCATTTTGTTGGGTGTCAGGGAGCCGGTGATGGTTATCAGCTTTTGTAAAATCCCAGAACACACTGACAAACATTTATTGAGCACTTGCTATGTTTTCAGTGCCTATGATATGAACGATATATGAGAAGAACCCATAAGGCATAAAATAAAATGTATGATACAATTGCAAACAAATGCATCTTTTTACAAGAGTAGCTTGAAAATGTGAAAAAATGGCTGTCACAATATCCTCTCCTTTTTTTTTTCTTTTTTCTGTTTTTATCTCCTTTTCTCTATTTGGATTGGGTCCCAAGACATAGATGAGTGTGAAGTTTCTGGCCTGTGCAGGCATGGAGGGCGATGCGTGAACACTCATGGGAGCTTTGAATGCTACTGTATGGATGGATACTTGCCAAGGAATGGACCTGAACCTTTCCACCCGACCACCGATGCCACATCATGCACAGGTGGGTTTCTGCCAAAAATTGCGGCATCTCAACGTGAAATTCTGTTGATGGTGACTTTCTTCTGCTCCAAGCCTGTGTTGGGGAGGCAGGTGGAGGTGATCTGATCCTTTGCACATTTTGTACAACCTATGACATAAAGCAAATAACAACAATCAAGTTACAGGGGGCCATGTTAAAAAAGCTAAAATTAGGCCAGGAGCAGTAGCTCTGTAATCTCAGCACTTTGGGAGGCCGAGGCTGGTGGATCACTTGAGGTCAGGAGTTCGAGACCAGCCTGGCCAACACGGTGAAACCCTATCTCTACTAAAAATAAAAAAAAATAGCCAGGTGTGGTGGTGGGCACCTGTAATCCCAGCTACTCAGGAGGCTGAGGCATGAGAATTTCTTGAACCCAGGAGACAGAGGTTGCAATGAGCCGAGATCATGCCATTGCACTCCAGCCTGGACAACAGAGTGAGATCTCTGTCTTAAAAAAAAAAAAAAAAAAAAAAAAAAAAAAAAAAAAAAAAGCTAAAATTCATAAACTTAAAGGATTTTTATTAGCAGTTAATAGATATTCCGATATTAACTACTATGTTAGATAGTAAATGCCAATGATTTGGTAAGGTCCCTGCATCTCAAAAGTGACCCTGAAAATAATCAAGGTACATATATCTTAAGGTATTTTGCAATTCAGATTTTTTATTTCACTGGACAAGGCTTCTCTTTAGTTAGTGTAAATTAGTGAGGGTTGATTGCTAAGTTATTTCAGCTTTGTGCATGTATAGATGCTTTACCTATGGAAGGCCAAAAGATTGAATAAAGACAATTGTTGGAAATGTTCCCAGAAGTCATGTGGGAATGAACCAGTGTACTTAAAATATGGCTCGGGGGTGTGTGTGTGTGAGGAATAGGGTAGAGGTGGAGAGAGATTGTGAATTTTGAAGATTTACATTCACGAGGTAATGAATTTGACATTAATTTATTTTCAGAAATAGACTGTGGTACCCCTCCTGAGGTTCCAGATGGCTATATCATAGGAAATTATACGTCTAGTCTGGGCAGCCAGGTTCGTTATGCTTGCAGAGAAGGATTCTTCAGTGTTCCAGAAGATACAGTTTCAAGCTGCACAGGCCTGGGCACATGGGAGTCCCCAAAATTACATTGCCAAGGTGAGTTTTCAAAAAATACAGGTTCCCAATTCATACCACCTTGAAACTGTTTTCATATTTTTCTCTAAATTTCAGTTTCAGGGAATAAATGAGTTAAGTAAACCTTTAAAATTCCTATTTGTTTCTCATAGATTTTCAGGTGATTTTCTTGATTTTTCAGGAATAGTATCATATCATCTGCAAATCATAATTCCATTCATAAATTTTTCTTTCTTTATAATAGTTATGTTTTTCTCTTGATTGATCACTTTGTATTTTTAGAACAAAGACTTAAATGGTAGTGTTGCCTTTGAATATTATTTTTTTATTCCTGACTATTAGGGAAATGGTTTGGGTGTTTCTTCATTCCTGATGTTAGTTTTTTGATGTTAGGTGTATATATATATATATATTCCCAGAAGTCATGTGGGAATGAACATATATATATACATATATATACACACACATATATGTATATATATACATATATATATAAAAACGTCATGTGGGAATAACATATATTATATATAATATACAATATATACAATATATGTAATATATTACATGTAATGTATTATATATTATATATTACATGTAATATATATTATATATAATACATTACATGTAATATATTATATATTTTTTATATATATATATAGTTTTTGAGACAGAATCTCGCTTTGTCACCCAGTCTGCAGTGTAGTGGCACAACCTTGGCTCACTGCAACCTCTGCCTCCTGGGTTCAAGCGATTCTCATGACTCATCCACTCGAGTAGCTGGGATTACAGGCACCCACCACTACACCCGGCTAATTTTTGTGTTTTTAGTAAAGATGGGGTTTCACCGTGTTGGCCAGGCTAGTCTTGAACTCCTGACCTTAAGTTATCTGCCCGTGTTGGCCTCCCACAGTGCTGGGATTACAGGTGTGAGCCACTGCGCCTGGCTGATATTTGGCATATCTAATCATGTCTACTCATATGGCACTGTGTGCCAAGTATTATTTTAAGCACTTTATATATGATGATGGACCACATTGTAGTGGTCCCATAAGATCATAATGAGACTGAAAAATTCCTATTGCCTAGTGACATCGTAGCCATCATAATGTTGTAGTGCATCACACTCACGTGTTTGTGGCATTGCTGGTGTAAACAAACTTACTGCTCTGCCAGCAAGTACATTACTGTATGTATATTACTGTATGTACATTACTATACATAAAAGTGTACAGTAATGTCCTAGGCCTTCACATTCACTCACTATTCACTCACTGACTCACCCAGACCAACTTCCAGTCCTGCAAGCTCCATTCATGGTAAGTGCCCTATTACAGGTGTATCATTTTTTTATCTTTTATTCTGTATTTTTACTGTATCATTTCTATATTTAGATATATAAGTACTTCTTATTGTGTTATAGTTGCCTACAGTAATCAGTATAGTAACATGCTGTGTGAATTTGTAGCCTAGGAGCAATAGGTATACCATACAGCCTAAGTGAGTAGCAGGCTCTACTATCTAGGTTTGTGTAAGTACACTCTGTGACTTCACACAATGAAGGAATTGCCTAATGATGCATTTCTCAAAATGTATGCAGATTGTTAAATGATGCATGACTGTAATTTGTTTAAGGTCACACAACTAGAGACAGAGCTGAACTTGAACCCAGGAATTCTAGTTTCAGAATTATTTTCAGCCACTTTGTTTTGCTGCTTCTGCTTTTATGGTGACACTGGCTTTTGGTTAGTTTTTTAAAAATTTTGGCTTTCTGTTTCTTTTTCCTTTTCCTTTTTCCTTTCTTTTCTTTTCTTTTTTCTTTTTTTTTTTGAGACAGAGTCTTGCTCTGCCACCCAGACTCGAGTGCACTGGTGCTCCTGGGCTCAAGCCATCCTCCCACCTCAGCCTCCTGAGTAACTGGACTACAGGCACGAACTACCATGCCTGGACAATTTTTGTATTTTTTTTTTTTTTGGAGACGGAGTCTCGCTCTGTCGCCCAGGCCGGACTGCGGACTGCAGTGGCGCAATCTCGGCTCACGGCAAGCTCCGCTTCCCGGGTTCACGCCATTCTCCTGCCTCAGCCTCCCCAGTAGCTGGGACTACAGGCGCCCGCCACCGCGCCCGGCTAATTTTTTGTATTTTTGGTAGAGACGGGGTTTCACCTTGTTAGCCAGGATGGTCTCGATCTCCTGACCTCATGATCCACCCGCCTCGGCCTCCCAAAGTGCTGGGATTACAGGCGTGAGCCACCGCGCCCGGCCCCAATTTTTGTATTTTTTATAGAGATGGGGTTTCGCCATGTTGCCCAGGCTGGTCTTGAACTCCTGGGTTCAAGTGATCTGCCTGTCTCTGCCTCCCACAGTGCTGGGATTCCAGGCATGAGCCACCACACTTGACCTGGTTTTCTGTTTCTCTGTCTACAAATATTATCATTTTATGTGCCTGTTTCCATCTGAAAAGTGAAAAAAAATTTTTTTAATTACCATTTTTCTAGTTTTTGGCTATATGTCCATAATCTAAAGGAAACATCAATCTATTCCCACTGTTTAGGAATTTCTTTTTTTTTTAATTGGAAATAAGTTATTTTTATCATGTCTTTTAGGCAGGTGATTATATATTTTTTTTCTTCTTTTAAATAACGATGTGGCCAGATGCAGTGGCTCATGTCTGTAATTCCAGCACTCTGGGAGGCCCAGGCAGGCAGATAGCTTGAGCCCAGGAGTTCAAGACCAGCCTGGGAGTGGTGGTGCATGCCTATAGTCCCAGCTACTTGGGAGGCTGAGGTGGGAGGACCACTTGAGCCTGTGAGGTTGAGGCTGCAGTGAGCCATGATCACACCCTGCCCTCCAGCCTGGGTGACAGAGCAAGATCCTATCTCATAAAGAAAAAATAATAATAATAATGTGTGGGTTATATTGTTAGATTTCCTGATAATGATCAGTACTAATTGCTGGAATGAATTAATCTGGGTTTTTGGTGTTTTATTCCTTTCATTTGGATTATATTTGCTAAATTTTACTTATAAATCTTGCATTGATATTCATAAGTGAAATTGCTCTATTTTCTTTTCCTGTGCCATCTTTGTTCAGTTCGGTATTAATGTTATTCTGAATTTTAAAAAAAAGAATGTAAAAATTTCCTTCTTTCTCTATTTCTGGAATACTACAAATAGAATTTTTAAAGATTTGGGAGATTTCACCTATAAAACCATCTGGATGTGGCACTATTGGAGAGGTAGCCCTTGGACTATTTGGACTACTTTTAAATTCTTCCTATACTTGCTGGTATATCTAATCATGTCCATTCTTTTTCTTTCCCTCTTAAGATCAATTTTGGTAAATTATGTATTTCTAGAAAATCATTTACTTCATCCAGATTTTCCAATTTATTTGTGCATGCAAAGAAGTGTAAAGCCTTCTAATTTGCTGTGGTTATATTTGTTTATAACTATTTATTGTAGTGAAATATTAGAAACAATCTCAAATGTCTAACAACAAGAGATTGGTTAAGTGAATCAATCCCTTAAAATGGAATATTATGTATCCAATAAAATTATGTTAGAAAAACAATATTTAAAAAAGAATATTTATTGCAGGCCAGGCACAGTGGCTCACACCTGTAATCTCAGCACTTTGGGAGGCCAAGGCAGGCTGATCACGAGGTCAGGAGTTCGAGACCAGCCTAGCCAGCATGGTGAAACCCTATCTCTACTAAAAATACAACAAATTACCTGGGCGTGGTGGCGTGCACCTGTAATCCCAGCTACTCAGGAGTCTGAGGCAGGAGAATTGGGAGGTGGAGGTTGCTGTGAGCTGAGATTGTGCCACTGCACTCCAACCTGGGTGACACAGCAAGACTCCGTCTCAAAAAAAAAAAAAGAATATTTATTGACATAGATAAGTACTAATAGTATGTTTCAGAGTTACAAATTCTATGAATAATAATCTTAATTTTGAAAAAGTTCCTATATACAGATAAGCTTAGAAAAATGTTTAGAATGCCATACATCAAAATGTTAATGGTGATAGTTTCCAATGGGAGGGTTTGGGATCCTGGACTTCATATATATATATATGTATATACACATATATATATATATATATACACATTTTTTTTTTGAGATGGAGTCTCACTGTGTTGCCCAGGCTGGAGTGCAGTGGCACAATCTAGCTCACTGCAACCTCTGCCTCCTGGGTTCAAGCCATTCTCCCTGCATCAGCCTCCCACGTAGCTGGGATTACAGGTGTCTGCCACCATGCCCAGCTAATTTTTTGTATTTTTAGTAGAGATGGGGTTTCGCCATGTTGGCCAGGCTGGTCTCAAACTCCTGACCTCAGGTGATCCGCCCACCTTGGCCTCCCAAAGTTCTGGGATTACAGGCATGAGCCACCGCACCCAGCCAATTTTTATATTTTATATACTTTCTGTATTGAAAGAAATTTTTTTAATGGAATGCTTAATGCATTTGCATGTCATACTTGCACAGGGATCATGCTAGTCTCTGTATCGTTCCAATTTTAGTATACATGCTGCCAAAGTGAGCATGATGGAATTTTTCACATATCAGACAAAGAAACCTGTTTTCATTTTGGAGAAAAGAGAAACCCTCACAATTTTCATTGAATTTATTGCATAATTAAGAAACCCCAGTGATGTGCATGGCTAAGTTAATCATTTTGATATTCTGACTTGCTGTGTAGGCTCTACACGCATTTTGATCATTAATTATCATCCTCAGGGGTTAAGAATTTCTAAAGATAACATTTTAGTTCTAAGATGATCTTTCAATGGATCAACTAAAATGCAGAACTTAGATTAAAATGTGCCATAGTGCCTATCAAAGAACGCTCTAAGGATTTACATAGGAAACCCCATATAAAACCATTTAGATTGCCTTGAAAATTAGCCATCATCTGGATTATTAGACTGAGAATGTAGAAAATTAATTTAGAGGAGAGTGCTTGCTGCATTTTCCCAAAGAACTGTTATTTAAAAGATCTTCGCTTCTTTTTTCCTTCTCTAATAACTGCTCCCTCTGCCCGCTGACACCTTCCTCCTCCTCCTCCTCCTCCTCCTCCCCTGTGTCACTACATGGCCTCGGTTTCTCACTGCTGTGCCTGCTCCTTTCTGAGCACATGGTTTCCAAAGTCCATTAATAGCAAAGCCTGATTCTCTAGAGGTGGCCAGCTCTTTAAGGTGTGTAAGTTTTATAGATTGGTATTATTTCCCATTTCACAGAGGAGTTTAAGGACCAGGATAAGGAAGTGACTTACTGTATGTCATGAGCTTATGCACCAAGATGAGAGCCCGATGCACTTTTCTAGAAGGCAGCCCCAGTCAGTGTGCCCTGGAGATGGGAGGTGATGATGAAAAAGCTGGAGGGCCCTAGGAGAGGGGTGCCAAGACAAACATGCACGTTCATGCACAGTGTGGTCTAGGACCCGGCCAGAAGGGTATTCATTGTTGCCGAGTCAACTCTTCATCTTTTGAGATTTTTCTTAGTAGAGCCTGATTTATCTCTACAAAAGTGGAAAGAGTTTGAAAAAGCTTCGACATAAATTGTACCACAATTTAGTGCATTCAAATGAAGAGTGGCAGATAAGCTTCATTACACGGCTGCCTGTGGAATTTTAGTGCTGGTATGGAAAGGATCCTGAGACCACATCCAGACTTAGCACAGGTGAATGCTGTGATTGACTAATGATGCCACCATGGGTGAGGGAGGAGCGAGTGAGAGCACATTTACCTTGTGTCTGCCATCTGTGTTCCAGGTGATAGGATGTTTGCTCATTTGAAATACATTTTCTGGACTGGGCATGATGGCTTACACCTATAATCCTAGCACTTTGGGAGACCAAGAAGGGAAGATTGCTTGAGGCCAGGAGTTCAAGACCAGCCCGGAAAACATAGTGAGACCTTGTCTCTACGAAAACATATAACATTGTCTGGGCATGATGGCACGCGCCTGTAGTCCTAGCTGCTCAGGATGCTGAGGTGGGAGGATCACTTGAACCCAGGAGTTCAAGGTTACAGTGAGCTGTGATCATGCCACTGCACTCCAGCCTGGGCAACAGGGGAAGACCCTGTCTCTACAAAAATTTTCAAAATAAATAAATAAAAATTAAAAAACAATTAAATACATTTTCTGGCACCTCACGATATACTGATCTTTTAACACATTTTTAAAAACTGCATTGACTTACCCGTTGCATGCAACAGCTCTGTTGGGTTACACTTTTGCCAAGTAAATGCCATTAAAATATGTCTCCATATTTGTAAATGGTTGAAGTCATTTGAGTGTGCAGAATGAGTGATGACATTGGTTATAAGGCTGCCAATAGTGGGGACGATGCATGAGCTTTTGGCTCAGAAAGACCCGTGTAAGTTTTATCTGAGCCACTAACTAGTTGTGCAACCACTTCTGAACCTCTCTAAACTCCAGTTTCCTTTTGTGGAAGGGAATAAAATGGTGTTCATCCCTTAGAGCTATTGTGAAGATTTAATCGGATAATGAATAAAGCCCTTGGCCCTGTGCCTAGTGCAGAAAAGGTGTGGCTCAATGTCACGGTCATGAGCAAGTGGGCCATTTTCTAGTGAGGAGTGGCAGGTCTCCTCATCAAAAACATAAGGTCTTTCTGAAACTTCTTACTATAAAATGAGAAGGTCTAAAGTTCTTCAGTTTTTACTTTACCTTATTTATTTATTTTCCATTCAGACATTCTATTTACAACTAGAACATTAGAATGAAGAGTTTTAATGTTATCTTTTGATAAAAAGAAATATTCATATGCAGCTCAAAGCATCAACAAACATTATTGTCACTTCTGCAAATGGAAGATCCTTACAAGAGATCTTGCTAAGCCCTTTTTTTCCCTTAACATTCATGCTTTTACACACCCTATCACCTCCTCTGCAGTTTCTGAAGTGTTCAGATTCCAGTTGTTTCCATATTAGACACTATTTATTGATGATAAGTGTTATATGAAAAGGAAAATGTTCTTTTTCCTCCAAGTGAGCTTTCTGTATGAATACGATCTGAAGAAAATATATTGTTAGTCAAGGCTAAATAAAGTTCATGGAAGAATTTAGAATACAAAATGCATCAAAAAGTAATCTGTTTTTCTTTCTATCGCCTTAAGAGCAAGTAGACTTTTGGGTACTAATGAGCTCATTAGAGCGGTTAATAAACTACGCTTGAGAATGTGCTTCATGGCAAACTATAACCCTCCCATTTTTCTTTTATGCTTGCAATAACATTTTCTTTTCTTTTTTTTTTTTGAGACAGTTTGCTCTTGTTGCCCAGGCTGGAGTGCAATGGCACAAACTTGACTCACTGCAACCTCTGCCTCTTGGGTTCAAGCGATTCTCCTGCCTCAGCCTCCCGAGTAGCTGGGATTACAGGCGCCTGCCTCACACCTGGCTAATTTTTGTATTTTTAGTACAGATGGGATTTCATCACATTGGCCAGCTGGTCTCTAATTCCTGGCCTCAGGTGATCCTCCTGCCTTGGACTCCCAAAATGCTGGGATTACAGGGGTGAGCCACCGTGCCTGGCCACATTTTTTTTTTTTTTAAATAATTTCAACTTTTATTTTAGATTCAGGGGGCACATGTGCAAGTTTGTTACAATGGTATATTGCATAATGCTGAGATTTGGGATATGAATGATCCTGTCACCTATGTAGTGAGCATGGTACCCAACAGTTAGTGTTTCAACCCCCTTCCTCCCTCCTCCCTCTATTTGTCCTCTATGTCTGTCGTTCTCATCTTTATGTCCATGAGTACCCAATATTTAGCTCCCACTTATATGTGAGAACGTGTGGTATTTGATTATCCGTTCATGTGTTAATATGCTTAGGATATTAGAATTTTCTGTTCCTGCATTAATATGCTTAGGATAGTAGAAGTGGCCTCTAGCTGCATCCATGTTGCTGCAAAGGACATGATTTTATTTTTTATGGTTGTGTAGTATTCCATGGTGTACATGTATCACATTTTCTTTATCCAATCCACCACTGATGGGCATCTAGGTTGATTCCATGTCTTTGCTATTGTGAATAGTGCAGCGATGAACATATAAGTGCATGTGTCCTTTTGATTGAATGATTTATTTTCTTTTGGATATATACCAGTAATGGGACTGCTGGATTGAATGGTAGTTCTGTTTTAAGCTCTTTGAGAAATCTCCAAATTACTTTCCACAGTGGCTGAACTAATTTACATTCCCACCGACAGCATATAAGCATTCCCTTTTCTCTGTAGCCTTACCAGCATCTGTTATTTTTTGTCTTTTTAATAATAGCCATTCTGACTGGTGTGAGATGGAATCTCATTGTGGTTTTGATTTGCATTTCTCTGATTAGTGTTGTGGAGCATTTTTTCATATGTTTCTTGATTGCTTGTGTGTCTTCTTTTGAGACATGTCTGTTCATGTCTTTTGCCCACTTTTTAATGGAGTTATTTGTTGTTTGCTTGTTGAATTGTTTAAGTTCCTTGTAGATTCTGGATATTAGACCTTTGTCAGATGCATAGGTTGTAAATATTTTATCCCATTCTGTAGGCTATCAGTTTCCTTTGTTGATAGTTTCTTTTGCTGTACAGAGGCTCCTTAGTTTAATTAGGTCTCACTTGTCACTTTTGTTTTTGTTGCAATTGCTATTGAGGGCTTAATAAAAAACTATTTCCCAAGGCTGATGTCCAGAATGGTGTTTTGCAGTTTTTCTTCCAGCATTCTTACAGTTTGTGGTCTTATATTCAAGTCTTTAATCTATCTTGAATTAATTTTTATGTACGGTAAATGGCAGGGGTCCAGTTTCATTCTTCTGCATATGGCTAGCCAGCTATCCCAGCACCATTTATGTATAGGGAGTCCTTTCCCCTTTGCTTGTTATTGTTTACTTCTTTGCAGAAGATAAGGTGACTGATCAGGTGTGTGGCTTCATTTCTGGGTTCTCTATTCTGTTCCATTGGCCTATTGGCCTATGTACCAGTACCATGCTGTTTTGGTTGCTGTAGCTTTGTAGTATAGTTTGAAGTCTGGTAATGTAATGCCTCTGGCTTTGTTTTTCTTTTTTTCAGACATGAGGTTGCCCAGGGTGGAGTGTGGTGGTGCAGTCATGGCTCACTGCAGCCTCAAATTCTTGGGCTTAAGGGATCTTCCTGCCTGAGTCTCCCGAGTAGCTGGGACTACATGCCTGGCTAACTAAAACAATTTGTTTTTTATTTTTGTAGAAACAGTGTCTTAACATGTTGCCCAGGCTGGTCTTAAACTGCTGGGCTCAAGTGATCCTCATGCCTTGGCCTTCCAAAGTACTAGGATTACAGGAGTGAGCTACTGCGCCCAGCCTTGTTCTTTCTGCTGTATAACATTTTCTAAGTTCAACTTGCTAGATATTGAGACATTAGATTCCAACCTCCACTATGAGTGATATGTGTAATTTAGTGCCCAAAGGATCATGGAATGAGGGGCCAACCTCAACAGTCAAATTCATGGTTGTATGTAGACATGCTGCAAGATACATGAAACTTTGTCGCAGGTTCCTTAGACCATCACAAAGATTAATGTTTAAAATAATGTTTATAATCCAAAGGACTGCAGGGGATATTTAAAAATACAGGGTATAAGCACAGCCCAGAAAGAGCTTACCATTTAGTAGGGGAGAGAACACTTTCACAGATGAAACAAATGAAGTAAGTATACGTATCAAGCTGAATTATCTGATTTGGAACGTAAGCATTGTGCAGACTCTGGTATTAATCTGCCTGGACTGTTTAGGCCCTTACAACATTCCACTAATTTCCAGGTGATGTGTTAGCCTTCTGACTGGATTCTAAGGCATGCTAGTGACTTATTTCTGTTATTGTTGGGTAAAGATGAAAACTGACTCGAATGTGATTTTCTTCAGTTTTTAGCACTTGCTTCTGCTCTTTTGCAAAGCTTTACATATAACACTTGCTTATTTTTCTGGGGAGATTTTATTTTGGGGTCAATATCAATAAGTGGAATAGGTCTATCATTAATTCCCCTGGCAGTTGGCAAAATGTCTGCCTCAATTTATTGGCATTGTTGGTCACTTTTTTCTTTCTCAGCTTGTTATTTATTGATCTCTAAACAGTCTTAGATGGAGCCTTTATATTACTAGATTCTTTCTGTCATCAATCTATGTTATTGTGCTGATGCGTATAATAAACAGCAGCCAATATGGGTGACATTTGTGATACAGTCAGTTGTTGATTAGATGCCGTAAGTTGCCTGTACCTTTCATCAAACAAATTTCCTTCTGGAATATTTCCTTGGTAGAATATCAAAGCTAGCCCTGTGGATAAACATTTTTATCTTCAAGATATGAGATATAAGTTATATTATAAATTTGGCCCTTGAAACCAGCACAACACATTCTCCTCCACTCCCTCAGGAGTCCTATTTTGAAGCTGATTATTTGAATAAAATCACAGACAATGGGAAAGTAAGGGAAAATTCCCAGCCATGCTCATAATTAGTTGACTGTATTTCTGATGCAGATGCAAACGTTGTTACTTAATAACGTAATTAGCCAGAGAAACATGTGCTTTAATGAATGCCCCTATGCATATGCAATGCAAATTTGTACTGCTTATTTTTTCTTCCTTGGGGGTATGAACTGCTTTTAAATGTTTATTTCCTTGTGATAGTAAGAGTTTTGGGGGTTTTTTATGTATTAAATAGGATTATATTTTTATTTCCCACTGTGGCCTCTGTTGGATTGATTTTTGAGTATTTCTTAGTAGGAACTACCTATTTTCTTGGATGCCATTTGGTCTGAGCAGAAGTGGCAGTAGCTGGGAATATCTGTGACAGGGTCATGTTCTAGGCAAGCCCCAGGCCAGACTATAATGTCATACATAGGGTTAAACATCAGGCCCAAGAAGGTTTCAGGGAGTCACAGAGCTACAGAGAGACATCTATTTCCAGCAGCTCTCTTGCTCTGGGAAAGCTCTTGGAGACAAGATTGGGCAGGAGGCGTTGTCATCGAACCCTTCCAGACTGACTTGAATGCTTATTCAGGCAACGTTTTCTCCTTAGGTTTTAGCTAACCTGTAAGATTAGAGAACCAAGTCAGGGCCTAGGTGGAGCCCTTCGTGGTGAAACTGCCCAGATTTACTGGACCTGGACTTTGAGGTCATACAAACCACAGTTTGAATATCAGCTCTTTTACGAATGGTGTGACTTTGAATGTGACTTAAGCTCTTAGGGCCTCCATCTTTGTATCTGTAAACTATATGAGATATAGTTTCCACCTACCTTGAAGGATTTTCTTTTTTTGTTTTTTGTTTTTGTGTTTTTGGGACAGGGTCTCTGTCACTTAGGTTGGAGTGCAGTAGTGCGATCTTGGCTCACTGCAGCTTCCACCTCCTGGGCTCAAGTGATTCTCCCACCTCAGCCTCCCAAGTAGCTGGGACTACAGGCATGAGCCACCAATGCCTGGCTAGTTATTGTATTTTTTTTTTTTTTTTGTAGAGATGTTGCCCAGGCTGCTCTTGAACTCCTGAGCTCAAAGTGATCTGCCCTCCTCAGCTTTCCAAAGTGCTGGGATTACAGGCGTAAGCCACCTTGCCTGGCTACTTTGTAGGATTTTCTGTTGTAATAAATAAGGTAGTGTATATCTGGTAGACTACCTTGTGTTTGGGAGTATTTCAATGAATGCTATATTCTCTCTCTCTTTCTTCCTTTTCCTTTCCTTTCCTTTCCTTCCTTTCCTTTCCTTCCTTTCCTTCCTTCCTCCTTTCCTTTCCTTTCTTTCCTTTCTTTTCTTTCCTTCCTTTCCTTCCTTTCTTTTCTTTCTTTTCCTTCCCTCTCCTTTCCTTCTCCTCTCCCTCTCCTTTCCCTCTCCTCTGCCTCTCCTCTCCCTCTCCTTTCCTTCTCCCCTCTCCTCTCTCCTCTTTCCCCTCCCCTCCCGTTCCCTCCCTTCCCCTCCCCTTCTTTTATTTTTGAGATGGAGTCTCGCTCTATTGCCCAAGCTGGAGTGCAGTGGTGCATTCTTGGCTCACTGTAACCTCTGCCTCCCAGGTTCAAGCGATCCTCCTGCCTCAACCTACCAGGTAGCTGGGATTACAAGCATGCGCCACCACACCTGACTGATTTTTGTATTTTTAGTAGAGACAGGGTTTCAGCATGTTTGCCAGGCTGGTCTTGAACTCCTGGGCTGAAGCAATCCTCCTGCCTTGGTCTCCCAGTGTTGGGATTACAGGCGTGAGCCACCATGCCTGGCTGAATGCTATTATTATTAAAATTACTGAGGCCTGAACAACTTTCTTATAATTCCCTGGCACAAGATTAATACTGGTTTTTGTGGGGCTTTTTCTCAGCTCTCATCTACTTGGTGTTTGGTATGTGTGAATTACCTGTGTTGGATAATAAATATGGAAGTAATGTCTGTCCTGTTATTTAGACGTATGATCTGCTGATGTCTGGTTTCTTCCTGAGGGGCTGTTGGCATATCGTAGCAGCATTTATTGCATCTTGAACTGTGATAAAGTAGTAGCAAGCTATCAATGAACAACGGTGTAAAACATACGATTTTAAGCGGACCTTGTGGAGGTACAAGAATTATAAGACAAAGACTCTGTCCTTGAGGAACTGTCCATATATTCGGGAAGGCATGTATTCATAAAAAGACACTAAATCTGCAAGGCAGGAAATAAAGGTCATATGAACAGTATAGATAATGCTTGTATAAGGATAGATAATACTCGGCTGAGTGATGGCTCACGCCTGTAATCCCAGCACTTTGGGAGGGCGAAGTGGGCAGATTTCATGAGCCCAGGAGTTTGAGGCCAGCCTGGGCAACATGGTGAAACCCCATATTTACAAAAAATACAAAAATTAGCCATATATGGTTGTGCACGTGTGAGGTCCCAGCTACTTAGGAGGTTGAGCTGGAAGGATCACTTGTGCCTAGGAGGTTGAAGCTGCAGTGAGCTGTGATTGTGCCACTGCACTCCAGCCTTGGCGACAGGAGTAAGGCCCTGTCTCAAAACAAAACAAAATCCCCTGAAACAACAGAAAGAACAGATAATACTCTATACTTCGTATATCTCTAAGTGTAGGTAATAGTCTTTATTCCACCCCCCTTCTCACCCTCACATCCAAACTATCACCACGAACATTCAGTTCTGCTTCCAGAATACATCACAAATCCATCTCTTCCTTCCATTTCCATCCCCTCTGAAGTCCATCCAAGACCCTATCATCTCTCTGTTGGACTACTGCTGTAGACCCTGGCTGATGTCTCTTTTTTTATTCCTATTCTTCTCCCAACCTTTCTCTACCTAACAGCCAAAGTGGTCTTTTAAAAACCTAAATCAGATTTTTCATTCCCGTACTTAAAACCCAACAAGAGCTTCAGTTGCTTTTAAAATAAAACCCAAGATTTATAAGGCCCTGTGTGGTTTGGCTCTGCTTTTTTCTCCACCTTCATCTCATGCCAGTCTCCCTCTCACTAACTAGGCTCCTGCCATGCAGGTTGCTTTTCCCTTTTTGGAACCCACCAAGAGCTTTCTTATCTCAGGGTCTTTGCATTGGTTCTTTCGTTTGATTGAAATATTCTTCCTTTGGTCCCAAACATGGCTTGCTCATTGCCATCCTTCAGGTCTTAATGTATGTGTCATTTCTTCAGAGAGATCAAATCATTCTAACTACTACTCTATTTAAAAAGTGTTTCTGGGAGGATCACTTGAGGTCAGGAGTTTAAGATTAACCTGGCCAACATGATGAAACTCTTGTCTCTACTAAAAATACTAAATTAGCTGGGCGTGGTTGCAGGCACCTGTAATCCCAGCTACTCAGGAGGCTGAGGCAGGAGAATTGCTTGAACCCAGGAGACGGAGGTTGCAGTGAACCGAGATTGCACCACTGTACTCCGGCCTGGGTGACAGAGTGAGACTTCATCTCAAAAAAAAAAAGATTGTAGGCCGGGCATGGTGGCTCACGCCTATAATCCTAGCACTTTGGGAGGCTGAGACAGGCAGATCATTTGAGCTCAGGAGTTCAAGATCAGCCTGGGCAACATGGCAAAACCCCATCTCTACTAAAACTACAAAAAATTAGCTGGGTGTGGTGGTGCATGCCTGTAGTCCCAGCTACTTGGGAGGCTGAGGCATGAGAATCACTTGAACCTGGGAGGCAGAGGTTGCAATGAGCTGAGATCGTGCCACTGCACTCCAGCCTGGGCAACAGAGTGAGACTGTCTCAAAACAAACAAAAACAAAAATAAACAAAAAACAAACAAAAAAAGTTTTTTTGAAGTTGAGGCCGGTAAGATTGCTTGAGTCCGAGAGTAAGAGACCAGCCTGGGCAATACAGAGAGACCCCGTCTCTACAAAAAACTGAAAAATTAGCTGGGCATGGTGGTACATGCCTGTGGTCCCAGCTCCTCGGGAGGCAGAGGTGGAAGGATTTCTTGAGCCCAGGAGGTCAAGGCTGCAGTGAGTTGTGGTGGCACCACTGCACTCCAGCCTGGGCAATAGAGTGAGATCACAACAACAGCGACAACAACAATGGAAGTTTTCCCCATCCTATCACTTAATAATAATTGTTATTATTATTTCTATATAACATTTGCCACAATCACAGTTATGTGTTGACTTATTATTATTGTTATTTTTTGCCTATTGGCTCTCCCTAAGCTCCATGAGGGCAGAAATCTTACCCACTTTGTTCACTGCTATAATGACTAGCATGTAATAGGCACTCAATAGACAGGAATAAATAAACGAATGAACATAGATCTTAAAAGTTCAGAGGAAGACAGGATCCCTTTGTTAGTAATGGAGCAGATCAGGCACGGGGAAGGACTTTGCTCAGTGTGAGGGTGAAAGAGTGCACCTGCAGAAGAAGGTGTGAGTGCAAAAGCAGAGGAGAGTAAGCTGAGATGGGAGGCACGGGGACTATAGAATTTCAGAGTTGGAACAGCATTTTTCTTTTTCTTTTTGAGATGGAGTCTCACTCTGTTGGCCAGGCTGGAGTGCAGTAGCACAATCTCAGCTCACTGCAACCTCTGCCTCATGGGTTCAAGTGATTCTTGTGCCCCAGTCTCCTGAGTAGTAGGATTACAGGCGCATGTGCCACCACGCCCGGGTAATTTTTGTATTTTTAGTAGAGATGGGGTTTTGCCATGTTGGCCAGGCTGGTCTCAAACTCCTGGTCTCAAGTGATCTGCCTGCCTCGGCCTCCCAAAGTGCTGGGATTACAGGTGTGAGCCTCTGTGCCCGGCCAACTTTCGAGAAGCTGTGGGTGTAGGGAAAAGAATATGACTGACATGCCTTAAACTCCTGGCCATCCCACAATTGCCTGTGTAACTTTGGATGTATCATTCTATCATTTTGAGCAGTCTTTGCCTGTACAGTGGGGAAAATACCCCTTAACATGGATGGGTATTTTGACTATTAATGCTTTATACTTAGGATCCTGTTGGAATGCATATGATGACAAATGGTAGCCATTTGTACCAGGATTTCATTCAGATTGTCAGCTGAGGGTGTGCGCCAAAATGAAATTTGGAGCTTTGTAGAAATTTGAATACCAAGAGCCCAATTCAGTACTACTGAATCAGAAGAGTTATCTCTGGGTGGGTGTGGGACTCCAGCACGTGCGTTTTTCTAAAGCTTCCCAGGGGATTCAGACGTATAGCTGTTAGAACCATGCGTTTAATCCAAGCCGTGCTGAAATCCTCTCTAAATGTCTCTTGCTGAGGGATTGTTCAACTTGAATAGCTCTGTTAACGGGGAACTCACAGAGCCACAGGTCCAAGCTGCTTCCTAAAGGGGCATCCACCTGAGCCTTTGAGCCTTAATCCCTAGAGAACAAGTTACTGATTTCTTATCAATTGGGTGATATTTGGTATTAATTTTTTTTTAAAATCTTGCAGTCCCAACCAAAGTCATCATGCCTTCCATTATTCTTGGTCACGTCCAAGATGGAAGCCAATCTAGTTATCTTTTGTACTTTTATCCCTTTTGTACTTGTGCTTCTCTCCTAATCCAATGACTTGTCACTGGGTTCCCTCCCAGACTTCTCCACTGAGCACTTTAACCTTCCACCTTCAGTGTACATGAATCTATACCTCCAACCTCTTTAGTGATGTCCCCTCTACTTCCTGCTGTAACTGAACTCTGTCTTAAATTAGAAGATGTTTCAGATGTCAACAATGTGACTAGGCAGTCTTATGAAACATTAACCATCTCTTTGGTTGGTTGCTTGTGTACACACAAATATATTCATTCTTGGAATGCCTTGGGCCATTAAATACGTCTAAAGGTTTGATGCTGGGAAAACATGATGAGGGCCAAGGGGTCTTGTGTCTGGTGAATATGCATGAAAAGGGAACCAAAGCTCTGTGGGCAAACATGGGACATGAGAGATAGACAGGGTTGGAAATTAGATGAGATCCTGCTCTGGGAAACCTCCCTCCTGGAAATAACTCTGGAGTCCTGCAACAGCCCAAGCATCCATAATGGGATGTAAAAGAGTGCAGTTGCATTAAATCCACACATTCTGTATCAGAGGCTCATTTAAAAGAAGCCATCTATTTCTAAGGCCAAGGATGGCTGATGGGGATATGGAAACAGGTTATATGATTTTCTCTAGTTTGAATGCTGTTATCTCAATAAAAGGACTTCTGTTTAAAAAGCCTGGATGTTAGGAGGGCTTAATTTTCTTGGCTTTCTACGGATTGGGGAGAAAATCACAAATCAGAATGAATGCCTCAAGTTTTTTTCTTTCTTTTTTTTTCTCTGACCATGGAAGAACAGATTTTTTTTTTCTTTCTGCGTTTAGGTATAACTGGGACTATTGGTGACACTTGAAATTATTAGAGCCATCTTATTTTATAGTTATTATACTTTCTTGAATAACATTGTATCCATGAGTGCTATTGTGTGACATGAAACATTAGTATGCTTTACTTCTTCCCTTCAACTCACTGCTCTGGTTTTATTGAAATAATTTGAAAATTTATTTTTATTATTATTTTACATTGTTCAACTTTTAGTTCTAGAATCCTTTACTAATAGTTATGTCAAGCTCTACAGTCACATTTAAACGATTATGGAGACATCCATACATCTTGCTGATTTCATTGTTCCTTGGTGTTTTCTGTAAAACCTGTCTGCCCTGCACACTTATTCTTACGATATTTGTTCTGATTCATTTTTTCGATTTTTTTTTCCCAGAAAAGATAAACGGATCGATTTTTTAAAATTCTGAAATATCTAAAAATGACTTTCTTGGGCTCTTAAGTGAAGTATAGTTTGGCTGGGTCTAGAGTGGTTATGTCATAATCTTTTACCTGTAGATAGTTCTTTGTAAATATTTAATTGTCTTTTAGTAGTCAGAGTTGTAGAGAAAAAAATTTCGTATCAATTTTGTAATTCCGGGTTTGTCTCCTCCTATGCAACTGATTTTTTTCTTTGAAAGATGCATATAAGTTGAATCCTTAGGAGATAAATACTTTCTCCATTAATTTGCTTTAAAAAGTTCAGAGATTTTGAATATCTTCTATTTAACAGTCAGTTGGCAATAATTGCTACAATTGCGTTATCATCTACTCTGGGATTGATGATCTGAAGATACATAGTAAAATGTACTAGAGAACTGTAATATTTAGAAGGACCCTAAGATATATTATTTCATAGATCAATGAATTCTTTATAAGTAAATAATTGCATAGTTTGACTATTCTCTATGTGTGCATGTTTGGAAATTTTATTAAATTCAGACATACTTATATTGGATTATTTGATGGGGTTAGTGTTTTCTCTTTTCCTGTTTGAGTGGCCTCTATCACTATTAAATATTTATTTTAAAGATATGAATTGTAGGGCTGGAAGTCAGGGCTTATAACCAGTGCTGTCTTGGTTCCCATTGCAGAGATCAACTGTGGCAACCCTCCAGAAATGCGGCACGCCATCTTGGTAGGAAATCACAGCTCCAGGCTGGGCGGTGTGGCTCGCTATGTCTGTCAAGAGGGCTTTGAGAGCCCTGGAGGAAAGATCACTTCTGTTTGCACAGAGAAAGGCACCTGGAGAGAAAGTACTTTAACATGCACAGGTACAGATTCTGTTCTGGGCTCCTGCTACCCAGGAACAAAACAGCCAGTGGGAGCCGAGGGCCTAAAACTATCTGATTGCTGCTTCACTCTACATACTGTACCCAGCTCGGCTATTTACCTGGTTGTGCACCTGGCTTTAGATTTGTCAGCTAAATCCTGAAGATTTAGAAGGTGGATTGGAAAAATAAGTTGGATAGAAAATGTTATGCATCCATCTTTTGAGACCCACCTTAAATCGCTGTGATTCCTGTCCCCTCTGCTTGACTGTCTGAGACATTTTTCTCCATGAACCATTTTCTCAGAGGGGCATGCTCCTAACTTAACACCTGTTGACCGCTTTTCAGAGAAAAGGTGGTATGACGAAAAATAGTTTTTTAATGTTTCTTAATTGTGTTAACACACAAAAAACATACAATTTAACATCTAATATAGTTTTATTTCTTTTTTTGAGATGGAGTCTTGCTCTGTCACCCTGGCTGGAGTGCACTGGCACGATCTCAGCTCACTGCAACCTCCACCTCCTGGGTTGCAGTGACCAAGTGATTCGCCTGCCTCAGCCTCCCGAGTAGCTGGGAATACAGGTGCCCACCACCATGCCCAGCTAATTTTTGCATTTTTAGTAGAGATGGGGTTTCACCATGTTGCCCAGGCTGGTCTCGAACTCCAGGTCTCAAGTGATCTGCCTGCCTAGGCCTCCTAAAGTGCTGGGATTACAGGTGTGAGCCACCATGCCTGGCTTACCATCTAATATAGTTTGGATGTTTGTCTCCTCCATATCTCATGAGAAATGTGGTCTCCAGTGTTGGAGGTGGGGCCTGGTGGGAAGTGTTTGGGTCATGGGGGTAGATCACTCAGGAATGGCTTTGTGTCCTCCCCTTGGTGATGAGTTCTTGCTCTTAGTTCACATGAGAGCTGATTGTTAAAAGGAACCTGGCACCTCCTTCTCTCTTTCTGGCTCCCTCTCTTGCTGTGTGACATGCCTGCTCCCTCTTCACCTTCTGCCACGATTGTCAACTTCCCAGGGCCCTCACCTGAAGCAGATGCTGGTGCCATGCTTCTTGTACAGCCTGCAGAACCATGAGCTGGATAAACCTCTTTTCTTTATAAATTACCTAGTCTCAGGTATTCCTTTATAGCAACATGAAACTGATGAATACACCATCTTAACTATTTTTAAGTGTGCAGTTCAGTAGTGTTTATGTATACCAATCTTGTTGCACAACCAATCTCCAGAACTTTTTCATCTTGCAAAACTGAAACTTTATACCCATTAAACAACAACTCCCCATTTGCCCCTCCCCACAGCCCCTGGAACCTCACCCTTCTACTTTCTGTCTCTTGTGAATTTCACTACTGTAGGTATCTCATATGGTACTTGTTCATTTGAGACTGGCTTATTTCACTAAGCATAATGTCTTTAAGATACATCCATGTTGTAACATGTGTCAACATTTCCATTCTTCATATAGTCCATTATATGAGTATCCCATGTTTTGTTTATCCATTCATTTGTTGATGGACACTTGGGTGTGTGTTCCATCTTTTGGCTATGATGAATAATGCTGCTATGAAATGTGTGTACAAATCTCTCTTTGAGACCCTGTTTTCAATTCTTTTGGATATATATCCAGAAGTGGAATTGCTGGTGAAAAGGAGTCTTGAGGCCTGGTGCAATGGCTCATACCTGTAATCTCTGTACTTTGGGAGGCTGAGGCAGTGGATCACTTGAGGTCAGGAGTTCAAGACCAGCCTGGCCAACATGATGAAACCCCATGTCTACTAAAAATACAAAAATTAGCCGGGTGCAGTGGCTCACACCTGTAATCCCAGCACTTTGAGAGGCCAAGGCAGGAGGATTGCTTGAGCCCAGGAGTTCAAGACCAGCCTGGGTGACATAGAGAGACCCCATCTCTACAAAAAATTAAAAATTTGCCAGGTGTGGCGGTGCACACCTGTAGTCCCCAGTACTCAGGTGGCTGATGCAGGAGAATTGCTTGAACCCAGGAGACAGTCGTAAGCCAAGATCACATCCCTGTACTCCAGCCTGGGGGATAGAGCGAGACTCTGTCTCAATTAAAAAAGGAGTTTTGAGACTTCACTTCATATTCTAGCAATGCCATATATTAGCTGTGTGTCATTAGGCCAGGCATTCTGAGCCTCGGTTTCCTCATCTATAAAAGAGGGAAATAAAGTCTGTTTTTCTTACCTCAGAGAGTGTTGAAAAGGAATCGAATAAGATAATCTGTGGGGCGCATTTTAGAAAGCTGAAAGCACCATGCACATGTTAGTCTTTTTCCTAAAGTTGTTAGCCTCATGTGAAGATCTTCTCATGAATCAGAAGCGTGTACTTCTACATGATTCATTTCACACCTCTGCCTCTGAGGAACAAGGTGAGAAAAGGCAATGATTCTTACCATTTGTGGTGGTTGATCAGAAGGTATGACAAATGGTTGTCACATAGTCCCTGGGAATATATTTCTGGCTGTTGACTTGCTTGGCTCTGAAGACAGGTCTCTGAAGAGTGAAATCTCCAGGAGCTTTGATCTGGGTCTCTGGTTTGACTAGCAGCAGAATTGTGGTCTTGCCCACCAACATTTTCCATCGGAAATTCTGGCCAGAGCAAACAAGACATGTAGGCCCCTGGGGATTATTTGTCCATAGAGCAGTGGTTCATAACGATGTTGGGGATGGGAATTTGAGGAAATCTGTCCATTCATTCAATAGATATCTATTTAGCATACACTATTTGTCAGGTACTTTGTCGGCATGACCCTCTTGGAATTTACAGTGCAACAGGGGAAACAGACCTTTTCCCCAAAGGTATGCACATACACATACACATATAATGTTTTACAAGTAGCAAGGTGTTCCTGGACCTCTGAAATCCTTGAGTAAAGCATTCTTGGGATAGATGGAAAGCTCACCTCTGCTGTTGAGGCCCTGTATGTGCCATGCAATTCCTATATTTGGTTATCTCCATCGCGAATTCAAGAGGATGTAGGCCAGAGACTGCAATCAGAAAAACAAAGAAGGGTAGAGCTGGATAAGAACCCAGAGATACAATGCAGTCTTCTCTTAGAGAGGTCTCATTGACTTGCCCAGCCTGCACAGAGGAGCAAGGGCAAACGTGTAACTGACACCAAAGACTCTAGGGGGGTCCAGTCTTAATAATTGGAGCTAATGCCACGCTGGACTAGACTGATGGTCACTCCAACCTATCATGGCATTTGCAAAAGCATCTCCAAGAGTTATTTGGAGGAGGTGAGGTAGCTGCCTCCTGGAATGCTGAATTCAATGTTTGGGGAAGTATTCCCGACACAGAACAACTGCTGGAGTCACTTGGTAAGAGCTGGGTATAGCTTGTGAGCCTCAGCCATTTGCTTCATTGCTCAAGCTGCTCTGCCTCCAACATTCAGCAGTCAATGGGGGTATAAGAATTAGTCACCGCATGAAAAACCAGTGGATCTGCATGGGGCATAGTAAGCTATTAATTAGCTGATGCTTGTAGAGCACTTTGAAGAACAAACATGTTATGTAACTGCTAATTATAATTACCATCCTCAGCCTGCTACCTTTCACAAAGTCTGTGGCTCCAGCTGCAGCTGTTTCCATGGGTTTATGCAAGCTTTGATTTAAGAAAAGAAAAGGCATTCTCCCTGAGAGCTGTGATCTTTCTGTGAGGAGGCCTTTATGCCCTCAATCAGGATTGGCAGCTAAATTCAATTTCCGCAGATAAAGGGGATGATTTACATGCTGATTAATTCATGGTACAGTGCAGATGATCTCTGGGTGGGTAGGTAGGAGAGGCTTCTGGTAATGTAGTGAGAGCTGCTGATTACCATGGCTCTTGCTCAGCTACCCCTCTTCTTTTTTCTTTTCCCTGTTTTTCACTTGTTACCTATTTCTTCACTCCCCTCATCCCAACTGTCTCTGTGTATTTTGTTGTTGTTGTTGGAGATGGAGTCTCACTCTGTCACCCAGGTTGAAGTGCAGTGATCACAGCTCACCACAGCCTCCAACTCCTGGGCTCAAGCGATCCTTCTGCCTCAGCCTCCCAAGCAGCTGGGACTACAGACATGACCCACCACGCATGGCTAAATTTTAAAAATGTTTTTTGTAGAGACGGGTGTCTCACTATGTTGCCCAGGCCGGTCTCAAACTGCTAGCCTCAAGCCATCCTCCTGCCTCTGTGTATTTTATATTTCCCTGTCTTCGTGTTCACGTTTGGCTTCCCCTCTCATCTTTTTCTACTTTTCTGCTTCTCTCTGAATGCCTCCTACCTCTGTCCTGTTTTCACTGTTCATCTTCCTGTTTAGTTCCAAACTGGGTAGAATAATTTATCTTTACCTGGGTTGTTTGTAAGGAAGCCACTAGTCTTTGGGATTAGTAGCACAAATCGTATGTGCTTTTAATGGGGTGTGAGCTCTATCAAGCTGGTGGGACTTATTTTTTCCTGCCCCCTCCTTCCCCGCCAGGCCAGTTTGGACTGGAAACTCCAGACAGCTGGGAATTAGGCAATCACTTTCGTGTCTGGAAAAACCCCAGGTGGAAGCTTGATGTTAATGAGTCGGTTTACCTCAAGATCAAAGAGACTGATTCATTCTTGATAAGACTTTCCCTGGCTTCCATTCTGCACAGGCCATTTGGCTTTTCATGTTTAGAATCTGAGTTAATGATTATAAGGCTGACGCTCACTCACTCCACGCTCTCAGAAGGGTAACATCTCTGCTGGAACAGAGGCTGTTTATCGCTAGGATCCTTTCTGTGCCTCTAAACTGCTCTGGGCACTGCTCTGATGCCTCCAGGACTCCTGTTGGCCTCTGTCCCTTCTGTTTGGCTGGTGACCCTCTTCTCCAGCCCACTGGGTGCTCAGTTGCAGCCACACACATTTCAGATGGAACAGAAAGGTCAGCCGGAATAAATGGATACATTTACATAAATAGCCACATGGCCGGATGTATTGGAATATGTGAATGAGGTTTGGACCATCAAGCATTATAGCTACTGCTGGCTGAGCATGAACGTACACACCCAGGGCTCAGCTAGGGACCTTAATGCTCGATTTCATTTCATCCTCTTAAAACCCTTTTGAAGTAAGCTTTGTTATTTTCATTTCATAGATAAGTAATCTGAGACTCATAAAGGTTAAGTGACTTTTACATGGTCACTCAATAATTAGCAAATGGTAGAGCCAGGATTTGAACTGAGGCCTGTAAGCCCAGAAAGACCACATTCTTTCTCCTACATCAGTGTCTTCCAAGCTTGAATTATTTGTATACCACCCTGACACAATGTTTGCCATAATAAGAGTATTATTTACTTAGAGTGTTTCCTTAAACAACCTAACCTTAAATTTATAATTCAAATTTATTAAGGACAATATATGTGATCTCATGAGTTTGATGAAGTAGGTGTATTTTTCTGATATACACAAAAACTGATACATAACGAACAGATAAAAATGTATTCCTGGCTGGGCGCGGTGGCTCACGCCTGTAATCCCAGCACTTTGGGAGGCCGAGAAGGGTGGATCACCTGAGGTCAGGAATTTGAGACCAGCCTGGCCAACATGGTGAAACCCCGTCTCTACTAAAGATACAAAAATTAGCTGGGTGTGGTGGCACGCGTCTGTAGTCCCAGCTACTCGGGAGGCTGAGGCTGGAGGATCACTTGAACTCAGGAGGCGGAGGTTGCAGTCAGCTGAGAACATGCCACTGCACTCCATCCTGGGCTACAGCGCAAGACTCCGTCTCCAAAAAAGAAAAAAAGTATTCGCGTGCCACCAAAAATCATCCCAAAGTGTGCAATATATTTTACACTAACGTACTCTAAGCCATGCTACTCCTACTTATTTTATGTGAATCTAAGACTTCAAAGAAAGAAAGGAAACACATGAAAACTTTTATAGCCAAACATACATTTATTCAAGTAGGCACTGTGGGAAGCCATACCCTGATTTCTGTGGTGCTGCCATTATCATCATGTGTTTGCCTTGGAATCCTATTTGATAATGTCCTTTGGAGGTAGTTTATGAGCCGTATTAGAAGATCAGTTACATTCCTTTTGAAATCAGATGCTGTTTTGACTAGAAATGATGCTGAGCTTGCTTGACCATCTGTTTGGGTCACCTGGATTTATTCTCTATGACCTTTTGCTGTTTCCAAAAATAAAGAAAAAGGATATAAAATTGGAAACCAAGGGAGTACACTAGACCAGCCCCTGTCCTTGCACAGTGGGACTTCTGAAAGAGTAGTCTGGGCTCACTGTCTTATTCCCTCCCCTCCTATGCTCTTCTCAGCCTACTGGGGGGAAACCAGGCATCGAACACCCCCACTTCACTGTAGCATCTCACCAAGGTGACTGATGACTACCTAACTGCCAATTTCATGTTCCAGTTTCAGCTGTCATTCTTCTCAACCTTTCCACAACATTTAGCATTGTTGATCCTTTATCCATCCATTCAACCAGTTCAACCAAATAATACATAGTTTTTAGTATCTATATTTAAGGCACTGTGCTAGGGCCTGAGGATAGAGAGAGAAACATGGTCTTTGCCATCGTAAAGTTACATTCAGGAGAGGTGGTCATTATATAATGACTTACGTATTTAGTTACAAGTGTGTTAAGTACCACATACAGAAATACTAGATGCTAACAAAATACCAAAATACATAACATTATGTACATCTATATCTATATATACATAACATATATATGTACCTGTGTGTACACACACACACATAGAGTAAAGCAAAACAAAGGCTCTTACTTTATCACTCACTGAGACTTTCTCTCCCCAAATCCAGTGAGACTTCAGCTGGACACTGTGGGGGCCTCCTTCTTTTAAGCCAGAGAGGCCTCTGTGTTCTACAACTGGGCAGGCTGAGGGCCTGCTCTTCCCACCTCTACCCAAAGTCAAACCACAGATCTAATCCTGATGCCGTGGGCACTCCATGAGGGGAGAAAAGCCATGTGAGAGGAGAGAGGGAGATGGAGTTTGCACCCTCTGCCTTGACCTGCTCCAGGCCCTTCTTGGCTAGGGGATGAGGAGGCTGTGGGAGACTGGTGGGAAAGAAGGCTGATAATTTTCTTAAAAGAATTTATTTTTATTTTTTAGGGACAGAGTCTTGTTGTATCACCCAGGCTGGAGTGCAGTGGCACGATCTCAGCTCACTGCAACCTCCGCCTCCCAAGTTCAAGTGATTCTCGTGCCTCGGCCTCTTGAGTAGCTGGGATTACAGGTGTGCACCACCACACCTGGCTAATTTCTCTATTTTTAGTAGAGACATGTTTTTGCCATGTTGGCCAGGCTGGTCTTGAACTCCTGGCCTCAAGTAATCCGTCTGCCTCGGCCTCTCAAAGTGCTGAGATTACAGGTGTCAGCCACTGTGCCTGGCCTTGGAAGGCTGAGAGACACTCTTTCAAGTCCTTCCTTTCCTTCCTAGACATCAGTCACTCTACCAGCCTCCTGCCTCTCTTCTGCATTGCCTTTTTCCTCTGGTTCCCCCCTGGGTTTCAGTGTTTCCCAGTGTTCTGCCATTGGGCCATTCACTGTCTCTGTCCTACCTGCATATCTCACCTGCACCCATACCTTCAACTAACATTCACAGATCTATGACTTTCAAGAGTACTTTTTCCCTACATAGTCAGCAGATAACATCGTCACAGCCCAGTGCCTGGCATGGCAGGATGCTTGGCATTTGATAGCCATTCAGTTAGTAGTGAGCAGGGAATGAAAGAGCCCTGGGACAGCTCCAAAGAGGACTTCCAGAAATGTTTTCAGTTATCAGCACTATTGGAATGAGGGCATATAGTCTCCATTAAAAGGGCAGCATTAATGTAGATGTTGAATATCTGATTCTTTTATAAAGGAGTCTTTCCAACTAATTTGTAGGCACCTGGAGGGAAAAGCAACCAAACTTTGTTAAACTGCTCCCTGGGATGAAATATCTGACACCCCTATAATTGGATCTGGGTCCCATCTGTGCAGAGAGCATGGCACAGGCTGGAGGCAGATGGCATCTTTGAGATGCCATTTACAGTTGTCATAGTGAATGAGCAAGAAGGAAGGACAAGAAAGAAAACTCCTTTCTAATCTCTGCTTCGATGACAAAGGAACTGAGAGTAAAAAGGAAATTCGCTTTGCTGGCAACTCAGAGAGAAGATGAGGGCTGGGCTGGTGCCTTTTCTTTCTGGACCAGGTGGTGAGTTAGCATCAAAGGGATGTGTAAGTGAGCAGAGATGCCAAGAGCTCTGGGGCTTTGAAGGGCAGCAAAGAGGGTAGAGGCCAGAAATATCTGGGGCTTGTTCAGGCTGATAAAAGACTGGTACCAACATCATCTTTATGCTACCCAAGGGGGCGAACTGAAGGTCATTGTGTCTCTTAGGGTACCCATGCTCATAATTGGAGTATTTCTTTTCTTTTTTTTTTCTTTTTTTTTTTTTTTGCAATGGAGTCTCATTCTGCCGCCCAGGCTGCAGTGCAGTGGCACAATCTTGGCTCACTGCAACCTCTGCCTCCCAGGTTCAAGCAGTTCTCGTGCCTCAGTCTCCCAAGTAGCTGGAATTATAGGTATGTACCACCACGCTTGGCTAATTTTTTTGTATTTTTAGTAGAGATGCGGTTTCACCATGTTGCCCAGGCTGGTCTCAAACTCCTGACCTCAAGTGATATGCCCATCTCAGCCCCGCAAAGTGCTAGGATTACAGGCGTGAGCCACCGCACCCACTTGGCCCACAATTGGAGTATTTCTTTGATTTCAAATTGTGTGTGTTCTAGGGAGAAATACTGATATAGAGATCCAGGAATGCTGCAGACAGCCATAGGTGGCCTTTCTGGTATCTCGGCAGGAGTTTGCCTATTTTTCCCTCTCTGCCTCCATTGATTTTCACTTGCTAATAGATAACTTGGGCTTACCCAAGACCAGGTCATGTGGGACACAGAATCTAGGCATTGCTGCTGAAGGGATGATTTAGTAAAGATATAAACTCTTCTTTGGGCAGAGAGGTCAGTAGATCTGGGTCAATCCAAAGCTAGCATTGGTTCTGAGTACAGGAGAATAGGATTGGCCCTACAGGTACCTAAGGTGCAGGCTTCCTTTTGCACTTGGAGACTGCGAAGAGATTTACTAGAAGGGAGAAACGGGAGCTGAGTTGTGGAGAGTCATTTTCTGACATGGAGAAATAGCTTTCTCACTCTTCTTAGATGGGAGCCTTTCACTGGGTTTATATTTATTATGCAGTAGAGAATCAAATCCCAGGCACCAGGAGTGGGAAACAAGGGCAGTAAAACAGGGAAAGAAGGAGAGTCAGCGTATGATGCCTGATTGTACTGGTCTCCACAGAGGGTGGGCATTACCACATCTGTGTGACAGTGTCCTTAGACGCTGAAGAAACTAAGTCTTTGTTGGACAGCCCTTCAGAGGAAAGAAAGGAGGAAGGATTTCTCTACCAGCTCCTGTCCCCACAGGATTTTAACTCCCCTGCACTTCCAGATGGCATGTGCTGGGGTGTGGGTGCTGCAGCAGGGAAGTCCCAGAATAGGAGGCAAGACCTGGTCATGTTGTCAAAACCCATCCAGGGATGGGACAAGGAGCAGGGGAAGCTGAGAGAGGCTGAGGAGTTCTTAAGAGGTGTCTGCTTCAATGGGAAAGCTTGAGCTGGGGCTGTGGAATATCCCTTTTTGGTGACATGAGGACAACTTTCTCTGGGAATAATTATATGATAGCTTCTGTCTGCAGGAATTTTGTTTGTTTGTTTTTGTTTTTGTTTTTGAGATGGAGTCTCACTCTGTCACCCAGGCTGGAGTGCAGTGGCAGGATCTTGGCTCACTGCCACCTCTGCCTCCCAGGTTCAAGTGATTCTCCTGCCTCAGCCTCCCAAGTAGCTGGGACTACAGGCATGCACCACCATGCCCAGCTAATTTTTGTATTTTTAGTAGAGACGGGGTTTTGCCATGTTAGCCAGGCTGGTCTTGAACTCCTGACTTCAGGTGACCAACCTGCCTTGGCCTCCCAAAGTGCTGTGATTACAGGCGTGAGCTATTGCACCAGGCCTGTTTGTTTTTGATAGTATTGTAAATGAAATTGTTTTCTTAATTTCATCTTTGGACTGCTCATTGCTAGTATATAGAAATACAATAGATTTTTGTACATTGACCTTGTATCCCGCAACCTCACTGACCTCCTTTCTCAGCTGTAATACTTGTTTTGGTGTGGATTCCTTAGAGTTTTATATATAGAAGTATATAAGATTGTATCATTTGCAAGTAGAGATAGTTTTACTTGTCTGTAGGAAGTTTATTTTATTTTATTTTATTACTTTTGAGATGGAGTTTTGCTCCGTCACCCAGGCTGGAGTGCAGTGGTGCAATCTCAGCTCACTGCAACCTCTGCCTCCCAGGTTCAAGTGATTCTCCTGCCTCAGCCTCCCAGGTAGTTGAGATTACAGGCATGTGCCACCGTGCACCGCTAAGTTTTGTATTTTTAGTAGAGATGGGGTTTCACTATGTTGGCCAGGCTGGTCTCAAACTTCTGAGCTCAGGTAATCCGCCAACCTTGGCCTCCCAAAGTGCTGAGATTACAGGTGTGAGCCACTGCACTCGGCTGGGAATTTGATTTCAAAGAAATAAAAAGCTAGATCCCCTTTCGTTCTTCCTGTCTGCACAACCACTTGCGGGTTGACTGGGAATGCTGAAAACTATGTTACCTCAGGGAACCAAGGCCTTCATATGGTTTCCCACATTGCTGAATTCATTAGCTGGAATATATGCAGAATATTTAAAAGAAGCAGAACAACCCAGAGGAATCAGTGGCATCCTGATAGACCAGGATTAAATAGCTTCAGTTACAGGAGTCCCAGAAGTACCTAGGAACCTTGTGGAGAATTTCTTTAGTTTGCCCCAACCTGTTTCTGAGGCATGGTCCTGTGTGGTGAGACATGTCATTTTCCCCCTGGGGATAGCAGTGACTTGAAGGAGTTTCCCATCATTCTGCTGGGAAGAGAAAGGTGGAAGTAGGTCTTACCTGTGCAGTTGCAGGGAAGGTCTCACTGAGGACCCAGCTCTGGGCCTCATTCCATTCTACCAGAGTGGAATGCCAGTGGCATCCAGTGGCCTGTCAGGTGAATCACAGGTTAGAATTCTGACCTATATCCAAGCTGGAATCTTTCCTTTCCCTCTAAGTCAGGTAATGGGCCACGCTCATTCATGATGAAGAGAAGTTGGGTGATTGGCTTGGGAGAGCTTGCATTGCCTGACTCAGTGTCTGCCTCTGAGGATGAATGGTGACCAGCAGAGATACCAGCTATGCAGAGAGACTGATCTCCTTTAGAATTTTGCTAAAGCCCATTGATGCATTTTGTGAGTTGACTGCCTTTTTCTCTTTTAGAAATTCTGACAAAGATTAATGATGTATCACTGTTTAATGATACCTGTGTGAGATGGCAAATAAACTCAAGAAGAATAAACCCCAAGATCTCATATGTGGTAAGTAAAGTGATCTACTTTTTCCTGCTAGGACAGACACGTCACCCATGGGAATATGAGTCAGAGGGACTTGCTTCCGTGAGAGCTTCTCAATCTAATTGCTGTTTTTTTTTCTTTTTTTCTTTTATTTTTTTTGTGAGACAGTCTCACTCTGTTGCCCAGGCTGGAGTGCAGTGGTGGGATCTTGGCTCACTGCAACCTCAGCCTCCCGGGTTCAAGCGATTCTCCTGCCTCAGCCTCCTGAGTAGCTGGGATTAGAGGTGTGCACTACCATGCTTGGCTAATTTTTTGTATTTTCAGTAGAGATGGGGTTTCACCACGTTGGCCAGGCTGGTCTTGAACTTCTGACCTCAGATAATCCACCTACCTCGGCCTCCCAGAGTGCTGGGATTATAGGCATGAGCCACCGCGCCTGGCCTCAATCTAATTGCTTTCTGATCCCATTGTCATTTAAAAAGAGTGGATGGAATTTTTGAAGATATCTGGATGATTTCGTTATTTTGCATTTTGTGTTTAACATATTTGTCATTCAGCAGGGTGCATGTGTGGGGGATGCATTTATATTTGGCATCCTCACGATTGCTTGTTTCCAAGCACTTGTATTTCACTCCCCCAGAGCAAGCCCGGGAGCGTCTGCTGACTTGGTGACAGAGTGCAGCCAATGGTCCTCAGGTTGCAATTGTCTCCATTTGATCATTTGTGTGCAGGAGAGCACTTCCTAGGGAGATTTCTCATTTATGTCTCCTCTAGGGGTTTAATATTCACTGGGCTGATCAGACTTTATCAGCAGACCAGGTTTACCTTACGAATGCTCCCTGGCTGAGCAGCACAGTATAAAATAGAATAGTAGGAGAATGGGCTCCAGCACCACAAATCCTGGATTGTTTTGACTGGAGTCAGAGTGGGTTCTCTTGTCTTTTCCTCTCAAAGATATCCATAAAAGGACAACGGTTGGACCCTATGGAATCAGTTCGTGAGGAGACAGTCAACTTGACCACAGACAGCAGGACCCCAGAAGTGTGCCTAGCCCTGTACCCAGGCACCAACTACACCGTGAACATCTCCACAGCACCTCCCAGGCGCTCGATGCCAGCCGTCATCGGTTTCCAGACAGCTGGTAGGTGGAGGTGAAGTCTCATTTCCTCCTAGAAAATGCTAAGCACAGAATGTGGGGAAGTATGCTGCAGAATCAGCTGGGCTGGAGAGCTCCTATTTGCTGTCTGAGATTTATACTCAGATGTAGTTGCTCCAGCCACAGAACTAGAGCAGGTCAAGAGATCCGTATCCTCTTGGTACCAGGCTGAATGGGCTCTGGGGTATTTTTTCTCAGCTGAGCCCTCCGGGAGAGGTGGAAAGTAATAAAAAGGCATTTAAAAGGAATGCCTTTTAAATGATGATCAGTCCACTCTCAAATATCCAAGGCAACAGAGGGTAGCCATGTGGCTTATCTTTGGTAGTAAACTCAAAAGTCATTTCTGGCCAGGTGTGGTGGCTCACGCCTATAATCCCAGCACTTTGGGAGGCTGAAGTGGGCAGATCACTTGAGGTCAGGAGTTCCAGACCAGCCTGGCCAACATGGCAAAACCTTATCTCTACTGAAAATAGAAAAACTTAGCTGGGTGTGGTGGCACACACCTGTAGTCCCAGCAACTCGGGAGGCTGAGGCACAAGAATCACTTGAACCCAGGGGGCAGAAGTTGCAGTGAGTGAACCGAGATTGCACCACTGCACTCCTGCCTGGGCAACAGGGCAAGACTCTGTCTCAAAAAAAACCCAAAAAAACCAAAAAGCCATTTCTTGCTCTTGCGTGTGAAAGAGGAGGTGCCAGGGAGGCTGACCCAGCAGCTTTAAAGAGATCAAGTTGAGAGTGGGGAAGTGGAAGCAGGGGCACCCCTAGGGTGCAGGAGGGTAGGTGTTAGCTGAAAAAAGGAGTGGAATGAAGGAGCTTTAAGAAGTAGAAATAAACCTCATTTTACATAATTGTCATGTGGGTTTTTAACAACATTGTGACAATTACAGTAAGTTAAAAAAAAAAAGCTCTGGTTATGGGTATGAGGACTAATTAAATACCTTGTAGACAGGTGGGGCACGGTGACTCATGTCTGTAATCCCTGCACTTTGGGAGGCTGAGGAGGATTGCTTGAGGCCAGGAGTTTGAGGTCAACCTGAGCAACACAGTGAGGCCCCATCTCTACAAAAAAAAAAAAGAAAGAAAATTTAGCTTGGTGTGATGGTGCATGCCTATAGTCCCAGTTACTCGGGTGGCTGAGGCGAGAGGATCACTTGTTCAAGGCTGCAGTGAGCTATGATCATGCCACTGCACTCCAACCTGGGTGACGGGGCAAGACCCTGTCTCAGAAAACAAACAAAAAACCCGGTAGACAAACCTTGACAAGTAATTGATGTCATTTATTTATTTTTTGAGATGGAGTCTTGCCCTGTCGCCCAGGCTGGAGTGCAGTGGTGCGATCTCAGCTCACTGCAATCTTTGCTTCCTAGGTTCAAGCAATTCTCCTGCCTCAGCCTTCTGAGTAGCTGGGATTACAGGCATCCACGACCGTGCCTGGCTATTTTTTGTATTTTTAGTAGAGACTGAGTTTCACCTTATTGGCCAGGCTGGTCTTAAACTCCTGACCTCAAGTGATCTGCCCATCTCAGCCTCCCAAAGTGCTGGGATTATAGGCGTGAACCACCACAGCTGGCCGATGTCATTTATTATTTTGGGGGAGTTGAGAAAGTTCTTAATTAGCTGTTTGCTATCCCACTGAAACTGTACCTTAACCCGAGTAGCTGGGAATAGTTCAGCAGAAATAGTTGAAAAAGTCTGCCAATCTTAACAATATAAAACCAACTATGAGATTATACAAATTAGGTCTCTTGACATTTGTATATAAATAAAACAAAATTAATTCTTTGCAAGTAAATAATATGCAGGCAAAGATATTATAAAATTAATATGGTAACTAATCAGAGAAGTCTTACAAAATTATTAGTAAACTACTATAGGGAAATGTCTTTAAAAGATCATCACTCACCTGCCACTGTTCAGTGAGGATGACAGGTTGCTGTTTGGCGTCAGCTGTTTTTACTAATATCCAATTACCTGTTCAAGTTCCTTTCCCTTGGGAAAAACATGGTCTTTGGAGTCAGGCAGATCCGGTTTTGCATCTTAACTCTGTATTGAAGAGTTGGCTGATCATGGCTGAGTTATTTAATGTCTCTGGACTAAAGGGAATTGGATTATATTTGCAAGTTAATCTAGAGAGAATTAGGATTTATGTTGAGCCATCCTAACTGGGAGCAAGGTATGTTTCCACATTTACTCAGTGTCTACTCAGGTCTTCTGTTTATTTATGCACTGTTATAAAGACTTGTCATTTTTTTCCTCTAGATCCTGGACATTCTGTTGTCTGATTTCATTATTGGAGTTATGCTATTTTCCTTAAAATGAATTGGGAAGTTTTCCATTGTTTTTCCCTCTGGAATACTTTATATCATGTTTGAATTATTCCCTTCTTTTAAAGTTGAAAACTTTCTCAAAAGATTGTTGAAGTTTCACCCCTTTCAGGAGATGATTCTTTAAGAACTTTGTCAATTTCTTCCATGATTTTGGGTCTGTTTATGTTTCTGACATTTTCTTGAGTCAATTTTTATATTTTTCTAAAAAATGTATATTTGGTTGATATACTACACATATTGGCAGAATGGCATATGGAATATTTGCTTACATCTCCTCTGGGGTCATAGGTTATATAATCCCAGGTTATTCTGACTCCTAAGTTTGGTTCTTTCTCTTTTTAGAGGTTGATTGGTTTGGGTTGCGTGTTTTATTACTATTTTTTTTCCCCGAGGGATGAACTCTTGGGTTTTAAAATTGTTTTTCTTTTTCTAACTCACTAATTTCTCCTCT
The DNA here is from genome assembly GCF_000001405.40 of Homo sapiens. Lineage (NCBI taxonomy): Eukaryota > Metazoa > Chordata > Mammalia > Primates > Hominidae > Homo > Homo sapiens. Next base: position 112,108,860 of record NC_000009.12, on the reverse strand, counting down.
TGTTTTTATTTTTCCTTCTCCATGTTTCTCTCTCTCTTTTTTTTTTTCTTTCTTTCTTTCTTTTTTTTCTTTTTTTTTTTTTTTTTGAGACACCCAGCTCTGTCACCCAGGTTGCAGTGCAGTAGTACAATCACAGCTCACAGCAACCTTGACCTCCTGGGCTCAGGTGATCCTCCCACCTCAGCCTCCCAAGTAGCTGGGACTACAGGCGTGCACCACTATGCCTGGCAAATTTTTGTATTTTTTGTAGAGACAGGGTTTTGCCATGTTACCCAGGCTGGTCTTGAACTTCTGGGCTCAATTGATATGCCTGCCTCTGCCTCCCCAAGTACTGGGATTATAGGTGTGAGTCACGGTGCACAGCCCATATTTCTGTTAAATTGGTTATATTGTTCTGTTTCTAAATTCTTGAGTCACGGTGCACAGCCCATATTTCTGTTAAATTGGTTATATTGTTCTGTTTCTAAATTCTTGAGTTGAATGCATAACAAAATTCAGCTTATTTTCATTCGTTTCTGTTTGATAATAAAAGTCTTTAATGTTTCTTTCTCCCTTGCAGATTTGAGCTTTGGCAGAATTCTTTAGGCATTGATACATGTTTCAAGGCATGATATAATTGCTATTCTGATTTTCTGTTTGACAGAATAATTATTTATGAGTGTTTTAATATGTGTTCTCTTTACCCTTACTTTCAAAGCATTATATAATTACTATTCTGATTTCCCCTTTGAATAATTAATTACAAGCATTGTATACAGTGGTAGATTTTTTCTTTGTAACATTTATACTGTGTTGTTGTTTTCTAGTTTTATTACATTTTGGTATGTTTGGAGGATTTATTGACATTTTCTTGGGCCTTACCATTTGGCCAAGTTTGGTAATTTCAGTAGGTGCTAGATAATAAGGTAGAGTGTTTGCCTGTAAGGGGAATAAGATCTGTTATTAAGTCAACTTTATTAATAAGGTTATTCAGGACTTCTGGTTTTTGTTTATTTTTAACATGGATTGCCATTTTCTGTTCCTCTTAGAAATTCTTATTGGTTTGTTTCACACATTTTGATATGATTTTTATGTTCATGACTGATATCTTTATTATAGATTCTTTCGCTAGTAACAAATGGCTTATTTTAGCCTGTTTAATACCTTTGCCTTGAATTATATGTTGAAAGTAATATTGTTTTCTTAATTTATTTGTGCTTGCATTTGCATGATATGCCTTTGTCTACTTTTTTTCCTTCTTGAAAGCTATCTGAATAATATTACTATAAATGTACTCTAGGAGACAGCATGTATTGAGAGCTTTTCTGGAAAACTTTTATTTTTGATTAGATAAGTTATCCAACTTACATCATTGTTATTTGTGATATGATTTTCCTTTCATCTGTCTATTTATTTATTTATTTACTTATTTATGAGCAGAATCTCGCTGTGTCGCCCAGGCTGGAGTGCAGTGGCGTGATCTTGGCTCACTGAAACCTTGGCCTCCCGGTTTTAAGCGATTCTTGTGCCTTAGCCTCCCAAGTAGCTGGGACTACAGGTGTGAGCCACCACGTCTGGCCTCTTTTTTTCTTTTTTTTCTTTCTTTTCTTTTTTTTTTTTTTTTTTTGAGATATGGTCTAGCTCTGTTGCCCAGGCTGGAGTTCAGTGGTGCAACCATGGCTCACTGCAGCCTTGACCTTCCAGGCTCAAGCAATCCTCCCACCTCAGCTCCCAAGTAGCTGGGACCACAGGTGTGCAGATCACTTAATTTTTTCATTTTGTAAAGACAAGGTCTCACTATATTGCCCAGGCTGGTCTTGAACTCCTGGCCTCAAGGGATCCTCCTGCGTCAGCCTCTCAAAGTGCTTGGATTACAGGTGTGAGCCACTGCTCCTGGACTGTTTTTTCCCTTTTTAATGCTACTTTGCTGTGTCTTTTGTTTTCTTTTTGTTACACAGATTTTCTTTTCCAGTGAGTCAGATAGTATAGATTTTGTTTTCTTTTCTACAAGTGATCACATTTAAAAAAGACAAATTCTATTTGAGTGTGTATTTCTTTTTTCACCAGTGTTAAGACTGAAATATTGTTCACTTTTCCCTGAATGAGATAAGTTAGCATTCCTTTTATTTTTAAAACTTCCTTTTATTTCTTCCCCTCTCTCTTCTCTTAGGTTATTGGTTTAGTATAGCATTATATTACCAGTTTCTTATTTTTAACATGTATTATCTCTCCAAAGAGCTCACTCTTATATTGATTTATAGAAACCTTGGTAGCGATGATTTAACCTTGGGTACATGTTTTAATAGTTTCAGTGCTTACTGACAGTCTTTTCAAACCACGTTCTCTATTATTTCTCTATCTCTATTTCTCTCTCTGTGTGGTGATTTGCCTGCTCCTCAGGGAGGGAATGGGATACTTTCTGAGTCCATGATGATCTGAGAATGTCTTTTGTTGCCTTCACATGTGAATGAGAGCTCAATTGAAGATAAAATTCTTGGGTCATAAACTTTTGTTCTTGGAATTCTAGAAGTATTTCTTATTGACGTTGGGAACTGGAAGCTTTGAAAGAAGAGTTAGAAGGTGTGACTTTCTTTTAAAAAAAAAATCCTGGCCAGGTGTGGTGGCTCATGCCTGTAATCCCTGCACTTTGGGAGGCTTAGGTGGGCGGATCACCTGAGGCCAGGGTCAACATGGCTAAACCCTGTCTCTACTAAAAGTACAAAAATTAGCTGGGGGTGGTGGTGTGTGCCTGTAGTTCCAGCTACTTGAGAGTCTTAGGCACGAGAATTGCTTGAACATGGGAGGCAGAGCTTGCAGTGAGCCAAGATCGCACCACTGCACTCCAGCCTGCGCAACAGAGCGAGACTGTCTCAAATAAATAAATAAAATATAAAAAATTCGATGTAAGCAATTTGATTTTCAGCTTGTGTATCATGAAGGCTTCTTTAGCCATGAAATTTAAGACATTAATCATTTATTAATGTACCCGGCAAATGTTTATTGACCACCTATTATGTGTCTGATGTTTTTTAGGCATTGGGAATTCGAAAGTGACACAGAAGTCTCTTCATGAAACCTCCGTCTGGGTAGTGGACGGATAGAAATGTTCATGTTTTGCACTGAGCTTTCCTAGTACCCTGTGAGTTGTTGTTGTTGTCGTTTTGCGACTGAGTCTTATTCTGTCACCCAGGCTGGTGTGCAGTGGCGTGATATTGGCTCATTGCAACCTTCGCCTCCTGTGTTCAAGAGATTCTTGTGTCTCAGCCTCCTGAGTGGCTGGGATTACAGGCTTGTGTCACCATGCCCAGCTAATTTTTGTATTTTTAGTAGAGATGGGGTTTTACCATGTTGGCCAGGCTGATCTCAAACTCCTGACCTCAAGTGATCCACCTGTCTTGGCCTCCCAAAGTGCTGGGATTACAGGCGTGAGCCACTATGCCCGGTCCCCTGTGAGTTTTTTGGTCTTTAGAATTTGGTTTAACTATATATTAGGAACATTTTCTTTTATTACATCTCTGATTATTGCTTTTTTTTTTTAAAGTTTGTTTTTTGCTCTTCAAATACCCCTGTGTGGAATTGCTTGTTCGTCCACACTGGTTTCCCATTTTCTCCTTTTTATCGTCCATGTCTTTTTCCTCTGCCTTCTTTGAATATATAACAAGTTTGTTCTCTATGTGCACTTACACAAATATGCATTTTTGCATTGACATTTCCTATCTTTACCATTTCCAATGCACTTTAAATTCTGCTGTTGCACTTTCATTTCCTTTTCTTTGGGTCTCATCTAGTTCCCTTTTTATTTCTGCTTCTCTCTACCAGTTTCCTCTCTGCTGTCACGTTCTTTTATTATCTAATCCTTTATCTCTTGTTTGAATCTATTTTTAAAATTTTTATTGAACCGTATGAAACAGATGCTGCCTAATTTTACCATTCTTTTGCTCAATATTTTCTTTTTTATAAATATGCTCATTCTTTGCCTGCCGAGCACAATTTTCCTTTCCTTCCCTCTCCTTCTTTGTAGAATCATTTTGCAGTTTTTCCCCCCCATTCTGGATTACTTATCCTTGGAAGATAAAAGTTCTGTCTAGGTCTGATATTTCCTTCATAATAAAATGGATGGCCTTCCCTTTGATCCTCCTTTTCATTGGATAATGTTAGTATGTTTATGTCAGATCTCAGTATGAAGGATTTACTGCTGGTTGGGTGACCCAGTGTCCTTTGGGCAGCAGCTGTGAGAAAGCCCACCACCCCGTGCTTTATTTCTGAGCATTTTGCTATGATTGGTGAAGCTGTTGGCTTTGGGCCTGGCTTCTTTATGGCATTACAGCCTACCAAGGCAGGAAAGAGGCAAGCCCCTTCTGTCAACCCAGGCTCTCTGCCAGATGGTACCTTCAGGTCCTGAGGCCTCTACTTCGAAGTCCTTCCCCATTACTAATCTACAGTGGGCTAAAGAAGGACTATTATTATTATTATTACTATTATTATTATTAGCAGTAGCAATAGTAGTATATATACTATTTTTTTTTAATATATACCTTGTTGCCTATCAGATTGCCTGGTGAGGTTAGGGGCGTGGTGGTTCATGCCTGTAATCCCAGCACTTTGGGAGACTGAGGCAGGTGGTTGGCTTGAGTCTAGGAGTTTGAAACCAGCCTGGGGACATGGTGAAACCCTATTTCTACAAAAGAAACCCCCAAAATTAGCTGGGCTTGGTGGTGCATGCCCGTAGTCCTAGCTACTCAGGAGGCTGAGGTGGGAGGATTGCTTGAGCCCGGGAGGTGGAGGTTGCAGTGTAGTCTGGGTGACAGAGTGAGACCCTGTTTAAAAAAAGAGAGAGAAGAAGAAGAATTGTCAGGCGAACTCTTAAAAAAATACAGACGTTGAAGCATTACTTCAAATCTGCTGATGTCTGGGTGATTCTGATGTGCAGTTTGGGAACCACTGGGCTAAATGGCTCCAGATGGAGCATGGGTCATTGATTTGTCTTGTGACCTGTCTTGATTTTTCCATGGGCTCTAGTTCTCCTCCAGTTCTTTCTTTTGAAACTTTGTGACTACATTCCTTTGCTTGGAAGCCAGGTTGCATAGTAGGTCTTAGGGTCTTTCTTTAGCCCCGGCTCTTCCATACTGTGCTAAGCTGAAATGTCTTCATGTTTCCGCCTTGTGTATGGCAACCGACCCTTCTTTCCAACCCAGATGCAAATTTTGACCCATTTTTACTTATTCTCCATCACTTCTGTCAGGCTTGGGCGTGGGAAGTGGGAGCCAGATGCCTTTGTTCACATTGCCATCTTCCCCTGAATTCAGATGATAATGACTATCTTACGTGAAAATCACATTGAGATGTGAACTGTGCAGACAGTACTTCTGCTTCTGTTCTGCCTGTACAGAGACAGAAGCTTTATGTGGTATTTCTTACATACATGCATTTCTTACATGCAGACACTTGGTATTCCTCACAATCACATGCATACATGTGACCATTTTTATTTCTGATGTCCTTATGAAATCTTTAAAATAAAAGTTGTGAAGACAAAGGAGAGCACATATGATAGGTCTTCAAATTCTCTCTCATAACCATCTTTCTACACTTTCCAATTATAGGCAGGAATATTTTCCCCAGCTGGCTGCCTTGTGCTGAATATGTCAGTGATATTGAAAATGCTGTGGACAATTCTGATCTTGACTAAAATAATTTATTGTTCTCATTCTTAGGTAGCAGAAACTCCCACGGGAGAAATACACATATAAAAGGTAGTTATAAAATAGCTTCTCTCTGGTAGACATTTACACCTTTCTCATTGGTAGAAAACATGCAGTCTTGTTTGTTGGGAAATTTGCTTTTTCTTGAAAATCACTGATATTATTCCTGACTCTCTGTTATTTCTTTAATTCATTAGTAATAAATCTATCCTTCTAAACTATATTAAGAAAATAGAACATTGTAAGAATGAATTAGACTGCAGGAGGTATGAAATGACTTTTTTCTGTACAATGGTTAAAACAAGTCTGCTTTCTGATTATTTTATTGCCTTAGTACTCAGCTGAGTAGCTCTTGAAATACTGTCTGCTGTGAAAGCAAATTTCCTCTTGCTTGGTCATCTACTTTCTGGTTATTTTCTAGGTTGGAAAGCACTTGCTCTGAGAGTTTAAATCTATAGCCTTTGATTTTTATTTGCCGTTTTCCTTATTCTCAGACTTTCTGGCTACTGCTATGCTTACCTTCATGACATTTTCCTATGGACGATCCAAGCGATAGGATTAACTTTCTAAAAATATCACAGCTTTCTTTATTAATTTATAGCAATTTTTAAATATTTCATTTGATTAAGCAGCCTATGACATAAGAAAAGCAAGCTGAATTACTTGATTTTACAAACAAGGAGACTGAGGTTCAGTGACTTAGCTAAGGTAATTACAATTGAGAAGCTGGAGAGCCAGGACTTGAAGCTAAGTCTGCTGATGCCAGTTTTAATATTATTCCTGTTAAACACCCAATTGGCTCTCTTAAGGTGTCAGAGTTTCACTTGTACTCAGCCATGATGCATTTTGCTAAGATGGTGCAAGCTGTCTATAACTCTCTCTCTTGTCTTTTAGAAGTTGATCTCTTAGAAGATGATGGAAGTTTCAATATTTCAATATTTAATGAAACTTGTTTGAAATTGAACAGGCGTTCTAGGAAAGTTGGATCAGAACACATGTACCAAGTAAGGAGATCTCTTATGCTTTCCATTAAAGAATTGTGTCATTTAAAAATTTGGGCGATCTCCAAGTAAGTATCCAAAGTATTTAAAAATGAATGAACTTCTAGACAGTTTGTGATTGTTGTTTCTAGAGATGGATGTAAGATGTGAGATGGGTGTAAATGAGGTACTAACTTGAAGAAAGATACTATATTTGGTGACTTGCTATCATTTTCTGTGCCTGGCATTTCAAGCTTATATTTTATTTTAATGCATTAAACAATACAGCTTATTTTGCTATCAGATTCACATTTGGGCATGGAATTTATTTTTATTTTTTATTTTTATTTTTTGAGACTGAGTTTCGCTCTTGTTGCCCAGGCTGGAGTGCAGTGGCATGATCTCGGCTCACTGCAATCTCTGCCTCCGGGGTTCAAGCGATTCTCTTGCGTCAGCCTTCCTGAGTAGCTGGGATTGCAGGCATGAGCCACCACGCCCAGCTAATTTTGTATTTTTAGTAGAGATGGGGTTTCTCCATGTTGGTCAGGCTGGTCTCAAACTCCCAGCCTCAGATGATCTGCCCTCCTCGGCCTCCCAAAGTGCTAGGATTACAGGCGTGAGCCACCACGCCCAGCTGGGCATGGAATTTTAAGGAACTCTTTGGATGGCTATTGACCCTCATTTAACTTGATTTTTTCTTAAACATCATCAGTAAAATTGTAAGTAAATTCAGGCAGGAACTGAGATTTATTTTGTGTCATTTTTAGTGCCTAGCAAGTCATCTGGTAGAGAGCAAACTCAGTAAGTATTACATTAAAAAAATTTTTTTTTCTTTTTTGAGACCGAGTCTTGCTCTGTTACCCAGGTTGGAGTGCAGGGAGGCGATCTTGGCTCACTGCGACCTCCACCTTCCAAATTCAAGCGACTCTCGTGCCTCAGCCTCCCAAGTAGCTGAGATTATAGGTGTGCACCACTATGCCCTGCTGATTTTTGTATTTTTATTAGAGATGTCGTGTCACCATATTGGCTAGGCTGGTCTCAAACTCCTGACCTCAAGTGATCCACCCGCCTCAGCTTCCCTAGGTGCTGGGATTACAGGTGTGAGCCACCGCGCCCAGGCCAAAATTAATTAATTTATTCTATTTACCAGAAGTATATCACATATTAGGACTTGGAAGTTTCCAATTCAAACTGATAGAAATATATAGGTAAATAGGCAACTACAATATGGTATAATGAGTGCTTTGACAAAAAGTAAATTAATAATGGAATAATAAAAGTAAATAAGTATAAAAATAGAGATTTTATTTGTGTGTGTGTGTGTGTGTGTGTGTGTGTGTGTCCAGGTACAATTTTTTTGTTTTTTTTGAGATGGAGTCTTGCTCTGTCGTCCAGGCTGGAGTACAGTGGCATGATCTTGGCTCACTGCAGCCTCCCTCTCCCAGGTTCAAGCAATTCTCCTGCCTCAGCCTCCCTAGTAGCTGGGATTCCAGGCATGCCCCACCATGCCCAGCTAATTTTTGTATTTTTGGTAAAGATGGGGTTTTGCCATGTTGGCCAGGCTGGTCTCAAACACCTGACCTCAGGTGATCCAGCTGCCTTGGCTTCCCAAAGTGCTGGGATTACAGGTGTGAGCTACTTGCCAGGCCAGGTACAATTTTTTTAACCAGAAGCAAAGACTGTTATACTGAGTCATAGAAAGTAAGTAGGAATTGGCCAGGCGTGGTGGCTCACGCCTGTAATCCCAGCACTCTGGGAGGCCAAGGCGGGTGGATCACGAGGTCAGGAGATCGAGACCATCCTGGCTAACACGGTGAAACCCCATCTCTACTAAAAATACAAAAAATTAGCCAGGCGTGGTGGCGGGCACCTGTAGTCCCAGCTACTTGGGAGGCTGAGGCAGGAGAATGGTGTAAACCTGGGAGGTGGAGCTTGCAGTGAGCCAAGATCGCACCACTGTACTCCAGCCTGGGCGACAGAGCAAGACTCCGTCTAAAAAAACAACAACAAAAAAATTAGATAAAGGTTAATTTGTGTGACATGTGAAACACTTTTAAATTGACTGGAAAAAAGTCAATATTTAAAAGCGGTTTGCTAAAGAAAATAGACGTATTGCCTAAACACGCATGAACACATTATGCCTCACTAGTAAGTGGTCCAGAAGAATAGGGGACTGCCAGACCGTGGAGGAGCAGCTCTGACGATAGCATAGTCTAGGTTGTGGCCATGGATATGGGTGGCCAAAGTGGAGTGAAGGAAGTTCATAGCATTGAGCTCAAAGAACTCTGAGGCCAACATTTGATGGTTTATCTGTAAGGACCTTTAAGTTATCCAAGAGAATTCAAAGAGTTTGAGAGAGAAGAATCCTTATGAACCACCTGTCAGGGTCTTGGATGACTGTCAAAATTGATAAGAGAAGAGTTAGTGATTGATGGGAATAAGGAGGGATTGAGGGTGGTATAGACAATGGTGCTAGCATCAGTGGCAACACCGAGCATATGTCTCCACCAGCTAATGCACCCTAACTGATCAAGGGCTGATCATATTACTTATAGGACCTTCACGAAAGTTTTTTCCCTATAATTCCCTGCTGGAGCTGGCAGTGCGTAGAGGATGGTTAGGTGACAGTGTGTGATATGACTCCATGGATCAAAAGCCCTTTTACCAGAGGTCTAATAGGAAGGGTCCAGTGAAGTACCATGGCATTTGCTTTGAATGCATAATCTGGGGTGGTCCCCATATGTTTTTGTTTTTTTTTTCTTCCATGGGTAGGGTTAAGGAACCCACCTAGTTTAAGTACTCTGTTCTATGAGGCTTGTCCATGGATTTCTTACAATGAAAAGAAACTAAAAGAATTTTGGTTGGGTGCAATGGCTCACACTTGTAATCCCAGCACTTTGGGAGGCTGAGGTGGGCTTGAGGCCAAGAGTTTGAGACCAGCCTGGGCAACAAAGTAAGATCCTGTCTTTACAAATTAATTGTAAAAATAATTACCCAGGTGTGGTGGTGCATGCCTGTAGTTCCAACTACTCGGGAGGCTGAGGATCACTTCAGTCCAGGAGTTTGAGATTGCTGTGAACTAAGATTGTGCCACTGCACTCCAGCCTGGGTGACAGAACAAGACCCTGTCTCAGAAAAGAGACAGAGAGAGAGAGAGAGAGAGAGAGAGAGAGAGAGAGAGAGAACGAAGTATTCAGAAGGGAAGGAGGAAAAAAAATAATTTTGCCCATTAGCTCCAATGTAATCTCTTTCACTTGCGTTATAATCAAGGGATTATTTTGGAATAGACTAATATTTTCTTCATCTGAGATGTAGTTATGCATATTAAGCTTGGTCCTATACCTGATTGTGAGGACAGGTAAGGTAGCTTTGTCAAGTCCTTCCTCAGGTTAGCTTGCTATTGTCTTAAAAGTAATTCTAAGTGGGCAAGGATAAATAAAAGGAACTTTCTTGTTTTAACTCCATTTTGCTAATAGTCTAGGCACCTGTTAGTCAATGGAAAATCTAATGTAACACTTTCTTTTAATCTCATGACAGTTTACCGTTCTGGGTCAGAGGTGGTATCTGGCTAACTTTTCTCATGCAACATCGTTTAACTTCACAACGAGGGAACAAGTGCCTGTAGTGTGTTTGGATCTGTACCCTACGACTGATTATACGGTGAATGTGACCCTGCTGAGATCTCCTAAGCGGCACTCAGTGCAAATAACAATAGCAACTCCCCCAGCAGGTGGGTGTAGACGTCTTTCTTTTTTGTGCCTCAGGACAAATTACCTATGTGAATTGAGCAGTGTGGGCGGGCATAAGAGTGCTAGTTTGGGAGTCAAGAGACAGGGGTTCCAGTTCTAACAAACTTTGTTAGCTGCGTCTGGGGTTCAGGATGCCTGAATCTTACCACTTATCCCCTTCCCTGAAGGGTACTGGCTCATAGAGGGCACAGACCAAGGATAGACTGATTTATTCAGAGCTCCCTGGGAGTCCTAAGTTGAGAATTCCATAAAGCATTTTATCTCTCACCCCAAATTTAAGACAACTGAACCCTAAGGGTATTCATTATCGGCAAGTAGAACGAACTTCCAGGAGACCAGAAACGTGGGTCCCACAGTGTCAGGCACTGGCAGGCAATACAGCCTCAGGACTAGGCCACGCATAAGCAAATTAACTTGACATAGAGAACAGAGGCCTGATTAAGGTCAGGCTCCTTAGAAATTCTTCCCTTGCAGTCTTTTGAGGAAGCCACATAGGTGCCAGCTGTATTAACTCCACAGCTCCCCCTAGTGGGATGGCTGTGGTGCAGCCATCACTACTATTTCTTTTGTTCTTTAATCCTGTGGGTTTATCAGACAAATTTACGGGCAACCAGAAGAGGCTACCCCTTTGAAGGAAAGCAGCAGAAGAGGGTAGGTCCTGCTGCTACCTCCCTGAAGCCGCTCTGTGATATTCACCTCTGCTCTTTGTGGGTCAGGGTGGGCAGTTTGGCCTTTGCATTTAGAAGACTCTGGGCCGGGTGCGGTGGCTCACGACTGTAATCCCAGCACTTTGGGAGGCCGAGGCTGGCAGATCACCTGAGGTCAGGAGTTCGAGACTAGCCTGGCTAACATGATGAAACCCTGATTCTACCAAAAATACAAAAAATTAGCTGGGCATGGTGGTGTGTGCCTGTAATCCCAGCTACTCGGGAGGCTGAGGCAAGAGAATCACTGAACCCGGGAGGCAGAGGTTGCAGTGAGCCGAGATTGCGCCATTGCACTCTAGCTTGGGCAACAAGAGCCAAACTCCATCTCAAAAAAAAAAAAAAAAAAAAGACTCTGAAATGTGTTAGACACTCATGAGAGCCACGTAGCACCTGAGGCTGAAAATTAATTTTTTTTTTTTGAGATGGAGTCTCGCTCTGTCACCCAGGCTGGAGGGCCAGGTGCCATCTTGGCTCACTGTAACCTCCACCTCCTGGGCTCAAGTGATCCTCCTGCCTCAGCCTCTTGAGTAGCTGGGACTACAGGCGCATACCACCATGCCCAGCTAATTTTTGTATTTTTAGTAGATACAGGGTTTCACCATGTTGGCCAGGCTGTTCTCGAACTCCTGACCTCAAGTGAGGTCTTCCAATTCAGCCTCCCAAAGTGCTGGGATTACAAGTGTGAGCCACCGTGTCTGGCTTCAGTTTTTATCCTATTTTTTTTATCAGATTGAGCCTGGCACCTTGTCCTGTCTGTATCAGCAGAGTTTGCACAAGGAGCACCTCATGACATCATAAACCTACCCCCCAACACATTTTCAGCTGCATAGTAATGCTCGCAAATTGAATATGAATTCCCTCCAATTATTAAATTCTTAGAGAAATAAAAATCTATAAATAAAATCTAGCTGGGTGCAGTAGCTCACGTCTAATTCCAGCACTATGGGAGGCCAAGGCGGGTGGATTGCTTGAGCTCAGGAGTTTGAGACCAGCCTGGGCAACATAGTGAAACTCTGTCTCTATAAACAATACAAAAATTAGCTGGGTGTGGTGGCATAAGCCTGTGGTCCCAGCTACTTGGGAGGCTGAGGTGGGAGAATCTCTTGAGTCTAGGAGGTTGAGGCTGCAGGGAGCCGAGATTGCGCCACTGCACTTCAGCCTGGGCAATAGAGCAAGATCTCCTCAGATAAAGAAATAAGAATAAATAAATCCACCTCTCCTTGTAAAATAAACTAAAATGTAAAGGCATGAAGTCCCCAGTTTTTTCTATCCTACATCTTTTCTGCTGAGTCTTGGCCAGAGTGTCCTGCTGAGTGGAGAGTGTGTTCTAGCTGTTGAAACCTAGGAATCTTGTTTTGTAATAGATGCTACTCCTTTGGTGTATAGGAGACTGGCAAATGCTGAGGTTTTGAGGCAGGCACATACTTGGCATATTCTAGGAATGTCATGGAAACCAGTATGGCTGGAGCAGAGAGCTGGGGACAGTGGTGAGAGATGAGGTCTAAACTCTAGCATGAGTATAATAAATGAGAGGCCCATGGTGTCAGGTTCAGAAAGAAGCCTGTTGTTACCTTCTCCTTTGCCTCCCTAAATTACTAGTAGTAAGTATAATGTAGCATGCCATAGTTCAGCCTCTGTAGGTTACCAAGCAGTCTGGAGTCTACCACGTGTCAATTTAAACTTAAATTGGGAAATGTCTTCTCGTCAGGGTAGTTGGATTCATTTTGACACTGTACTCTCCTTGAAAATTTTAGACATTTGCAGTGGTGGCTCTAGGTCTTTCTTGATGCCCGTTCCAAAGATTAAAACCTTTCCATTTTCGTTGCTCCCTTGAGCCCTATTTCTACCCAAGCTTCACCATTGCTGAAGATCTTTATCTGTTTAGTGAAAGAGTCTCCCTTCTTTCTGGGCAGGACACCCCACATTTATCTTAGGAAACTCTTCAAGTGAAATGCATCATCTTGCATGCTTCCTTCCCTGTCTCCATTTCTGACTCTTTTCTCTGAATTTCTCTAAACCCAGAAAGATCCCCCAAATTGTTTTAGTTCTGGACTCCACAGGCTCCTATTATTGAATGTCTGCCTGTGAGTCCTACTTCCTGGTTAGGAGATTTTCCCTTTTGTCTCCCATGGGGAATTACCCTCAGCTGATCTGTGAGCTGCTGTTGGGTTTCCAGAACCTGAACTTTCACTGGTCTGATGAGGTCCAGGAAACCCCCTGGGCTAGTGGCATTTCGCCCAAGCCCTACCTTCTTGGAATTGAATTTCCAAGACTTAAATGGTCGGTGCTTCTTTGATGGAAACTGAAACACTTCTTGCTCCCGCTTCCTTTTCTGTATCAGAGAGATAAGCCTGCAATGTTCAAGGTCCCTCTGAGAACGTTCTTACTTAGCAGGTCCTGCTCAGCTCTAAGCCTTTACCCTTCCATTTAAGTTGTTTCTGTTCCGTCTTTATTGCCAGGTAGGACTCATACCTTTTGCTAGGTCTTAGTACTTTTCCTTCTCTATATTTGCTTTTTGTTTTCAGACTTAGATTTTTGTTCTCCTCACATATTACTTTGGAATCTGCCTCCGAGGTCTCTGTAGAGAAAGAATGATGTCACAGAGCTCTCGACCTGCCATAAACATCCAGTGTTAAAATACCTTCTTCCCACTTTCATTTTCACTAGGAGGCATTTCTTTCTATTCAGTTCGGCCTAAACCCAGGCCTGGGCTTTATCAATTTTCATTCTCCCTGGACCTTGTTTAATACAGCTCTATTTCCCAGGCAGATGTCCTTATAGCCGGTGCAATACCTGTTGCCCCATCTTACAAAAACAATGCCACCTTGAAACTCACTTAGTGATGCTTGAAGAATTCTACACTGATCATTCACTGATGATTCTCTTTTTAAACATGTTCACATTTCTTTAACTATAGAGTATCACAGTTCCAGTTATTAAGGAAGAAACGAAGAGTTCTCATTAATGCCTATTCTCGCTCCCCTATTTAAAACTTTTCCTTGTCATATTTTTCTAACTGGGCCAATATGATTTCAAATTTTCTTCTTAGTGTTATTTCCTTCACTTTGTTTCATTCCTCCTAATCTTATCGTTTCTCCCTAATCTTATCCTGTCTGCAAGACCAAAACCTGTTTTGTAAACTGACTTCATTCTATTTTCAGAGATGGGGAAAATCTCATTTCTAGGAACAGAGTTCTAGGTGTACACTTTTTGCTATTTCTTTTTAGCATTTGAGTTTGTAATAATTCCACTGGACTTTTTTTCTACTTTAGCCCCCAAAGAGTTTCTTATCTAGAATCCCCGGTCTGAGTTTCTGTGAAACAGATCATCCAGGGCCATTTAAAAGCCCTTGGTGTGGGGGTGAACTCAGCCTGTGGAGAAACCGTGGATCCAGTCTTTCTACAGTTCTCTCCTTAGCCCTGGATGAAATTCCAAACAATATAAAGAGAAATGGAATTTTGGCAAGCTAATCTAATGTTGTCTACTAATATCTAGCTCCCCAAAATGCTCTTTAAAACCTCCCACCATTGCTCCCTTTGTGCATCTTAAACTTTAGCAAGTGTAATGATTACCTGGAGAGCTTATGAAAACACTGGTTCCTGGGCCCCATCCCAGAGGTTCTGATTCAGTAGGCCTTTGGGGAGGGGAGCAAATTTTCATTTCTAGCAAGCTTTCAGGCCTTATTGATATTGTCAGTCCACATTTTGAGTCGCATTGCTCTAACCACATAAACCTTAGCTACTTCCGGGCAATGTCAAAGCTCTTGCAGGCGGAGACATAATAAGAAAAGAAAGACTGAAATAAAAAAAAAGTGGTAGCTAAAATAATTCCATCTGCTCCTGCCTAAAAAGCCTATGTCTTAGAGCTTTGTCTGATTTGCAAAGTTTTCCTGGTAATCAGATATCTACCTACCTCATCTGTTCCTGAATTCCAGCTGCAGAGACCAGGAGCTCTCATCTTCCATCATGGTGCCTTGCTCCGCTGTGGCAGCTCTTATCTTTATACTCAAGGCCCCAGTCAGTATATCTGTCTTTTGCAGGGAGATACTGAATCTTACCTCTCCTTTCCATCTGAGATTAACAGGACAAACAGATAGATAAATGACAAATAGAGGATCAACTTTATTGATCTGGGCAAGTTTCCAGGAACTCTCTCCAAAACTGAATTTCAGGTAAAAGCTATATTGAAGGATGAGGTTTAGCTATTGTGGCCAAGTGGAACTTCCTACTTGCTGGAATTCCCCCTGGAAATATGGGCAGTTGGGTCTGTAAGGGACCCTTGCCTGGCTTACCCACCCAGTCTCAGGCCGAAAAGCAGAGGAAAGGGCGGTGACAGACACTGGGTGCTTACCTCTTGGAGACCGGAGATACCCAGAGTGCTCCTTGTACCTGTGCACAGGCGGGTCCCAGAGAGCAAGTCTGCCTTTTGTTTGGGTGGCAACCTGTAATATATGAACTTATTACTTGGAAATGTGACTCAAGGAATGGCAGTCTCCTACCAATTAGATTACATATTTACTGTTCCTTCCTTGAGGATTAACATATAGGGAATAGGGAGAAGCCAAAATTGCCTTTTCCCTTATGGAATTGGAAAGACAGGTAAATAGCAACCTTTAATACACTCAAGCAAGGTCACTGATCTCTGTAATTATCTTGAACAGGAAAGGTCCATTATAGTTCTAGGAGTCTATGTTAGGAAAGCAATTTAAATTACTTTTAGGTTCCTTCAAATTCATTTGTTTTGAAGGAAAAATTTGTCCAAATTTCTTGGTTAATTTACCATCACTATTTTATTTATTGATCAAATTTTGTGTTCTCATGGACATAGATAGTTTATTCATATACTGAGAGCATGACTTCTTTGATTATTATTTATGTTGCCTTTCTTCTGTTTTATGGTTTCTTTCAATTTTGTTTACGATGTTTTTGACATATAAAAGTTTTAGATTGCTATACAGTCAAATCTATTGATCTTTTCCATTGTGATTCATTACATTGTTATTAAATGTAGAATTTTTTAAAACAAAAGAGTATTTATATTCTGTCTTATTTCTAGGAAAGACTTTAAGTGACCTGCATGGGTATATAAAATAAACGATAATAGGTTAGACGTCTAGGCTAAAGAAGAAAGAAAACAAAAACAGAGACATAAAAAATATAGGAATAAGGTTAAGAATAATTCATGCCCTTATAACCTATTTACTTGTTCATTAGTGCCTCTAAAATTTAGGTTTGAGTTTTCCCATCCAGCCAGAAAGGGAACCATTGCATTGTCCATAATGTTACAACGAAGCAGTGTTTTTCAGAAGCACAATTCTTTTTCAACATTAAGAATCAGTTAGAAATTTCTGATTCCAGGGGGTCTCATAAATAGGACAGTGTCTGAGCAGCATTTTATGAGGATTTTATAAGGCTATTTTTTTGTATTGCCCCTGAACACAGAAAAGCACAATTCAGTGTAGAGTGGCAGAAAAGATGCATTAGAAATGCCTGCTGTTTGCTGATCTGGCTTGATTCAGGGGTAGGATTAGGTTATTTAGATTATTTGGAGGTATGACTGGAGTCCATTTCTTTCAAGCATTGTTTTCTAAATATTGTTTCCCTCAACTGAGATTTGATGAATGTTTGGTGTCACTGAGCTAGCAACTGTTTTCTCTTATAAGTACCCAGGGAGCAATTGTTCTGTGCCACCAATTGAATAACAAGGACTTGTGCTTGAATTGAACGCTGGCCTCCTCTGCTGGAAGGTTGAGCCTGGGGAGCTGAGCCAAGGGAATTGTTTGAATCTGCTCTGCCAATGAATGGGTGATTGAACTCTCAAAATTCCTCTCCTTGTAATATAGTCACAGGTGTTTAGCCTGAAAAATTTCACAGTTGTTCTGACCAGATACCAAATTTGTCTAAAGAAAAATTTCAATAAAATAACAGTAAAGCTCCCAGCTTTGAACCATATTATATCTTGTTGCCCTCTTTAAGATAAACTGCTCCCCAAATGTAAATCAAGGATAACTAAGATGATACCACTATTTATAGAGCAGTTATACAATAGTAACTTTGCTTTCAGGATAGTTGATTTATAGCCATTCTTTATGACAATATTTAGCTTGCAAAGCCAACTGTCTATATAGGCTACTTCTAATTAGAGATTTAAATACCGCTATTATTTATGTACAAAAGAATGTTTTTATTCAGTTCTTTTTAGCAGAAGATTGCATGCATTTAGATATTCCCAAAATAATGTTGGTAAGTTTTAAAAAATCCTACAAGGAGAAGGAACAGAGCACTCTTCCCAGGGAGTAAAGCCCTGGTAGAAAACCATTACTCTTAAGGTGGCTTTCTGCTGCAGGTTTTGAACAGCATGCATAATTTGAGATCTATGTGGACTTTATAAAACTTCCCCCATAATGGATTCCTGTTCACAGAATTAAAGTCCAAACAAAAGATAATTAAGACCATAAATCATTTAATGTTGTTTCTGATATTTTTCCACAGAGTGATAAATATTATAACAGTATTCTGTGGTTGAAGAGTTATGCCTGAAGTCTACCTTCTTTTCTTACAAACCATTAGCCTGAGAAACCCATACTTGTAGTTGGTCAAGCCAGAAATTGGCATATATTTTACATGGAATATACAATCATCTGAATGTGCCAAGTATGGAGAGAGTAGATGTTTGTTCTTTTAACAGATAAGTTAGTGACCTTGTAGATCCAGCTCAGTGGGACCATATCCATTACCTTTACTCATAAAGATGAATAAGTTGCTTAGAATTGGAGCCTTCAGCTAAATGGGTTCTAAGTGGCTCTGAAGGCAATAGATTCATCTCATTCTTTTTAGTACCTTCATTTTCTAATCATGCGTATAGACACAGACTCCAAAACTGTTCTCTCCTAGGCTAGAATCAGAGAAAGGGTCACATACTTTTTAGTCTAAAATATTCCTTAGTGCCATGCAAAGGAAAGCTAACTACAAGATATTTTAACAACTTTTATTTACTTATAATTTTTAAATTTGATATAATTTCAAATTTTTCTCTTTCTTGCACTTCTACCCCTTCCTGTAATATATCCCACTTGGTCATTGTGTATTGTCGTATGTGGCGTTAGATTCTGTTCACTAATATTTTCTTTAGTATTTTTGCACCAATATTTATAAGTAATGTTGGTCTATACTTTTCTCTATTTTTTTTGACACTCTTTATCAGGTTTAAGCATTGGTATTTTCCTTTCTTCATAAAAATAATTTGTAAAGTTTCCTTCATTATTTATGCCCTGGGACAATTCACATAGCATTTGGACTATCTGATTTTGGATGATTTGGTAGAATCCATCAAATTCTATGAAATGATCTGGGTATGGGGCTTTTCTATGGGGTTATTCCTTGATGACATTCTCAATTTTTTTCTATGGAAATTGGTCGGTTTAAGCTTTTTCTGTCTAATGGAGTCAATTTTGGCAAACCAGATTTTGCAAGGAATTACCTATTTCGTCTAAGTTTTAAAATTTATTTGTACACTGATCTGCAAAGTAGTTTCGTTTAACTTTTTGAATTTTCTTCTGTCTCAGTGATCATTTCTCCCTTTATCTTTATTTTCTGCCCCTTTTCTAGATTAAATTAGCTAAGTGGTTTGTTTATTTTATTAGTTTTTCTAAGATTTTGGTTTATTAATTGGATCTACTATTTTTTTTCTGTCTCACAATATCAGGGATTAACAAACTATGACCTGCAGAACAAATCTGGCCTGTCACCTGTTTTCATAAATAGTTTTACTGGAACAAAGGCAGAGTTGAATAGTTGTGACAGAACTGTCAGCCTGGAAAGCCTAAAATATTTACTTATCTGGCCCTTTATAGATAAAACTTCTTGATTCTCGCTCTATATCATTATTTCTGCTTTCTTTTCTTTTCTTTTCTTTTTTTTTTTTTTTTTTTTTGAGATGGAATCTTGCTCTGTCACCCAGGCTGGAGTGCAGTGGCGCGATCTCAGCTCGCTGCAACTTCCGCCTCCCGGGTTCGAGCGATTCTCCTGCTTCAGCCTCCCGAGTAGATGGGACTACAGGCATGTACCACCACGCCCAGCTAATTTTTGTATTTTTAGTAAAGACAGGGTTTCACCATGTTGGTCAGGCTGTTCCTGACCTCAGGTGATCCACCCTCCTTGGCCTCCCAAAGTGCTGGGATTACAGGTGTGAGCCACCGCACCTGGCCAGTTTCTGCTTTCATAACTATTATATCCTTTCTTATACTTTCTTTTGCTTTACAAAGGTGGTTGTACTATATCTTCATTGTGACTTGTGGCTTTTAGCATTAAAAGTGGTCCTTTGTCATATTTAATGCTTTTTGATTTGAATTCTACTTTGTCTTATATAGAGATTGCAGTGCTTACTTTCTTATAGTTTCAACTCCATCCTATTATTTTATGTTACAACTGCTATATGTATTGTGTTATATTTTCTGCATTTCTTTCTCTGTGTGATGGATTTTCTTTGCTTTATTTATTAATTTTTAAAGGAAGGTTTACATTTTTCTAGTGGTTACCTTTATACCTTTAAAAAACGCCCTCTCTTCTGTTTTCTCATTTAACTTTTCACCATCTGGTTTGTCAGGTTTTTTGTTTGTTTGTTTATTTGTTTGTTTTTAAGACAGGATCTCACCCTGTTGCCCAGACTGGAGTGCAGTGGATTGATCATAGCTCACTGTAGCCACAACTTCCCAGACTCAAGTGATCCTTTTGTCTCAGCCTCCTGAGTAGCTGGGACTAGAGGCATAAGCCACTGTGCTCAGCTAATTTTAAAACTTTTTGTAGAGACAAGGTCTCTCTTTGTTGCCCATGCTGGTCTCAAACTCCTGACCTCAAGTGATCCTCCCACCTTTGGCCTCCCAAAGTGCTGGGATTACAGGCGGGAACCACCACACTCAGCTGGTTTGTCAGTTTTTGTTTGTTTGTTTGTTTGTTTTTTGAGATGTGGTCTCACTCCCAGGCTGAAGTACAGTGGCATGATCATAGCTCACAACAGCCTTGAACTCCTGGGCTCAAGTGATCCTCCGACCTCAGCCTCCCAAATAGCTGGGGCTACAACCACCATGCTTGGCTAATTTTGTTATTTTCATTTTCTATTTTAGTGGAGACAGGTTCTCCCTATATTGCCCAGGCTAGTCCTGAACTCCTGGCCTTAAGTGATCCTCCTACCTTGGCCTCCCAAGGTGCTGGAGTTAACAGGTCTGAGCCACTGCACCTGGCCTGGTTTGACAGTTTTTAATGGCATACTTTAATTCATTTATTGCCTTTATGACATTCAACTATTGAATCAACTAGTTTATTCTATTTTCCTTTTTCTGCATCCCTTTTCCTCTCAGTTTTTCAGTTGCATTATTTCTACTTTATGAAAACATATAGCATTTATATATCACTCTTCCGCCTCGCCCCATCTTTATTTTTGTCTTAGAGCTACAATTGAATACAGCAAATGCTTATCACCAATCCTTTTACTGAAGTTTCCTCAGTTTATCTCTTGGATGAAGCTCATTTTCTAGTAGATTCCTTAAGAGCACAGTATTCCTTGAGTTCTTGGATATTTAGAATTGTATCTGTATAGCCTTGATATTTGAAAGGTAGCTTGGCTAGATATAAAAATCTTAATTCACACTTTCTTGGTTTGAGTGTCTTAAAAAGATTCAGTTCTTTTCTTGCCTTGCTTTCTATGTAGCTTTTGAGAAGTCTGATGCAGCCTGATTCTTTTGCCCTTGGATGTTATGTTTATTTCTTTGAGTGAAGACCCTGAGGATTTCTTCCTTTATCTTTAAAATCTAATAGTTTTACTTGGATACATTTTGGGGTTGATTGTTGTGGGTCAGATTTCACAGGTACCCAGTGTATCCCTTTAGTATTTCTACTCAGGTCTCTTTATTCTTGTAAAGTTATCTTGAATTGTAGTTTTAAACACTAATTCTGTTTCATGCTTGTTTATCTTCTTCAGATAATTTAATTATACATGTGTTGGATCTTTGCCTATATTCCACTTCATTCACTTTATTTTTGACCCTTTTAACTTCTTTTTGATCTCATTTTTATTATTTTCAGTTGTTTTCCTATATTTCTTCAATGCCTTTTATTCAATCTACCCTTCTTTAGGCACCATGAAATTTAGTCTTTATTATTTCTAATGTGATTTTGTATTTTCATTATTTTTTCCTGAACTTAGTCACCTGTTTCATTTCCTCCCTATTTTTTGTGTCCATTTATGTTTTAAGTTTTAAATTTCCTAGGCCTGGCTCAGTGGCTCATACCTGTAATCCCAGCACTTTGGGAGGCCGAGGTGAGCGGATCACTTGAGGTCAAGAGTTAAGACCAGCCTGGCCAACATGGTGAAACCCCGTCTCTACTAAAGATACAAAAATTAGCCAGGCTTGGTGGTGCACACCTGTAATTCCAGCTACTCAGGAGGCTGAGGCAGAAGAGTCACTTGAACCCAGCAGGGTTCAGTGAGCAGAGGCTGCAGTGAGCAGAGATCGTGCCACTGCACTCCAGCCTGGGCAGCAGAAAGAGACTTCATCTCAAAAAAGAAAAAAAGAAGTTTTAAAATTTCTGACTCAAGGAGTTTTCTTCATATCCCCAAATGCTTGAGGATACTTATTTCAGTTTATTAATGTATAGGACTCCCCCTCCACCCCAGTTTGTGGGTTTAAAAAAATGTAGAGCTTTTTACAAGCTGCATTGTTTTTATTTTATATGTATATTATATATGTATATTTTATATATGTATATATATATAAAATACAAACTGCTTTTGTCTGTTAATTCCCAGGACAGAATTGCTGGTTTAGGATGGTTAACAAGATTTCTAGGTTAAGAGTGCCCTCTTCTGTCACTGAGTGAAATGCAGTTTCTTTAAAGGTTTTTTTTGTTTGTTTGTTTGTTTGTTTTGATAAGACTGGGCATGAATCATGTATTCTTCTCATTTTAGGTTCTCTTTTGCCTTGTAGGATCTTGCATTTCCCTCTCGCTTCTGTTGCCCACCACTGCTTAGTCTCCAAAGGACACCCATTCCTTCCCTTTTATCCTTTTCTTTCCCAGAAGCAATGCCGTTTTCTTACCACTACCTGACAACTCATGGACTTTTAATCCTTTCCTTGTAGTCAGTGCTCTGTCTATACACCAGATCTCTCTCTCTCTCTCTCTCTCTCTTTCTTTCTTTCTTTCTTTCTTTTTTTCTCTCTCTCTCTCTTTCTTTCTTTCTTTTTTTCATAGTTAGAGTGGAGTTTCTCTTGCTGGGAGTGAACCTAGCTTACTCTGGGCCACCTTGCTTCCCTCTTTTCTATTTCACACATCCCTTCTATCACCCCTCACTCTTCACAAGGACTTGTGGGAGATTGAGAGATAATTTTGCTGGAATTTCATATTTATTTTTCTATTTAACAGATTTTTTTTTTTTTTTTTTTGAGGCAAGGTCTCGCTCTGTCACCCAGCCTGGCAGGACACATCTCACTGCAGCTTTGACCTCCTGGGCTCAAGCAATCTTTCCACCTCAGCTTTTCGAGTAGCTGGTACTACAGGCTCCCGCCACCATGCTCAGCTAACTTTTTTATTTTTTGTAGAGATGGTGGTGAGAGGGGCGGGTCTTGCTATGTTGCCAAGGCTGGTCTGAAACTCCTGGGCTCAAGCAATCCTTCCACCTCGGCCTCTCAAAGTATTGGGATTACAGGTGTGAGCTACTGTACCCGGCCTTAACAGTAATTTAAAGTTTGTAATGTTTTCTATTTTCCTTTTATGATGACAGCTTCTGTTTTATGTTGTTTTATTTTATTTTATTTTTGAGACAGGGTCTCACTCTGTCACCCAGGCTGGAATGCAGTGGTGCAATCTCGGCTTACTGCATATGTTGTTTTATTTGATCTTCTTGCTGATCTGAAGAATATTTTGGAGGATGCGTAGTGAGTTATATTTAAGGGGCCACCATTATCTTTGATGATTGGAACTCTGATCGGTAATATATTACGTGCTAACTTTTCCACCTCCGTGTCTTTGTTCATGCCATTTCTTCTACCTGGAGCCCACTCCCTTTTCTTGAGTTCATAGATTTCTTTCTTCCATGATTTCCACTTCCCACCTTTCAAGCTGATAAGTATCTTTCTTTCTGAATTCCCGTAACCTATTTTAACAGGAAGTATAGGTAGTAGTTTGGCACAGTTCCTCTGGAGTCAGATGATCTAAATTCAAATCCCAGATCTGCCACTTACTATCTCTGTAACTTCGGACAAGTTATTTCACCTCTATGTGTCCCAGTTGCCTTAACTGTGAACATGGGAATAACAATATCCATATCGTGGGCTTGTTGTGAAGACCAAATGGATTAAAGCACATGGAGAAACAGCACAATACCTGACACAAGATGAATGTCTATCAAATGTTAACTATTACTTACATTTACTTTCTGACATTTATTATATACTCCCTTGTTTTTAAAACTGTACTTACATAGGCCATAACTTCTCTCCTAGGTGAAATGCATGTTATGGGCAGAAAGCATGTCTTACTCAGAGTACTTATATTCCACTGGGTCAATGCAATACCATTTGCTTAGCTTTCCCCTTATTGCTGATTGCATTTGAACAATCATAGCTGCTGTGATTGTTTAAATCACTGCCCTAGACACTGAGAGTGCAAAGATTAAGAAGATGTCTCTCTCTTCAAGGAGCTATCAGTTCAACGGGGGTGATAGACAAAGATCAATAATACAATATATGAAGCATATTTGAGGTATTTGCAGGGTACCACAGGAGCAGAGAGGAAATAGTGATTGATTTTGCCAAGAGTCGCTTGCCCATACAAATGAAGCAGAAACAAAGTTTCATTAAGAGCTTAATTTTCTCTTTTTTGAGGCATTCTTGCAGTTCTGGTTTTTCAACTTCAGGATTCTAGATCACATTGGCCCAGCGGGTGGAGAAAAGAGAGAGAACACAGAGTAACCACTAAAAATGCATTAGAGAAGGAAGATTTGTATGAGAGACCACCGCACGTATCTTTCATAGCAAAGGATCTGAGAGCACTAGGAAGGGACTTGGGATGAGCTCTACTGGGGATCCTTTTCTCCTCATTGAATGCATCATGGGTTCAACCTGCCTGTGGCTGAAACTGTAAAGCCACTTGAATGGAGGGAAGCGAACCTAGAGTGAGAATGTCACTCCCTGACCCGGGTGGAACTGAATGAACTGAGCCAGTGAGACATTTCCTGTGAGCAGAAGGAGCTGCAGACTCACCACTACTGTTAGGTTACTTGAGCATATGTGTGTGTGTAATTTTAAAAAATGAAATAATTATATATATATTATTCTTCATTTTGCTTTTTTATATTATTCTTTGACTTTTGGCCTTACAATATCCTGTAGACATACTTCCATACCAATTCATGTATTGTCATCTCATTCTCTTTGAGGGAAGCACAGTATTCTATCACATAAAGGTATACTAATTTATTAACTTATTATCTATAGAAGGTTATTTGGGTATTTTTTTTCCCTTTCAAGTTTTTGTCATTACAGACAATGCTACTGTTAATATGCTTGTATATATTATGTTTTATTGATTCTCAGAGGCATATTTTTTTCACATTTTGGTATCTATGAAATCCTACAATTGTTATACAGTCAGTCAGGTGGCTGCCAAGAACATAATTGTCATTGTCCATCTATGCATCATATTGGTCATAGTTGCTCATAGTGCTGTCACTTCTATTTAGTTACGGACACTAGTGGTGCCATTTATTTCTTGAGATCAATTGCCTACTAAAACTTTTTCCAAAAAGCTACATTATGATTTGACATTGAGACATAGTGTTATAATATGTAAAGCGCAATGGGAACAGAACGGCAAAGTATAAGATCAACTTTCAGCATCAGAATGGGTGTCAGTGGATGGCGAGAAAGTTCTGGAAACAAAAAGAGCACATTTTGAAGAAATACTGCCTCACCAAACTCTGGATAGATAGCACATAGGATGTTATTATGTGGAAAAATATAGACACCAACAACTCTTAATTGAGAAGTGATTGAGAAGTGTTTGTTATATTCTGACCGTGAAGAAATTTTAGGAATGTCTCAATTAATTTTGCTTATATTTTTGTCTTATAATATACAATTAAAATTTAATATCTATGTTGGTCTGTAAAAGCTTTTTCAATCAGTATAAATTAGTTCCGTGAGATAAGAAAATAATTGTGGTGGCTGGGGGCGGTGGCTCACACCTGTAATTCCAGCACTTTGGGAGGCCAAGGTGGGCGGATCACTTGAGGTCAGGAGTTCGAGACCAGCCTGCCCAACATGGTGAAACCCTGTTTCTACTACAAATACAACAATTAGCCAGGTGTGGTGGTGCATGCCTGTAGTCCCAGCTACTTGGGAGGCTGAGGCAGGAGAATTGCTTGAACTCAGGAGGCAGAGGTTGCACTGAGCTGAGATTGTGCCACTGCACTCCAGCCTGGGAAACAGAGAGAGACTACATCTCAAAAAAAAAAATTCTTTAAAATCTTCGTGTAAGTTTTGGACATTTCTAGTTAGGTTTATTTCTAGGTATTTGAAGTTTGCTTGTGATATCCCATCTCATGAATATGGATCTTTTTATTTTTCTATTATATTCTGCTACTTGTTGTATTAGTTTTCTGTTGCTGCTATGACAAGTTACTGCAAACTTAGTGGCAGAAAATAACATGAGGGCTGGGTACAGTGGCTTACATTTATAATCCAGCACTTTGGGATGCTGAGGTAGGAGGATTGCTTGGAGGCTGAGGTGGGAGCCCAGGAGTTCAAGCCCAGCCTGGGCAACATAGAAACCCTGTCTCTACAAAAAAATTAAAATAAATAAAAAATAAGCCGGACGTGGTGGTGTGTGCCCGTGGTCCCAGCTACTTGAGAGACTGAGGCAGGGGGATCACTTGAGCTCAGGAGGTCAAGGCTGCAGTGAGCCATGATCAGGTCACTGTACTCCAACCTGGGTGACAGAACAGGACCCTGTCTCAAAAAAACAAAACAAAACAAAAACTAAAAGCAACATGAATTTAGTGTCTTATAGTTCTGGAGGTCGGAAGTGTGAAATCAGTTTCACTAAGCTGTAATCAAGGTGTCAGTAGGCCTGTGTTTCTTCAGGGGCGGGGGGTATCTAGGGGAGAATCTATTTCCACGCCCTTTCCAGTTTCTAGATCCTGCCTATACTCCTTGGCTTGTGGCTCCATCCGCCATATTTAAAGCTCATCAGTTTAACCTCTGCTTCCGTTCTTAAATCTTCTAACTCTTATGTTCTTGTTGCTCTCTTATAAGGATGTTTGTAATCACATTGAGCTCATCTGGACAATTCAGGATAATCTCACTGTCTTAGTCACCTCTACAAAGTGTTTCTGCCATGTAAGGTAACATACAGGTTCCAGGGACTAGGATGTAGACATGCTGGTGGCGGGTGGGGGTCATTATTTAACCTACCATACTTGTTCTTGAAGATAGATAGAAAATGATCAGTTTTTGTATGTTGCCTTTCTGTTATTTTCAAACAGTTTCATGTTTGATTAGTTGAGTCTCTTAGATTTACTGGCAGTTGCATCATTTGTTGCTCTTTCTGGCATTTATAGCTCATTTTTTTTTCTTGCCTTTTTCTGCATTGTCTAGAATCTCTTGAATAAGGCTCAGTAATAGCTACAAGACCAGACATCCTTGTATTGTTCTTAACTTTACTAGAAATTGCTTAATTGCTTTACCACTGAGTGTGGTGGTTTCTTATAAACCCTATTAAACTAAGGCGTTTCTGTCAAATGAAGTCCTAGCTCACTAAGATTTCAAGTTAACAAAGTATATTAAATGTATTAACAGTTCCATTTATAAAAGTAACCACATGGTTTCTCTCTTTTAACCTATTAATAGCTTTTCCAATAATGATACTCTCTGTATTCTGGGAATAAATCTTTGGTCGTAGTGTATTGTTCTTTGAATGTACTACTGACTTCTTTGTGCTAATATTTTATTTTGGATTTTTGTATTTATATCAACAAGCAAATTTGGCATAGGATGTTTAGTGATTGGCTGTGCCATCCTTGTACAGGTCGGGCATTGTGGATTATTTAGTCATATTAAATGATTTGGGGACCCTTCCACCTTTTTGTATAGTCTAGAACTGTTTAAATACTATTGGAGTTATTTGTATTTTGAAAGTTTCAGAAGTGTAACTTTGGACCACTACTACTAATCTCCAAACCTGTCTCTACCCAGCTGTGGGTCTGCATTAACCTGGAATCATCTGTACTCCTCCTGTTCCTTACCACCTGTTCATCTTTTCCTCCTGTTCCCTACCTGCTCCGTGTTGCAACATTTGAGGTACAGCTTGTGACTTGTACAGGTTTTCTTTGTGCCAAGCTGCCCAATCCATAGAGAGGAGTCGTGTCTACCAACTTGGCTTCATTTGTAGGAACCTGTCAGGCCAGGGAGTTACAAAATACAGCCTTACCTTTCATGAGACCTTCCTTTTTTCACGTAATTTGGGAGTTGTCTTTATCACTCGTTAATCATCACAGTGTTCCTGTGAAACTTCTTAGCAAGTCTGCTCTATTATTTCCACTTTAGGGACAGAGATCCTTATTGAAGGAAGTAACCTCTGATGTCAGGGTTTTGAATAAATAGTCTTTCTTGACTACTTGGATGGGTGTACCTCCACATTAAACTGTATCAGATCTGAACTGTCTTTTAGATTGATTACTATGAAACTGAGCAGAGGACAAGAAATATTTCTTTGCTCACAAGAGATAAGGAAGCCCAAACCAAGAGAATCCCGCCACCTCCTATTCTTTTCCTCATGAAAAACCTGATTGCTTCAAAGCACTTTTTTCAGTTCCTCAAGGAGCAATTCTCTGCTGAAATGTTGCTCTTAGCTCAGAATTTCGAACCGACACTTATTTGTATAAATGAGGGTATACAAGGTCCAGGACAAATAGTTGTAATTTTAGCTTAGTAAGCCAAGGAAGCTTGCAGTAAATAGACTCAAATAATTTTTTTCCTTTTTCTTTTCTTTTTTTTTTTTTTCTTGAGACAGAGTCTCACTCTGTCACCCAGGCTGGAGTGCAGTGGCACAATCTCTGCTGACTGCAACCCCCGCCTCCCAGGTTCAAGCGATTCTCCTGCTTCAGCCTCCCAAGTAGCTGGGACTACAGGCACACACCACCACGCCCAGCTAGTTTTTGTATTTTTAGTAGAGATGGGGTTTCGCTATGTTGGCCAGGCTGGTCTCGAACTCGTGGCCTCAAGTGATCTGCCTGCCTTGGCCTCCCAAAGTGCTGGGGTTACAGGCGTGAGCCACTGTGCCCGGCCCACTCAAATAATTCTTAAGAGGGGTCCTCCGATTAGGTATCTTTGGATCTGAAATCTTTCATCAAGACTGAGTTTACCTAGATATAAAAGTGGTATTACTTTGAGACTGCTACCACTAATTTCTAAATTAAAATACTGTTGAACTCATGCTAACACTTATCCTTGGAAAAATGGCTCAATTAAAAGGTAGCATTTTTTCTATAGAGTGTAAATTGATTTCTCATTTCTTTTCCACTACAGTAAAACAGACCATCAGTAACATTTCAGGATTTAATGAAACCTGCTTGAGATGGAGAAGCATCAAGACAGCTGATATGGAGGAGATGTATTTAGTAAGTGACTGAAAGTTACTGTATTTATAGATGGTTGTCTTATGTGGGAGGCTTAAAAATACCCACAAACCTAAAAATCTACATCTATAACTATCATTATCAGTAGACGATTTACTGTGACAATTGCATCAAGAAGCAAGAAGATGGCCACTTCTGTGTATTTAAAGACAGTGGCTGGGCACAGTGGCTCACATTTGTAATCCCAGTACTTTGAGAGGCTGAGGCGGGCGGATCACTTGAGGCCAGGAGTTAAGACCAGCCTGGTCAACATGGTGAAACTCTGTCTCTGCTAAAAATATAAAAATTAGCCGAGCGTAGTGGCGCATAGCTGTAATCCCAGCTATTCAGGAGGCTGAGGCAGGAGAATAGCTTGAACCCAAGAGGTGGAGGTTTCTGTTAACCAAGATCGCGCCACTGAACCCCAGCCTGGGTGACAGAGCAAAACTTTGTCTCGAAAAAAAAAAAAAAAGGAGGGGGAAGACTGGGATGAACTTCTACTGGAAGAAATTAAGTAAGAACAAAAGGGTGTCTCTTGGCCGAAGTGTCAGGGTGGTTAAGGAAAGGGTAGGGTCACCAGAAGCTGGCAGGAAGAGGAGAAAAACTGTTCTCAGGTTCTAGCAGACCAGCTACGAGTATTCTAATTCAGGTCCTGCTTAGTTTGGATTCCTAATATTCTTTCTAGGAAAATGTTCTTGTCCTTGCTCCTGCAGTTTTGCCAATAGACTTTCTTGTTGTGTATGTGCACTGTATGTGTGAGAATAAGGAGAAAGCTGCCAGTATTGGGACCTTAGCCTTTTGTGTGTTTTTATTTAAAAATATATTTATTATACAAATAATATTTTAAGTACAATATTTATAGTATTGCAACTCTAATATTTGCTTACTGCTGCATTTCACCTTTTGAAGAAACATTAGAGTCCAGAGAGAGAGAGAGAGGAAGAAAGCTCATGAAAACGGGAAGGGGCTGGGCGCGGTGGCTCACGCCTGTGATCTCAGCACTTTGGGATTCGAGGTGGCAGATCACTAGAGCTCAGGAGTTTGAGACCAGCCTGGGCAACATGGCGAAACCCTGTCTCTACAAAAAATACAAAAATTAGCTGGATGTGGTGGCATGCATCTGTGGTCCCAGTTACTTGGGAGGCTGAGGAGGGAGGATCACTTGAGCCTGGGAGGTTGAGGCTGCAGTGAGCCGAGGTCATGCCACTGCACTCCAGCATGGGTGACAGAGTGAGGCCCCCATCTCAAAAAAAAAAAAAAAAAAAGAGAAAGAAAAAGGAAAAGGGGAGGTTTCAAGGCATCTAAAGCCTTTTAGGCCAACCATTCACCCAGTGAGCTTTTTTATGTTTCAGTTCCACATTTGGGGCCAGAGATGGTATCAGAAGGAATTTGCCCAGGAAATGACCTTTAATATCAGTAGCAGCAGCCGAGATCCCGAGGTGTGCTTGGACCTACGTCCGGGTACCAACTACAATGTCAGTCTCCGGGCTCTGTCTTCGGAACTTCCTGTGGTCATCTCCCTGACAACCCAGATAACAGGTAAATCTTGAATAACAGCATTTGGATTAACAAAGTTACCACAGAATTGTTCATAGGTCCTGATAAAGAGGAACACTGTTGCTTTTTATCATTATATAATGAACTTTAACAGGGAGAGGAGGAAGGACATGGAATTGGAGAGGTGCCTTAAGGCGCCTCTGTGACTGTTATGTTTCATTCTTTTTTCTTTTTTTGAGGCAGGGTCTTGCTCTGTCGCCCAGGCTGGAGTGCAGAGGCACGATCATGGCTCACTGCAGCCTTGACCTGGGCTTAAATGATCCTCCTGCCTCAGCCTCTTGAGTAGCTGGGATTATAGTTGTATAGGCCACCATGCCTGGCTAATTTCTGTATTTTTTGTAGAGACGGGGTTTCACTATGTTGCCTAGGCTGGTCTCGAACTCCTGGGCTCAAGCAATCCACCTGCCTCGGCCTCCCAAAGTGCTGGGATTACAGGTGTAAGCCACTGCGCCCAGCCTGTTATGTTTTATTTTTAAAAAGATACCTAATAACCACAGGGGAGGTCTGTGGGGAGGGGGAGGGGGAAGATACCTGAAACAAAATGTCAGCATTGATGAAATGTGGGTAGTGTGTCCATCCATGGTGTTGGTTGTATAGCTTCTGGATATTTAAAGCATTTAAAATACTTTATACTTAAACAAAAAATGCTTGTGGCTCTTTCTTTCTCAGGAATATTTAGTTGGCATCCTGTTGCAAGTACTTTAAGAGTAGATTACTAGCTAGGCACAGTGGCTCAAACCTGTAATCCCAGCACTTTGGGAAGCTGAGGAGGGTTGATCATGTGAGGATCATTTCGAGATCAGCCTGGCTGACGTGGTGAAACCCCACCTCTACTAAGAATACAAAAATTAGCTGGGTGTGGTGTCAGGTGCCTGTAATCCCAGCTACTCGGGAGGCTGAGGCAGGAGAATTGCTTGAACCCAGGAGGTGGAGGTTGTGTTGATCTGAGATCGCACTCCAGCCTAGGCAACAAGAGCAAAACTCCATCTCAAAAAAAAAAAAAAAAAAAAAAAAAAAAAAGTAGATTACTATCAGGGGACAATGATTGTAGTCCTCCGGCTATAGGGCCCCAGTAAATTCACTTTCCACTCATTTTCTCCTCCCTCTTCACATCTGTGACCCCCACTTCACACATGCTCTGAGCAAATACTAAGCATATTAGCTTCTTGATTCTTATTTCACTGAGAAATTAGAAGTAGTCAGGTGAGGACTTCCCACGCTCAGCCCTGCCGTTCCTCCTTGCATCCTGTTCTGCCTCCCTTCCTGTCCCTGCTCGTGTGTAAGGCTGCCATCCCCTCAACTTGTGCCTTAGATCCCATCCCTTCTTCCCTGATCAGCACTTCCCCTCAATACAGAATTATCCCCAGCATTGCCTAGCATGTTGCAACATCCTCCTTGTGAACGAAAAGAAAGAAAAAATGAGCAGACCTTCTTTGAGCCCATATTTGTCTTCAGCTACTTTGCCTTCTCTCTGCCCCTTTCTATAAAAACTCCTTGAAAGAAATGGCTGTTCTGTAGGCTCCACAGCCCTACCTCCTGTTCTCACTTTCACTCATCCCACGTGGGAAACATACGTCTTCATTGCTTTACTGAAAGGCTCTTCGTTTGATCTCCGTCTTGCCAAATCCAATGGCCAGTTTTGTTCTTATCTGATTTCTTCGATAGCGTTGACACTCCCTCCCTCTTGAAACCCCCTCTCCCTTAGTTTTGGTTCCTTCTGCCTTGCTGTCCCCTCTCAGTCTTCTTTGCTAGCTCCATCTACTTTTATGACCCCTCTTCAGCCTCCTTTTCTTCATTATCTACCCTTTCTGCTTAGGTGATCTCAACCAGTCTTATGGCTATAACTATTACCTATATGCAGAGGATTTCCAAAGATCAATTTCTAGTCCCAGCCTCTCCTTTGAGCACCAGACTCCTATATCCACCCAACTTCTACACATGTCCTATTGAACATCTAATACGCAAATCAAACGGAACTTGTGATTTCTCACCTCTGCCCTCGCCCCCAAATCGGTTTCCACCCAGGCTTCTCTGTTTCTATCTGTTACTTTCTGTCTGTTATTGGAATTTCTGTTCACCCAATTGTTCAGACCAAAAACAAGTCCTAATTGGTTCTATCCCATCCCCAAATTTCTAATCTGTCAACAAGCCCTGTTGGCTTGCTGTCTGAAATATATTCTGAATTCCACCACTTCTCCCCACCTGTGCCTTTTCCACAACTACCCTAATCCAAGACAGCCACCTCTTGCTTGGATTCCTGCTGTAGTTTTCAAACTGGTTTTCTCTTGCCTATATACCTCCCACCCTGGACCTTAGTCTTAGTCTTCACCATAACTTTCAAAAGATCACTCAGCACTCAGAGTGATCTTTTAAAAATGCATTTGGGAACATGTCAGCACCAGCTCAAAACTCTCCAGTGAGTTTCCATTAAAGTTAGAATGGAATCCAAGTTCCTCATCATAGGACATGTCATCTGGCCCCTGCCTACTTCTAATTCATCTCCCCCTGCTCTCCTCCTTTCCCATTAAGCATCAGCTGTCTCCCTGGCCTTCTTGCAGTTCCTTCAATGGGTCAAAGTTTTTCCAGCCTCCAGACTTTTCCATCTGCAGTTCACACTTCCTGGGACACTGTCAACATATGGCTTCTCCATAGTTGTTCAGGTGCCTGCTCAACTGCCATCACCAGCCTCCACGCTAGTACTCTGTATCTACTTACCCTGCTTCAATTTCTTCATAGAGCTTCATATTAATAAAAAATATTAATTATTAGTTTTTAGAGATAGGGTCTCACTCTGTCACCCAGGCTGGAGTGCAGTGGTGCAATCATAACTCACTGCAGCCTTGAGCCCCTGGGCTGTAGCAATCCTTCTGCCTCAGCCTGCTGAGTAGCTGGGACTATAGGCGCTCACCACCATGCCTGGCTAATTACAAAAGGGATTTTTTTGTTTTTATTTTTTGTAGAGATGAGGGTCTCCCTATGTTGCCTAGGCTGGTCTTGAACTTCTGGCCTCAAGTGATCCTCCCATCTCACCTCCCAAAGTGCTGAGATTATAGGCATGAGTCTCTGTGCCCAGCCTAGAGCTTGTTTTCTAAAAACTTATTTTTTTTTTATTTTCTTTCTCTCCCACTAAAATAGGAGCTTCCTGAAGACAGTGATTTTTGTCTGTATGTTTTACATTCAACCCTCAGTGGGTAAGAATGGTACTGATAGATAGCATAACAGCCCAAAATTTTAAAATAACAGCCAGTGGGTGGTATTGGTGTTGAGGAGATGTCTGGTTAGGCAATGAATTCTGGCTACCAGAAAGAATTCCCCACATTTTGGGCTGGAGAGACAAGTGGTGTTCAGTCTGGGCATTTCTTTCTGTGGTGACTTATTAAAATGAATAGCGACTCCATCTCCATTTCCTACTCTGTGGTCTTTCTCATATTTGGATGCTGTGCTTTTCTGGTTTGAAGGACCGTTGCATATTTTTTTGAGTAAAGGGGAGGGGGTTTCATCTTGATGAGACACTTACTCCTTGTTTGGTAGGCTGAATAGAGCTTTAGTGGCTCAAGTTCCCTCTCTCTGTGCTCATGGCCACCAGGGGACATTGTTGAGCTGTTTAATGTTCATTGAGATGCCTATTTTCCAACTCTACCCACTTTAAAGGACTCGTAATTTTAAAGAAGCATAAAAAAATCAAGTTGCTTTGATCTTATGAAAGAGTTAAAAAAAAAAAAAAACCAACCCCTTTCTTTTATAAAAGGAGGAAAAAAGAGAAGCTTATGTGTTGATGTGCAGAGATACTCGTGGTTTCCTAAGAAGTGTGTGGCCTTATTTCGGTAAAATCATGAACTTTTGAATTTTGGCAGATGTGTTAGGCTAAGGATTTGGGTCTGGACAATGTAGCTGCTCATTTCCCAGAAGGAAAGAGAGTGGAATTTCCCTTCTGAGTGTCTTACGTTAAATCTTACTGATGGGAACAGGATGAAAACAAGTGCTTTAAATACATCGCTGACCTCAGAGGACAGTGAAGGTTCTAGGAATGTTGAGGGACAGAGGCAAGTGTTTCGGTGAATGCAGGAAAGCAGGGGCTGGCGAGGGGGTGGGTGAGATGGAGCTGTGGCCTCACGGTGTTTCTGACTCTTGGCTGATAGGCTGCAGACGGCACATTGAACTGAATTCTTCAGGATAGCCCCACGGCACGCATCCCCTTTAGGACAGGGTGAGGAACAAACTTTCATCCTTGATGCAGGCCCCAAAGAGTCAGAAGAGCATCCACATGTTGAGTGTGCTATTTTCTTTTTCTTTTTTTTTGTTTTGAGACAGAATTTCGCTCTGTCACCCAGGCTGGAGTGCAGTGGCGTGATCTGAGCTCACTGCAACCTCCACCTCCTGAGTTCAAGTGATTCTTATGTCTCAGCCTCCCAAGTAGCTGGGATTACAGGTGTGTGCCACCACGCTTGGCTAATTTTATATGTTTAGTAGAGATGGGGTTTCACCATGTTGGCCAGGCTGATCTTGAACTCCTGGCCTTAAGTGATCCGCCCACTTCGGCCTCCCAAAGTGCTGGGATCACAGGTGTGAGCCACTGCACTGGCCTCCTTCCCTTCCTTTCCCTTTCCCTTTCTTTTTTTGAGACAGTCTTGCTCTGTTGCCCAGGCTTGCTCTGTTGCTTACGCAGTGGTGTGATCTCGACTCACTGCAACCTCTGCCTCCCAGGTTCAAGCGATTCTCATGCCCCGACCTCCCAAGTAGCGGGAATTACAGGCACACATCACCAGCCCCGTCTAATTTTAAAAATATATTTTTAGTAGAGATGAGGTTTTGCCATGTTGTCCAGGCTGGTCTCAAACTCCTGACCTCAAGTGATCTGCCTGCCCTTAGCCTCTCAAAGTGCTGGGATTACAGGCATGAGCCACTGTCCAGCTGAGTATGCTATTTTCTTGCTAAGTCTAAAAGCTTTGTAGGCAACATTTTCTTATATAGAGAGAGAAAGAGGAAACCAGAGAGAGGAGGATGGGGGTGGGTGGGGGCGGGGTGGGGAAGAGAGAGAAAGAGAGAGAGAGAGAGTGAGCGTGAGAAAGCCAATACATACGTAAATGTGGAGATAAACCAGACCACTTGTCTTACACAACATGGTGATCATTTGAGATGGAATGTTTATTATGGAACCAAGCATGCTGGAGGAGCAAAGGGAAGAAAAGATGAAAAGGAAATTATTTATTCCCATGTCTTCAGTACCAAGGCTGGCAACTTCTTCAAGAAATTTCCCATCTCTCATTGTATTCATAACAAGAAAAAGGAAAGTACTTTTTCAGACGGTTAGGAAAACAACAGAAAACACAGGAGTGTCCCAGGCATTTATCAGATTGTCACTTTATCAGAGAGGTCCAGCCAGGACTGCCCTGATCCTCCCTGCCCCTGCCTCTGACACCGCCCTCCACAATGGGATGTCCTCAGGGAAGACTGTGCAGGACTAGGTCTCTTGGTTTCTTTTACCGAGGCTTCTCTTTCATGGTTGGTTACCCACAAACCATCCAAGGATGCTGTACCCCTGTGTCCTCAGTGAGAAACCCATCTCCCCTGGCTGGTTCCAAGGTACCACACTTATCCCTGGGGGCCCCCCTGGCTCCAAGGGGGCTGAAGCTGTACCACAGGTCAGCAGAGGGACTGGCCTTCATGCCAGCTGTTTTCCTTTCCAAGTCTTCCGTGGACACAGGCTCTTTTGATATCTGGAGCCCTAACATTAGGTCACGCTAGGAGAGGCATGTTTGCCCTTCCATGCTTCCACAGTCCACGTATTTCTCTCATTCCCAGAAATCTCCCAACTGCTTTCTAGCTTCAAAACAAACCCCAAGCCCCCAAGTAAATGGCTGTGTGGGGATGGGTGTCTCCCAGACCCTCTTGCTACCAGCATCTGAATCTCAGCCAAAGTTAGCTTTTATAAAACGTGCATGAGAAGGTATTCTTAGATCAGAAGCCTGGAAACTAGGGTTTCTGTGTGTGTTGGGAGAGGGGGAGGGGCTTGCTGAGCTGTAACAATTTAATTTAGCAAATATTTATTTATTTACTTGTATTTGTTAAAAATGAGATGGGTTGGCCAGGCACGGTGGCTCATGCCTGTAATCCCATCCCAGCACTTTTGGAAGCTGAGGTGGGTGAGTTCGAGACCAGCCTGGCCAACATGGTGAAACCCAGTCTCTACTAAAAATACAAAAATTAGCTGGGTGTGGTGTGGGTGCTTGTAATCCCACCTACCTGGGAGGCTGAGGCAGGAGAATCTCCTGAACCCGGGAGGCAGAGTTGCAGTGAGCTGAGATTGTGCCACTGCAGTCCAGCCTAGACAACAGAGTGAGACTCCGTCTCAAAAAAAAAAACAAAAAAAAAAAAAAAAGAGAAAGAAAGAAATAAAAAAGAATAAAAATAAATAAATAATAAAAGGAGATGTCTTGAGAAGTCACTAGCAAATATTTTTCGATTGGTTATGTACAAAGACCTGTGCTGCCTACTGAGGATGTACATGTGAAAAGAAATTGGTTTCTTCTCCTTGGGAGGTGAAGTCTCATAACTTTATTGATGGAGAAGATATATCTAGCTGATGACTTGTAGTGGAAGACACTATTTTTTCTGTTGCCTTCAATTTTAATTTACCATGCCTTGGATGGGATGATATATCTGGAGAGGTGCCTGAGGATTAGAAAAGAACCATCATGCTGTGTTTATTTTTCTACCTACTTTTTATTATAGAAAATCCAGAAAAGTAGCATTGTACTGGGTTTTTGGGCGGTGGAGTTGTGTTTTAATTCAATTGTTTGTGTTTACTTGAAGTTTGCAGTACAAAGTTGGAGACGTTGCTTAGTTTTGATGCAGATAAAATTTTCTTCCATTTTTGGTTCTTTTTGTTCATTTTGATGGGTTTTACATAGAGACATTTTAACACATTTGTACTTATACTACCCTTTTTCTTTGGTTGATTTAATAGTTTACCTTCATTAGTGATATTAATATTTTGATAAATATTACAAATTCCTACTCCAAGGCTATTTACTCTTTTGTTTTCTTTTCAATTTTTTTTGAGACTGAGTTTCATTATGTTGCCCTGGCTGGAGTGCTGTGGCACAATCATAGCTTACTGCAGCCTCAAACTCCTGGGCTCAAGCAGTCCTCCTGCCTCAGCCTCCCAAGTAGCTGAGACTACAGGTGCATGTCACCACACCCTGCTAATTTTTTCTTTTTGTAAAGATGAGGTCTTACTATGTTGCCCAGGCTGGTCTCAAACTCCTGAGCCCAAGCAATCATTTTTGCCTAGGCCTCCCAAAAAGCCAGGATTATAGGTGGGAGCCACTGCACCTGACCTACTTTTTTGCACTTAAAATTTAGTTTCAGGCTGGGCACAGTGGCACATTCCTATAATTCCAGCGCTCTAGGAGGCTGAGGAGAGAGGACTGCTTGAGTCCAGGAGTTCAAAGCTGCAGTGAACTATGATCATGCCAGTGCACCCCAGCCTGGGCGACACAGTGAGACCACTTTTCTACAACAAACAAACAAACAAAACCAAAACAAAACCACTTAGGTTCATTTGGAATTTATTTTGATGTCTGATATGAGGCTAAATTTACATTGTAATTTTTCTCCCCAGCTGTAAGCCAGTTCCCTATCACCTTTGGAACTACTGACCATCCATGCCACCTGGTGCATTTCTTTGGGTCTCTTTCCAGACTGTCTAGCTTTTTTTCACTGTTTGTCTGTCCTGTGCGTGTACTTTACTATTTCAATTGCTGTAATTTTATGATACATTTAATATTTTTTTTTGCAGAGCAAATTCTCCTTCATTACTTTTCCCCACATTTCCCTCCATGTGAGGATTTCTTTTGCCATTTGCTTCTAGCAGAGGAGGGATATTCCTGACATCCGAGGATGGTAATGAAGGTCTCTGTTCTGGTTCCTCTCCCATCTCACACACCCAAGGTGAAAGAGCTATATTTTCCAGCACAGGCAGGACCCATTTCTTGCCTTGGGTCTAAATCAGTTTAAATCAGTAACGAGGTTGATGGAAAGGAGAGCAGGTCTACCCAGGACATCAGTTTGGGAGACAAGGAAGAGCACCTTGGAAAATTCAGCTGAAAGTCAAGTTTGTTCCACCTCGAAATGTGGCTGAGAACCAGCCTGACGAGGCTTAGGCTTGTACATTGGAGAGAAAAAGTAGACTGTTTAAAATATAAGGCAGCGGCTGGGCGTGGTGGCTCATGCCTGTAATGCCAGCACTTTGGGAGGCCGAGGCAGGTGGAATCACCTGGGGTCAGGAGTTCGGGACCAGCCTGGCCAACATGGAGAAACCCCGTCTCTACTAAAAATACAAAAATCAGCCGTGTGTGGTGGTGCATGCCTGTAATCCCAGCTACTCGGGAGGCTGTGGCAGGAGAATTGCTTGAGCCCGGGAGGCGGAGGCTGCAGTGAGCTGAGATCACACCATTGCACTCCAGCCTGGGCGACAAGAGCGAAACTCCATCTCAAAAAGCAAAAGCAAAAACAAAAACAAAAACAAATAAAATAAAATATAGGGCAGGGAGACCTTAGGCAAACAGAGCAGAAAATGGTCTCAAAGTCACATGTTGATTGAACCAGATGACTGTGGTGCCTTGAAAACTGTGACTCTAGATTGGGAAAGAGTGACATCACCTGGACCAAGCAGGGGGATGGCCTTCCTGCTCGGTCTGCAGTTGCCTCTTCTGAGCTCAGTGAGTACTTTGTTCTGCTTCTCCTGTGTGGTTTTAAAATGTTAGCCAAGAGATTAGAGGAACTAGAATTATTACTCTTGGAGTAAAGAGCTGGTGGGGGCGGGGCGGGGTGGGGTGGGGCGGAGTTCTCACACAGAAAAGAGTGACCAGTTAATCTCCACCTTGGCTGAGAAGAGGAGACACGTAATAAAAAAAGTTAATTTTACTGTGACAACAAAACGTCACAAGTGAAAGGGCATTTCGGTGATAGCAAAGGGCCTGAGGGCAGTTCGATCTCAAAGGGGAAGGGGTACGTTCCCAGGGGACATGTGTGGGCTTTTCCTCTCTCCTCCATCACTGCCACAGGAATCCAGCTGTTGTCTTCTCAGCTGTATCCTACAGAATCTCTCTCTGGACTGCTCTTGAAAATAGCATAGACCTTCATTTCAACAAATGAGTGATGTGAGGCCTAGACTCTAAGCAGAGGCTTTTCCAGGTGACCTCCTGGGACACCTGGCAATGCCGCAGGTTTAGGAAAAACATGATCTATATTGCAGTGTCTAAGAGACTCTGGGAGAAATTCTAGACCTAACACTGTTTCATAAAGGCCACAGAGTTCTCTTACTCTTCCACCTGGTCTTAGAGCCTGGGTTTCTCGGTGGTCCGCCCTTGGCCCCCATCTCTCCTCACATACTTTGATACTGGCTCCCTGGTGGCCACGTTCACTCCTCCCTGTGAGCTGCCTCTGTATCTCCACCATGGGGTTTGCTCCTAGGCTCCAGACCTATGTTTCTAACTGCCTGCTGGAGGATTCCTTATACACTTCAACCTGAACAGACCTAGAAGTGAGCTGCTTCTCGTCTTCCCCCAGACTTGGTAAATGACATCACTGCTGACTTGGTTGCCAGATTCCTGCCGTCTCTCCCCTGAGCAAGGTTTCCGTTTGTTCCCTCTTCTCCATTCTCAGTGCTCTCACTTGCAGCAGACCTCGAGCACTTCCGACCTGGATTATTGGACAACCTGTATTTTTGCCCTTTTTCTATTCATCCTTTGATCAGCTCTCTAAGTTGTATTTTTGAAGTGCAGAACGGCTAAAAATATTTTTTTTTTTTTTTTTTGAGACAGGGTCTAGCTGTTGCCCAGGCTGGAGTGCAGTGGTGCAATCTTGGCTCACTGCAACCTCTGCCTCCCGGGCTCAAGCAATCCTCCCACCTTGGCCTCATGAGTAGCTGGGATCACAGGTGTACACCACTGTGCCTGACTAATTTAAAACATTTTTTGTAGAGACAAGGTTTCACCATGTTGCCCAAGCTGGTCTTGAACTCTTGGCCTCAAACAACCTGCTTGCCTCAAGTGCTGGGATTACAGGCATGAGCCAGTGCACCCAGCCTGCTAAAAATCTTTCAATGGCTTCTTATTACTTCTGGAACCTCAGATCTCTCAGATCTGACCCACACCTACCCCTCTAACTTGACCACCTACTTCTACTCTGCCAGACCTCAACCTTTCAGCCAGGAACTCCATGTAGTTCTATCCCTCCCTGCCACCACCTCATGCCTCTGCAGATGTCTATTTCCGTGTTTGATAGGCTCAGCTCCCTGCCTTCAGTTAGATGTTCCTCCTCACATCCACAGTGCTCTGTATATAACTCCATCACAGCTCTGGGCACTACCTTTACAAAACTGTCTCCATGATTACACTCCAAGCTCCCAGAAAGCAGAAAGCATGTCTTCTGTGCTTGTCTCCCCCAGCCTAGCACAGAGCCTGCGGCAGAGGTGGCTAATGGGTGTTTGTTGAATGCAGATATATGAATAATATATATAGTAGTGCTTTAACAACTGTAAAGGTCCAGGCAGGTCTAAGTTTTTATTTATTATAATTTGAGATTGAGGGTTTCTACCCCAAAGCTATTTTCTAATCTGGTAAATACAGTCTTGAGAATCTATTTTGGCCTCAGAGTCCTTCAGTTCACAGTGGCAGGGTTTAGGGCTAGGGTGGGGGGATTGGGGGGGAGGCATTCATACATATGTTTTTAATAGCTCTTTCTCTTTCCTTCCATCATGCCCTTCCTCCCTTGCCCTACTGAGCTGATGCAGTGATAGACTTTGAAGGAGGGGTGGTTTAGTCCAGGGTCTAAAGGGGATTCTTAAGGCAGTTCTTCCTGCTGTCCTCACTGTCTCCACCACCCAAGGGGTTTAGCATTTGCCTGGAATTCACAGCAATTCTTCTTGCACAAATGCATAAGGACCACTTCCCTACCGTGTTCACTTGGCCTAGCACCAGAGTTCCTGCCAGTACACAGCTGAGGGTTCTGCCTTTCCACAGAATACCAAGGCGCTGGATGCATTCTATAGTCAGGGCTCTTTTGGTTGCAAGTGACAGAAACCCAACTCCAACCAGCTTAAGCATGTGGAATCTGTGGGATCACAGAACTGGGAAGGCCCAGGATGGATCTTGTTTGGAGACAGCAAGCTTCAGTCACACGTGGTGTCACCACAGGCCCGTTGCTCTTCCAGCCATGAGGCCCTCTTTCTGCCAAATTCTTCCAGCCAGACCTGGGAGGATGGACATTGTACTATTGGCCTACCTGGTACTTACAGCTACAATCTAAGAAGAAGAATAAAACCCTCCAATCTTCTAGGCCTGGTGTGGTGGCTCACGCCTGTAATCCCAGCACTTTGGGAGGCAGAGGTGGGCGGATCACCTGAGGTGAGGAGTGTTGAGACCAGCCTGGCCAACATGGTGAAACCCCATCTCTACTAAAAATACAAAAATTAGCTGTGCATGGTGGTGTATGCCTTGTAGTCCCAGCTACTCGGGAGGCTGAGGTAGAAGAAGAGCTTGAACCTGGGAGGCAGAGATTGCAGTGAGCCAAGATCATGCCACTGTACTCCAGCCTGGGTGACAGAGTGAGACTCCATCTCAAAAAAACAGATAAACAACAAAAAATAAAACCTCCAATCTCCTAAACAGATTGCTCTTTTTGAGCCATCTTCTGACTGGGGAATGGCAATCCATAATCACTGGGCCCTGGGCCAGTGGGGATTTGGAGTACTGGGAATGCTGGCCCCATAAGAACCATATGGGAAGGAGAAGGGCCGCTCTCCACAGAAAAAGGGATGCTGAGCACTTACATATAAAGTATGTAACATATGAAAAGACAACACGTACGGACTCGGAGAATCTCAGGCACAAGGTGTCCCATCTTTGGGAGTTTCGCGATTACAGGGTTGCAGCTTTCCATGGTCTCTTCCAGGTTTGTTTTCTTTCAAGCCCCGTTCATTCAGCAGAATGCCACTCCAGACCTGACTTAGGAACACTGCCTATTTCGCCTGGCTTCTGTTGCCACTCTCTGTGCTGTAAGGAACCCTCTTTCTATATTACAAGTCACAGTTCCCTGAATGACATTTCCTGTGTACTCAAGCTGGGAAGGAGCTAAACCTGTCCCTATGGTCTCCCTCCTGGGGTCATTTCTGAGTTTTTTCTTTTCTATTCATCCCTTCCCTTTGAACTTGCTAATTAAGAGATCCTTGGTGTTTGACACCCCAGGACCCCCAAGCTCTGTTCCTTACGGTCTCAGGCACAGAGGTCTCTCATTCCTCAGGGATTTGTAATTCCAGGTTTCTACTTCTAGGTCATGGTTTAATCTCAGGTAAAGTGAACGCAAGCATTGTCATGGCCTGGCAATGTAGCGAAGGAGACTTTGGAGTCAAATTACTGAGTTCCACACTTGGCTCGGCCGGCCGTCTTCTAGTGGTGTGACTCGGCCTGCCTGAGCCTTGATTTCCTCACTGATAAGATAGAGATGATTGTC
Organism: Homo sapiens; assembly: GCF_000001405.40. Classification (NCBI taxonomy): domain Eukaryota; kingdom Metazoa; phylum Chordata; class Mammalia; order Primates; family Hominidae; genus Homo; species Homo sapiens. Next base: position 112,066,003 of record NC_000009.12, on the reverse strand, counting down.
ACGCAGAGCTGCTGTGAGTATTTGTTGAAACAGCAGAGGCAAAGTTCCTAGCATAGAATTGGCAACTAGTAGCTCAAGTGATATCATACAGGTGCCAACAGGCGCTGACGGCTGCTGTGTTCCAGGCACTGTTTTATTCTCTTTACTTGTGTTGACTCATTAACTATTATTGTTAATCATTATGAATTGGCTCATTAATTCCCTCAACAGGCCTAACAGGTAGAGGTTGTTTCTACCCCTATTTAACAGATGAGGCTGCTGGAGGTATAAGTGATAGAACCAGGATAGCAACCCAAGTCCTGTGTTCCTACCCACTACATCGTATTATTTCTGCAGTTTAACTGTAGTCTAGCTTCTCTGATGTGAGCCACACTGGGTAGACCTCTAACTCTGCAGTAATTGTGGCAAGTGGATCATTTTATTGGAGCTGATGTGTTTGTAAAATCTTTGGGGATTCAGTGTTTTTATTTTTACTTTTTGAGACAGAGTCTCACTTTTTCGCCCAGGCTGGAGTGCAGTGGCACAATCTCGGCTCACTGCAACCTCTGCCTCCCAGCTTCAAGCAATTCACCTGCCTCAGACTCCTGAGTAGCTGGGATTACAGAGGTGTGCCACCATGCCTGGCTAATTTTTGTATTTTTTTACTAGAGATGGGATTTCACCATGTTGCCCAGGCTAGTCTCAAACTCCTGACCTCAAGTGATCCGCCCACCTCTGCCTCCCAAAGTGCTGGGATTACAGGCATGAGCCACTGTCCCTGGCCGGTGTTTTTAAAGTAGAGTTTGTTAGTTCACTCAAAGGGGATGAAAATTTGCCAGATCAATTGGTAGAACCAAATGTTTAAGATACCCCAAGGTGAATGAGAGGGGTGTGTAAGCAGAGCGTGAGTTCACATTCTGACTCTACGACTTGCTAATCGTGTGGCCTTTGGACAAGTAACAATCTGTCATGTATCAATTTCCTCATCTATAAAATGAGTTTTTCTGAGATAATAACTGTACTTGTTCCACCTCTGAGATTAGGGAAATTGAAGAAGATACATAAGCGTTAGAAAGGGATCAAAGTAATCAGTTTTATTGCTGGTAAAACTGGTTTGGGTCTGAGGCTTCTTTTTTTTTTTTTTTTTCTGAGACAGAGTCTCACTCTGTCACCCAGGCTGGAGTGCAGTGGCATGATCTTGGCTCACTGCAACCTCTGCCTGCCCGGTTCAAGCGATTCTCCTGCCTCTGCCTCCTGAGTAGCTGGGATTACAGGTGCCCGCCACCACGCCTGGCTAATTTTTGCATCTTTAGTAGAGACAGAGTCTCACCATGTTGGCCAGGCTGGTCTCAAACTCCTGGCCTCCGGTGATCCGCCTGCCTTGGCCTTCCAAAGTGCTGGGATTACAGGCGTGAGCCACCGCACCCCCGCACCCGGCCAAAATGAAGCTTCTTGAACTTCCTCCCACGCCTACACTTTGTGCCCCACCTATGGGGAAGTGGAAGCTATAATGCAGTGGTCCCCAGCCTTGTTGGTGCCAGGGACTGGTTTCATCAGAGACAGTTTTCCAACGGACTGGGGTGGGTAGGGGGATGGTTTCGGGATAAAATTGTTCCACCTCAGATCATCAGGCATTAGATTCTCATAAGGAGTGCACAATCTAGATCCCTTGTATGCACAGTTCACAATAGGGTTCATGCTCTTATGAGAATCTAATGCTGCCACTGATCTGACAGGAGGTGGAGCTCAGGCAGGAATGCTTGTCCACCTGCTGCTCACCTCCTGCTGTGTGGCCTGGTTCCTAACAGGCCACAGACTGGTACTGGCCCACCACCTGGGGTTGGGAACCCCGGCTATAGGGCAAATGTAGACCAGGCTTCAGGCAGGTGACTCAGGTTTGCCTAGAGATGGACAGTAGGACTGGGAGGTGGGAAATCACCTGTCCTGCATTCAGGCAGCCCCCACCCGCCCCCCCCCCAAAAAAAGAAAGAAAAATAAAAAAATAAGGATGGGGCTACATGGGAACTAGCTGTTTCACAAATCACAGGGATGGATAGAAGGCCAGGTGGAAGCTCTTTTCCTAATACTTTGGAGAGGGAAGAAGTTCCTACATTGCATGGGTAGGAACCCCAAGAGAGGAAGCAAATGATTGCTTCTATAAACATCATCCACTTGGTAGCCCTGTTGAGAAGATTAAGTAAGATGGGGCATATGTAGAACATCTCTAGTGTGAATGGTTAGTGCCCAGTATGTCTTACTTAGCGTGTTACCCACAAGGCAGAATGGCAGTTAGCACATTTATACCATGACTGTAACTACCAGTGAGCAAGAACGCTGGTGTCAGCCAGTCAGTGTAGTTTCCTCCGGATGGAAAACCTATTTGGGAAATCTTGTTGCTGGGGGCGGGAAAATAAGGACAGAGAGCTCTGTGATTATAAAGGATATTGAAGGCTGATGTGGTGGTCTTCCCTACCAAGTAGGAATCTACCCACCAAGCAAACTGTAATACTCACCACATCTATCCTCTGCCAGTGCCATGATATACTCATCACTTCTTTTTATTGTGGCAAAATACACATCACATAAAATGTGCCATTTTAACATCTTGAAGCACACAGTTTATTGGCATGTTGTGCAACCCTCACCACTGTGTATTTCCAAAATTTTTTCATCACCCCAAGGAGAACCTCTGTGACCATTAAGCAATATGTTCCCATTCCCTACATGCCCCCTCCACCCCCAGCAACTTCTTCTGTCTCTATGAATTTGCCTATGTTAGATTTTTCATCTAAGTGGAATGATAGAGAATCTGTCCTTTTGTGCCTGGTGTATTTCACTTAGCATGTTCTTCCACATTGTGGCATGTACAGAATAGGCTCCTCGCTTCTGAAATTAAAACTTTCTTTTTGATAGCCCTCACGAGGACCTCTTTTGTCCTGCTGTTTACTTGTTCCAATCATACCCCTTTTCTTCTTTTCAACATGTTTTCAGAGCCTCCCCTCCCGGAAGTAGAATTTTTTACGGTGCACAGAGGACCTCTACCACGCCTCAGACTGAGGAAAGCCAAGGAGAAAAATGGACCAATCAGGTCAGTAGCTGTCCTTTCTCCACGGTTGCCCAGTGATCCCCATGGAGTGTTTTGGAAACTTTGATTTTGGTGAGGAGAAGACTTCTGTGTTGGTGGCTGCACTTGGGTGGTTAGAACAATGCAGTTGGGGCCTCTTTTGTTTCCTTGGGTACAGACTGGCCTTTAATCCCAACCAGCATCCTTTCTAATGGTGAGAGAGACTTCTTTTTTTTAAAATTTAAATTTTATTTTTTATTTTTTTGAGATGGAGTGTCACTCCCATCATACAGGCCGGAGTACAGTGTTGCGATCTCAGCTCACTGCAACCTCCACCTGCTGGGTGCAAGTGATTCTCCTTCCACTGCCTCCTGAGTAGCTGGGATTATAGGTGTGCACCACCACACCTGGCTAATTTTTGTATTTTTAGTTGAGACGAGGTTTTGCCATGTTGGTCAGGCTGGTCTTGAACTCCTGACCTCAGGTGATCCACCAGCCTCAACCTCCCAAAGTGCTAGGATTACAGGCTTGAACCACCACACCCGGCCACATAGAGAGACTTCTAAAGGACCCTATATACAAGCATTTGGGCAGTTTAGCTCAAGAAATTACATCCATTCCTTTGGTCCCTGGGTAAACGTCGGTTGCATGTTAGGACATGTCAGGATTGTCCTTTGCACTCATGTCTCATAGTACATCCTTTATGGATGGTGGGTCAGGGGCATCGTTTCATTTCCCAAAGGCAGAATATGTTGCCCTTTATGTAAGGTTGATCTTGGGGGGTGTGCAGTGGTTTCTGAAAAGATCATTTAGGTAAATCTTTTTGTCTTTTCATGTATTGAGTTACAGGCAAGACACTGTATAATTAATGACTGCTTCTGGGATTCCAGATGGCATTAGGATGGAATTAATTTACCTCAGTTGGAGGACTACAGTGTGTTCAGTTAAGTGTTTTATTTGCAAAGGTCATGGCAGGATTAGGAAAGTAGCATCAGTCCCTTTTTTAGAGAGGAAGATTGAGGTTGGCGTGGAGAGATGAACAGCTTGCTCACAGTACCAGCTCAAGGAGATGAAAATGTACATGGCCTCACCAACATTGCCTTTGTCTCTGCTGACCCTTCGGTAAAATCAAGGTTAAAAAAAAAAAAGTGAGATATTATAAAATTACAAAAAAGAAAGTCTGGCGATATTATCTGTATATCCATTTATAATAAAACTTAGGGTTTTCCTGCTTTTATATTCATTTAAGTTCAGTAAATGTGCAAAGATCTTTCCAGGGATGGACATTGTATAAATTGTTCTGATTCTTGACAAGTTACCAGAAGGCATTGTAATTCTGTCATTATAAAGAGAACAGAAGTTGTGATGTCACTTCCTGAGAGCATTTGCAAGAACAAATGTGATATTTATGTCAAATAATGACATAATGCAAAAGAAAAGCCAAATGACAGCTTACCCTTGTGGCTATATGCCGGCCAGCGCCTCCAAAACAGGAAGTGGAGAACTGTGAGTCATTCGAGGGAGTGTGGTGGTGAAAAAGAGGAGAAAAGTCCTTCCAGAACAGTCATATTCCAAACAGCCACAGCTGCTTCTTTAACATCACATGGCTAATTACCAGCAGGCAGGGTGGTTTTCCTAAGCCTGACTACCTGGTTTGAGCTGGGGGGCAGCAGCTTTGCCAGTGTGTGAGACAGGCCTGAGTCTGCTTTGTGCACCATTTAGGGACAGTGTCTTGGGGTACATAATGGAGCAAGGTCCCTGGGACCAAGTCTCTGCTGAGGTTGCTGATGTTAGGCAGAGGATGGAGCCTGTTGCTGGGTTCCCTTAATGCTCGTGTCTCCCACATTGCCAGATTATAGGAATCACCTGGGAGCTTTACCAGCGATACAGATTCCCAGAATCTACTCCTAGAGATTTCGATTCAGTAGGTCGGTATGAGGTCGGGGAATTTGTATAATAATCAAGCAACACAGGTGATTACGGTCAGGCTAATTGGGGAGCTGATTCATACTCTGTCGATGATGCCTCTAGTGAGCAATGTACGGAACCAAATGGGCACAGGTGAGCCTCGACCTTGCTCTTGACCACCACCACCTGCATGGAAAGATGAGAGGGATTTAAAGATGTACTTATGGACCGCATGGAGGTGCTGCAACATTTACTTTCTTACCTGTGGCTATGATGTAGGGATGTCTTCAAGTCTCCCGGCAAGTTTGTTGTTACAGGTGTTCCCCATAGGCAGTGGATGCTTAATAAATGTTTACTGGTGGTGACAACTTATTGCCCTGTGGGTTTTACTTTATCTCTTTTGTAGAAAGCCCTTGGCTGAAAGTGAGCCAAGACTTTATGAAAATCAGGACCCTGGGCCAGGCACAGTGGCTTACGCCTGTAATCCCAGCCCATTGGGAGGCAGAGGTGGGCACACAGGGCAGTGATACGTGCAACAACTTCCCCCAGCTAAAGAGGTCAGGAGTTCAAGACCAGCCTGGCCAACATGGTGGAACACCATCTCTACTAAAAATACAAAAAAAATTAACCGGGCATAGTGGCGAGTGCCTGTAGTCTTGGCTACTCAGGAGGCTGAAGCAGAAGAATCGCTTGAACCTGGGAGGTAAAGGTTGCAGTGAGCTGAGATCACACCACTGCACTCCAGCCTGGGCAGCAGAGCAAGACTCCCTTCTTAAAAAAGAAAAGAAAAGAAAGAAAATCAGGGCCCTGAGGATACCTAGGATGTTTGGGAACCTGGTGGGGGGAGACTTTCCATATCCAACACCCACTGTGGAGGAGGGCTCCCTCTTCTTAACCTAGTGATTCATGGGCTCTTAGGAAGCAGGAGATAGGGCGTTTGACATGTGAAGCAGGAAGTTCAAATTTACTGGTAAAATAGAATTACATGGCCTAATGAGTTTTGGAAATTACCCTAATTATATTTCACGCTGATGTATGCTTTTCCTCTTTTCCGAAATTTCAACTCAAGAATCATTCATTGCTGGTGGCGGAGGGGCGGGGCAGGGCGGGGGTTGGGGAGCTATCATTTCCAAAGAACTGTGCAAGGATTTGCAAGAATACAAGTCAGTCGTTCAGATCCCTGCTATCAAGCCTGACAGAGACAGCAGATGCTCAACATGGTACTAGAGGCAGGAGCTAAGTACCAGATAGATGGGAATAGAAGGGAAGTGTGATTCATTCTCAGTGCATTTTTATTCTCACACGTCCTTTCACTGCCAGGCTTTCTATTTGATGGGACAAATAATGAAACACATAACAAAAACAATACCCATTTGTTAGTGTGTTTTTCTGTCCACAATTGGGGAACAGTTTTTACAGTGCATACATGACATATTACTGTTCTGGCTGTTTCAGGGTGTTGTCAGACTAGATTAACTCATGGTGACTCTGCACTCTTGGCGTCTCATTTATTTCACATGAACTTTGGTATCAGCCCATGAACTGTAGGGGATGTAAATCACATGAGTTCTGTTTCAGGTCACCGCATGACTGTCTGCAGCCTTTTTTCCGGACTTAGTACATTCACTGTGGTAGGCACTCGGTCTCCATGTGACTGCTAACCCTTTCCACAGTTGGGCTTTATTTGCCCACGTGAAAATCACTGATCAGGTCAATTTTATGACACACACACAGGGCAGTGATACTTGCAACAACTTCTCCCAGCGAAAGAGGATGTACTTGGCATCTCTCTGCAGCCAGAACTTGGAGAGGTCCCTTGCCCTGTGTCGTCTGGCATTAACCCTTTAGGTTCAAACTGGAATTCCATGATGGTTGGAGCCATCAGACTGTAAATCCCACATGGGCCCGGACTTTTTCTTGCCTAGTGTCGTGTCTCCAGTGCCTAGAAAGAGGCTTATTTCAGCTGGGCGCAGTGGCTCACGCCTGTAATCCCAGCACTCTGGGAGGCCGAGGCGGGTGGATCATGAGGTCAAGAGATCGAGACAAGCCTGGCCAACATGGTGAAACCCCATCTCTACTAAAAATACAAAAGTTAGTTGGGCGTGGTGGCATGCACCTGTAGTCCCAGCTACTTGGGAGGCTGAGGCAGGAGAATTGCTTGAACCTGGGAGATGGAGGTTGCAGTGAGCCGAGATTGCACCACTGTACTCCAGCCTAGTGACAGAGCAAGACTCCATCTCAAAAAAAACAAAAAACAAAAAAACAAAGAAAGAGGTTTGTCTCATAGCAGGTGCTCAATAAATATGAATGAATGAATGAACTCCCCATGCAAGGGTCTGATGGACACTTCTCCTTTTTTCTTCCAGTTCATATCAGGTGTTAGTGCTTCCCCTGGCCCTCCAAAGCACATTTTCTTGTGATTCTGAAGGCGCTTCCTCCTTCTTTAGCAACGCCTCTGATGCTGATGGATACGTGGCTGCAGAACTACTGGCCAAAGATGTTCCAGATGATGCCATGGAGATACCTATAGGAGACAGGCTGTACTATGGGGAATATTATAATGCACCCTTGAAAAGAGGGAGTGATTACTGCATTATATTACGAATCACAAGTGAATGGAATAAGGTATCTTTCTTTCCAAGCTCTTGTGAACTCTGTATTTTCTTCTTCGTATGACATTTAAATGTTTGAACATTTATTTTCCAAGTATATGAGAGGGTCACTGCATGTAACAATCACAAAATGTTTGTGAATACTTTGCCTTTATGAAGAAGGGACAGGTGAAACCCTTACAGATGATATGGATTCTGAACCACCTGGGGACCTTGCTGAATCAACATTTGGACTGACCTGGTTTTGTTTTTACTCTTAAGCTTTACAGATGCCCTCATTCTATTGCACTGCTGAAGTCTAAGTTGGAAAGAAACATCTAGATTCTCTGTTAACTTCCTTGTGCCCCTGCCAGGCTGCTGCTTCTCTCATTCTCCTGGGAAGCCGAAGATTAAGCACAGCACTCGGCTGTTTTTTGCTTACATCCCTTCCGCAGCTATGGCATAGGTCCCACTTTCCCTTCTACAGTCCTTAGAAAGCTCTTCCAGCAGTGGTTCTTTCCTGAGACGTGGAACTCAATATTCATTAGATAATTAGGAAACATCATGGAGCTGCATTAATCAGTCAGGGATGGAAGATCTGGAAGAACCATTGTGATGGTTGACCTAGGAGAACCCTAAGCTTGTTGTAAATTCATATGGGCCAGTAATGAAAACTAGAAGGATTATATTAATACTAATACAAGCAGCTCTTGACTGATGAATTTGAGATAAAAGTATGTTATCATCTTGAGTGTAAGGTTTATCACATATTTAAAACTGAGACACTCTATTAAATTCTGTGTGGGATGCAAATGTAATGTGTCATGAACATGCTTGCTATGAAACCAATAGTTACTTGTAAGAATGTTCAAGTATCAAAGATGTCTAGCAGCGCTTTGTGACAATAATGGAGGAATAAAGAAAGGAAAGTTAAAGCCCAGAAATATATTGCCCTGAACTTACCAAAAAGGTATTTACAGCTTAGACAAGGCCTTTTCATTAGAAAATTACTTGGGGTTTCTGACTTGGAGTTTTTAGCCATAGACAAAACACTGGCAGTACAACATGAGTGCAATTTAGAGATGGTTCAGAGATCTACTGTCCTAGATTAAGACTTTGGTTGGGGAGGGTATATTAGTCAACTTGGGCTGCTATAGTGAAATATGGTAGACTGGGTAGCTTAGGCAACAGACATTTATTTCTCACAGTCTGTGCTGGGAAGCCCAAGATCAAGGTGCCAGCTGATTCAGTTCCCCAGTGAGGACTCTCTTCCTGGCTTGTGGACAGCTGCCTTCTTACAGTGTCCTCACGTGGTGGGGATGGAGTGGGGAGGGGAGAGCTCTGATTGCTCTTCCTCTATTTATTAGGACACTTATCCCATCGTGAGGGCTCCAGGCTTATAATCTCTTCTGAATCTATTTCTCTCCCAAAGATCCTGCCTCCAAATACCATCACATTGTAGGTTAGGGCTTCGACATTTGAATTTGGGGCAGGGGTTGGGTGGTGAGCAAGGGGCATAGACATTTAATTCATAACAGAGGGAATGAAGTTGGAGGTTAGGACAAGAATTCCGGTTTATTAGCCAGGCATGGTGGTATGTACCCATAGTCCTAGCTACTTGGGAGGCTGAGGCAGGAGATTTCTTGAGCCTGGGAGGCAGATGTTGCACTGAGCTGAGATCATGCCACTGCACTCCAGCCTGGGCAACAGAGTGAGACCCTGTCTCACACACACACACACACACACACACAAAGAATTCTGGTTCATAGGAAACTTTCCTGTGATGTCATTGATACTCTCTTTCATGTAGCTGAACAGAAGAATATGTGGTTATTCTTTAGGATGTTAAAGGAGATGAAAGGGCTTTGAAAACATTTATATTTGGATCTACATATTTAAATTGCGATGACTTTCCCATGGGTTTCAACTGTATTTGTGTGACAATTACAATAAAATCAGTAGTGATTTAATTTTAATTTTTAATTGTGATAAAACATATACAATATAAAATTTACTGTCTTAACCATTTTAAAGTGTAGTTCAGTGGCATTAAGTTCATTCACATTGTTGTGCAACCAGCGTCCAAAACTCTTTTTATCTTGCAGAACAAACTTTATACCCATTAAATGACTCCCCATTCCTTCCTTCCACAGCCCTTGGCAACCAACATTCTACTTTCTGTCTTTTTTTTTTTTGAGGCAGAGTCTTGCTCTGTTGCCCAGGCTGGAGTGCAGTGGCACGATCATAGCTCACTGCAGCCTCAACCCCCGGGGCTCAAACAATACTGGTGCTTCAGCTGCCTGAGTTAACTTGGACCACAGGTGTGCACCATCATGACTGGCTAATTTTTAATTTTTATTTCTTGTAGAGATAGAGTCTCTCCATGTTGCCCAGGCTGGTTCCAAACTCCCAGGCTCAAGTGATCCTCCCACCTTGACCTCCCAAAGTGTTGGGATTACAGGCATGAGCCATCACGCCCAGCCCTACTTTCCATCTTTATGAATTTGACTACTCTAGGTACCTCATATAAGTAGGATCATTCAGTATTTTCTTTTTGTGACTGGCTTATTTCATTTAGCCTAAAGTCTTCTAGGTTCACCCATGTTGTGGCATGTGTCAGAATTTCCTTCCTTTTTAAGACTGAATAATATTCCATTATATGAGTATACCACGTTTGCTTATTCATTTATTCATGGATGAATAATGGGATATTTTCCACCTTTTGGCTATTACGAATAATGCTGCTGTGAACATTGGTATGCAAATATCTGTTTCAGCCCCTGCTTTCAGTTCTTTTGTGTATATACCTGAAGTGGAATTGCTTGATCAAATGATAATTCTATGTTTAATTTTTTGAGGAACTACCATACTGTTTTCCATAGTGCTATACCATTTTCCATTCCCACCAGCAGTGCGTAGGGCTTCCAATTTGTCCATGTCCCTGCTAACACTTACTGTTTTCTGTTTTCTTTTCTTATAATAGGCATCCTATTATAAGGTAGGGTGTGAGGTGACATCTTTTGTTTTGGAAGTGGGGGATGGGGTCTCACTTTGTTTACCAGGCTGAAGTGCAGTGGCCCAATCACAGGTCACTGCAGCCTTGACCTCCCTGGGGTCAGATGATCCTCTCACCTCAGCCACCTGAGTAGCTGGGACTACAGGTGCATGCCATCACACCCGACTAATTTTTCCATTTTTCATAGAGACAGGATTTTGCCATGTTTCCCAGGATGGTCTTGAACTCTTGGGCTCAAGCGATCCACCTGCCTTGGCTTCCCAAAGTGCTGGGATTATAGGCATGAGCCACCACTCCCAGCATGAGATGGCATCTTATTGTGGTTTTGGTTTGCATTTCCCTAATGACAAGTGATGCTGACCATGTTTTCATGGGCTAATCGGCCATTTGTGTGTCTTCTTTAGAGAAATGTCTATTTAAGTCCTTTGCTCATTTTTGAATTGGGTTGTTTTTGTTTTTGTTAAATTTTAAGAGTTCTCCATACATTCTGGATATTACTGTAATCCCTTGTGAAATACGTGATTTGCAAATATTTTCGCCCATTCTGTGGGTTGCACTTTTACTATACATAGTGTCCTTAGATGCATAAAAGCTTGAAATTTTGATGATGATCAGTCTGTCTATTTTTTCTTTTGTTGCCTGTGTCTTGTCATATCCAAGAAGTCATTGAGAAATCCGGTTTCAGGAAGCTTTTTGTTGTCTTCTAAGAGTTTTATAATTTGAGGTCTTATATTTAGGTTTTTGATCCATTTTGAGTTAATTTTTTATATGATATTAGGTAAGGGTCCATATTCATTCTTTTATATGTAGATATCCAGTTTTCCTAGTACCATTTGTTGAAAAAACTTTTTTTTTTTTTGAGACAGTGTTTCAGTTTGTCACCCAGGCTGGAGTGCAGTGGTGCAATCATGGCTCACTGCAGCCTCGACCTCCTGGGCTCAGGTGATCCTCCTGCCTCAGCCTCTCAAGTAGCTGGGACTACAGCTGTGCACCACCATGCCTGGCTAATATTTAAAAATTATTTGTAGAGATGGGGTCTCCCTGTGTTGCCCAGGCTGGTCTCAAACTCCTGGGCTTAAGCGCTTCTCCTATCTCAGCCTCCCAAAGTACTGGGATTACAGGTGTGAGCCAGTGTGCCCAGCCTGAAAAAACTGTCTTTTCCCTATTGAATGGTCTTGGCACTCTTGTTAACTATTATTTGACATATATGCAAGGGTTTATTTCTAGGTTCTCTATGCTGTTCCATTGGCCTATATGTCTGTCTTTATGTCACTACCACACTGTTTTGTTTACTGTAGTTTTGTAGTAAATTTTGAAATCAGGGAGTGTGAGTCTTCCAATGCCCCATTTTGTTTTTCCCTTTGTGTATCTGTCCCAGTAAATAGCATTGCCATGCCTCCCATTGCTAAGACAGAAACCTGTAAATAGTTCTTGTCTCTTCCTTCTTTCTTACCTTCTTATCCAGATCATCAGCAAATCATGTCAATTCTACCAACTTAATTCTGTTTAAAATCATTCTTTCCTCTCCTTTGTCTGCACTGCTCAGACTTTGTCATCTCTTGCCTGAACATCACTTTTCTACCACATCTTTCTGTCTCTTATTCTACCCGTCTCCTTGCTTCATACCACTGCCAGCATGAGTTTTATAAAATGCAAGTATGATCCAGGCATTTCAGTTTAATAAGCTCCCTTCTTCACCTGGCCCCTGCCAGTTTCTCTCCTTTGATATACTCCATTCCCCCAAATGGCCTTGCTATTTGAAGTCCCTTCCATTCTCCAGTGTCTTGAAATATGTTCTTTACTGGTTATTCTTGCACATTACCTTCCATTTCTAATATCTGCACTTAGCATCAAAGCAAATGTTAGTCACATTCAAACGCTTATGGCTATTTTAAGCTTTTCTCAGATTTTTTTTTTTTTTTTTTTTTTTTTGAGACGAAGTCTCATTCTGTTGCCCAGGCTGGAGTGCAATGGTGTGGTCTTGGCTCACTGCACCTCCGCCTCCTGGGTTCAAGTGATTCTCCTGCCTCAGCCTTCCAAGTAGCTGGGAGTACAGGCGCCCACCACCACACCTAGCTAATTTTTATATTTTCAGTAGGGATGGGGTTTCACCATGTTGGCCAGGCTGGTCTCGAACCCCTGACCTCAGGTGATCTGCTCATCTCAGCCTCCCAAAGTGCTGGGATTACAGGTGTGAGCCACTGTGCCCAGCAGCTTTTCTCAGAATTTTTAAGCTTAAATTAAAAAAAAAATTAATAAAATCCAAACCAGAATGCCCAAGGCTGTCATTTGAAAGAGACTCTCCTAATGACATTGGAAGGATCCTCCTCTAACCCTCACCGTGCAGCTTCCTCTGGGGAATATTTTCAAGTCTTATATAGAGCAAGTCCCCAGCATTTGTAACAGGTAAATAAGCATATCATAATGACAGGGGGGAAGAGATATTCATTCCACTGAATCTATAGATTTCTTCTACTATGGATGAGCTTTCATATATGTTCCTGTTGCTTTCTTCCCGGTTCATGGACACATTTTGGGTAACTGACGTTGCTAAGTGACATCTAGATAGATGAAGTATTATATACTGGGACTTCTCATAGCTTTGCCTCTAACATGCATCACTACTTCTTGCTGAACCTTCTGAACGTGTGACCTCAGAATCCTTTTCAGCATAATTCTCTAGGCGGTCCATGCCAGTTGCTCAGAGCTGGTCAGGGGAATGGTCCTTTTTGTCACTCCTGTTGTTGGCCTATCATATATGCTTTCCAAGACCTGTTGGAAACCTATAGAAGTGATCTGTAGGGTCACTTCTGTCCATGCAACCCACGCCGGTCCCTTGAACACTTAGTGATATCACAAGATATTAGAGCTAGATTGGACTTTAAAGGTCTAGTTCAGATTAAGAGATTGAAAAAGCTGAAACTCAGAGGGCTTCAGCCTCCAAACTATATTTAAACTGACACTGTGTGCCACCTAGCTAAATGCATTGCTATGTTTTCCTTTATAGGTGAGAAGACACTCCTGTGCAGTTTGGGCTCAGGTGAAAGGTAAAATTATTTTCTGCCTATGAATGCTGTCCTTATTTCTTTTCTGCAGCATCAAGTTCATATTGATGAGATCTGTTTATATAATTGTCACTGGTGACCAGAACCCAATTCATACTACTTTAAGCAAAGAGCTTCATAGCTGAAAAAAAATGGGAGGAGGGTGAGTGGATGGGAGCTTATGGAATTATACAAAGAGCTACCCCACCAAGAAGGCTCCAGGAACTGGGACTGGGGACTCAACACCGTGAGTGGGACTTTCTATTTTTCTCTTGTTTCAGTTCTCTGTTTCTAAGAGTCACTTGGCTTCGTTTTCTTCTACTGTAGGACATGTGAGAGGGAGTGATGGCAAGCTCCCGCAGCTTACCGATTTCACTGGGAAAACATAGCTTTTCAATTCGGGGAAAGATTCTTTCCTGCTAGGTTAAGTGACTGCCCATTGGATGAATCACTGTTACTAGGAGATGGGCTAGGATGATTGGCCTCCCTTGGGTTTTATGTCTCCTCATGGCTGGTTGGAGGCAGAGCAGTGTGAACAATAGGTCCACTAGGTTTGCAATGAAAGGGAGACAAAATCCCTATCAAGAAATGGGGCACAGGAAAAGATGCCGAAAAGCCAATACAAGAGCTACAACAGTCCACTACCATTCGGCTGTGTAGCTTGTGCACATACACATATAATATTAAGAAAAACTGTAATCCCAGCACTTTGGGAGGCCGAGGCAGGTGAATCACCTGAGGTTGGGAGTTCGAGACCAGCCTGACCAACATGGAGAAACCCTGTCTCTACTAAAAATACAAAATTAGCCAGGCATGGTGGCACATGCCTGTAATCTCAGCTACTCGGGAGGCTGAGGCAGGAGAATCACTTGAACCCGGGAGGCAAAGGTTGCGGTGAGCCGAGATCGCGCCATTGTACTCCAGCCTGGGCAACAAAGGCAAAACTCCATCTCAACAACAACAACAACAAAAAAAAAAAAAAAAAAAAAAAAAGAAAAGAAAAACTTCTTCCCTTAACAAAATGGAACTATCCTATGCATGATCCCACATGGAACCCTAGTGGAAGACAACTGAAAGCTGGGTCCGTTACTGCATCCAGCTCCAAGACCAGGAATCCTGGGGATAGCATCTTCCTCTTGGTCAAGTCCAGATGTGTTTCTTGTGCTCTATTTAAGTAATCTATGACTAAATGGCAAATTTAACCAATCTCAAACCATAATACATAATATGAGAGGGAAAACTGAATAGCACAATAAATACGCTCATTTAGAAAGGAGGAAAAGATAAAGCAATGTACAGTGGTCAGGGGGCCCTGTAGCAGTGATCACCTCTTGCTGGGCAGGACAAGCAAGCATCCCCTGCCCTGGCAGCAGAATGGGTCACTTGGGTGGTCAGTTTGGGTCTGCCTGATGGGACCCCTTGTCCATTTCCTCCAAAGCCTTTCCTTAGAGATGCAGTGGGAACATTTCTGCTGAGCGCTGTATAGCTTAAACCTTTGCCTTGGAAGAGTTATCCAGGCGGGGAAATTGCCTTAGGGTTTGAGCAATCACAGGTCTTTGTTTTCCAGGCTCGGGATTTCCCTGGCAGTACAGTACATTTCTTTAAAACCAACAGGCAGCCAGCCAGTGGATTTGATTCCCAGGAATTCCATTAGTTTGTAGCTAATACCAGAAATCTTGTTGAGTTTATGACCTTGGAATCTGGACCTTTTCCGTGTGGTTTGTGGGTCCTAGCAACAGGCTGTCAAGTTCTGCCCTTAGCCCACAGTATCAGTTTAACCCTTTACCTCCTCTCCCCGCCTCAGAGCAGCATAAAACAATCAACTGGCATGGTGAGGAAGTGCCAGCATAAACTTGCTTCCCTAAGGATTCCACTGGATAGCACTTTTTAATGGGGAATTTTTTATCCTGTCAGTAGAGAATACTGTGCAGGAAATATCTGGGAGGGGCCTGGGGAATTAGGCTTCCTCCATTTGTCTGCTTCTCTCCTGATCTTATTTTCATCTTTTTACCTCTGCTCAAACCAACTGCAACAAGGGTAGAGGACTTGGCTTTTCAGCAGGGTGCAAGGCGGGTTACCTGACTGTCAGCCATCTTGGATTGCTGATGACCAGGCAGTGAGGGCCCCTCTTGACAAAGATGGGTGCTGTCCTGTTTCTGTGTGCAGATGGGCCAAGTCCCTTTACTTGTAGGACTTTAATAAAGGCCACACATTCCAACATTCATAAATTTTTTTTTGCCAGTCCATCCCCTGAAGCTCTAGGATTGGGCATGGCGTTCTCACGAGGAAAAGAGATGCTTTTATCAGAATAATTAAGATGACAAAGCTTCCAGACACAAAAATAATAGCTTCCAGAATCCACTCTACTCAGCAGCTGTTTGCTATGATTGGAAGACATTCAAACTGGGTAGAAGAAATCGCCAAAGAGCTGGCTGCAGTCATTCTGCTATGATTAAATTAACAGGGAGGATTTTGCTTTGAAAATATCTAAGTGGCTTTGGCAGTGCTCTGGTTTCCCCTCAGCTTGAGAACCAATATTGAAGGAGAGTTTGAGCCTTTGAAATTAAACCACTGGAAATCTCTGGAAGATAATAGGAAAAACACTGTTCTGTGGAAATTCTGAAGGCAATTCTAGCAATACTTTTTTATGTATAACATTTACCTGTGTTGTGCACCCATCTTGGGCAGTCTACTTTTTCAAAAAAGTTTGGAGACTGCCATTTCAGAAAGTAATTTGCAGAGAACCGAGATCTAAATTAGTCCTGAAATCGTGCCAGTTCACTCGTGCCAAGGCTCAGCCCCATTCTGGCCTTTGCCCAGTGACAAATTATGCTATTTACCTTTT
The DNA here is from genome assembly GCF_000001405.40 of Homo sapiens. NCBI lineage: Eukaryota > Metazoa > Chordata > Mammalia > Primates > Hominidae > Homo > Homo sapiens. Next base: position 112,049,556 of record NC_000009.12, on the reverse strand, counting down.
GCATATTGCCCCTAGAAGAGCTTTGTAAAGATGATCAGGAAACCAGCAGTCGGTTTGATGGAAGATGCAGAGGCCTGGGCTTACTTGCCTGAGTCTTCTGCTACTAATCAGCCAAGTGTCTTTGAAATAGTATTTAACTTGGCCAGTTCTCAGTCGCCCTCTCTCTGGGATCTCTGAGATGCTTTCCAGCCACAGAGTATTATGAGTCTGTGATTTCTTGAGTCACAAAGCAAGGTCATTTGATATATGTGAGATGATAATAAGCTGTAATCGGGGAACATTCTCCAGTCGTAAGCATGAAACCTCTGAGTTATTCGGGACTACTCCTTTTTCTCTTTCAGCCCACATTTAGCACCTTGGGCACGCCTCTCTGATTTTCATTTCTGTGTTCACTCCCTGAGCATAGGCCTTCCTACCTGTAGCAGGGATGACGGGCAAATCCTCCTTCCTCATCTCCCATCACAAGAGTTCAGAATTTCCCTCGTCATTCCAGCCTACACACCACCACCTGACTTGTTTCTAAACTCAGAACTGATTTTGTTTCCTCTGCTTCTGTGGTCCTCCATTATTTTTCAGTTTGGCTTCCAAGTCCTCTATTTGACACAAACATACCCTTCTAATTACATCTTTTATTCTTCTCCATTCAAACCAATGTTCCAGCTGTTTTCTGGCTATGGCCCATGCTTTCTCCTCTTAATGTCCTTGCTCATATAATTACTTGACGACTTCCATCTGGATTTCCTGATCACCCACCTGTGAATCTCTGCTTATCCCACCTGTTTTTCAAGATTAAAATCAAATGCCCTTTCTTCCCTGAAGCTTTTTAAATTTTCTCAACAGGGCAGGATCTGCCCTTCTTTGGCTATTCTGCTATATTTTAGAGCAATGGGTGTGCACTTGTTTTGTCTGTCTTCTACTACTAGATTTTACACCCTTGAAGGGCATTTGAAGAGGAGGAACAGAGCCTGGCATGCATTAGGTGTTCAATCAGAATGCACTGAATTGGGCTGAATGATTACTGAGGAAGCAGCAGTTAGTTTTATGGGAAATGAAGCATAGGAGGTGCAATACTTATCAAATAAGCCAGAGAAGACTTACATCAGGATATAAACCTAGTGTGTATGTATACATATGTATTTACTGTATATGTACATATATGTGTATATATGTACATATATACATGCACACAATCATTTTAAACCTTTATAGTTGTGATGGGAAGAATTCTAATATGGTTCCCAAATTCCTTGTCTTTGGTATACATCTACCTTCTCTCAGTTATTCATTCAAAGACTGTTCTAGGTATTGCTGTGAAGGGATTTTGGAGATGTACTTAAGCTCCCGAATAGGGAGATTATCCAGATAGGCTTGACCTAATCACAGGAGCCCTTTAAATCTGGATCTAGAGGTCAGAGATAGGGGAAGTTGGAGCTTCAAAGAATGAGATGGATTTGACATAGGGAAATTCTCCTGCAGCTTGAAGATGGAGGGGTCCACATGGCAAGGAGTGCAGCTTAACAGAAGGAGCTGAGCAAGGCCTGGCTGCAGCCAGTAAGAAAATGGGGACCCTAGTCCTATAACTGCAAGTGTCTTAGTCTGTTTTGTGTTGCTATAACAGAATACTGGAGGCTGGGTAACTTATTAAGAAAAGAGGTTTATTTAGCTCATGAGTCTGTAGGCTGGGAAGTTCAAGAGCATAGTACTGCATCTGGCCTGCTTCTGGTGAGGGCTACATGCTCACCAGAACAATGGTAGAGAAGTGGAAAAGCCAGCAGGTATATACAAAGAGATCATGTGATGACACAGGAAGCAAGAAAGAGTCTAGGAAGTTGACTCATTTTTATAACAACTAGCTCCCTGGTAATACAGCCCCTCCAGAGCAAGAACTCACTCACCTCTGAGAGAGGGCATTAATCTGTTCATGAGGGCTCCAACCCCATGACCCAAATAGTTCCCACTAGGTCCCAACTCCTGACACCACCACATTGAGGATTAAATTTCAAGTGAGTTTCAGAGGATATAAACTCAAACCATAGCAGCAAGGAACTGAATGTAGCCAATAACCTGAATGAGCTTGGAAGCAGCTTCTTCTCCAGAGCCTCCAGAAAGAAGTTCAGTCCACCTGAGACCTTGATTCTAGCCTCGTAAGGCCCTAATACGGTTTTCTTCTATGTACCCACCCAAATCTCATGTCGAATTGTAATCCCCATGTATTGAAGGAGGGGCCTGGTGGGAGATGACTGAATCATGGGAATGAATTACCCCCTTGCTGTTCTCGTGATAGAGTTCTCATGAGATTTGGTTGTTTGAACGTGTGTAGCACTTCCTCCTTTACTCTCTCTCTCTCCTGCTCTGGCCATGTGAAGACTGTGCCTGCTTCCCCTTCACCTTCTGCCTTGATGGTACATTTCTTGGGGCCTCCCTAGCCTTGCCTCCTGTACACCCTGTGGAACTGTGAGTCAATTAAACCTCTTTTCTTTTAAATTACCCAGTCTCAGGTAGTTCTTTATAGCAGTGTGAGAAGGGACTAATACAGGCCCTGAGCAGAGAACCAGCCACAATGTGCCTGAACTTACCACCCACAGAATTCTGAGCTCATAAATGGGTTAAAGCTACCTAAGTTTGTGGTGATTTGTTAAACTGCAATAAAAATGGAATATAACAGTGTTGCTAATGTATCAAGCATTAATCTTTAAATTAATCTTTAAACTTATCTTTAAATTAGTTTTCCACTTTGATTTCCTTTGCCATCTTTGGCTCTGAATGGAATTCAAGTGAGAAGACCCTAGAATAGCAAAGAGAAATTTAACACAGTAAATAGAAGTCACTGTGCTAATTATTATTTTTATTATTATTTACCATTTGGAGAACAGAATTGGTGCTTTCAGGAAGTGACCATGCCCGTGTATATTCATGAAAAAATGTCCACACCCATGGAGCGTCCTCAAGCTGTCACAAAGTCTGAGAGTAGAAATAGGGCCTTTCTAACTTCCTCTTCAGCATGTGATATTTCTATCAGGGAAGGGGTTAAAGATAAGTCCAGCAAGGCCCCATCACTCCTCCTGAGCACTAGCTCTCTTGAGGGAGCCACCATAAAGAGAATGGTGAAGTTTAGTCTTAATGGACTTACTTTCTCCAAGATTGAGTAACTGATGTGGGATATAACACATGAGTGATTCACTTGGGTTTGTAAAAAAATATTCTACAAGTGATTCAGAAGAAAAATAAACATGGTTCTCTGGCATGAGACCATGGAAAGGTAGGGTAACCAAAGGATGGTGAGGCTATAAAAAATACAATTCAAATTTGCCAGTTGTAAATTTTCTTATTAAGGAATTAATGAGGAAAGTCTCTAAAGAAGCTTGTGTGGCAACACTTGTGAGCACTCTTGATTAGATTGACTCAGATTTTTAGAGTATATATGCAAAGTAGACAAAAAGACATATAACCAGGAACTGATCTACCAGCAAGAATCATTCCTGGAGCCAAACCCAAATTGTGCTATGCAGAATAAATAAAGATCATTTTCCAATACTATGTCTAGAGTAAGGAATAGTTGTGCCCAGGTAGATCCTGCTGGTGGATGGTCAAGTGAAAGTCAGCTTCCTTAACTCCTACTTAGCTTTTGTCCTCTTCGTTTGTGAGGGGATAGTTAGAAGAAAGAAAAGAGCTTGCTACCCTACATAGGTTCAAGTCTTCCAACATGGATGTAGCGTATTCTGGCAGGTTCATACAATTTTCACATGAGATGGATAAACCATTGCAAATGATCTTCAATAAACCTTGAAGAAAATGGAGAGATGTAAGAGGACTAGAGATGAGCAAAGAACAAGGAACTTTGTACAAAGGAAGAACCACCAGAAGTGTAGATGATGGTAACTTGAAGTCAAGGCAAAGCAAGGTCTTCAAGTGATGGCTTGTGTATCCCTGGTAGAAAAAACAGCAGTTCCCGGGAGTCAGGAGCTTTAAGAGCAGATTAGGTCAGATTGCTTTCCATTTCTTCTTGCACAGAGTCAGTAATTGGTCAGGGAAATATGGCACGCATAATAACAATAATGTCCTTGTGGACAATGTGGGGACATGAGAGCTGTATGTGGGCTTAGAAACAAGCTGAATGGCTATGCACAGTTGATATCAACTCATTAACAATTATTGATGAGTTGAAATCAAACCCAAGAATATGCATGATATGGATTTCTGTCCACAGTCATCTTCAGTTCAACATATTCATCAATCAGTGATTAAAATATACAGAGGGTTAAAGTGTAGAGGAAAAAATACACAGAAAAAAACTTGATGTCAGAAGTTGGAAGGAATACTGGGTAGATCGGATGAAATGCCAGTGCAGTAAAGTACCAGCTCCCCCGTTCATCTCCAGAATTGTATTTTCTCTTAAAAACAAAACAAAACAAAACAAATCTAGTTAATTAGTCCACCAAGATGGCATTTAAAAAAATGTTTCTGAGTCATGCACAAAGATGGCATCTTAATGCCTTAATTTGCATTTTTATTACTTGTAAGAGAGCATTTGCTCAAAGTTTTATTGATCATCTGTAATCATGTTTTTCATGTGATTTACCTTTTCGTAGAATTTTCTCATTTCGCTATTGAGGTATGTCTTTATTAATCTGTAACACTCTCTGTATGTTAACTTCTTGCCCATTATTCTAGATATTTTATCCAGCTTGCCATTTGCCTTTTAATCTTGCTTATGGTAGTTTTTGGTATAAGAAGTGCATGCTTTTTAAAGTGGTTAAATCTCTCATTCTCTTAAGGTTTCTGTGTTAACGAATATGCTTAGAAATTTCTTACCCCCTTTAATATTAGGTAAATATTCACTAACATTTCCTAATCCTTTTAGGTTTCAATTTAAGTCTGTAATCCATCTGGATTTTATTTTGATATATGGTGTAAGCTCTAGTGATCAAAATTATTTGATTCTAAATGGTTAGCCAATTTTCTCAGCACTGGTTATGAAAAATTTATCATTTCCCCAATGATCTGAAACAGTATCAAAACAACAAAAACAATAATAATTAACAATAGCTAACATTTGCTTATTGCTTATTCTGTGCCAGGCACTGTTTCAACCTGTACTAACTCACTGACTTCTCCCACTACCTAGAGGTGGGTAGTATTGCTATCATTCCCATGTTATTACAGCATCCCTCAGTGTGGGGACTGAGACACAGAATGGATGAATAACTTGCACAAAGTCACACAGGCAGTGGTGGTGTTCAGATAAAGACTTGGACATCTGACTCCAGTATTCAAACTTTGAAAGTATTTGATATGCTTGGATTTGTTTCTAGGCTATTTTGTTCCAATGTATTCATTCCTATTCTAATACTGCACTGTTTTACTGTCTTGCAATTCAAGTCACTCTCCTAATATTTTTTCTTTACTAATTCTTCACTTAATCACTGTTTCTCCTTCCATTTTATAATCTAGTTTCTTGGCTGGGCATGGTGGCTCATGCCTATAATTCTAGCACTTTGGGAGGCCAAGATGGGCAGATCGCCTGAGGTCAAGAGTTCGAGACCAGCCTGGCCAACATGGTGAAGCCCTGTCTCTACTAAAATACAAAAACTAGCCGGGCGTGGTGGAGTACACCTGTAGTCCCAGCTACTAGGGAGACTGGGGCAGGAGAATCGCTTGAATCCGGGAGGTGGAGGTTGCAGTGAGCCGAGATCATGCCACTGCACTCCAGCCTGGGTGACAGAGCAAGACTCTGTCTCAAAAAATAATAATAAATAAAAATAAAATAAAACAAAATAAGTAATCTAGCTTCTTAAAGTGTCAAGGCCATTTTTCTTCTATAGACTAAAAGCAACCAAATAATATAAGCCATGTTTTCTAGAAAGGCTCTTGGCAGCATTTTTTGAGAATTAGTAACCGCCCAATGAGTTTTCCTTGCCTGCTGCCTAGACAGAGCTGATTTATCAAGACAGAGGAATTGCAATAAAGAGCTTAATTCACACAGAGCCAACTGTATGGGAGACTGGAGTTTTATTATTACTCAAATCAGTCTCCCTGAAAATTCAGGGATGGGGTTTTTAAGGATTACTTAGTGGGTAGGGGGTAGGGGATGGGGGGGTCAGTGAGTCAGAAGTGCTGATTGGTTGGGTTGGAGATGAAATCACAGAGTCGAAGCTGTCCTCTTGCACTGAGTCAATTTCTGGTTGGGGGCCACAAGATCAGATGAACCAGTTTATGGATCTGGGTGATGCCAGCCGATCCATGGAGTGCAGGGTCTGGAAAATATCTCAAGCACTGATCTTAGGTTTTACAATAGTGATGTTAGCCCTAGGAGCAATTTGAGCAGTTCAGAATCTTGCAGCTTCCAGCTGTAGGACCCCTAAACCATAATTTCTAATCTCATGGCTAATTTGTTAGTCTTGCAAAGGCAGTCTAGTCCCCAGACAGGATGGGGATTTGTTTGGGGAAAGGGCTATTATCGTCTTTGTTTCAAAGTTAAACTATAAACTGAGTTCCTCCCAAAGTTAGTTCAGCCTACGCCCAGGAATGAACAGGGGCAACTTGGAGGTTAGAAGCAAGATGGAGTCAGTCAGGTCAGATCTTTTTCACGGTTATAATTTTCTCGGTTATAATTTTTAAAAAGGCGGTTTCAAGTTCTGCAGGGCTGTTTAACACAAGGTGTATTCTATGGCTGGTTTTACTAGTGCCAGGTACTGTACTGAGTTTCCAATAGAAATGCACTCCTCTTAACCTGGCTGTAAAGACCTGAGTTGTACTTAGCCACTCCCACCTTGGTTCCTTAAGGGAATAATAATAGTACCCAATGTGAAGGCTGGTTAGAAGCCTAAATGAGTGAATATTTGTGAGGTGCTTGGAACAGTGTCTGGCACATAGTAAGTGCTAAGTAAGTGTTTGCAAATTAAAATGAAATTTTTGCTCTAATCTAGAACATGATTCTCTAAGTCAGTCACTTGGCCCACATGTGCAACTCAACTGTGAGTGTTTTTTAGTTTATAATCGGGGATCTCCCTGGAGTTGGCATGTGATGGTCCCCAAATAGAAAGTATGTCTTTCAAAGTACTTTTATCCTCTCAGTAAACCTGCTGACCTGAGCAGGGAAGTATGACCCTTGTTGAGGTATGGAGAAAATGACAGGTGACTCAACAAAGGATATTCCTTTGCTCTATCTGACCATCAGGGCTATCAGTTTTGGAAACCAAATTCAAATAATATCATAATGACTTGTCCCTCCATGCAAAAGAAAACGGCCCATAAAAATCTATCAAATGTAATTGATTGTGAGAGGACCAACAAAAAATGTAACACGTTGCATAGTATTTGTGTGCTCAACAAGATTAGCTGTTTTCTCCCTTGTAACTTTAACATGGTCTGGCTTTACACTTCCTTTTCAGAAATACCTTGTAACTGTAATTTCCTGAGGCTGCATATCCACAGGGCCAACTCAGGGGACACACAGGCATGTTGGGCATTCTTGGGATTCTTTGTTAAATGGGGCCAAGCTCTGGGTTAAAATGGATTGAGCACAGTGGGGTGTGTGCCTCCTGGGAGGTGGTGATGCCGTGCACTCTGGGCTAAGCCTGTGGTTTTGTCCCACAGATTCGTCACTCATGCTGCTGCAGATGGCGGGTGTTGGACTGGGTTCCCTGGCTGTTGTGATCATTCTCACATTCCTCTCCTTCTCAGCGGTGTGGTATGTGAGGGTGTCATTTTTGAGAAATGACTGGAATGGAGGGGAGGATGGGTCAGAGTCACGAAGAACAGCTGGGGATGAGGGGAGTCAAAGGGAGTGTGGGTGGAGGTTGTCCTTGGCTCAGCAGAGCACACTCAGCGGTGAAAGGCATGACTAACCCTGTACCTCCAGGTAGCATGGGGGATGCCTTCCCAGGAAAAGAGCAGGACCAGTGATGGCTGCCCTGGCCACACACAGAGGGGTGGCTGAGCTTCCATGCTGCTCCCCCTCGCCTCCTCCCATGGGTGTGCGTGTGAGCTGTGCATAGAGATGCACAGTGGGAAAACCAAAGTGTGTTCATATTTGTCTCTTTTCTTTTCCTCCTCCATGTCTAGATGGCAGATGGACACTGAGTGGGGAGGATGCACTGCTGCTGGGCAGGTGTTCTGGCAGCTTCTCAGGTGCCCGCACAGAGGCTCCGTGTGACTTCCGTCCAGGGAGCATGTGGGCCTGCAACTTTCTCCATTCCCAGCTGGGCCCCATTCCTGGATTTAAGATGGTGGCTATCCCTGAGGAGTCACCATAAGGAGAAAACTCAGGAATTCTGAGTCTTCCCTGCTACAGGACCAGTTCTGTGCAATGAACTTGAGACTCCTGATGTACACTGTGATATTGACCGAAGGCTACATACAGATCTGTGAATCTTGGCTGGGACTTCCTCTGAGTGATGCCTGAGGGTCAGCTCCTCTAGACATTGACTGCAAGAGAATCTCTGCAACCTCCTATATAAAAGCATTTCTGTTAATTCATTCAGAATCCATTCTTTACAATATGCAGTGAGATGGGCTTAAGTTTGGGCTAGAGTTTGACTTTATGAAGGAGGTCATTGAAAAAGAGAACAGTGACGTAGGCAAATGTTTCAAGCACTTTAGAAACAGTACTTTTCCTATAATTAGTTGATATACTAATGAGAAAATATACTAGCCTGGCCATGCCAATAAGTTTCCTGCTGTGTCTGTTAGGCAGCATTGCTTTGATGCAATTTCTATTGTCCTATATATTCAAAAGTAATGTCTACATTCCAGTAAAAATATCCCGTAATTAAGATTGTTCTTCCCTTGGTTAATTTTTCTGTTACTAAGCGTCTTCTAAAAATGCTCTTTGCCCCCTGTTAGAAACTGAGATTTGGTGGTAGTGTAGTAGCAATGCTTAAAACAGTATTGAGCCCATGGCTAGACTAGAGTCCATGTGTGTTTCAGGGGAGGGGTTGCCATAGAGGGTGACACTTCTTTTATCTAAACTTCAGTAACTATGAATGTTACTCCATTATGAACTATGAAACATTAGATATAAGCGGTGCTGGACCTACTGTGAATATGCTAAGTTGACAGCTGGAGTCTATTTGATTTTACTTTTAAATCATGAATTGGCATTCTTTCCTCTTTTTTTTTTTTTTTTTTTTGAGATGGACTCCCACTCTGTTGCCCAGGCTGGAGGGAAGTGGCGTGATCTCAGCTCACTGCAACCTCTGCCTCCCGGGTTCAAGTGATTCTCCTGCCTCAGCCTCCCATGTAGCTGGGACCACAGGGCCCCCCCACCACGCCCAGGTAATTTTTGTATGTTTAGTAGAGATGGAGTTTCACCATGTTGGCCAGGGTGGTTTCAAACTCCTGATCTCAGTTGATTCGCCCACCTTTGCCTCCCAAAGTGCTGAGATTACAGGTGTGAGCCACACGCCCGGCACTAACTAACAATTTAACTCCAAGACTCAGTAAGAAACGAATGGGGAAGGAAAGACAGAGGCTTCTGGCATCTCTCCTTCTCCCTTGCCTGCTAGGCCTAGAGAAGAAAAACCATGGAGGAGGGGAGGTGATACTGCACAGCCTCAAGATGCAGCATAGACGAATGCAGTCCTTAGCAAAAGGAAAGGGCTTCCCAATGCAGTGGGCCGGTGTGTTCACCGGCTTGCTGGGTGTCAGTGAGGGAAGACTCTGAGTGCCTTGGGCTTATGGGCAGATGAAGAGACAAGAGGAACAAGTACAAACTGCCCATGTAGCTGCTCCACCCCAGGGAGTCCAGAGTGTATCCGCTCTATTGGGAAGAATTAGAGAGAGGCGAGTAATATCCTGACATTCAGGTGTTCAATGCCAGCTGTCAGCCTCTGGCCCCTGCCAGTGTTAGGAATGATTCCCCTGTCCTCTGGGGTACTGCCCTCCGACGACAACTTAGGATCAGCATTTAAAACCCTTTCTGCTCTCGTCTTAGGTAAATTATAGACCAGAACGGGTCTATAATGGGGACAGGTCCCCATCCTAACCCCCAGAGACCGTTTCTCTCAATAGATGAATACAAATAGCTCTCAATTTTTAATTTTTATGTGCAATAATGCAAACATACTTTTTTTTTTTTTTGAGACGGAGTCTCACTCTTTCTCCCAGGCGGGAGTGTAGTGGCGCTATCTCGACTCACTGCAAGCTCCGCCTCCCGGGTTCACGCCATTCTCCTGCCTCAGCCTCTGGAGTAGCTGGGACTACAGGTATCCGCCACCGTGCCCAGCTAATTTTTTGTATTTTTAGTAGAGATGGGGTTTCACCGTGTTAGCCAGGATGGTCTCGATCTCATGACCTCGTGATCCACCCGCCTTGGCCTCCCAAAGTGCTGGTATTACAGGCATGAACCACCACGCCTGGCCGCAAACATACATTTTTATAGCTCCTGAACTAAATTGGGTATCAATACAAATTACTGTGGTTAGTGTAGGGCTCGGCCTCTGATGAGTGAGGATCTTTCCTCAAAGCCCACCTTTGTCCAAAGAAAGAATCTGAGCCTCCCCTTGACTTATTTTATTTTTTGCCAGTTTTGTAAATGCTGTATGCTTCCATACTACCCCCTTCCCTAATTTCCACCTCTAGAATTAACTGCCAGAGATACAGTTGTCCACATGGAATGTAGTATAATTGTGATAGAAAGGAAGAAATCCCCCTTGCTTAGTATTAAAAGTTTCTGGTTAAAATAACTGACTAAATATTAAGTAAAACATCACCTTCTGGGTACAATGCAGAAAAGTAAAAGCAGTTCATATAAGATTACTAAACTTTGGGAGGTCTTCAAGACCAGCCCTGGCAACATAGCGAGACCCCATGTCTGCAAAAAAAGTTTTAAAAATTAGCCGGGCATGGTGGCGTGCACTTGTAGTCCCAGCTACTCAGGAGGCTGAGGCAGGAGGATCGCTTGAGCCCAGGAGTCTGAGGTTGCAGTGAGCCGTGGTGACACCACTGCACTCCCGCCTGGGTGACAGAGTGAGATCCAAAAAAATTTACTGAAATAACAAAAACGTGGACTTTGGGATTTCCTCTAACTGCTGCAAATTATAACACAGAATTGCTCAGTGTTAATACTTGAATTGTGGGGCCAAGTCTTCTGGCTGCCCTAGTTCTCTTTTCTGGCATTTGAAAGCCCTTGAGCTAGCTATGGAGCTAATCTTTGGACAGGCTTTTTGGTTCCCAGGAATGTCATGCCTTTGAATTTCCAATCTATATATATACAGTGTGTGTGTATGTATACCTGTCTTTTCACTGTAAGGCACCTCCACCCATCCCTTATAGAAGGAGCCACAAACAATCAAGCAAATGGATGGAGGTTAATTAAGGGGAAGAGGAAATAGTCTGTTCTCTGACTCGAGACCTGAAATTGCAGTGGGGCACGTAAGGTAAGACCAGAGCAGAAGTGATTATCTTGAAATTCCACTTTAGCTTGGAATAAAATTAATATTTAAATTGATTTTAAAGGAAATAAAAAAGAACATTCAGTGTTCCCTTTTCATTGCTAATCTCACATTTTCTGATTTTCTAAACCTTTTGTTTTCCCATTCTTTTCTTCTAAGAGGAACTCAATGGTCTCATAGAAGTCAATCAAATAGCGTTGTAAGAACCTTTTACCTACCACATCCTTTGTTGGTTAGACTGAACCAACAAAGCAGTGCCTGCTTCTGGGGAGGAAGGATGTGGCCTTTTCTGTGCCCCAGTTTGTGGGAGGGTGAGTCCATGAAGCAAGTCAATTTAAAAGGCAGTGTGTGCTCTTGTTTCAGAGAGAGTGAATCCTTTGGGTGGTGGTGGTGGAGTATGTGTGTGTGTGTGGTGGGTGGGGGGTGGGGCATGCACATCTAGATCCATACTTTTTGGGCTCAACTCAGGGTTACCAAAATAGAGTCAAACTCAACTCAGGATTACCTAAATGGAGTCAAATTTTGTGTGTGGTTTTGTAACATGATTCTTTCAGTCATCATTTCCAGGCCACATTTTTCATGTCACTCATGACTGCATTATAAGTTTGTACCATAATTCATTTAACCAATACTCTGTTGTGCATTTAGAATATTTTCAGATGTTTATTGTCCTTATAAAAGTCAGTATGAAGGTATGCAATTATCACTTAGGCCACATTCCTGGAAGTAAAATTGTTGGAATGGAAACTATGTACATTTTACAGTGCAGATTGCTGGAAGAGTTTTATGCAAAAACTTATACAAAAATTTACACTCTTACCAGCAGAAAGCCTCAGCGCCACTGAGTGCTGTTGTATTGTTAATCTTGATTAATCTGGTATGTGAAGAAGGATGTTTCAATGTTTTGTCTGTGTCTCTCTGATTATTTTGCTTGTTGATTGGCCAGTTGTTAATTCTGTCTTTGTGAGTTGTCTTTTTCTCAGTACTTGGCCTATTTGTCTTTGATTTGAAAAAGCTCTTTATGTTGTAGTCATTTTAATTCCTGTCATATGTTTTGTAAACAATTTTTCGAGTTCATAATTTTTCAATCTTGTTTGTATTATATTTTGCCACACAAAAATTTTAAATTTGTATAGTCAAATTTATCAGTCTTTTTCCTTATGTTGGACCTTCTAATCTCAAGGTACTAAATATAATCTAGCATTTTTTTAAACATTAAAAATTTTTAATCCATCTATAATTTATTTTAGGATAGGGAGTGAGGCAGGGGAAGGTATCTTTTTAAATAAAAATCGTTGCTAAATGGTTGGCTAGTTGTCCTATTAATAGTCATTGAGACCAGGAGCGGTGGTTCACCCCTGTAATCCCAGCACTGTGGGAGGCTGAGGTGGGAGGATCACTTGAGGTCAGGAGTTCGAGACTAGCCTGGGCAACATGGCGACACACAATCTTTACAAAAAATAAGAATTAACAGAGGCCAGGCTCAGTGGCTCACGCCTGTAACCTTTGGGAGGCCAAGGTGGGTGGATCACTTGAGGCCATGTGTTCAAGACCAGCCTGGCCAACATGGTGAAACCCTGTCTTTACTAAAAATACAAAAATTAGCCAGGCGTGGTGGTGTGCACATGTAGTCCTAGCTACTTGGGAGGCTGAAGTGGGAGGACCCCTTGAACAGGGGAGGTTGAGGCTGCAGTGAGCCATGGTCATGCCCTGTACTCCAGCTGGGTGACAGAGCAAGACCCTGTTTCCAAAAAAAAAAAAAAAAATTCATTGACTGTTTTTTTCTGTTAGTGATTTGAAATCATATACTGAATCATATGCTGAAGTCTATTTCTGAACTTCTTCTTTTGTTCTACTGATCTATTTCTGTGCCAATACCACCTACTGTAACTTTAAAATAGGTTTTTGTTTATACCAAGTAAGAATAAGTTACCATTATTTTTCCATTAATTTTTTTTTTTTTTTTTGAGACAAGGTCTCACTCTGTCACTCTGTTGCCCAGGCTGGAGTGCAGTGGCATGATCTCAGCTCACTGTAACCTCTGCCTCCCTGCTTCAAGCTATTCTCCCACCTCATCCTCCCGAGTAACTGGGACTACAGATGCGTGCCACCACACCTGACTAATCTTTATATTTTTAGTAGAGAGGGGGGTTTCACCGTGTTGGCCAGGCTAGTCTCGAGCTCGTGACCTCACGTGATCCTCCCGTCTCCGCCTCCCAAAGTGCTGGAATTACTGGCATGAGCCACCGAGGCTGGCCTGAGTATTCTAGTTTATAACTTACAAGGTCATTCATATGTATATGTTGTTGTGCTTGTCTAGCTATTTTATATTTTGTTATTCTGAACTCTTGGCCTCTATCTCAGCTCCAGCCCCTGAAAGTGCAGGAGTGCTTTTGCTCTGCCAGTCGGCCTTTTTTGGGAAATCATATCAAGATGGCTTTTCCAGCACAATTACTTCCTAGAGTGTCTGCTTGATGCATGGAAACTCATAGATTTTTGGCATGCCAAACAGAGGGTTTTCCTGCCGTCACTGCTGGCTCCAGCCACAGACTTCAGTTTTCTTACCTGTTAGAGCCTTTGTCCTCTGACTGGTGGAAATGGAGCTTGCTTCTTTTTGTTTTGCCTGCCACTAGTCTGGCAGCCTCCACCTCTTGACCCTTGGGTTTCTTATCCTTGGAATCAGATACGAGGCCCTGTGTCTTCTGTTGCTGTAGAGGACACAAGTCATATTCTCTGAGTGGAGATCTCTCTGAAGCTCCTCTTTCCAGGCTTGTACTGAGGGACCTCTGGACCCTCTACCACGTGGTGTCAAAGCTGCCAAGAGCTGTCATATGCTGGGTCTGTAAATTGACTTTCTCACCTCTGACCAGATGCATTCACTTGAGCGGCACAGAGATTTGGGGGAGTGAAAGGGCACTGTTTCTTTGGGTCCGTGGGCTTGTGTCCCATCCCCTAGCCTTGGGGTTAGCAGGATTCAGAATTTATGAGTGTGGTCTGCAAAAGTCTACCTCTACCAGATGGGGGAGAACCTAGTGTGTGGACCTGAAGGGTTAGCTCTGTGCTTTAGTCCCTGGGAGTGGCCATCTTGAGTCTTGGTGGGCTTGGCAAGTAAGGAGACATTGACCAGATTCAAAGCTTCCAGAGGTGGTGAGAACTCCAGGGCCGAGTAATGGAGAGTACAAAGGTCCTTCTTGGCCCCCATGACCCTTCCAAGCCAAGAACTTGGCAGTAGCTGTGAGAAGCAGAGATAGGGAGAGGAGGTGAGGGGCACCTATAGCTCTTAGCCATGAGTTATGACTCCCTCCATCCAAGGGAGACCCAAGGACATGAAAGGGGACTCAGTTCCAAGGATCAGAGGGAACTTGGGTTGTTTTGGGATAATGACTGTGGCTTGGGATGTCACGGAGATGAACACCAGAATTGGTGTGCAACAGATGAGCTCCAGTACCCCTGATAGTTTGCATGGGTTTTGCTCTGCTGATGATGGTCAGGGACAGCAGTGAGGCCCTCTACAATGCCGCCTTCTGCCTAAACACAGGCAGTGCCCACAAAAGGGGAGCTGTCATTATGGAGCCTAGGAATGGATAGTCAGAGAGCAGCGGCTGGGCAGTGCAACTCCTGCATTGGACAAGGTCCTGGCTAGAGAATGTCAATGTCCAC
The DNA here is from genome assembly GCF_000001405.40 of Homo sapiens. Lineage (NCBI taxonomy): Eukaryota > Metazoa > Chordata > Mammalia > Primates > Hominidae > Homo > Homo sapiens. The sequence goes on along the minus strand of NC_000009.12, from coordinate 112,034,503 downwards.
ACTGCATGTAGCCCTATCGAGGAGATGATGTAGGGGGCTGTCAGCCTTGGAGACTCTAGCCTAAGTACCCCACCACCACTCTGGCTGGCTTCCAAGGGCACAAATCAGCTTTCTGAATCTGACTTGGCTTCCTGTGATCTGCATTCATGAACATTCTTACTAGAGTTCTCATGGAAAATGAATACACAACTATTTGGTCTGAATGTGTCTGAGTTTGGTGTCTCCAAAACAATTCTCTGGATTAGATGGAGAATGAAGAAACTTCACAAAGGCAAAAGGACAGGTCCCCATCTCGACCCCCAGAGACCACTTCTCAGAGTCTCTATCTGTTCGTCTCTGGTGTTAGCCACGTTCCTTTACTTTCCCTCATTTCTGTGGCCACTCCTGTGGCTTCCTCTCTTTCAACCTGCAGGCTGCTGCTGCCCTGCCTCAGACCCTTGTAGGCTTCTGTAGAGATGCTACTCAGATGGGGGTGGAGCTAGATGCAGAGCTGAAACCCACCTAGGAGATCTAGCTTGGAGAGCTTGTGAATCTTAGGAGAGCTAGGCATAGAATGACTAAAGTTTGTCACCGCATGAGATAAAATAAATGAAAAGCCACTTCTGGAGGGAATGAGGCAGTCTGCCTTTATTGGAGAGATACATATTGTTGAACAGCTCTGGGCAGTTGATTGTGTGCCTGGGAGAGCTAACCATGTTTACTCTACACTTGACCTGTGATGGTCTGTATTGATTGTATCACACGCTTAGCTTTCTAAGGCTAACCAGGTCATCGTCCTCAGTCCCTGCCTGCAACTAGGTTGCCAACTGGCCCTTGATTTCCCACCCAACTTGTTCAGTTTGCCCTCAATCCTGGGGCCTCACTAATTTCCCAAAAAGATATGGTTGGTACCACCTGTAGTTTGCTGTTGCATGTTAACCTGACTTTTGGGAAACTCAAATAAACACTTTTCAAACGCATTGACCATTTTTACTCTATGACTTCTGCTTTGCATGATCGCTAGCTTGGTCACCCATCATGCTGCTTTCTGGTGAGCTGAAAGGAAAATAAATGGTCTAAATTGAGCAACAAGAAAGTAAACTTTTAAGCAGGTACTTTCCAAGTGAAATGAGAACCGGAGATTGGGTCCAAAAGAGAGGATGCCCAGCCAGACTGAACTTTCAAGTGTTTTCCAACTGGAAAGCTCCAATGTCCTCTGATCTCAGTGAATTTCCAATCTAATTTCAAGGAAGTCCCTCAGGAGCCCCATTGCAAGGGTGGTTATAGAACCATTTACAACTGCTTTAATAAAACTAATGCTTATAAAGAAAGAAAACTTGTTTTTTAGTCATCCATAACACAAAAAAGTGAGGTTTGATGCACAGTAAAAGGAATCATTATTTAAGTTAGTCTGAGTTATATTGTATTTTGGAAATGCTCCACATTCAATATTTATGCCACATACTCTAAAACCAAAGTATGTAGATTAAAAAAAAACTATTTCCAGAAATAAGCTTGCTGAATCACCACAGGCTTAATTTATTTATTTTAACTACCAGTTTCCTGAATGTTTTTGTCTAATTGGCCTATCTGCAGTTGCCCTTGGTCCACCCTTGAGCCCACTCTTTAAGCCTGTCTGTCACTTAGAGAAGTACAAGTACTTCCTGCTGAGAATAAAGCCTTGATCGCAATTTCAGTGAATTATCAGGGAAGTGTGAGAATAAGTAGGAATAAATGTCTAAACATTTGGGAAAAACTTGTTTGCAATAAATGTGGTTAACAGAGAGTGAATAGGCTTACTACATAAAATTGTTACTCATCAATTAAAAAAACTGTACAATCCTCCTCCGGGGGAAAATGATCAGATATTTTAAGTCTGCTGATATTTTTCTCTGGATGTCAGACCTGTATACTTTGTCCTGCATTATTGGAGTATAATTGGCAAATAAAAGTTTTATGTATTTAAGGCATACAATGTGATGATATGATACACCTATACACTGTGACATGATTACCTCAATCAAGCTAATTAACACATCCATCACCTCACCTTTTTTGTGTGTGGTGAGAACACTTAGATTTACTCCTATAGCCCATTTCAGGTATACATTATTAACTCTAGTCACCATGCTATACATTAGATCTCCAAAACTTATTCATCTTGTAACTGAAAGTTTGTACTCTTTGACCAACATTCGCCATTCCTCCCCAACCCCTAACTTTGGTAACCACCCTTTTGCTCTCTGTTTCTATGAGTTCTTCTGTTTCGGTTCCACCTGCAAGTGAGATCATGCAGTGTTTGCCTTTGCCTTTCTGTGTCTGGCTTATTTCACTTAGCATTATGTCCTCTAGGTTCATGCATGTTGTTGCAAATGACAGGGATTTCCTCCTCTGCCTCTTCTTCCTTCTTCCTCCTCCTTCTCCTTCTCCTTCCCCTTCTTCTTCCCCTTCTTCCCCTTCTTTCTGTTTTTGCTTTGTTTTGTGTTTGTTTTTGAGATAAGGCTGGTCTTGAACTCCTGGGCTCAAGCAATCCTCCTGCCTCAGCCTACCAACTAGCTGGGGCTGGGTCTGCACGCATGCACCACCATGCCTAGCCGCCTTCATTTTTGGCTGAATGATATTCATGTGTGTGTATGAATATTTTCTTTATCCATTCATTTGTCTACAGGCACTCAGGTTGATACCGTGTCTTGGCTATTGTGAACGACTGTGTAATACATATGGGAGTGCAGATAACCTCTTCCACATACTGATTTTATTTCTTTTGGGTATATACCCAGAAGTGGGGTTGCTGGATCATACCGTAGTTCTATTTTTAATTTTTTGAGGAACTACCATACTGTTTTTCGTAGTGGCTGTACCCACTTACATTCCCACCAACAGTGTGCAAGGGTTTCATTTCTCCATATCTTCATCAACACTTGTTATCTTTTGACTTTTTGTTAATAGCCATTCTAACGGATGTGAAGTGAAAGCTCATTGTGGTTTTGATTTGCATTTCCCTGATGATTAGTGATGTCATACACCTTTTCATATACCTGTTGGTCACTTATATATCTTCTTTGAAAAAAATCTATTCAGGTTCTTTGCCCATTTTTAAAAAATCAGGTAACTTGCTTTTTTTTTTGCTGTTGAGTGGTATTAGTTCCTTACATATAATATTTTGGATATTAACTTTTTATTGATATATGGTTTAAAAATATTTTTTCCCATTCTATAGATTGCTTTTTTATTTTGTTGATTGTTTCCTTTGCTCTGCAGAAACTTTTAGTTTGATATAATCCCATTTGTCTTTTCTTGCTTTTGCTGTCTGGGCTTCTGCTGTCACACCTGTATTTTTGTTTTTGTTTTTGTACCAGAGAAAGTGAAGCAACAAATGAGGAACATGAGAACACTGGAGTAGAAAGCTGGGTGGGCATCAGACAGCTGACCAAAATTTTCACTATCAAAATGGCAGGTGAGATTTTTTTTTATATACTAGTTATCACAACATCTTCAACCTTTTCTTTTTTTTTTGAGACCGAGTCTTGCTCTGTTGCCCAGGTTGGAGTGCAATGGTGTGATCTTGGCTCACCACAACCTCCACCTCCCGGGTTCAAGCGATTCTCCTGCCTCAGCCTCTCAAGTAGCTGGGATTACAGGCATGCACCATCATGCCTGGCTAATTTTTGTATTTTTAGTAGAGACGGGGTTTCACCATTTTGGCCAGGCTGGTCTCAAACTCCAGACCTCAGGTGGTTCCCCCGCCTCGGCCTCTCAAAGTGCTGGGATTACAGGCATGAGCCACCACGCCTGTCCTATGTATCTTCAACTTTTCTATTACCAAGTACTAATTTTGTCTTTTCTTGAGTAATACTCCTGTTCTCTAATTGATGGCTTCTAATTGATCCCATCTATTTAGTCATATTTCTTAAACTCAAAGGAGAACTAGATGTGTATTCTCTATATTGAGTGTATCCAGGAAGCCTCCCAGTATGGTTTCAAAGGAGTGAGACTGGAAGCATAAAATTCAGTCCTTCCTGTTGTTAATGTAGCATTATTTATTAGCAGATTGGACCTCTGACAGAAATAAACTGATATCATTTGCTTTAATTTTGATGCTGAATTTCCCCTGTGATTGAGAAATCAGTTTAACCTTCATTTCACAACATCCAGCAACACCTTACCCAGCTCCTTCAGTGATGGAGTTTTTATACTACACAGTGGTTCAGAGTGACAAGCATAACAACAGAGTGATTAAGTACAAGAGGCCAGCAAGGGCCACACAGGTGAAGTCTGAGCTGGCCTCAAAGGGTTAGTAGGGTTTTTTTTCAGGCAGAGACGACTAGGAGGGAAATTCCAGGAATGGGGTGTGTGTGTGTAAGAATGTAAACAAAGGCATGAAACAGCACAAAGAACAACATTAAAGATTGAAATAGAGGGACTAGAGAGGAAGGTTCTAATGAAAAGGAGATGTTATCAAAATAAAAATAAAGAATTTGACAGTGCATTGGATTGGCTGACTGTTGGGGGGCGGTGCAAGGAAGTGGGTAAAGGAAGGGGACAATTTGCTTATGAAGTCTTTCAAAACAACATTTAAAAAAACATCTTCTAGACAAACCGTAACTCTAATGAGACTTCCCCAAAACATACTAGATATTCAACGGAATTATAGTTGTCCTTCTAAGTAGTTTCTTTGAAAGACTAAATGCATATTCCAGTGACACTATTAGTATTAACATTTTTTTTTTCAGAAGTTACCTTTGGGAATTGCCTTCGGAGTGTTTATGAGCTGCAAAAGAACATCAATTAGTCTTATTACTTTACAGTTTTCTCTGTCTATGTAGGGTAAAAACATTATATATCCATATAAAATATATATCATTAAAACTTAGCCTGTTGGACATTTCTTTTTTTATTTTTAATTGTAACTTTTGTGGGTACATGGTGTACATATTCATGGAATGCATGAGATGTTTTGATACAGGTGTGCAATGTGTGATAATCACAACATGGAGAATGGGGTATCTATCCCCTCAAGCATTTATACTTTGTATTATAAACAATCCAATTATACTCTTTTAGTTATTTTTTAATGTACGATTCAATTATGATTGACTATAGTCACCCTGTTGTGCTATCAAATACTAGGTCTTATTCAGTCTTTCTAAATTTTTGGTACCCATTAACCATTCCCACCCCTCTGCCCTTCCACCACTCTTTCCAGCCAGTTGGACATTTCTTTTATAAACTGAAGTATGTGGCGAATGACTTTTAACCATTTCCGAAAATCAAACACGATGTAAAAATATTACACTTGTGGACTCAGAATACCAAAAATATGTGTTTCCAGCCCTGATGGCAATCTTCAAAGAGGGATTGCAGCATACCTGGAGTAGCCACAGCACCGTTGTCAGCACTGAGCCCACACAAGTGACTGTTGACACAGGGACCGTATTCTGTGTATATCTATGTTCTGAGAATATTTTGTTGTTGTGGTGGTGGTTGGAAAAGCTTTTATATGACAGTTTATGGCTCACAGTGGTGTCTGGCTGGTGGCCTTCAATGCAATGACTCATAAGAACCTCTCCTTCAGTCACCCTTGAAGACCCAACAAAGCTGGGGAAAGGAGGGGAATTTCCCGATACCATTGACAATGAAGATGGACAAGCTAACGGCAGAACCTCAGAAGGATCTGACTTCAGATATGCACGCAGCGTACCCTGGCTTCATTTCACAAAAACAGTACCCTTTTGCAAAGGGAGGAAGTGACTTTCTCATGACCCGAACCAGAAAATAGGCAGCCACGGGACTCTATGCACTGATTCCACCTTGGGGAGCAGGCAGAACATGTCCCCTTTGTGACCACGTTCACTGGCATCTTTCTGGATCCAGATAGAGTGCAAAACTTAGAAACAGCTGAGTGGTACGCAGAGGGGGTACAGGTACAGATCATACCGTGCAGGCAGGTATGACCCTACAATAAACTGCCCAAGATATGTGTTGTATATGTGTTGTGTGTATTTGAGTTGAGTGCATTGGGTGCATGTTTGTATATACATGTGTGTGCGTATGTGTGTGTGTGGTGTGTATGTGGTGTGTGTGTGAGAGCTGAGTGCATTGTGTCTATGTTTGTGTGTACATTTGTGTGTGTTGTGTGTGGGGGGTGTGTGTGTGAAGGGCACTGGCCCTTACTCCTGGTAAGAGTGAGTAATAGCAACTGCCATTGGTTATACCTCCTTCCTTCAACTTCAGAGTATGGGAGAGTAGTTCAGTAGAGACAGGAGAAAACGTTTCCTCAGCTGAAGACCTATACTTTTTTATTTGGGAAGGGGGTGATTTATTCTAAATAACTACACAACTCTTTTTATATTAGGGAAGCCACAAGCTGCTTGTTATCTATATTGCACATATTTCTCCATATTTGCTCTTTGTCTTGCAACTTTATTTATAAGACTTTTGCTTGTTTTTGCCATGGGAAAGTTTTCATTGTTACTTAGTCCAGGTTACTGATCTTTTGTTTGTGATTACTGAATTTCATGATGTGCTCAGAAAGACTTTCCACCCAAGATTTAAAAATATTTATCCATTTCTTTCCTAGCTCTCATGCAATTTTAGCCGTACTTTAAAACATTTGTTGCATTTGGAATGTATTTGGTGTAATGAATGAAACAAGAACCCGCATTGTATTTAAAACATTTCACACCAATCTGTATTTTTTCTTAATACCATTCATCATAATTATAATAGCACAATTATTTATATGATTATCTTTACCCAATCACCATTGAGATGCCACCTTTGTATCATGCATTTAAATATTTTTTAAAATGCTCCAGGGTGGGGCGCGGTGGCTCACGCCTTTAATCCCAGCACTTTGGGAGGCCGAGGCTGACGGATCACGATGTGAGGAGATTGAGACCATCCTGGCTAACACAGTGAAACCCCGTCTGTACTAAAAATACAAAAAATTAGCTGGATGTGGTGGCGGGCACCTGTAGTCCCAGCTACTCAGGAGGCTGAGGCAGGAGAGTGCCATGAACCCAGGAGGCAGAGCTTGCAGTGATCATGCCACTGCACTCCAGCCTGGGCAACAGAGTAAGACCGTGTCTCAAAAGAAAAAAAAAAAGCTCCCTTCCACATTATCATGTTAGAATTTTGACCAAAATGATGATGATTTCCCAGATTATTTTGGAAGAATTTATATTTTATACCATACTAAATATTTCTGTTCCCTCACAGGGTATGCCTTTTCACTTAATCACATTTTTTTTCTGTTTTTTTTCCATATAATTCAAATTTATTTGTATGTATTTTATACTTTCACAAATGGATTTATTTTAGATTATGTTTTAATGCATTATAAGATGTTTGATTTTTGAATATTAACATTATATCCTGAAAACTTTCTGAGCTCTCTTTTACTCTTTTACTTTTTAATAGTTTTCAGCTGAATCTCTTAGACTTTCTATTATCTACAAATGATGATAATTTTGTCTTCTTCATTCTAATTTTTAAATTTCTTATTTTGTTCTCTTGTCTATTTGCAATGTCCATCACATAATCTTATGTAGATTATAAGATGAAAATCACTAAGCATGATATCAACTTTTGGTTTAAGAGATGTTTTGATGTAAAGAAATATTCACCGAATCCCATTTTACAAAGAGCATTTATCAGGTATGGACACGAAGTTTTATGAAACGTTTTGTTGATACCTACCATAGGATCATATACTTTTATCTTCCTTTCATCAGTATTAATAGATTTCCTAATATTTAGCCACCTATGCATTCTTGGAATAAAAGTTGCAGTCATGGTGTATTGCTCTTTAACCAAATCTGCTCCTAGATTATATTTGCTGATACTTTATTAAGAATTTTTAAAAATCAATTTTGAGATATTTCTAGCTTTCTCCTGTGTATTATCTATATAAAACAGTCTTACATTGGTTTTTGTTAATTGGCAAGAATTTCTTCTTTCTCTGCCCTAGAACAGTTTAGTATAGAAATTATTTATCCCCTGGAAACCATCATTCTCAGCAAACTAACACAGGAACAGAAAATCAAACACCTCATGTTCTCACTCAGAAGTGGGAGTTGAACAACGAGAACACATGGACACAGGGAGGGAAACATCACACACTGGGGCCTGTTGGGGGGATGGGGGCAAAAGGAGGGAGAGCATTAGGACAAATAACTAATGTATGCGGGGATTAAAACCTAGATGATGGGTTGATGGGTGCAGCAAGCCACCATGGCACACGTATACCTATGTAACAAACCTGCACGTTCTGCACGTGTATCTCAGAACTTAAAGTATTATAATTATAATAATAATAAAAGAAATTATTTATCTTTTTTTCATTTGGTTTTCCAGTTGTGTCATCAAGGGATTGTTCAATGCTCCCTGTGATCGTGAAGTAGACTTTGCCTCCAGATACTGCCCCAATCTGATAGAAAATGATGATGGAGGAAAAACTGCGCTCAGCAGGGCAGAATGTCTTGCAACACCACATTCCTTAGTAATCAATAATGGGTCAGTGGGCTCCAAGGAAGAGTGTTCCTTATTTTTCCAGCAGCTTGCTCATGCCCCTAGCACTTATATTGGTGGGATCTTTTGGAATTTCTTACACTTAGGACCTGCCATACTGCACTGTGCTCATGAACTGGAGATTTGTGTTTGATCATGGGACTCTGTCAACTTGCTCCACATGACATTATATTTGGCATTCTTCATCTTCAGAGTGTGTGGTTTAATGTTGGGGGCTTTCCTCACTGCAATATAGAGTCCTTTTCTTAATTTTCAGTTCTTTTTATTCATTCTTGTTTGCATTGACATAGGGTTTGGAGGTTAACATACACTTCTGCCATCATTTTCCTTATAAGTCCTCACAGATTGTTTCACTTTGGAAAAGTCCATGAGTGTATTAGGCCACTCTTGCATTGCTATAGAGAAATACCCAGGACTGGATAAATTATAAAGAAAAGAGGTTTTAACTGGCTTACAGTTCTGCTGGCTTTATAGGAAGCATGGTGTTGGCACCTGCTTGGCTTCTAGAGAGGCCTCAGGAAGCTTACAATCATGGCAGAAGGCAAAGGGGGAGCAGGCATGTCATGTGGCAAAAGCAAGAGCAAGTGAGAAAGAGACAGAGAGTGAGGGGGAGATGCCACACACTTTTAAACAACCAGATCTCATGTGAACTCAGAGCGAGAGCTCACTTATCACCAAGGGGATGGCCCAAGCCATTCATGAGGGATCTGTCCCCATGATCCAAACATCTCCCACCAGGCCCCACCCCAACATTGGGGATTATATTTCAACATGAGACTTCAGTGGGGACAAATATCGAAACTGTATCAATGAGCAAATAATTTAAAAGATCATTTGGGAAAATAAATTATTATGAGAACCTAGTAAATTTTGAAAACGAAAAGACTTTCCCTATCAGATATTAAACTGTACCATAAGGCTTGCAGTAAATAACTTGGTACTGGTGCTGAAATAGAACAATTAAATGAACGTACAAATGAAATGAAAGTACACCAGGCAAACACTGGTGTCAACGTTTCAACGAAGGCCTAAATTTTGTAATTATGCAGTCCCCAGTGGGTGGAACAGGGGATACTAAACGAGAGACTGAGATTAAGCAGAAGACCCTTGAATGGTGTTTGCTTATTGCAGGTTAGTAACACCCCTTGTCCCTAGCTCCTGGCAGAAGCCAATGCAAATTCTTTCTGGAGGAAAACATCTTTAATTTGGATCATCAGGATCCCATTAATTATTATGAACTAGATCTCAAAGACCACCAAACATTCAAGGAAACGAGTCACTGTGAGAGTTAGCCGAATCTTTAACTAATCACATGGAAACTCCAGGGACTTCAGATATTGGAATTATTAGACACAGAATATAAAATAACTATGCATGGGATATTTATATAAATAAGATTGAAAAAAAAAAAAAAAAGCCTGGCCACAGTGGCTCATGCCTATAATCCCAACACTTTGGGAAGCCGAGGCGGGTGGATCACCTGAGGTCAGGAGTTTGAGATCAGCCTGGCCAACATGGTGAAACCCCGTCTCTACTAAAAAATAAAAAAATTAGCCAGGTGTGGTGGTGGGCACCTATAATCCCAGCTACTCTGGAGGCTGAGGCAGGAGAATCACTTGAGCCTGGGAGGCAAAGGTTGCAGTGAGCTGAGATCCTGCCACTGCACTCCAGCCTGGGCAAAAGTGAGACCCTGTCTCAAAAAAAAAAAAAAAAAAAAAAAAGGTTGAATTTAAAAATGGATAAGTAATCAGACAGTATTGTCTGTGACTGGGAAGATTTAAAAATAACCAAATTGAATCATCTCCTAGTTATACTTTTAAAGTGAAAAAAAATTAAACGGATAACGGCATATATATTATGCTAACTTTTGTGTAAGAAAAAGAGAAAGATAAAAATACATATATGTTTCCTGCATGAGGAAACGCTGGAAGCATATACAAGAAACTAATTAAACTGATTATCTATGGGGGGTGGGCAGGGATGGAGTAGGACTAAAACTTCTCAATTTATACCTTTTAAACGTATACATTTAGTTTTTGAGCAGATAATAAAGCCACATAATTTTTGAATGTGGCTTTATTATCTGCTCAAAAACTATAATTTAAAAAGAATCAAATAGAATTTCCAGAAATGAAGCACAAATACTTTTTTTTTTTAAGAGGCTCATTCCGTTGCCTAGGCTGGAGTGCAGTGACATGATCTTGGCTCACTGCAACCTCTGCCTCTCAGTTTCAAATGATTCTCCTGCCTCAGCTTCCCGAGTAGCTGGGACTACAGGCATGTGTCATCACACCCAGCTAATTTTTGTATTTTTAGTAGAGACAGGGTTTCACCATGTTGGCCAGGCTGGTCTCAAGCTCCTGACCTCAAGTGATCCGCCTGCCTCAGCCTTCCGAAGTGCTGGGATTACAAGCATGAGCCATCTTGCCTGGCCCAAACACAAATACTTTTTACAAAACCTTTCTCAAGTTGATCAGTGAGTGCAAATACACAGTTTGATGGAAATAAGACCTAGTGTTAGATGGAGAGAGAATTTATCAACTAGGAAGACAGATCTAAAGAAATTACCAAATTACCCACAATGAAGAATAAACAGAGAAGATTGTGCAAAATATAAAAGAGAGGTTGAGATATGGAGGATAGAAGGTGAAAATTAGAAATACATATAATTAGGTTTTCAGAAAAGAGAACAGGGAGAAATGAGGAAAGGCAATATTTGAAAACTTTGAGATTTAGGTGTTTATAAAGTCCTAGGTATGTCTCTTCTAGTGTACGAGAGAGTGATTAAAATTTAGTAATGAGGCCAGAGACGGTGGCTCATGCCTGTAATCCCAGCACTTTGGGAGGCTGAGGCAGGTGGATCACTTGAGGTCAGGAGTTCAAGACCAGCCTGGGCAACATGGTGAAACCCCATCTCTAATAAAAATACAAAAATTAGCTGGGCATGATGGCACATGCTTGCAATCCCAGTTACTTGGGAGGCTGAGGCTGGAGGATGGCTTGAATGCAGGAGGCAAAGATTGCAGTGAGCTGAGATCGTGGCCACTGCACTCCAGCCTAGGCAACAAAGTAAGACTCTATCTCAAAAAAATAAATTAAAACATAAAATAAGCCGGGTGCGGTGGCTCACGCCTGTAATCCCAGCACTTTGGGAGGCTGAGGCAGGCGGATCACGAGGTCAGGAGATCGAGACCATCCTGGCTAACACAGTGAAACCCCATCTCTACTAAAAATACAAAAAAATTAGCCGGGCGTGGTGGCGGGCGCCTGTAGTCCCAGCTACTCGGAAGGCTGAGGCAGGAGAATGGCATGAACCCGGGAGGTGGAGCTTGCAGTGAGTGGAGATCACGCCACTGTACTCCAGCCTGGGCGACAGAGCGAGACTCCGTCTCAAACAAACAAACAAACAAACAAAAAACATAAAATAAAATTTACTAACGAGGGGGCCTCCCTGTATTTGGACATGTACAAAACTATTTGAAATGTCAGCACCACGAATTGATGGAGGAGTAGGAGGCAGACAGAAAGACTGAGAAATGGAACTGAAATAATGACTGTCCCAGAGGGCAGCCCCCGATGGCACTGAAAATGGGGAAGTGTGAGGTTCCAAGGAGCTTGGATTGTGGGAATGGTGGTGGCAGCAGAGAGCCAGGAAAAGCAAGCTTGAGCTGACATGCTTACGGGAAATGATTATGTCTCCGAGGGAACCTGTAAAGTTTAAAAATAAACCAATAATTTGTACTCTGTTTACTCTGTGTATTTTTAATTTTTTACCAGAGAAAGGGCACGAGAGTAACTGAGAGAGAGGAGTCCAACTTTGGAAGGAGAGCAGGCCCAGCTGAGGGATCAAAATCAAGAATTAAGATTCAGAATAGTGCATTTCCAAATGAAACCACATGTTTTTAAATTAATGCCCAAACATTTAATCTATTTCTATGCAATCTTTACATAACAAGTGATCATAAGCAGGGATATTTCTTTGGGTCTTTTTTTTGAGACAGGTTCTTGGTCTGTCACCCAGGGTAGAGTGCAGAGGCGTGATCATGGCTCTCAGCAGCCTCAACCTCCCAGGCTTAGATAATCCTCTCACTTCAGCCTCCTGAGTAGCTGGGACTACAGGCACACACCACCATATCCAGCTAATTTTTGCATTTTTTGTAGAGACGGGGTTTCTCCATGTTGCCCAGGTTGGTCTCAAATTCCTGGGCTCAAGTGATCCCCTTGCCTCCCAAAGTGCTGGGGTTACAGGCATAAGCCAACATGCCTGCCCTTTCTTTGAGTCTTTTAGGCAATTTATAAAGAGAATATGGCTAGAGGAATGATTATCATCTATTGAATGTTTACCTATGGCAGGAATAGAGCTAAGTACTTTGGAAACAATTATCTTCATCATCATCATTATCATCACCACCACCATCATCAATCCTATATTAAACTTGATAAAACTGAGGTGTAGGGAGGTTAAGTCATTATCCAGGGTCACCTACCAGTACCTAGCAGAGCTAGGATCCCAACCCAGGGCTTCTAACCTAAGGCTTTGTGCCCTACAACCTGAGCTTGGAAAGTTTATGTGTATACAGAATTATATGAGGCTGGGCTCCGTGGTTCCTGCCTGTAATCTCAGCACTTTGGGAGGCCGAGGCGGGTGGATCACCCGAGGTCAGGAGTTAGACCAGCCTGGCCAACATGGTGAAAGAAACCCTGCCTCTACTAAAAATACAAAAAGTAGCTGGGCATGGTGATGCACGTCTGTAATCCCAGCTTCTCGGGAGGCTGAGGCAGGAGAACCGCTTGAACCTGGGTGGCGGAGGTTGCAGTGAGCCGAGATCATGCCATTGTACTCCAGCCTGGGCAACAAGAGTGAAACTCTGTCTCAAAAAAAAACAACAAAAAAATTACGTGAAGGCAGAAATTTGCTTCATTATTAAAAGATCCTCTGGGTGGTAAACTCAACTTGCTATTTTCTAGTTAAGAGATCAAAAAAAGACTGACCTCAGATAAAAATTACCTGACCTCTGGTACTAAAAATCAAACATTAGCAAATGATTCACTTTGCTTCTCAATGTAAAGGTGACACATTAGTGTGCTATTTTTCAAGTTTCAGTATGATTCACTTTGTTTCCTGCTAAACATATTCCCAGTCTTGCAAACTTTGATTTTAGGGTGGATGAGAATATGTGTCGTAGGTGCCTGTATGTCAAAACAATTTGTAGGATAGTTAATTTTTAAATGCCTCCTGGCAGCCGGTTTAAACATTATTATAACTACTGGCAGAGTTGAGAAGTAAATAATTTTGCCTCCTAGGAAACTACTAAATGAATGACTACTTTCTTTCTTTTTTGTATTTTTCTTTAAAAAGTTTTTTTTTTTTTTGTAGAGACAGGGACTTGCTATGTTGCCCAGGCTGGTCTTGAACTCCTGGCCTCAAACCATCCTGCTGCCTCGACCTCCCAAAGTGCTGGGATTACAGGCGTGAGCCACCGGCTTACTTTCTTGCTTCTTGTAATTGAATTTTCACACTCGACTGCATACTGGAAGTAGCTTCTCTTTCATGTCTCGTGATATTTAAATTTTTATTTTCATTTTTTTCTGCACAACTACTAAAGAACCCCACTCTGCACTCTTGTGCTTTACTAATTCTTGGCCATGTTAGAAACCCCCTGGGTATCCTTTAGCAGACTGGAAAATACCCCAATTCAAGGTATCAATGGCATTTTCCTGAAAGGACATTCTAAGTAAACTGGCTCACAGAGAATACGCTCTGTCATCTGAAGGCATCTTCGTTGCCTGTCCCTGATATTTCTTCACACCAGACCTGGTAAAAATGCACATGTCCCAGTTTCTTTTTTTTTTTTTTTTTTCTTTTTTTGAGACAGAGTCTCGCTCTGTCGCCCTGGCTGGAGTGCAGTGGCACGATCTCGGCTCACTGTAAGCTCCGCCTCCCGGGTTCACACCATTCTCCCACCTCAGCCTCCGGAGTAGCTGGGATTACAGGCGGCAGCCACCGCGCCTGGCTAATTTTTTTGTATTTTTCTTTTAGTAGAGACGGGGTTTCACCGTGTTAGCCAGGATGGTCTCGATCTCCTGACCTCGTGATCCACCCTCCTCGGCCTCCCAAAGTGCTGGGATTACAGGCGTGAGCCACCACATGTCCCAGTTTCAAAAAGCTGTATTACATTGTCAACTGATTCAGACGCCCAAAATCAGTGCACATTATAATCACCTGGGAAGCATTAAAAACTACTGATGCTCAGGTGTCACAAGCAGAGATTCTGATTTCATTGGTCTGGAGTGCCACATGGTCATGGAGATTTTAAAAAACCTCCCCAGGTAATTCTCATGTGCAGCCAAATTTGGAAACCACTGCCTCACAGTCCCAGGTGCAAGTTTAGCCATGGTCCTGTTGGGAGTAGAGCAAAAGGGAAAATGTTCATTCCAGGCAAAACCATGGTGACTACCTTGGGTCTCAGGAAGCACATCCCCTGGAGTCCTTGGAATCCAGTGATGGTAGCTTCCGCCAGTGTTCTTTCTTGGTGTCTGTCTCCCAGGGTCATCATACTTGCCAGAGAAACCTCATCATTGTTTTTACCAATGGAGAGGATGTAGTTGATTTTATTATTATTATTATTGAGACAAGGTCTCTCTCTCTCATCCAGGCCGGAGCACAGTAGCACGATCCTGGCTCACTGCCTCAACCTCCTGGGCTCAAGGGATTCTTCTGATTCACCTGCCTTGGCCTCCCAAAGTGCCCAGATTACTGGTGAAAGCCACCACGCTTGGCCAATTGTATTATTTTTTTAATCCAGCACTTAATGTTGAATTGAGACTATGCCAAGCTTTAATGGCAATACTTGTTGTGTAGAGCCTATTACTAAGTAACACTATTTTATGACAATCACATCATTTTAGTTATATTGGGAAGAAGATTATGGGTGCGTAGAACTCATTTATGGGATGTGGGTCTTCAGTTGTCGTTTATTTGCTTTCAATTGACTCCTTTGTCTTAGGCCACACACATACACATCTTGCCTGGGCTTTAAAATATTTTCCTTTTTCCTGCTTCCCACTCAATCCACCATATCACCTTCCACTGTCTTACTGCCAAATTCTTCAAGAGAACAATCTATACCTTCCACTAATCACCAAGCAGCCCCAAATCTAGCTTCCATCTGTATGGCCCCATGGAAACTCTACCCTCAAAGATGATGAATGGTTTCCTACTAACAAAATCCAATAGCTTCTCACTTCATTTTACTAGTTATTCAACACCATTTAAAATTCAGGCCAGGTGCTATGGCTCGCGCCTATAATCCCAGCACTTTGGAAGGCCAAGGCGGGTGGATCACTTGAGGTCAGGAGTTTGAGACCAGCCTGGCCAACATGGTGAAACCTTGTCTCTACTAAAAATACAAAAATTAGCTGGGCATGGTGGTGGGCACCTGTAATCCCAGCTACTCGGGAGGCTGAGGCAGGAGAATCACTTGAACCAGGGAGGTAGAGGTTGCAGTGAGCTGAGATCACCCCACTGCACTCCAGCCTGAGTGACAAAGTGAGATTGTTTCAAAAAATAAATAAATAAAATAAAATAATATAAAATAAAATTCTATGAGGCCAGATGCAGTAGCTCATGCCTATAACCCCAGCATTTTGGGAGGCCGAGGAGGGAGAATTGCTCGAGCCCAGGAGTTTGAGACCAGCCTGGACAACGTGGTGAAACCCTGTCTCTACAAAAAATACAAAAATTAGCCAGATGTAAAGGCAAGAGCTTGTGGTTCCGACTGCTTGGGAAGCTGAGGTGGGAGGATCACTTGAGCCCGGGAAGCAGAGGTTGCAGTGAGCTGAGATCATGCCACTGTACTTCAGCCTGGGGACAGAATGAGATCCCATCTCAATAAATAAATAAAATTAAATTATATGAAGCAATGGTAATAAAAACAATTCGATCTCGACATAAGGATATATAGATCAGAGAAACATAACTGAGTCCAGAAATAATCTTGGATCTATGTGGGTAATTAATATACAATAAAGGTGAACTGTAAGTAGGCAAAGCGTCTTCTATTTCATCACTAGTGCTGGAGAAGAAAATTAAGAAAATGAAGTGGGATCTTTTCCTCATGTATCACCTATGAAAAGTAAATCTCAAATGGATTAAAGATATAATGTAAAAAAAAGAAGAAAATTTAGGAGAATATGGGCACAAACTTGGGTAAGAAGGGAATTCATAAGCAAATCAGGAAAGCCAGAATTTATAAAGGAAAATATAGATATAATTGGCTACAATAAAGTTTGTGTATACCTATTGAAAAACACCAACAGATATCAAAAGACAAATGATAGGGAAAAAAACACTAGTACCAAGTATAATAGAAAGAGTGGCTCATGCCTGTAATCCCAGCACTTTGGGAGGCTGAGGCAGGTGGATCGCTTGATCCCAGGAGTTCAAGACCAGCCTGGGCAACATGGCAAAACCCTGTCTCTACAAAAAAAAAAAAAAAAAAAAAATAAGTCAGGTATAGTGGTGTGCACCTGTAGTCTTAGCTACTCAGGAGGCTGATGTGGGAGGATCAATTGAGCCTGGGAGGCTGAGGCTGCAGTGAGCTGTGATCATGCCACTACACTCCAGCCTGGGCGACAGAGCTTTCAAAAAAAGGAGCAAAGGGGACAGAGATATAAATAGACAAAAAAAAAAAAAGGTGGGGGGAAGGGGGCAGAGATATAAATAGACCATTTATAGAAAAGGAAATCCAACTCTCCAATAAATGTGGAAGACGGAGGAATAAAAATTAAGGTAATTATGAAATGCCTTTTGGCAGAACGTAAAACAGCAGTGATGATGTGGTAGGAATATGAATTTTTATAGTCTTTAGAAAGGCAATCGGTCTCATCATCTCTGAAAATCAAAAGCATACTTAGCTTTGGCCTTGAAATCTCACCTGATAACCAACCGTCAAGAAAATAACAACACCAGTATGTAAGCATACATATACAAGGATCTTTACTGCAACTATGCTTGTCTGAAATGTCAGAGAGAACTGTGCATGGGGTCTGTCACTTAGATTTGGGGAGCTGGGTCCAGAGAAAACCCTTACAGACAACATACTCTTTTCTAAGTTGATCCTCGTCTTATTATTTATTAATCAGCTCCTCTTTGTCCTTGCTTCTTTTTCTCTTATTGTATGTTTGCAAATAGTGATATGAATATTAAAAAATCTCTCACTTTGATTATATTTTTGTCATTTCCCCCTTATTTCCAGAAGTTTTTATTTTCTATATGTTGATGTCATGTTATTTGATGCATAAAAGATAACAGCTCTTAAATATCAATTATAAAGTATGTGTCTTCTAAAAATTTAATTATTTTCCCTGAATTCATCTAAAATAACAACCACAATCCTCACTTTTTAGTTTGCATTTTCCTCATATATATCTGTCCATCTTTTTATTATTCTGTGCCACTTTTGTGTTCTTATGTAATCAATCACATTTTAAATTCTACTTATGGTTTCCTTTAAGATTTTTAAAAGCATTATTTAAGTTATAATTCTCTATTTGTCAATGATGGGATTTAAAAAGAAGAATTTGTGGCTGGGTGCTGTGGCTCATGCCTGTAATCCCAGCATTTTGGGAGGCTGAGGCAGGCGGATCACCTGAGGTCAAGAGTTGGAGACCAGCCTGACCAACATGGTAAAACCCTGTCTATACTAAAAATACAAAAAATTAGCTAGGCGTGGTGGCGGGCGCCTGTAATCCCAGCTACTCTGGAGGCTGAGGCAGGAGAATTGCTTGAACCCGGGAGGCAGAGGTTGCAGTGAGCCAAGATCGCACGCACCACTGCACTTCAGCCTGGGCAACAAGAGCGAGACTCCATCTCCAAAATAAAAATAAAAATAAATATAAATAAAAAGGAGAATTTGCTTTCCTTATTTAATATGAGGCATTTAGAAAGCATTTGCTCCCTTTGCTTTTGAAAGAGCACTTGAAACAGCAATTCTGGATGAACCCTGCATGTGGCAGTGGTCTTCATTTTTGTGGTATGAAGGTGTTTCTTATTAATCTACAGGGTGGAAGGAGGGCAGGAAATTAGGCTACTTAGCTGCATGCTCTCTCATTCCAGGGAGAACCATCTTTACTGCTTTTGGTCTCAGGTCTCTCACTGTAGCAACCAGTCTGGTAGATTTGTGACTCTTTGGCAAAGTAGACAGGACAAGATAGGGGTTAAGAGCGTGATCTCTGGGGTCCCTCCACTAAGGTTGCACCCTGACTTCATCACTTACCAGTTGGGTGGCTTTGGATGATTCACCTAACATGTTTTGCTTCCTCATCTGAATAAATTGGGATGGCAATAGCATAATTCCAAAGGATGATTTTGAGGTTTAAATTATATAATCCATACTCCTGGCACATAGTAAATGCTCATTAAATGCTAACTGCTCTTTTTATTTTTATCATCATCATCATCATCATCATCTATGAAAGGGGATTGATGAATTTATAGAATCATTTCTGCCAGAGCCCAACAAAGTGGCATAACAATGTTTGCTCTCTCCTGCCCTAGAACTTTCTGCTCACAATGTTTCCACAGACCAAACACACGCTAGCTAATAATAGGACAATCACAGATCAGTTAATGAAGAGTACGTGTATTATCGACAGAGTGGAAACTGAGACTTTGTTCTGTTTACTCATTCCCCTTATATATCATAAAGGTCAAGTTCTAACCACCTCCAGAAATAAGGTGCTCCGTGCAGAGCCCTCTTTCCCTAATCTCTCTATAGCTCATCTTCCCTCTTCCTTCTACAGCCCTCTCAGAAGTCTCCACATTTCCCAGTTCTCACTTCAAATTTCCTGGAAAACTCAGCCTCGTTCTAGGGGAGATAGAAGTTGTGCCCCTGGGAACTTCAAAATGCAAATTTAACTTCACCTGACTGCTAGTGCAGGCATCCTCTGCTCAGACCATCAGCTTCAAAGAGAGGAAGGGACCCTGGCCCATCAGTCGGGGTAGATGATGAATTCCCCTCTGGATTAATTTTCCCTCCAACAACAGCCATGGCTGATTCAGTCTCACAAGTTCCTTACGCAGCAAACTCACTTCATCATGGAGCTGAGGAATTGGCAAACTTCTTCTGGCAAGAGCCAGATAATAAATATTTTCGATTTTGTAGGCCAGGTGTTCTCTGTTGTAAGTCCTCAAGTCTGCCATGTTGCACAAAAGTAGCCACAGATGATACCTAAATGAATGGGTGTGGCTGTGTCTCAATAACTTTATTTATGGACACTGAAATGTGAATTTCATATGATTTTCATGTCATGAAATATTATTCTGCTGATTTTCTCCTCAATCATGTAAAAGTATAAAAACCATTCTTAGCTTGCGAGCACACCAAAACAGCTGGCAAACTGGAATTGGCCCATAGGCTGTTTGTTCACTGACACAGATACAGCCACATCACTAAGCGGTGTTTGGTCCTGCCTTGCTGACCTTTTTCAGTATCCTACTTGTGGGGGCCACAGCCCTGGTGGTCTCATAACCATACCCAGTCCTTCCCTCCTACCTGCCAAGCTTTCTGCTCAGTTCTTGTCTTTTGACTGAAGAGTACAAAATTATTCTCCTTTATTTTATTCTTTATGGATTTAGTTTTTATATATGTCATGGTAAGAACGGTTGATATGGTGAGAATATATTCTCTTCCCAATTATTCCAGCACAATAGCACCAATGTTTATTATATTGAATGGAAGTTTTCTTCCTGGGAAATCTGTGATGGCTTTTAAAGAAGTCTTATATTGGTCAGGCGCGGTGGCTCCTGCCTGCAATCCCAGCACTTTGGGAGGCCGAGGTGGGTGGATCACTGGAGGTTAGGAGTTTGAGACCAACCTGGCCAATGTGGCGAAACCCTATCTCCACTAAAAATACAAAAATTAGCCGGATGTGATGGCAGGCACCTGTAATCCCAGCTAGTCGGGAGGCTGAGGCGGGAGAATCGCTTGAACCCAGAAGGCAGAGGTTTCAGTGAGCCGAGATCACGCCACTGCACTCCAGTCTGGGCAACAGAGTGAAGCTCTGTCTCAAAAAACAAACAAACAAACAAAACAAAACAAACAGAAAAACCCTTATATTGAGTATTAGGATCTGTTTCTGGGCTAATTTGTCTCTCCTATTAATCTCTGCCAAATCCTGTGTGTTCAACTTTGATTTTATTCTTATAGTTTTATGATATTGTATGAAACTATATCCCATAGTTCTATAATTTTATAATTTTAATAGAGAGCAGAGCTAGTTTTCCCTGTTGGGCTTTTAGTTTTCAAAATTGTTTAGCTATTTGAAGCAGAATTCAGACTGACTCCTTCTATACCATCCAAATCCCTCTCCTCTTCCTCACTAGGGGCTGAAGAAGCTGAACACTCAAGTTCCCAATCTCCTTTGTTGCTCTGGGCAGACAGAAAGTACAGTTCCAGTTAATTAAGCAGAAGTGAGGTCTACTAGGGGAGTTTCTGGGAAAGTTTTTACTTCGCTGATACCGTGAACAACTGTGGCTGTTCCTTCTTTTTCCCCCTCTTTCTGTCTTGAAAGCAGATGTATGCTAACCATCTTGAACTTAAGAACCATTTTGTCAAGTTAAAAAAAAAAGTGAAGGCCGGGTATGGTGGCTCATACCTGTAATCCTAGTGCTTTGGAAGGCCAAGGTGGAAGGATTGCTGGAGCCCAGGAGCTGCAGGCTGGAGTGAGTTATGACTGCACCATTGCACTCCAGCCTGGGTGACAGAGCAAGATCCTGTCTCTAAAAAAAAAAAAAAAAAGAAATTAAGTCAGTTAAGCCAGGCGGCTTTGTACAGCTCTGTGGAATGACAGAACTTATAAAATGTCCTTTCTCTAGAGCTGTGGGGAAAATGAGGCAAATACTGTATGGGCAACCTCCTGAATGTGTTTCATTTATTCATCTATAATAGCAGGGCTTGGATAAATCTTTCCTATATGCTATGTGTGGGGCTAAGAAATGACCTTATTGTCAAAGGTTGATGAATGCACAGATACAGGGTAAGAAGCCAATCTGGAATGATGGTTTCCATTTTCCACTTGAGAGTTTAAGCCTGGGCAGCAGATACCTGCTCTGTGAACTCTTTACATGAGCAACTTCCCAGCACAAATTGTTCTCATTTCCCAGGCTCACATGTCCACCAGTCCCTACTTTCTGAGGATGACTTTTTCTGTCTCAGATTCCCTTGTGTAGGGAACATTCTCTTCCAGTGAACCTGGCTACCCCACTGGAGCTTGTGGCTGTAGGAGACATGCTTGGAGCCAGTTGTTACTACAGGGGCCTGAGATAAGCCAAGGGTACCAGATGACTGTGAATTACAGGCACTGTTGAGTGTGTGCTTTGAGACCAGAAAGAGGAAAGCTTTTTACTCAAAGCAGAAGTAAAACAGGCTTTTGTGGGGGAAGTGGAAATTAGCTGGTAGGAGTTCTTTGTACCACACATATAAAAATAGGAGTGCTCCTGGAGAGGAGTGCAGCTGGCAGGGACCTGTGGTTGGTCAAAGTGATCAGCAACGTTGCTTGCAAGCCAAAACCATGAGTCACCTTCAGTGGAGCCTGGTGTCCTGAATCCAACACTTTCCTTCTTTGTCCCCATAACTGTGACCTCCCTTCAGAGGTTTTCTGAGGAAACTCAAGACCTGTACCCATTGAAATATGGAGGGACAGCCTGACCTCTTAAGCTTAGAATGTTGAGGCCTGAGCTTGCTCTGGGGCTAGAAAGCTCTGATCCTAGGCCGGATAATTTACTGAGTTATTTGTCTTTGTTTTCTTTGTACATTACTCAGCCTTCAGGGCAGGTAGCCAGGACTTTGAGCTTTCAGGGCCCAAAGAAGAAGCCTGCACATCACTTTCCGTCCTGACTTTTTCCTCCTTCACTCTGAGGGATTTGAGCATGCTGCGCTAGGAGAAGAAGTGGTAGAGTGTTTTTGAGAGACACAGTCCTTAAGATTATTCCCCAAGGGAAGGAAAGGATATGCACAGTTTTTAAAATAATGGGGCTCTGTGGCCCACCCTCCATAGAATCTCAGGAAGATGACAGGGTGTCCGGGAGCCATGACTGCATGTTGAGCCTAGAAAGGTCTTTCTGACTCTGGGTATGGAGGCTCTCAGCTCTGGCAAAGATTTCCAGGGGAACAACAGGGATGTCCAACTTCACTCTATAAGCTTGGCCAGCAGGCAACTTGGTGGAAACCTCGTAGATAAGGGGTTGGCCCATAGGTCAAATCTGGGCCGTCGTCTGTTTTTGTATAACCTATGAGCTTAGAATGGTGACATTTTAAAGTGTTTGGGAAAAAAAATCATATTTTATGACCCATGCAATTATATGAAATTCAAATTTCAGTGTCCATAAATAAAGTCTTCCTGGGATACAGTCAAGTTCATTCATTTTCCTACTGTCTACGGCTGCTTTTAAGCAACAATGGTAGAGTTGAGTGGTTGTGACAGAGAGCTGCTTGGATTGCAAAGCCTAAAATATTGACTATCTGTTCTCTACAGAAAAAGTTTGTGGATCTCTGATGTAAACCAATGACCAGACATACCGCATGAATGTTTGGCTTCACATAAACACTCCTGGCCATTAGCTCTGGGACTGGGCATGGGATTTGGAGGTGGGGAAGAGAAGGCAATCCTCTCAACCTCTGAAATTAAATTTCCCACTAGCTGAGCAGAAAGGAAGCTCAGTGTCATGCCTACCATAATTTAAAGTAAGTAAAGCCATATGAACTTTCTGGAACATTCAGGTTTGTGTTGCAAATTGATTCCTATCATGCTTTATCTCATAAGCCTCCCTGGCAAAGACTTTCTATTAGACAATCATGGCTTTTGTTTTACTGGTTCCATTATGGAAGTAACACCCTTAGGTCTCCTCAATCTCAGCGTGTCCAAATCCTACCATTAGAGCCCAACTTAAACATTCTCCCTCCTCTCTGCCCCTAGTAGTCTTGACCTGCTTTTTCGACTTGCAGGTCCACCTAAGATTTTTCGGCATAAACTTACTTTCAGATATTATGACTGGTTTTCCTCAGAGTCTTGGACAATTTCTCCCAAATTAGAAAGTTTTGATGGGATGTCTCCACCCTCTGAATCTTCCCTGGATTCTGTTGCCCACATCACATTATGGTAATTCATTTACAGGCATACCTCAGAGATATTGTAGTTCAATTCCATACCACTCCAATAAGGCAAATATGGCAATAAAGTGAGCCATACAAGTTTTTGGTTTCTTAGTGCATATAAAGTTATGTTTACAAGGGTGTGGTGTCTCTTATCTGTAATTCTAGCACTTTGGGAGGCCAAGGAGGGAAGATCACTTGAGGTCAGGAGTTCAGAACCAGCCTGACAATATGGTGAGACCCCCTATCTCATGAAAAAGAAAAAAAAAGTGTCATTTTTATGCATTGGCATTTCCTCCAGGTGATGAAATTTTAAAAATTAGCTGGGTGTGGTGGTGCATGCCTCTGGTCCTAGTTACTTGGGAGGCTGAGGCCGGAGGATCGCTTGAGCCCTGGACTTTGAGGCTGCAGTGCGAGACGATTGCACAATTTCCCTCCAGTCTGGGTGACAGAGCAAGACCCTGTCTCTAAAATAAAAAAAAGTTATGAGTTATGTTTACACTATACTGGAGTCTATTAAGTGTGCTATCACATTATGTCTAAAATATGGACTTATCTTAATTTAAAAATACCTTATTGCTAAAAATGCTAATGATCATGTGAGCCTAATGATCATCTGAGCCATTTAGCAAGTCATAATATTTTTGCTGGTGAGGGGGGTCTTGCCTCAATGTTGCTGACTGCTGACCCATCAGGGTGGGGATTGCTAAAGGTTGCGGTGGCTGGGAAAATTTCTTAACTAAGACAACAATGAAGTTTGTTGCATTGGTTGATTCTTCCTTTCATGAAAGATTTCTTGGTAGCGTGCAATGCTGTTTAATAGCATTTTACTAACAGTAGAGCTTCTTTCAAAAATGGAGTCAATCCTTGCAAACCCTGCCAGTACTTCTTCAACTAAGTTTATGTAATATTCTAAATCCTTTGTTATCATTTCAACAGTGTTCACAGAAAATTCACCACATGTCAATTTCATCTCAAGAAACCACTTTCTTTACTCATACATATGAAGCAATTCCTCATTCATTCACGTTTTATCATGAGATTGCAGTAATTCAGTCACATCTTCAGGCGCCACTTCTAATTCTAGTTCTCTTGTTATTTCCACCACATCTGCAGTGACTTCCCCCCACTAATGTATTGAACCCCTCAAAGTCATCCATGAGGGTTAGAATCAGTTTCTTCCAAACTCCTGTTAATATTGATATTTTGACCTCTTCCTATGAATCACAAAAGCTTTTTTTTTTTTCTTAATTGAGACAGAGTTTCACTCCTGTCGCCCAGACTGGAGTGCAATGAAGCAATCTGGGCTCACTGCAACCTCCACCTCCCGAGGTCAAGCAATTCTCCTGCCTCAACCTCCTGAGTAGCAGGGATTATAGGTGCCTGCCACCACGCCCAGCTAATTTTTGTATTTTTAGTAAAGACAGGGTTTCACCATGTTGGCCAGGCTGGTCTCGAACTCCTGATCTCAGGTGATCCACCCACCTCAGCCTCCCAAAGTGCTGGGATTACAGGCGTGAGCCACCGCACCCGGCCCACAAATGCTCTTAAAGGCATTTAGAATGATGAATCCTTACCAGAAGTTTTTCAATTTACTTTGCCCAGATCCATCAGAGGAATCACTGTCTGGCCTTATGAAACGTATGACAGATCCAACCTTATGAAATGTATTTCTTAAATAATAAGATTTGAAAGTCAGAATGACTCCTTGATCCATGGGCTGCAGAATGGATGTTGTGTTAGTAGGCATAAAAATGACATTAATTTCCTTTTATATCTCAATCAGAACTCTTGGGAACTCTTGGGTGACTAGTTACGTTGTCAGTGAGCAGTTATCTTTTGAAAGGGATCTTTTTTCCTGAGCAATAGGTCTCAAGAGTGGGCTTAAAACATTCAGCAAACCAGTCTGTAAACAGATGTTTTGTGATCTAGCACTCTCTACAGGCAGAGTACATTTTGTATAATTCTTAAGACCCTAGAATTTGGGGAATGGTAAATGAGCATCGGTTTTAACTTAAAGTCAACAGCTGTATTAGCTTCTAATGAGAGAGTCAACCTGTCTTCTGAAGCTTTGAAGTCAGGCATTGACTTCTCTCTAGCTGTGAAAGTCCTAGATGGCATCTTCTTCCAATAGAAGGTTGTTTCATCTACAAAATATGTTGT
This sequence comes from Homo sapiens, assembly GCF_000001405.40. Taxonomy (NCBI): domain Eukaryota; kingdom Metazoa; phylum Chordata; class Mammalia; order Primates; family Hominidae; genus Homo; species Homo sapiens. The sequence goes on along the minus strand of NC_000009.12, from coordinate 112,008,677 downwards.
TTAGTGTAGCCACCTTCATCAATGATCTTAGCTACATCTTCTACATCTTCTGGATAACTTGCTATAGCTTCTGTATCAGCACTGCCTCAACTTGTACTTTTTTATGTTATGGAGACAGCCTCTTTCCTTGTGTTTGTTTGTTTGTTTGTTTGTTTGTTTGCTTGTTTGGTTTGTTTGTTTTTTTAGACAGGGGTTTGCTCTGTCACCTAGGCTGGAGTGCAGTGGCATGATCATGGCTCACTACAGCCTTGACCTTCCAGGCTCAAGTGATCTTCCCATTTCAGCCTCCCAAGCAGCTGGGACTATAGGTGAGCACCACCATGCCCAGCCAATTTTAAAAAAATCATTTTTCATAGAGATGAGGTCTTGTTATATTGCCCAGGCTGGTCTTGAACTTTTGAGCACAAGTGATCCTCCCATCTTGGCCTATCAAAGTGCTAGGATTACAGGCATGAGCCACTGTGCTTGGCCAGCTTCTTCCCTTAAACCTCATGAACAAATCTCTGCTTGTTTCAAGCTTTTCTTCTGAAGCTTCCTCACCTCTCTTAGCCTCATAGAACTGAAGAGTCTTAGGCCCTTGTTCTGGATTAGCCTGTGGCTTAAGGGAATGTTGTGGCTGGTTTGATCTTCTATACAGACCGTTTGAACTTTCTCTATATCAGCAATAAGGCTGTTTTGCTTTCTTATCATTCGTGTGTTCACTGAGTAGCACTTTTAATTTCTTTCAAGAACTTTTCCTTTGCATTCACAACTTGGTTGTCTGGCGCATGAGGCTTAGCTATGAGCCTTTTTTGGTTTTTGACATGCCTTCCTCACTAAGCTTAATCATTTCTAGTGTTTATTTAAAGGGAGAAATGTGTGACTCTCCCCTTGACTTGAACACTTACAGACGGATGTGGGGTTATTAATTGATTTAATTTCAGTATCGTTGTGTCTCAGGGGATCCCTATTCCCTATGAAGGCCAAGGAGAGTGAGAGAGACAGAGAAATGGCCAGTTGGTGGGGCAGTCAGTACACACACATTTATCAAGTATGTTTACCATCTTATATGGGCATGGTTTGTGGCACCCCAAAACAGTTACAATAGCAACGTCAAAGATCACAGATCATAAATCACTGTAACAGACATAATAATGGAAAAGTTTGAAATATTTCAAAATTATCAAAATGTGACACTGAGACATGAAGTGAGCACATGCCATTGGAAAACTGGCACCGATAGCCTGCTGGACTCAGGGTTGCCACAAGACTTCAATTTGTAAAAAACACAATATCTGTAAAGTACACTCAAGCAAAGCACAATAGAATGAGATACACTTATACATTTCTTGTGAGTTTCTGAGTTCAGGGACTGAATCTCAGGTAGGTGAGCCATACTGGACAAGAATCAGCACGACCCGGGTTCGAACTCTGGTTCTTCCACTGGCTGTATGACCACTGCCGATCATTAACATTTTCAAGCCTTCATTTCCTCATCTGCAAAATTCCAGCAACAACCCCTATGCCTCCAGAAGTGTGAGAATTAAATGAGATAGTGCCTGAAAGTGCATTTTAGGACCACCTCTGTCTCCTTTGCGGTCCAACGCAGGAGGCATACAAAATTGCTGACGCTCCTGTCTGTGGCTACCACACTGCGGGCAAGATAAGGCCTAGCTTTGGAAAAAACACTTTGCACCACGCATTTTCCCCTTCTTTGGAGGGTTGTAACTAGTCCTGAGAATTAATACCATTCTCTCACCCTCCCACTGTGCCTCTAACAAACACAGCATAATCTCATGATCATAGCTGTGATGGGAATACCCAAGAGAACAGCGGGGGGAGAGTCTGAATGGGATCAGATGTCAGAGTGGGGGGCGGCCTGGAGAGGCCCCAAGGCCAGGAAGAGGAGCAGAGCTGACCGATGCTTCCACTGATGCTGCAAGCTGATGCACACTCGGAGCCCCCAACCCTTTTGGAGTACACTGGTATCTGCCACCCAGCCACCAGTGCCATGGCTGATAATGTGACTTTGCGTGAGATGTGACAGTTGCCTCTCTGCTCCTGCTTGGCCCTGGCTTTTGTGTAATCTCATTGGAAAGAGAGCCGATTATCCTTGAGAGGCCAAACAAATCTCAGGATGTACATCCTGCAGAGACAGGCTAATTTCACAACCCTCCAAGTTTATTTATTTTTTTTAAAAAAAGGAGATATTATTTGTACTTCTTCCCGTGAAATGTGCTCTGTGCAGTTACTTTGATTACCTCCTTCAACCACTTAGCTGCTTCACCTCTCTGAACCAGCTCCTTCGGAGGGATGTCGCCTCCATCGGATGGGGCAGGATCAGAGGCTGGGAGTCAGAAATCTTGTTTTCTGGCTTTGCCCTAATCCTGCTTTTATACTCTTTTCTGTTCCTTTTCCACAATGAAAGACTGAAATAGAGGCATTGTCCACCTCTAAGATTGCTGTGAGGAAGTCCCTGGGGAGGTACGTTGACAGGAGCCAGGCTGACCTTGTACCAATTCCTCGTCTAAGACACTTACAGGAAGTCGTTCTGGCGTGAGAAGAGGCTACTTTGGGGAAGAGGCTGAGTTCACCCTGGAGCCCCAGCCTGCACCTTGCACTGCCATTTTCTTCTCCATCGCAGTCTCTGCCAAGAGTCTCCGCCAAGAGTCTCCCTGCTTCCAGGCATGTTTGACAGACTGTGTGCCGGTGGAATCATCCCGTGAGGCCTTCATGGCTGGGGCAGGTCCCCCTTTAAAGGATCTTTGTAGTGGATCCATCCTCAGCGTTCTGAGGCACAATAGGTGGTTATCCTCCCTCCTGCACCTGCAATCTCTCCTCCAAGAGAGCATTTTTATCAACATGAAAACATGCTCTCTGCTTCCAGGTCCAAAAACAAACACATAAAAACCCAGAATAGGCTGAGTGCAGTGGCTCATGCCTGTAATCCCAGCACTTTGGGAAGCTGAGGCGGGAGAATTGCTTGAGCCCAGGAGTTAAAGACCACCCTGGGCAACTTGGCGAAACCCCGTCTCTACAGAAATACAAAAACATTAGCTGTGTGTGGTGGTGCGTGCCTGGGGTCCCAGCTACTCGGGAGGCTGAGGTGAGAGGATCACTTGATCCTGGAGAGGTTGAAGCTGCAGTGAGCTATGATTGTGCCCCTGCACTCCAGCCTGGGCAACAGAGTGAGACCCTTTCTAAAAACGACATAAAACGAAAAAAAACTCAAATAACCCGCCTTAGAGCCCATGTTCCTCTTTTTTTTTTTTTTTTTTTTTTTTTTTGAGACAGAGTCTCACTCATCACCCAGGCTGGAGTGCAGTGGCGTGATCTCTGCTCACTGCAACCTCTGCCCCCCAGGTTCAAGCGATTCTCCTGTCTCAGCCTCCAGAGTAGCTGGGATTACAGCTGCCCACCATCACCCTAGCTAATTTTTGTATTTTTAGTAGAGACAGGGTTTCACCATGTTGGCCAGGCTGGTCTCGAACTCCTGACCTCAGGTGATCCGCCTGCCTTGGCCCCTGAAAGTGCTGGGATTACAGGTGTGAGCCACCATGCCCAGTGAATGCTCCTCTTTGGATGCGACTCATTTTCTCTATTCTCCTTTTCAGCCAAACTTCTTGAGAGTGTCAGTTACCCTGACTGCCTCCACCCCACCCACTCTGCCTCCTATTCCACCTGCAACCCATAGCAGTGTGGTTTCTAGCTGAGGCTTCTTGCCATCAAAACTTCTCTCCTGAAGCTTGCTTTCTTGCAGTTCTCACCTTATTTGATCACTGTTGATTCCTCTCTTGTTTTTTTCAGTCTGCTTTCCTTTGGGCCCCATGACATCTCACAATCCTGGGTTTTTCTCTTACTTCTCTGGCCACTTTTTCTTAGTCTCTAATTCCTTGGCTTTATATGCCATCAGAGAGCACACTTCTTACAACAGAATGGCTCTTCGCAGTGTGGGAGCAGTTGGCTCTGATGTGTAAGGCCAGGTTGGGTCAGGATAAGCCCAGGGAAGAGGAAAACTGGGTTTTCAGCCCATGGGAATCACTGAAGAAGCAGCTCAACCAACCCTCTTTTCTCATCTGAGAAAGCCACTCATTGGGGGCTGTCGAAGGGGGATAGACTGTGACGGGGTCTGTGAACTGGGGATCCTTGATTGGCCCAGGGCCCCCCCAAGTGGGGATCTCTCAGTCAGATGGGTTAGCTTTGGCTCTCAAAATACATTATTTGCCCAGGAGTGGTGGTGCATACCTGTAGTCTCAGCTACTCGAAAGGCTGAGGCAGGAGGATTGCTTGAGCCCAGGAATTTCTGGGCTATCGTGTACTACGAGTGCACCCATGGACCACTGCACTGCAGCCTGGGCAACATAGTAAGACCTCACCTCTTAAAAAAATGATCTGAATGATTCCATTTATGTGAAATATCGAGAATAGGCAAATCATAGAGATAGAAAGCAAATCAGTGGTTTCCAAGTTCTGGAAGAGAGAGTGGGAAATGACTGCTTAATGGGTATGAAGTTTCCTTTCAAGGTAATGAAGATTTCTGCAATGAAATAGTAGTGATGGTTATACAGCATTGTGAATGTACCAGGTGTTAACTAATGTCTAAAAAAAAAAATCATGACCAGGTGTGGTGGCTCATATCTGTAATCCCAGCACTTTGGGCGGCTGAGGTGGGTGGATCTCCTGATGTCAGGGGTTTGAAACGAGCCTGGTCAATATGGCAAAACCCCGTCTCTACTAAAACTACAAAATTAGCTGGGCGTGGTGGTGCATGCCTGTAATCCCAGCTATTTGGGAGGCTGAGGCAGGTGAATGGCTTGAACCTGGGAGGTGGAGGTTGCAGTGAGCCAAAATTGCGCCATTGCACTCCAGCCTGGGCAAAAAGATTGAAACTCCGTCTCAAAAAAAAAAAAAAAAAAATCATCTGGGGTTTACCCCTGAAGAGGAACCACCACTGCTGAATTAAGTCACCTAGACCAGCGATGCACTCAAGGTCAACCATGATGAGGAGATAAGGAACTCTAACCTGGAAATGACTCTTCCCACCAAAACAATTGGAAACCACACTTTCCCATAATACAGAATGTGCTATTCCATAAGATAGCCGTAAGAGGACTTCTAAATTATATTAATTAACAGTGAACTGTGTGGTGTGACCATAGAATACACGCTTACAGTTGCTTTTTGTTTTTGTTTTTGAGACATAATCTCGCTCTGTTGCCCAGGCTGGAGTGCAGTGGTGCAATCCTGGCTCACTGCAACCTCAGCTTCTTAGGTTCAAGCGATTCTCCTGCCTCAGCCTCCTGAGTAGCTGGGATTACAAGCATGCGTCACCACGTCCAGCTAATTTTTGTATTTTTAGTAGAGATATGGTTTCACCATGTGGGCCAGGCTGGTCTGGAACTCCTGACCTCACGTGATCCACTTGCCTCAGCCTCCCAAAGTGCTAGGATTACAGGCGTGAGTCACCACGCCCGGCCAGTTGTTTTATAAACTATTTTTTCTTTCAAACTGGTATTTATGTGACTATGATGAGGTCAGATTTAACGTTTTGGTGGAGCGTTCTGATAGCCTGAACTGAGGCTGAGGAAGAAAGCTAATTTGAAATATCTAAGGCCTTGAACTGTCAGGACTCTGTAACCTTTTGGAGAAGTCTAGAATTACCCTTGACAAGTGAGGTGAGTGAACACTGCACTGTGCGAGTCCTTAACAGATGTTGTCTCATTGTATTTCTCACAGCAACCCTATGAGGGGACACAGGACAGCTGGGATCTGAACTAAGTATTTATGAGTCTGTGAGCCTACGTGAGTCCATCAACCAGAACTGGCCAGGAGAAGAAGCTGCTGGTGCCCTAGGGGTTCTGCTTGTGGATGCGAGCGCATTCATGATGGCATTTATCTTACTGGGCCTCCAGTCTGGTGTGGCTGCAGGAGACGTGAGCTACATGCTCAGCCTGTCTGGAACCTTGACGTTTTTCTGTCTCGCGGATGAACAAAACTTCTAGAGTTTGCTTACTTGTCAATTTCCCCCTCACTTCATTTCCTGACTTGTAAACAGGCAGGATGAGAGCAGGTGACTGGCACTTATGATAACCCAAGAGCTCTGCTGTGCTCAGCATATCCTGTTATTATAGGCCTCCAGTCTGCTTTGATATCTACCGTCCAATTTTCCCTCCTTTTCCCGGAACTGTAGTTAGGGGAGGGATTGGATTTATGGGGATAAAAATTTAAATTTTCCAGCCTGGGCAACATGATGAAACCTCATCTGTACAAAAAATACAAAAATTAGCTGGGTGTGGTGGAGCATGCCTGTAGTCCCAGCTACTTGGGAGGCTGAGGTATGACGATTTCTTGAGCCTGGGAGGCCGAGGCTGCAGTTAAGCCATGATCATGCTACTACATTCCAGCCTGGGCAATAGAGTGAGACTCTGTCTCAGAAAAGAATTCAACTTTTCACTGTGGGAGTCAGTGTGGTGTAATTCATGAGTCTTGGAACTGGCACTGGATTTAAATTCTAGTTTTAACAGGAAACTGAATTTCCCATCCTTACCTGGACGGAAAAATATTGAACTCAGGCCAGGCATGGTAGCTCACACCTGTAATCCCAGCGCTTTTGGAGGCTGAGGTGGGTGGATCACCTAAGGTCAGGAGTTCAAGACCAGCCTAGTCAGCATGGTGAAACCAAGTCTCTACTAAAACTACAAAAATTCGCCGGGCGTGGTGGTGTGGGCTTGTAGTCCTAGCTACTTGGGAGGCTGAGGCAGGAGAATCCCTTGAACCAGGGAGGCAGAGGTTGCAGTGAGCCGAGATCATGCCACTGCACTCCAGCCTGGGTGACAAAGCGAGACTCCGTCTCAAAAAAAAAAATATATATATATGTATACACACACACACACACACACACACACACACACACGCATATATCTCAGAGTAATTCATGAGGCCTAAATAAAATAATTGGAAAAGACTCAATATATGATGGTGCTCATGGTGAACAGGATGGGATAAATGTAGTAACTTATTAAGAATATGGGGTTCAGTCTGGGCGCGGTGGCTCATGCCTGTAATCTCAGCACTTTGGGAGGCCGAGGCAGGCGGATCACTTGAGGTCAGGGGTTTGAGACCAGCCTGGCCAACAAGATGAAACCCCATCTCTAGTAAAAATACAAAAATGAGCTGGGCGTGGTGGCGGGCGCCTGTAATCCCAGCTACTTGGGAGGCTGAGGCAGACAATCGCTTGAACCTGGAAGGTGGAGGTTGCAGTGAGCTAAGATCATGCCACTGCCCTCCAGCCTGGGTGACAGAGCAAGACTCTGGATCAAAAAAAAAAAAAGTGGGGTTCAGGTGGAAATAGGGGGAGGCAGGGCCCTGCTTCTTCCTCCTTGAGTGAAGCAGGACGGTTTCAGGACTCCGCCTTTCTTCTTCTCTCTTCCAGAGTTCGCTCCTGGCCCAGCACCTTCAACCCAGCCCCTTACTTTATAGGCTTTGCCCCTTCTCCTGCACCAAGGCCGAGGGTTGGCATGGCTTGCTGTAAGTGTGTGGGGCCTAAAATTGGGAAAAATAATAAAATATGTGGTTTGTTCTTGGTGCAACTAATGTACTGAATTTAGTCCTTTCTCTCCTTAGGGTAAGCTTTCCCTCGAAGTACCCTGATCTCTCCTTTCCATAGTCCCCTCCACACACACACACCCATTCCCAACCCTCAGCTTCCAGAAAGTGTGTGAATCAGGCCAGCTCCCTCCAGCGGTAGCCTCAGTCCCACCACAGCATGCTCTCAGTTGCTCAAGAAATGACCAGTGGAGCGGGTATCAGTAGAGAGAGTCAACAGATAATTCCTTGCTTCACTTATTAACCAGAATAAAGAAATCAGCTTGGTACTTGGATTACAGTATTTCTCAATTTCCTTCTATATTTCCTTCTGTATCAGCCATTTGAATGATACCACCCAGAATAATAGGCCAAGTGAAATGGCTCATGCCTGTAATCCCAGCACTTTGGGAGGCCAAGGTGGGTGGATTCCCTGAGGTCGGGAGATCGAGACCGGCCTGGACAGCATGGCAAAACCTCATCTTTACTATAAATACAAAAATTAGCCCGGCGTGGTAGTGCACGCCTGTAATCCCTGCTACTGGGGAGGCTGAGGTATGAGAATTGCTTGAACCCGGGAGGCAGAGGTTGCAATGAGCCGAGATCGTGTCACTGCACTGCAGCCTGGGCAACAGAGTGAGATTGTCTCAAAAAAAAAAGAAGAAGAATATCAGCTAGCATATATTAAACATACACTGTGTTTTTAGAACTGTTCTAGGATATTTAGGGTGTTAACTGTATTAACTCAATTAGCAACAACTCCGTGAATTTGAGACAATTATTTCTCTATCTTACAAATAAAGAAACAGAGGCACCGAAAGGTCAAATCACTCATTCAAGGTCATACAACTGGTTAGTGGTAAACCGAGAATCAAACCCAGGGTGTTTAACTCTACCTCCTGGGCTTTTAACATTGCATTAGGGCAGAATAGAGTATAGGAAAAGACTTTCAGTCAAGTGTTAGGGTCTGAATTTTGGGTCATAACTCAAAGGTCAATAGCTACTGGGATGTAATCAACATATTGTTATTTGCATATATCTATAATCAGAGCTTGTGAGTCATGCTATACATTAGTGAGGCCAACTTTGGAAAATATAATTTGCTCCAACATATTTGAAGATGTTACAAAAATTAGGACCTTTATATAAGATTTTAAAATATGTTCTACCAATAAAAAGAGAGTAAAATTTACTCACAAAATTTCCTTCTTATCTGGGTTCCACTTATACCTTCCAAGCATCACCTATCTCGAGCAGGTGGCTCCAAAGCCATAGTTCTCATATACAGAGAAATTAAAAAGACCATATAAGTAATTTCTGCTTTCAAACTTACATACTCTCTACATTAAAAAATGTATTTCAATCCCTTACCTGATACTTAAAAACTTAGAGAAGGGGAAAATTAGCTTCAATCTTAAGATTTAGAGAGGCCAAACCTTTCTGGGTATCCCATCTTCGGGTGGGTAGCAGTAATGAGGGAGCATGACTGTATACTTGTCCCCGTACACTCCCAGCATCTGCTGGGTCGGGCCTGTGCTCTCTGAATATTTGGTAACATGGCAGCTCCTATCTTCCAGCTACTGCCCTCTGAAAGCCTGCCAAGAGCATTCCTGGTGACATCTTGTGCAACCTACAAACTCTTCTTATAGCACAGGCTCTGCTATGACATGGACCAGAGCAAAGGTAGACACTGCAAAATTATTTCTTCCCAGTGAGGCAAGTATGATTGAGCACATATCCTTGCTCTGTTTACTGGAGAAACAGACTGATCAACTGGCATGAAATATTGAAACATGAAACTTACACTACCATTAGAAAAAAATCAGTCCTAACTGCAAAGATCGTGAAAATGAATTTGAAAGCATAGTGCAGCACGGTTGAAAGAGGAATATAATAATATCAGTCGATTATTTAGCACCTTGCACAATGTATTTTAGTTAATTTTCACAATGAGCCCTACAAACTGGATATTACTATTATCCCCATTTTTATGGATTGGGAAACTGAAGCTTTGAGGGTTGAGGTAACTTGTTCACAGTTACACAGCTGGTAAGTGGTAGAACTGGAATTCAAATCCAAACAGTCTGACTCTGATAGTTACCTTCCTAATGCTAAGCAATGCTTCTGGGCCCTCCAAGCCTACTGTTACTGCTCTGAAGCCTGCTTGAGTTAATGATGTCACCACTCACTGGTCCCCAAACTCAGTAGTCATCTTGACTAGTCTTCATTCCTCTCACATCCATTTAATGTGTTTGTTGAGGCTCTGCCACGTGCCAGGTAGTATGGGTACAATGGCAAATAAGACAGTAAAAATTCCTGCCCAAGTTAAGGCAATGAGAGTCTTCTCTGGGGTTGTACAATTTGTATTTATTTATTGAGACAGAGTCTCGCTCTGTTGCCCAGGCTGGAGTGCAGTGGCGTGATCTCAGCTCACTGCAACCTCTGCCTCTCGGGTTCAAGCAATTCTCCTGCCTCAGCCTCCCAAGCAGCTGGGATTACAGGCGCCCACCACCACCCCTGGCTAATTTTTGTGTTTTTAGTAGAGACAGGGTTTCACCATGTTGGCCAGGCTGGTTTTGAAATCCTGACCTCAAGTTATCTGCCCACCTTGGCCTCCCAAAGTGCTGGGATTACAGTGTAAAGAGCCACTGCACCCTGCTGGGGTTGTACAATTTGGAATCAGATAGGGGAAATATCAGTCTCCTTCTGGTAATGAAACAGGGAGATGCAAGACCAGGCAACCTCTTGCCGTCATGTTTCCTGTCATGTGGAGAAATTCAGAGGAAAGTAAGCCTGACATTAAGAGAAAGTTGGAAGTGAGAGATGCAGAGAGGAGCCTGGCAGCAGTGTCCAAGATGCTGTTTCCAGCTGTCCCCAGACCAGTGCACCCTGCTCTTGCTGCATTTCTGTTAACGTTTTAATAATTTCCACTTTCTGCCTAATGGTTAGAGTTGTGTTTCTGTCACTTGCAGCCAAATCATCCTTGAATGATACAGACAAAGCAAACAGGCACCCACTATCCCACCCTCAGAGATCACCCATCTTCACATCGTGGTGTATATTCTCCCAGTAGCATCGCTTAAAGCACCTGTCCGGGTCCGTCATCCTGATCATGGCCCCAATTCACAGAGAGTGACCTCCAGGTGCCATGTGAATACACTTATTCCTACTCATGTGGCCATAGTTTATTAATCCAGACATTCACTTCTGGCCCATATTGGGACTATCAGAAAAATTCCTAAAATTTTACCTTTGGACTATAAGGACACAGGGACTAGATGGGAATCAGTTCATCAGAGTTGTAGAGGGAGAAGTTCCTCAAATCCATCTGTTGAGAAGAATCCTGGCATTATTGTTCCTTATCTGATCATATCTTAAAAGTATAACACTTCCTGGCCAGGTGCGGTGGCTTACGCCTGTAATCGCATCACTTTGGGAGGCCAAAGCAGGCAGATCACAAGGTCAGGAGTTCAAGACCAGACTGACAAACATGGTGAAACCCCCATCTCCACTAAAAATACAAAAATTAGCCAGGCATGGTGGCACGCGCCTGTATCCCAGCTACTCAGGAGGCTGAGGCAGGAGAATCGTGTGAACCTGAGAGGCGGAGGTTGCAGTGAGCTGAGATTGTGCCACTGCACTCCAGCCTGGGTGACAGAGCTATACTCTGTCTCAAAAAAAAAAAAAAAAAAAGTATAACACTTCCTGCAATTTCATGAGATATTCCGCATTTTTCCAATAAATTCATTCCCTCTTTTTTCTTTAAGTTGGCTATATCAGCCTTGGTTTATCACAAACAAAAAGTTTAACTCTTAAATTCTTTCAGATTTTCTCTATCTGTGGATATGTGTGAATATATAACATGTAATGAAAATTGGACCATACTCTATAAACCATTTTGTAAGAAACTATGAACATTTTTCAAAGACAATAAATATTATTTATTATTAACAATATAATAATGTATATATGTACTATTGTTTATTTAACCTACTTCTTATTTTTGGCCATTTAGGGGGTTTAATATTTTTCTCTATTATTAAAAACTTCTACTTCTTTTTTAGGGTAGATAAATTCCTGAAAGTCACATTGCTGGGCCAAGTAAATGCAATTTGGAAGACTTTTAATTTGTATAACCAAATTATTTTAGAAAATGTGTGCCAATTTACATTGTCATTCTTGGAGAATAATAGTAATTTCCTTATACGGTCAACAACATTAGAAATTGTAATTATTTTGTATCTTTGTCAATCTAGTAAACAAAATGACACTGCTTTGTTTTAATTTGCATTTGTTTGATCATTGTGAAATGAATATTTTTTCAACCCAAATTCGTGGCTATTTGTATAATTTCATTTGTAAATTGTGTGTTTTGGTGCTTGCTTTGGCGGCACATATACAAAAATTGGAATAATACAGAGAAAATTACCGTGACTCCTGTATAAGATGACATGCAAATTTTGAAGAGTTCCATATTTTCATAAGAATGATACAATGAACTTTCGGGACTGGGGGTGAAGGTTGAATGGGGAGTGGAGGATAAAAGACTACATATTGGGTACAGTGTGCAATGCTTGGGTGATGGGTATGCTACAATCTCAAAACTCACCACTAAAGAACTTATCCATGTTACCCAAAACTACCTGTACCCCAAAAACTATTGAAATAAAAATTTAAATTAAAAAATATTTTTAAAAAATATCTGTTTTGGTCCTTTGTCCACTTTTCTGTTGGAATTTTAATTTTTTCATTTTTAATTTGTAAGAAACATAAAAATATATATATATATTCAAAATGCATTTGATATTTGAAAAATATTTGTGCTGTCACTATTTTTCCAGTTTGATATTTGTCTTTTATTTATTCTTTGTTATTGTTTTTATTGTCGCTGCTTTACAGGAGTATTTACTTTTATATGACCTTTAGTCTTATTAATATTTTCCTTTGTAGTTTCTGATTTTTATGCTATGCTTCTAAGGGCTTTTCTTTCTTTCTTTTTTTTTTTTTTTTTTTTGAGTTGGGAGTCTCGCCCTGTTGCCCAGGCTGGAGTGCCGTGGCAGGATCTTGGCTCACTGCAACCTCCGTCTCCCAGGTTCAAGCAATTTTCCTGCTTTAGCCTCCTGAGTAGCTGAGTTTACAGGTGCCTGCCATCACGCCAGGCTGATTTTTGCATTTTTAGTAGAGACGGAGTTTCACCATGTTGGCCAGGCTGGTCTCGGACTCCTAACCTCAGGTGATACGCCCCCCTCGGCCTCCCGAAGTGCTGGGATTATAGGCATGAGCCACCATGCCTGGCCTCTAAAGGTTTTTCGCATGCCAATATTATATGAATATTCACCTACATATAGGCACACCTTGTTTTGTTACACTTCACTTTATTGCGCTTCACAGATACTGCATTTTTTCCAAATTGGAGGTTTGTGGCAACCCTGCATGAAGCAAATCTCTTGGTGCCTTTTTCTTAACAGTATGTGCTCACTTTGTGTCTCTGTGTCATATTTTGATAACTCATGTGATATTTTAAACTTTTCCATCATTATGGTGATCTGTGATCGGTGATCTTTGATGTTACTATTGTCATTGTTTTGGGGTGCTATGGATCACGCCAATATAAGACAGCAAACTTTTTTTTTTTTTTTTTTTTTGAGAAGGGTTTCACTCTGTCACCCAGGCTGGAGTGCAGTGGCACAATATCGGCTCACTGTAATCTTGCTTCCCGGGTTCAGGTGATTTTCCTGCCTCAGCCTCCCGAGTAGCCAGGACTACAGGTGTATGCCACCACACACGGCTAATTTTTGTGTTTTTAGTAGAGACGGGGTTTCGCCATGTTGGCCAGGCTGGTCTCAAACTTCTGACTTCAAACGATCCACCTGCCTCGGCCTCCCAAAACTCTGGGATTACAGGCATGAGCCACTGCACCCACAAAGACAACAAACTTAATTGATAAATGCTGCGTGTGTTCTGACTGCTCCACTCACTGGCTGTTCCTTATCTGGCTTCGTCTCCTTGAGCCTCTCTATTCCCTGAGACACAATAATATTGAAATCATGTCAATGAATAACCCTACAATGGCCTCTAAGTGTTCCAGTGAAAGGAAGAGTCACATGTTTCTCACTTTCACTCAAAAACTAGAAATGATTAAGCTTAGTGAGGAAGCCAGATGAAAGCCAAGATAAGCTTTCAAAGCTAGGCTTCTCATGCCAAACAGCCAAGTTATGAATGCAAAGGAAGAGTTCTTGAAAGAAATTAAAAGAGCTACTCCAGTGAACATACAAATGATCAGAAAGCAAAACAGCCTTATTGCTGATATGGGAAAAGTTTTAATGGTCTAGATACAAGATCAAAACAGCCACAACATTCTCTGAAGCCAAAGCTTAATCCAGAGCAAGGCCCTAACTCTTTTCACTTCTATGAAGGAAGAGAGAAGTGAGGAAGCTGCAGAAGGAAAGTTTGAAGCCAGGAAAGGCTGGTTCATGAGGTTTAAGGAAAGAAGCCATCTCTATAACATAAAAGTACACAATGAAGTAGCAAGTTCTGATGTAGAAGCTACAAGTTATCCAGAGGATTTAGTTAAGATAATTGATGAAGGTGGCTACACTAAACAACAGATTTCCAATGTAGATGAAATAGCCTTCTAGTAGAAGAAGATGCCATCTAGGACTTTCATAGTTAGAAGTCAATGTCTTCCTTCAAAGCTTCAAAGGACAGGTCGACTGTCTTTTTAGGGGCAAATGCAGCTGGTAACTTTAAGTTGAAGCCAATGCTCATTTACCATTCCCAAAATCCTAGGGCCCTTAAGAATTACACTAAATCTCATGCCTGTAATCCCAGCGCTTTGGGAGGCCAAGGTGGGATGATTGCCTGAGCTCAGGAGTTTGAGACCAGCCTGGGCAACACAGTGAAACCACATCTCTACTAAAATACAAAAAAATTAGCCAGGCGTGGCGGTGTGTGCCTGTAGTCCCAGCTACTCGGGAGGCTGAGGCAGGAGAATCGCTTGAACCCGGGAGGTGGAGGTTGCAGTGACCCGAGACCACACCACTGCACTCCAGCCTGGGCAACAGAGCGAGACTCTGTCTAAAAAAAAAAAAAAAAAAATTACACTAAATCTACTCTGCTTGTGCTCTATAAATGGAACAGCAAAGCCTGAATGACAGCACATCTACTTATAGCATGGTTTACTGAATATTTTAAGCCCACTGATTCGCCTGGTACAAAGTTGTTTAACTTTTTACATGAAATATTTGTCATCCCCTCCCCACCCAACCCACTCCGCCATTTGCTTTCTCTTATAACAAAGTCCTTAGTTTAGTATTTTCCAAGGTCAAACTCTGGGTTCTCTGCCCTCTAGTCTCCACATTCTCTAAGCTTATTTTTCATTTAGGTTTCTTATAGGACTGAGTATGGGACTGCAGTTTAGCTTGAAAAGAGACAAGCTTATATTACTTGAAAGGAAAGGGCATGTATTATGAGGTTTGCAGTATAACCTGAACTTTTTGCATTTTTAGGTGGAGAAAGGGGTCAAACAGCCTTGCCACATCTGAAGAGTTGACCTATGGCCTTGTTGTAAGGTAATTTTTTTGCTTTAGGGCTGCTACAGTGAGGAGTAAAGCTTTGAAGTGTATTGGGTTAGTAGAGATCTTGGTAGAAATGGAGAACTGTGTATTAGAGATTTTCATATCAAGCAGTTTATGGTATTTGTTAACATTTTCTAAATCTTTATGTCAGTAATTACATTCTTTTGAAACTCAGGATAAATATAGTTATTTCCGTTGCTTTATTTATTTAATAATTAGGTTTGCCAGAGATTTATCTCTTTAATTGGTTTTTGTTTTCCCAAAGAAACAGCTCGAGTTGATTTATCTGTTCTATCCATTTTTGTTTCCTAATTAGTAAGCTTTCACTTTCATCTTTATCATTTTAATCTTCTTGGTTTTCTTAGGATGAATTTTGTTTAAATCCTTGTCATTAAATGTTAAACATTTTTGTTATTCTGTTTTGTAATAAAAGCATTATTAAATGACAGTATTCCATTAATATTTATAAGTTGTATTTTATAAATAATTTGCAATAGTATTTTAATTTGGTGGGGGGAGGTGTGAAGTCTTTTCTAGTTTCCAGTTGGTTGATATTAGAAATCAAGATGGAATTTTTGTAACACCTCTCAGTAATAGTAATATTTATATCCAGGAATATGGGAATGCAGAAATCATCCTTATTCAGCCACTCTATAATTTTCCCTAGAGTTTTCTGCAGAGCTATATTAAAAAACACCTCTAATCAGTCTTAGAAACATGTCTCTTTTAAAACCTAGCAGTGCTCTCTCTAACCTGGCAAAAGTTTCATATTTTTAAACCACAGCCTTGTTCCATGTGTCATGTTCTCCTGTTGGTGGTGAATCATCAACGTGTCAGTTTTGCATAGTACTGAGGTGTTCTGCCTTGCTATCTGGCTCTTGAAAGGCCCATTGAAGAATGCCTTTACCCAGCTCCCTGAAAGACGTATAATAGCCTAGGTGAGCTAGAGAAAGAACTCAGGAATGGGAATATCATGGCAGCACTGAAACTCACTTACTTATTATATACAATAACTGGAAATGTAGTTCTAAAGTGACTGCAAAAATCAAAGATTATTACTGAAGTTGGTAGTATGGGCCAGGCACAGTGGCTCACGCGTGTAATTCCAGCACTTTGGGAGGCCGAGGCAGGTGGATCACCTGAGGTCAGGAGGTCGAGACCAGCTTGGCCACATGGTGAAACCCCGTCTCTACTAAAAATACAAAAATTAGCCAGGCATGGTGGCACATGCCTTTAATCCTATTTGGGAGGCTGAGGCAGGAGAATCTCTTGAATCTGGGAGGCGGAGGTTGCAGAGAGCCAAGATCGCGATTGTGCCACTGCACCCCAGCCTGGGGAATAGAGCGAGACTCCATTTCCAGGGGAAAAAAAAAATTGATAGTATGCCAAATGTGTACAAAAATAACCTGAGTGTAAAACCTATACTTGCGGCTGGGCATGGTGGCTCACGCCTGTAATCCCAGCACTTTGGGAGGCCAAGGCGGGAGATCACGAGGTCTGGAGATTGATACCATCCTGGCCAAGACGGTGAAACCCCGTCTCTACTAAAAATACAAAAATTAACCAGGCTGGTGGCACGCCCTTGTAATCTCAGCTACTCGGGAGGCTGAGGCAGGAGAATCGCTTGAAACTGGGAGTCGGAGGTTGCAGTAAGCCAAAATGGCGCCACTGCACTCCAGCCTGGCTACAGAGTGAGACTCCGTCCAAAAAAAAAAAAAAAAAACCAAACCAACCAAACAAACGAAAAAACCTATACTTGCACTATTTTATTCTTTTTCTGTCATTATCTTCTCTGCTAACCTGTAGGCTTTATGAGGGAAGAGATTGTCTCTTTTCTTTACCATTGAGTACTCCATGTCTTACACACACTAGTTGCTCAGTAACCAATACTGAACAGTGAAGGGAAAAAAAGGTAGGCTAGTCAAAATTTTAAAAACCTTTTTCTTATTATGCAAAGAAATAAAGACAAGTACTAATAGAGTTAGAAACATTTATTTTCCAAACACTACTAAAGGTCTAAGTAATAAAACTTTAAGCTAAATAGCAGAAAATAGAAAACAAAAGGAAAAAAACAAAGCATAAGAAAAAATTCAAAACATAAAAGTAAAGACCAGAGGTCAAATTAATCAATTCTGACAATAAATGTAAATGGGTAAAATTATCCTATTAAAAGACAAATAGATTAAAATTTAAAGTTCTATTATTTATTTGCCCTTAATATCTTATAAATAAATTTTATTTACATCAAACAGGCCAGACATCTGGCATTCAAAAATACCTACAGCTATAAAGTTAGAAGCTGTGAACACAGCCAAGGAGTGTTGGAGGTGTTGAAATTTTAAAATCTTCATGAATAACACAATCATTGAAGTTACATCCAAAAAGAACAGAGAAGAGGCAATATTGAAAGTATGAGGATAGGAAAGTGTCACTGATGCATTTTTGGAAACAGTATATTCACCTAAAGGCACCTTTCAGGTGATAGCTAGCTTTGGGGCATTAGAAATTAATAATAAAAAATAAATTACCCAAAGGCACAGATGAAACATTAACAGAAGTATAAAAGTAATTTTATGTAAGGTTAAAAACCTGTTTAAAAATACTTCCAGGCCGGGCATGGTGGCTCATGCCTGTAATTCCAGCATTTTGTAAGGTTGAGGCGGGTGGATCACTTGAGCCCAGGAGTTTGAGACCAGCCTGGGCAACATGGCGAAATGCTGTCTCTACAAAAAATACAAAAAATTACCCAGGCGAGGCAGTGCACACCTGTAGTCTCACCTAACCAAGAGACTGAGGTGGGAGCATCACCTGAGCCTGAGAGATCAAGGCTGCAGCAACTATTCTGTCACCCACTCCAGCCTGGGGGACAGAGTGAGACCTTGTCTCAAAACAAAACAGAACAAAAAACCAAAAAACTTCCAAATCTATTTTTAAAAAATCCATTACACAGACATTCAGTTTAAACTTAGCATTAAAATGTGTACCCAATACTCTACCTATTTGTAAATTCATATCAACATTAATTTATAATGTAGCATTTACTGCCAGTACTAAAAGAGGTTATCAGAAACCAGCTTCCTACCAAAATCTGGACAAAATATTTTAAAGCTAGTGAAATAATTTATCACAGGCCTATTTACTAGTGAGAAAATGTGGGCTCATTCTGTATACACAACTCCCTCACAATCTTAAGGGAAATACAAGTAATGTGTTTCCTTCTACGGAAACAGTATTTAACACATTTAGCAGGAAGGAACATTTCTCTTATTTGTTTTCCTTTCTATTCTCCCTCTCCCCAAAGCTTTATTAAAGGTAAAATTGACAAATAAAACTTGCATATATTTATGGTGTACAACTTGATGTTTTGATATGTGTATATATTGTGAACTGATTAAGTCCATCTAGTTGACATATCCATCACTTCACATACTTATTTTTTGTATGAGAATTTAAAAAATTGGCCATTCGCAGTGGCTCACACCTGTAATCCCAGCACTTTGAGAGGCCAAGGTGGGCAGATCATGAGGTCAGGAGTTCGAGACCAGCTTGGCCAACATGGTGAAAACCCATCTCTACTAAAAATACAAAAATTAGCCGGGCATGGTGGCGGATGCCTATAATCCCAGCTACTCAGGAGGCTGAAGGAAGAGAATCGCTTGAACCTGGGTGGCGGAGATTTCAGTGAGCCAAGATCACGCCACTGCACTCCAGCCTGGCAACAGAGCGAGACTCCATCTCAAAAAAAAAAAAAAAATTACTCTTAGCAATTTTCAAGTAAACAATACATTATTATTAACTTTAGTCACCATGCTATACAATAGCTCTGTAGAATGTATTCATCTAGTCTAACTGAAATTTTTTCTTTTTTTTGAGATGGAGTCTTGCTCTGTCGCCAGGCTGGAGTGCAGTGGAGGAATACCGGCTGACTGCAGCCTCTACCTCCCTGGTTCAAGCGATTCTCCTGCCTCAGCCTCCTGAGTAGCTGGGACTACAGGCATGCACCACCACGCCCAGCTAATTTTTGTATTTTTAGTGGAGACTGGGTTTCACCATGTTGGCCGAGCTGGTCTCGAACTCCTGACCTTGTGATCCTCCCGCCTTGGCCTCCCAAAGTGCGGGGATTACAGGCGTGAGCCACCGCACCTGGTCAGTTTCTTCCTTCTTTTATCTTCTAGGTCAGTTACCCCTCTTCTATCTGCTTTCAATTTTAAAAAATATTACTATCATCTGAATCTACTATAATTTTCTCTTCAATTTTCTTTGTTGGTTTATGCCTTTTGAAAAACTTTCCTTAACATCATTTTAGTGTTTTTTTTTTAAAGAAGAGCAATACATTTATGCATTCAATCTGCTTTATTAATTGGAATCCCTTGCCCATGAAATATTAAAGACACCAATTATTTGGCCAGAAAAATATGATCATACATTCCCCAAAGCAAAAAATCTTCTAGGCCATATTGGCTGGCAGCAATGGAAAAGGAGAGATAAAAATAAGGATATGAGGCCAGGCGCGGTGGCTCACGCCTGTAATCCCAGCACTTTGGGAGGCCGAGGTGGGCAGATCACCTGAGGTAGGGAGTTCCAGAACAGCCTGACCAACATAGAGAAACCCTGTCTCTACTAAAAAATACAAAATTAGCCTGGCGGGCTGGCGCATGCCTGTAGTCCTAGCTATTCGGGGGGTTGAGGCAGGAGAATCGCTTGAACCTGGGAGGCAGAGGTTGCGGTGAGCCAAGATTGTGCCATTGCACTCCAGCCTGGGCAAGCGAAACTCTGTCTCAAAAAAAATAAATAAATAAATAAAATAAAAATAAGGATATGAGACATGGCAGGTTTTGCCACTTAGGCTTAACAGGCCTCAGCTGTGGCCTGAAAATAAGCTACTGTGGGTTTTGTGTGGACCAGGGGCTTCTTTTTCTCACATTCGTTTGGTACTGGTGGCTGCCAAATGGGAACTGTGAAATGTCAGGGACAGTTGGTGGCAACGGGAAAGCAGGCCTGAGCCAGATGGCCCTTCCTTCATGATCTTGTGTCACTCAGCTGCCTGAACTGGGGACCTAGTCAACCCAAGGCTGGGGTCAGTCTTTTTGCTAAACGAGAGATCTCCAGGGCTTACTGAAGAGCCTAAGAAGTCTTAGGTCCAGACTGAGGGCAGGTAGGGGCGCAGAGTAGAAAGAGGATGGAGGTAAAGAGAGGAGTGATGGATGATGGCGGTGGAGAGTTCACCTCTCTTGTGGTTGAGCGTTCAGTGGCCTGGTTAGAATTGCCGTCTCTCAAGCATACTAAAGTTTGGCATGAGCCATTCTGGGGCCAGAACTGCATGAATATTCCTGAGGGTTTCTGGCCTTCTCTTCAGAAGCTAGAAGGGTGACGCTAGGTTTGTGAAGGAGCAGGGAGAGGCCATTCTGAGCAGGGCCTCTTTCACGTGCAATGTGGGTGAGAGCTTCTGCCATGCCTTCCGTTGTGAAGGGCCTTGAGTCTCTATAGCTAAACGATTCATCATTGGCCAGGTGCAGTGGCTTACGCCTGTAATCCCAGCACTTTGGGAGGCCAAGGTGGGCTGATCACTTGAGGTCAGGAGTTCGAGACCAGCCTGGCCAACATGGCAAAACCCTGTCTCTACTAAAAATATAAAAAATTAGCCAGGCATGGTAGTACATGCCTGTAATCCCAGCTACTCAGCAGGCTGAGGCAGGAGAATCACTTGAGCCCGGGAGGCAGAGGTTGCCAGTGAGCCTAGATCGTGCCATTGCACTCCAGTCTGGGCAAAAAGAGTGAAACTCCATCTAAAAAAAAAAAAAAAGGAAAAGAAAGACAGGACAACAGAATTATGACTGAGATGGAATATTCCACTCACCAAGTGGGTGAGGGCTCTGTGCAAATTTCTCTCTCTTTTTTTTGAGACAGTCTCTCTGTCGCCCAGGCTGGAGTGCAGGGGCACAATCTTGGCTCACTGCAACCTCCACCTCCCCGGTTCAAGCGATTATCTTGCCTCAGCCTCTCGAGTCGCTGGGATTACAGGTGTCCGCTGGCTAATTTTTGTATTTTTAGTAGAGACAGGGTTTCACCGTGTTGGGCAGGCTGGTCTTGAACGCCTGACTTCAAGTGACCCACCTGCCTCGGCTTCCCAAAGTGCTGGGATTACAGGCGTGAGCCACCACACCTGGCTACATTTCTCTTACTTGTAGAAATAAATGTGACATTTTTTAACCTGAGTACAGTGCAGTAAAACTCACATCAGTTATGCTGGTTTCTAAAAACTGCCCATGTTCAGGTGTTCAGAAGGGGGAGCTCTGTGGTCTAACTTGAAGAACCCAATAGAAGGTTCCCATTGCCCCCACATAGCTCCCCTACCACCTCATCTTTGCCTGGCATTTTTGTCATTAGCATTATTCCTGTACTTCAGGTATTTCCTTAAAGAGGAAACCTTTAACCCCCATGACCTGACTGGCATGGCAGACTGCAAGGAGCTGGACCAAGAGCAGTCCTAATTAGGAGACTTTGCTCTTTGTGGTCTCTTTTCTGCATTTGGTAAAACAACCACGTCAGAGGCCAGTTTTGGCTTAACTGCCCCTCAAAGCACATGGTGTGGTGGTGTGCAGCTTCCTTCCGGGGGCCTCTGCCTCCTCTGCACCCCAGAATCTTTTCCTACCACGGAAACTGCTCCTGACCGCTATTGATCTGCATTAGCAAAAGGTGACAGAAGGCCGGGCGCCGCGGCTCATGCCTGTAATCCCAACACTTTGGGAGGCCAAGGCAGGCGGATCTCCTGAGGTCAGGAGTTTGAGACCAGCCTGGCCAACATAGTGAAGCCCCATCTCTACCAAAAATATAAGAAAAATTAGCTTGGTGTGGTGGCAGGTGCCTGTAGTCCCAGCTACTTGGGAGGTTGAGGCAGGAGAATCACTTGAACCCGGGAGGTGGAGGTTGCAATGAGCCGAGATCGCGCCACTGCACTCCAGCCTCTGCAACAGAGCCAGACTCCGTATCAAAAAAAAAAAAAAAAAAAAGTGACACAAGCACAGCGGGTCCCAAGAGTCTCACAGCCTGCCCCTGCCTCCTGACCTCTCCTCCATATTAAGGAGATGGGGAATCCTTCCCAAGTTTCCCGCTTATAATTTCTTGGATAGAGTACTCCTTTTTCAGGAAGTGGAATTGTGAGTTGCTTACTGGAAACTCCCTTCCATTAATCCTTTTTATATCCATAAGCTCAGGCCAAAAATCTCAGTATCATTCCTGATTCCTCCCTTTCTCTCACTCTCCACATTCAGGCCATCAGTGAGGTCAGTCAGTTCCATCTTCATAAGGCATCTCAAACCACAAGGACATACTTTACATAGAAAAAATAAACCTGTGTGTAGTGCATGGGGGCAATTCGCTAGCAGCTTTTCTATTGAAGAAGGCTAAAGAACACAGGAAGTGGAGGTTAAAGGTTTGACTGCGTAGGAACAAAAGTTTAGGTCTCAGGATTTTAAAACGGGGAATAAAGCTGACTTTTAAAATACACAATATTTTCCACTCTTGCTCTGCCACAAGAAAAAAACTTCTTTTTTTTTTTTTTTTGAGATGGAGTCTCACTCTGTTGCCCAGGCTGGAGTGCATTGGTGCGATCTCGGCTCATTGCAACCTCTGCTTCCCAGGTTCAAGCGATTCTCCTGCTTCAGCCTCCCGAGTAGCTGGGATTACAGGCACCCGCCACCACACCCAGCTCATTTTTGTATTTTAGTAGAGATGGGGTTTCATCATGTTGACCAGGCTGGTCTTGAACTCCTGACCTCAAGTGATCCACCCACCTCAGTCTCCCAAAGTGCTGGGATTACGGGTATAAGCCACCTCGCCCAGCCGAGAGAAAAAAAAAAAAAAACTTCCGAGAATTGATATGTGCAGTCTGCACACATATACATCCCAATTTTAGTCAAAAGGCTTGTTGCAGTCAAATCAGACTTCATACAGGCACATAAACTGGAGGGCGGAGTTCAGCCAGGTGGTATCAGTTTCAGGTGACCTGTGAGTTCCCTGGAGGCAGAGTGGTTGAGGTCATATGGTATCAAGGCTGACGGGGGGACAGGGGACTGATGGATCATGAGGACTTGTTCCTTGAGTCTGTAGCTCAGTGGTTGTTCTTCAGGACAGGGACCCTTTTAGTCAAGGCCTGGAAGGGAGTCTTTTCAGAGGAAGGAGGTGTGAATTAGGGAGACGTGGAGTGAGGGAGAGGAGTTCATTACCTCCACCAGACCATGAGCTCCCTGAGAGCTGGGCCAGAGACTGGACTCCTTTGAGGATCCAGTGAAGAGTGTTTTCTTTCTGGCACAAAGGCTGGGGTGATTCTGCGGACACAAGCAGGTGCCCTGGTATTTATTGCAAGTGCCAGATGCCAGATTCTAATTGGGATCAACATCTTCCTCACCAGCCTGAAGTTCTGCACAGATGTTGGTTTTCCTTCCCTAGAGAGGGCTCACTAATCGTTAGACCCAAAAGGAAACCCTTGTAGAGACCTCCTTCCTTCCTCCACCCCTCCACTTTATAAGAGGATGTGGCTGGCTGGGCACGGTGGCTCGCACCTGTAATCCCAGCACTTTGGGAGGCCGAGGTGGGTGGATCACCTGACGTCGGGAGTTCGAGACCAGCCTGGCCAACATGGTGAAACCCTGTCTCTACTAAAAATACAAAAATTAGCCAGGCGTGGTTGTGCATGCCTGTAATCTCAGCTACTCAGGAGGCCAAGGCAGGAGAATCACTTGAACCTGGGAAGCAGAGGTTGCAGTGAGCCGAGATCACACCACTGCTCTCCAGCCTGGGTGACAGAGTGAGAGTGAGACTCTATCACTCTGTAAAAAAAAAAAAAAAAAAAAAAAGAAGATGTGGTCATGGTGGGAGGGGTGTGTGGGGCCTCTACCACTTAGTGGCTGGGTAACTTTGGGCAAATTACCTTCCTAAGCTTGTTTTTTTTTTTTTTTTTTTTTCATTTTAAAGGTGAAAAGAATAATGTGACAAGCCTTGTAGGATTGTTATGAGCATCAAACGAGTTAATGAAGATAAAGTGTTTGATACAACAATGTCTGGTTAAACAAGGTCAATGCTCAGTACACCTTAGTTATGATTGGCACCTCCACAAGGGAGTAGGTATGGCTGAACATCTGATCCTCTGTGTCTTGGTCTGGGAAAACCCTGGATCCTGAGTAGCAAATGAGTGGGAAGAGTCCCAAGATGGTGCCAGGAAGGATGCAACAGGCAATGAACTTCCCTATCTCGCCCACCCCAATTATGACATCATCACGCTGATGGGGATTGTGTCCCCACAATGTGGCAGGAATGTACAAGGAGGAGCATCCTTAGAGGCCCAGTGCTGCTCACACCCTGCCCCTGTCTCAGCCTTCAGGGCACCCCAAGTTTGCTGTGCTCTAAGAAATGGGGAAGCACAAATTTCCAGAAAAAGCATAGCGAAGTCAACCCGAGGAGGTTGATAGAGGTTGGTGAGAATTAACTTTTGCCCAAAGAGAGACGCATGGGCTGGAAGAAAGAGAAGAGGCAATTTGTTTTGCAAATCGGGGACCTGGACCTGTCATCAAGTTTCCCACCGTCCAAAGGGGGGTTCATGGCTCATTTTCATGGGACACATGGGCTCGGGATGGGAGTGAGGAAAAGGTGACAGATACACATCTGGGTTCACACTGCTGTGGCTGCTCAGAAGGGAAGGAAAGCAGCCTCTTCTGTTTGGGGCATGGTAGGCCCAAGCCTTCTGAACTGCCCACCCAGCAGAGAAAACAGGCAGGAAGAGAAACTGAACAGAGAAGTGGAGGAGGAAGCTCACACCATGTGGTTGGTGCTGCTGTTGGTTTTACACTGCCAGAGCTAATAACCAGGTGTATTCATGAGGCTTCTGCCTTTTGATAACCTCAGACTGGGCCACATCTTCTGACTTGGCCATAAATGGGGAAAGGGCCTTACCTAAGGTCGGTACTGAGTCAGAGGTAGGACCTGGGCAGGAGGCCTTTCAGCCGTGGTGCCTGCAGGTGGAAAACCCCAGCAGCCCTTTCTCCTGCTCAACCCCCCTCTCTCTCAGGACATAGAACAAGTAGTGGTTTCTCAGTCTCCAGCCAGCTCTATGTTCCTTTCCTCCCTATGCTGCAGGTGTTCCTTTCCTCCCTCCATCACATGCTATCACCACTTGCTCTGTGTCCTGGGACAACTCTCCCCATTCAGAGCCTGATCACAGGGCAGAGGGAAATCTTCCCATCTTCCTCCTCCAGAAAACCAACACACAGACCCTCTTCTCCTTACTGATTTTATTGCTACTCACTAAAGAGAAGTAGAAAAGATCACAAAAAGCAACACATCTACGTGTTAAAAACGTAAGCAGTTTTTTCCTCTCTGATCTCTGATCTGATTCATTTGTGTATTCATTCATTCATTCATTCATCTGTCCATCCATTCATTTGTCCATCCAATGAGTATTTATTAAGCATCTGCTTTGTACCAGGGAGTGTCCTGAGCCGTGAGGATGCAGCAGTGAAAAAGACAGATGCAGACATGGTCCCTGCCCTCCAGTGGGTCTTGACTCTTGCCTTGACACAATCATGGGAGCCTGTCGACTTCTGCGCTCTGAAGTCCTCATCCCATGTAGGAGCTGAAGACAGTGCCTACAAGAGCCCACATTTTAGGGCAAAGGCAAGAATAGACAGTCTGAGTGGTTGCCCTGCACAGCCAGAAGCAGTGCAGCCAGGGGTGGATGTGCTAGTCCTGGTAGAGGAGGGGAAGCCAGAAGTCAGGGCCAAAGGGGCAGTGTCATTTGTTAAGGAGTGAGCTCAGGGCTGCAAACGAATGGGTCCAGACATTAGGAAGGGGTTGGGAGGAGGAGGGCAAGGGAGGTGGCCACTAATGGGTCAGGATGAGAGAAAGGCAAGGGTTTTGGAAATCTATCTTGCTGGGAGCTGGTTGAGTGGCAGGAAATCAAGGGTTAATGATGGTAACAACAACAATAATCCTTGTCATCAAGTGTGTATTGAGTGCTTACTGTGACTGTGCCAGCCACCAAGGCAGGCACTTTCCATATATGGTCGGTCTCACATTAAATGGTAAAGCGTTGGCAGGACATCTGCTCTTAAGCATAGAAAGGAACCAAACCTATCCTTTCTAGACCCCAGCAGAAAGTTAAGACCAAGATGAACCAGCCCACTCCTGACCCCAAGCTCTTCTTAGCATCTACATCCTACAGTGGATATAAAGATGAAATGAAGGCAGGTGACAGTTCCCTCACCCCAGGTGGACACTTTGCAATCTCTGAGTAACATCCCGTTGTTAAACTTTTGTACCTCCAGGGATGATCATCTTTGAGTGTCACCTTTCAAAGGGACACAGATTCAAGTGCCTTGGGGGCCAGGCAGGTGGTGTATATGAGTGCGAGTGAAGAAAAACCAACCCTAATTTTCAGAGCAGGAGAAAACCCATGTGGACTGAGGCCATCAGAAGCACACCTGTCCTTGCAAGCATGAACCCTAATTGCCAGATCTTCTGATATTTTTTTCCAGAGAAGTCAGAAATTCACAGATTATAATATGAAATCTCTAAATCTTTTAATTAACAAAAAGATTAACAAGTTAATTAATTGACAAAAAGTACAAAAATTGATACAATCAATCAATACCTCTCTGGGACTTCGGTTATACAAATCAAATTAAACACATTTTACACTCTCTCAGCAATATCAAAACTGAGTTCAGGCGAGGCACGGTGGCTCATGCCTGTAATCTTAGCACTTTGGGAGGCCAAGGCGAGTGGATCATTTGAGGTCACGTGTTCGAGACCAGCCTGGCCAACATGGTGAAACCCCATCTCTACTAAAACTACAAAAATTATCCGGGCATGGTGGCAGGCGCCTGTAGTCCTAGCTACTCAGGAGGCTGAGGCAGGAGAACCGCTTGAACCCAGGAGGCAGAGGTTGCAGTGAGTCGGGATTACGCCACTGCACTCCAGCCTGGGCTACAGAGCGAGACTCTGTCTCAAAAAGCAAACAAACAAACAAACAAAAAACAGTGCAAGGTCTCTGGAGCTCATTTCTAAAACATGTCAAGTCCTTCCACTGAGATAGTAACACCCTTAAGCATTGCGTGAACATCATTTTTTACCAAAACTCTAAAGCAGCTTCACAATTCCAGTAATCCATGGACTTAGGGAGGAGTGGAAAGGAGGGGGAGGATGAGAAAAGAAAGGGAAGAGAGGGGAAAGGAGAAGATGAAAGAACTGGGGGCACTGGACGTGGTGGGTGGCTCACGCCTGTAAACCCAGCACTTTGGGAGGCCGAGGCAAGTGGTTAAGGTCTCAGGTTCGAGACCAGCCTGACCGACATGGTGAAAGATCGTCTGTACAAAACATACAAAAATTGCTTGGGAGGCTGAGGCAGGAGAATCGCTTGAATCCAGGAGGTGAAGGTCGCAGTGAGCCAAGATTGAGCCACTGCATTCCAGCTGGCCGCATAGCCCCTTTTATACAAAGCCAAAGAGAGCATTATGCCAAGCACAAGTAGAATCTGTTTTCCAGAGCTGCTGCTTTCTCATGAAACCTGATTGGATAGTTGGACAGTTCATAGCCTCAAAGTCACACAAATGGTGTTGGGTAAAGAAAGTGGAAGACAGATGAGTTGAGTTATACTCTACGTGGCTACAGGCAGGACAGGTGGGGAGGAATCAGCCCCAGCCTCAGGCTGCCTGGCAAGCACGGTCCCCTCCTTGCACATATCCTAGCACAGCCTCCTTGGCATGCAGTTGGCAGGGCTTTTATAGAGGAAAGGGTTGAGACTTCACTGTTTTCACAACAATGGCTCTGTGAAGGAGGCAGAGGTAGCGTTAGAGATAAAAGAGTTAAATCTGCCCTTGGACGAGAGAGATAAGAAAACCAAGGGTGAAAGGACAGAGGCCTGGGAAGTAAATGCAATGAAGTTAGATGCCTTCAAGCAAAAGGCCAGCTGTGCAGTGCTGGGCCTTCAAGATTGGGGATGACAGGACAGATAGGGGTCCAGAGGCAGTTCTGAGCCACACAGCCCTGCCTCGCTCATCCTTAGAGACACGCTTCCTGATTTAGTTAAGAGCATGAGATTTGAAGGATGTTCACCTGGTTTCAAATCCTTGCTCCAAGGATTATCTTATTCATTCACTCAGAAAATATTGATTGAGCATTTGTGTAGTGGCAGGACACACCAGCAAACAAAACAGATAGGATCTCTGCCCTAATGGAACTTGCATTTGAGTGGGTGGAAGACAGTCAGTAAACCAAATAGTATTAATAAGCCAAATGACAAGATATCTTAGAAGGGGATAGCTAAATGCTATATAGGAGGAAAGGCTGGTGTGATGGAGCAGTAGTACGAGGCTGGGTTCTAGTTTTTATTTTTATTTTATTTATTTATTTTTAGAGACAGGGTCTCACTGTGTCACCCAGGCTGGAGGGCAGTGGCACGATCAGGGCTCATTGCAGTCTCAAACTCCTGGGCTAAAGCCACCGCGCCCAACTATTTTTATGTATGTATGTATTTATTATTATTATCATTATTATTATTATTATTTGTAGAGACTGGGTCCAACTATGTTGCCCAGGCTGGTCTTGAATTCCTGGCCTCAAGCAATCCTCCCGCCTTGGCCTTCCAAAGTGCTGGGATTGTAGGTATGAGCCACCGTCCTTGGCTAAGTTCAAGGCAGGATTTATAGAGATGACAGCATTTCAACAAAAGCTGGAAGGTGAGCAAGTGAGCCATGTGGCTGCCTGAGGGACAGCAGTCTGAGAATGGGAGACAAGCAAGGTGGAAGTATGCCCTGTGTGTTCAAGGAATGGCAAGGAGGCCAGAGTGGCTGAGCAGAGTGAGCGAGTGACAGGTCATGGGGAATGGATCACATAGTAACCAGGAGGTTTTTCTGGCTTATGGTCTGAGAGCAAGGGACAGCACTGGAGAGATTTCTTTTTTTATTTTTTTGAGACAGAGTCTTGCTCTGTCACCCAGGCTGGAGTGCAGTGGTGCAACTTGGCTCACTGCAACCTCCACCTCCCGGGTTCAAGTGATTCTCCTGCCTCAGCCTCCTGAGTAGCTGGGATTACAGGTGCCTGCCACCATGCCTAGCTAATTTTTGTATTTTTAGTAGAGACGGAGTTTCACCATATTGGCCAGGCCGGTCTCAAACTCCTGAGCTCAAGTGATACACCCACCTCGGCCTCCCAAAGTGCTGGGATTACAGGCGTGAGCCACCACACCCAGCCAGCACTGAAGAGAGTTAAGCTGAGGGGAGAGGTGCGCTGACTTACAATTGAAAACCTTTAAACAGGCGGGGCTCAGGAGGCTGAGGAAGGACAATCGCTTGAACCCAGGAGGCGGAGGTTGCAGTGAGCCGAGATCATGCCATTACACTGCAGCCTGGACAATAAGAGTGAAACTCTGTCTAAAAATAATAAAAATAAAATAAAATAAAATAAAATAAAATAAAATAAAATAAAACATTTAAACAGTTGTTGTGTTGCAGAAGGACTGCTGGGGGCCAAGGATGCAGGCCAGGACACTGACCAGGAGGCCACTGCAGTCATTCGAGAGGGAGTTGATGAGGCTTGCACCTGCCTGGCAACAGGAGAGGTGGCGGAAAGAAACAGGATTCTGGATGAGTTTAGCCTTCCCTCGTTTACTAGCTATGTGACCTTGAAGATGTCTCTTAACCTCTCTAAACCTCAGATTACTCACTTTAAAACTGTGGTGATTGAATCTCTCTCAGGGGATTATTGAGAGGATTAAATGAGATAATACATGTAAAGCCCTGAGCACCATCTCTAATAGGTGCTTCACTCATTCCCTTCATTTGCGCAAGTAATATTTTTTGAGCACATACTATGTGTTGAACACTGGAGAGATATCAGCAGAGACATAAACAAGTAACAGAATATTATTATAGTTGTAAGTGCTCTGAAACCACAAAGCATTAGTAGAATAGGGAGGACCTGTACAGGGGTAGGGAGGGTGGGGAGTGGGGAATTTTAGATAGTGAAGTCAGATAAGAGAAGGCTTTCCTGAGAGGATAATGTTAGAACAGAAACCTAAACAATGAGGAGCCAAGTATGTAGGGAACTGAGAGGAATATTCCAGAGAGGACAGCAAGGATAAAGGCCCTAAAATGAGAATGAGTTTCGTCAGAGCTGAGATGGGACTGGCTCTCAAGGTGGAGCTGGAGCAAAGTTAGATTGTGTCTTTATTTAAAATTTTGGGCCAGGCGTGGTGGCTCACACCTGTAATCCCAACACTCGGGGAGGCTGAGGTGGTTGGATCACCTGAGGTCAGGAGTTCAAGACCAGCCTGGCCAACATGGCGAAACCCCATCTCTACTAAAAATACAAAAATTAGCTGGGCGTGGTGGTGCACACCTGTAATCCCAGCTACTTGAGAGGCTGAGGCAGGAGAATTGCTCCAACCCAGGAGGCAGAGGTTGCAGTGAGCCAAGATTGTGCCACTGCACTCCAGCCTGGGCGACAGAGTAAGACTCCGTCTCAAAAAAAAAAAAAAAAAAAGATATTTTATTCACCATGGATTTTTATTGCATTAATTTTGAATTTTAGAAATGTTCTTTATGATGATTACTGAGGTTTTTGGCACCTTTCGAATTTTGCACCCAAGGGAGGCATCACTTGCCTCCCCCTAGTCCTGGCTTTGTGGGCAGAAAGAAGCTGAATAAAATGACAGCTGCTATTGATGTTGGAGTTATAGAAAGTCAGGGGTTAGGGAGACTCTCTACAGAAGTTGAGATGGGCTGGTGGGCAAGGCCTGTGATTCCGTGATTCCATGCTTTGAGCATGAAGTCAGGGTTACCGTAAAAAATAATCTAATGAGAAATATCTATCTCTCAGTATTCAATTTTTTTTTTTTTTTAGAAAAATCAAGAGCCCAGTTTACACTCAGAGCTTTTTGTCATGACCCAGACCCCCTGAGCTTTCAAGTCCACCAGCTTTCCCTTCACCTTGTTCTCTGAGGCCACATGAGTTAAGGGCACACATTAGAGTCTCCTCCAAATTACTCCAGGTAGAGGAAGAATTCTGGGGCTATGAGGTCTATTCCTAGCCTGTGCTAATGTCACTGTTCTTCCCCAGTCCTCAGGTGATCTTTTTTTTTTTTTTTTTTGAGAGGGAGTCTCGCCATGTCACCCAGGCTGGAGTGTAGTGGCACAGTCTCAGCTCACTGCAACCTCTGCCTTCCGGGTTCAAGCAATTCTCCTGCCTCAGCCTCCCACTTAGGGGGCATTACAGGCACACACCGCCATGCCTGGCTAATTTTCTTTTTTTGGTATTTTTAGTAGAAATGGGGTCTCGCCATGTTGGCCAGGCTGGTCTCGAGCTCCTGACCTCAGCTGATCCACCTGCCTTGGCCTCCCAAACTGCTGGGATTACAGATGTGAGCCACCGTGACTGGCCCGTGACCTCTCTATTCTATGCAGTTCTTTTGACAATAAGACAATGCGTGTAAACTGCAAAGCTTTAACAAAGTTCCATTTTCCGGCTCTTGCAAAGCTTCAGACCTCTCTGATACCATTGGAAGAAAACCCTTCTACCCCCTGTTCTATTACCCACCCTCCAGGACCAGCCTGGTATGTCACAAAATTTGGGTCCCCACAAGTAGCTTTGCTTTATCAGGTGTACAGAGTCTTCTGTTAGAAATCTAGACCACATCTTGTTTCGCCATTTGCAGCTTGCCTCGTTTATTTTCTCTTCGTGGGGATGGGAGAGAAATAGCTTTCTCCCTTCCTCATTTGCAGGGAATTTCAAGGCTCCTAGCAGCTTTCTCACAAATAGGCTGTAGTGACCTGCTGGGATATCTTACCCTCCTTCTCTCCATTCCTTCCTTCCTCCCTCCCTCACTTCCTTCCTTTCTCCTTTCCTCTCTCATTCAACAGATACTTTTTTGAGTATCTGTGTACATACCATTGAGGACACAGGATGAACAAGACAGACACAACCCCTTTCATGTTGAGCTCACAATCTGGTCAGGCAGACACACGAAGCAGTCACTATATAGTTGCTATGATGGGGGAGGTAGAGGGTGCTGTAAATGTGCGTAGATGGGAGGAAAGAAAATCTAGAGCCTTCTGCTCCTTTATAAAATACAGGAATGAGGTTCAGAGAAGAAAAGAGTAGTGTCGGCCGGGCACAGTGGCTCATGCCTGTAATCCCAGCACTTTGGGAGGCCTAGGTGGGTGGAGATCACTTGAGGTC
Organism: Homo sapiens; assembly: GCF_000001405.40. Taxonomy (NCBI): domain Eukaryota; kingdom Metazoa; phylum Chordata; class Mammalia; order Primates; family Hominidae; genus Homo; species Homo sapiens. The sequence goes on along the minus strand of NC_000009.12, from coordinate 111,976,308 downwards.
GGGAGTTCGAGACCAGCCTGGCCAACATGGTGCAACCCTGTCTCTACTCAAAATACAAAAATTAGCCAGGTGTGGTGGCGTGTGCCTGTAATCCCAGCTACTTGGGAGGCTGAGGCACAAGAATCGCTTGAACCCGAGAGATGGAGGTTGCAGTTAGCCTAGATAACGACCCCGCACTCCAGCCTGGGTGACAGAGTGAGATTCTGTCTCATTAAAAAAAAAAAAAAAAAAAAAAGAGTAGTGTCCTCAGTCACAGGCTCCAGGGCTTCTTGTTTCTATCGCTTTTGCTTCCTAATAAGGGCCTCACTTTGGGGCTCAGAAGATCTCTAACAGTGAGGGGACTCCAGGTGTGTGACATAAAAGCAGAGGGAATTGCTAACAAGTGCTCAGCAGATGGCAGTCTGACAAAGTGCACGTGGCTGACGCCAAAGGCCAGGGCAGCTTCTGCCCTTCCCACACAGCCAGCTGGGCCAGCCTGGGCTCACTCTTACCCCAGTGCCCTGGGACGTTCACTCTCTAGGAGAGAGGGTCCTCAACCTGTCCTGGACCACAGTGAGACTTCTTACTTTTTCCTTCCATGCTTCCTGCGCTAACTCTACTTTTATGTGTAATGCTTAGTCTGCATAGTGTGTGGTTTCCTAGCATTTGCTCGAATTCCACATGGAGCCCAGTGGTCTGTGATAGGCACTGTAAACAAGGATATTCTTGTCCATATTGAGCAGACAGGTTCTGCCTTTAAACTCCTTAATCAAACCACTGCATGTGCAACTTGCCCTTGTCCTTGAAGGGTAGCCTTCATACATATCTATAAAGACAAGATGTTCTGGGGATTTTCTTTGTTTTTGTTTTTTTGGTCTTATTCTGTTGCCCAGGCTGGAGTACAGTGGCTCAATCATAGCTCACTGCAGCCTTGAACTCCTGGCCACAAGCGGTCCTCCTGCCTCAGCCTCCCAAGGAGCTAGGACTACAGGTGCATGCCACCACACTGGGCTAATTTTTAAATTTTTTTTTTTTTTTTTTTTGTAGAGAGAGGGTCTCAGTATGTTGTCTAGACTGGTCTTGAGTTCTTGGGCTCAAGTGGTCCTCCTACCTCAGCCTACCAAAGTACTGGGATTACAGGCATGAGCCACCGTCCCTGGCCCCTACCTGAGATGTTCTGTATATTTCTACCTCAATAACTTATATTTCCATAGGCCCTTTACAGATTGGCACCAGGCAGGCACTATGGACACATAAATGAATGAATCTAGAAACCGATCCCCCCTCCCCGACCAGGCTAATTTTTACCGCTCTAATCTCAAACAACTCCCCTCCCCCCCAAAAAGTTGTTAATCTGGGTTTCAGCATGAGATCAGGAATTTAGGTCTAGAAGAAGGCACCAACTAGGAAAAGATGAAGGGCTGTCTTCTATGGCTCCCAGAAGATGGACATGTCTGCCAAGGTCAGAAAGAGGCCAAAAAAAAGGTACTCTCCACAGGCAAGGTTATTTAACATTTCCCAGAATCCTTCTGACCTAGAATAATCTTTTTCCTTCCTGAAATTGTTGAGTCCTAGGTGAAAGCTGAGAGCAGGTGGCTGGCTGCTTAGAAACCAAGAAGAAGATCTGGAAATATAGGCAGAACTTTTTGACCTTAGAAAGACTTTTTGTTTCCTCGTGATCTCAGGCTACATGCGGTGGCTTGGTGACTTTTTGGCACTGCTCTTAGCTGACTCAGTCTTGCATTTCTAGCAGCACACAAGTCCAGCAAGTAAGCAGGATCTCTTGCTTTGCTGGGTTTGGAGAACCTCCCAAAGAGACATACAGATCAGAGTTCAGCCACACTGTGCTCACTCTTCTCTCGCTTCCACCAGGAAAACATAAAATGTCCACTCTTTTATGACAGCTTAAGCAATTAACATTCCTTACGGAAAATCTAAATGCAAATTGCACCTGCCACCTCCGGTCCCCTAAGGGGATGAATGCGGGAATATCGAATCTCTTAACAAACAACTTGCGTGAAGAGTTTTGTTCCTAAGAAATCAACATTTAGTGTATCATTTTGGTAAAATAATAGCCCGTAAAGCAGTGGTTGTTAATGCTGACTGCACATTAGAATTATCTAGGAGGCTTTGAAAAATGCTGACATGTCAGCCCCACTCCAGAGTTTATGACTTAATTGGTCAGGGCCCCCGTCAACCCGATCCCCGGCATCAGTAGTTTCAGAGCTTCTCCAGGTGAGATTACTGTGTGGCAAGGCATATAGAATTTACTTTTGTGCCAGGCACTCCTAAAGCACTGTATACATATTAATTGTTTAATCTTCACCACAATCCTGTGAAAAAGCTATTGTGATTAAACACATTTTACAGATTACAAAAGCCTTAATCATATCTAATTTGCTTGGCTTAAAAAAGGACCATTGGAAGAACTGGCAGAGGCTTTGAAACTGAGTTTCTGTCTCTTCCCACCAGTTTCTGGAAGGTGAATTGAACAATATGGAGAGACATTTCCTCAAAGATATGAAGGAAGCCAGCTCCTTGGAAAGACAAACACAGATTTAGTGACATTTTAGATAACTGCAAGGTGTTAGCTGAGATCACCCTGCTCACTAGATTTAGTATAATTTAAAGTCCCCTTGGCCGGGCGCAGTGGCTCACGCCTGTAATCCCAACACTTTGGGAGGCCGAGGCAGGTGGTTCACTCGAGGTCAGGAGTTAGAGACCAGCCTGGCCAACATGGTGAAACCCCATCTCTACTAAAAATACAAAAGGATTAGCCAGGTGTGGTGGTGCACGCCTGTAATTCCAGCTACCCGGGAGGCTGAGGCAGGAGAATTGCTTGAACCCAGGAGGCGGAGGTTGCAGTGAGCCGAGATCATGCCGCTGCACTCCAGCCTGGGTGACAGAGTGAGACTCTGCCTCAAAAAAATAAAGAAATAAAAAATAAAGTCCCCATTCTATAACTTGCAGAAATCAATGCTCTCCAAATTTTTGCAAATGTCTGGGGGACTTAACTTCTCACAGTTGCTTCTGCTCTAAGATTGTGTTTCTGCTAGTAAGTTTAGATCATGACCCATCGCACAACAGTCCATGGACCTAGATACAGAACACAGCTACTTCCCCATTCTCCTCAACGGCCCCCACCTGCCCCAGCCAACATGGCCTTCATTTGAGGAGATGATGCTGAAAACTTGGAGAGATGAAGGAATTTACATCCATACAATACAAGCCCTAAGAATTCAGCTTAAATATTAGATTCCTTTTTTTTTTTTTTTTTTTTTTTTGAGAGGGAGTCTCACTCTGTTGCGCAGGCTGGAGTGCAGTGGCGCGATCTCGGCTCACTGCAACCTCCGCCTCCCGGGTTCAAGCGATTCTCCTGCCTCAGCCTCCTGAGTAGCTGGGATTACAGGCTCGCACCACCACACCCAGGTGATTTTTGTATTTTTAGTAGAGATGGGGTTTCACCTGTTAGCCAGGATGATCTCGATTTCCTGACCTCGTGATCTGCCCACCTCGGCCTCCCAAAGTGCTGGGATTACAGGCATGAGCCACTGTGCCCAGCCTAGATTCCTCTTAAAAGTTCTTTTAGCTGTTTCATCATTGGGAATTTTACTGTATCACTGCTCTCTACCTTTTCTCTCTTCCTGTCTCATTTCTGTTTTCTCTCTTTCTACACTTCACAACCAGGCTTTACAACTTGAGAATCAACCTTATATGTCTAGAAGAATTATGAAAGTATTTTTTGGTAGAACCAAGAATGCTCCTTCCCAAAGATAAACTTTAGGGCCACCTGTTGAGATAATATTTACATAAGACTTTCCCCCCTTTCTTACATTAAAATAAAGATTTGATAACTTCGGACAAATTTGTAACTCACCATGGGTTCCTGGGCCCTGCTAGGCAGCCTAACCTTGAAGGAAGAGAGGTAGTCTCAGTTTTCTTATTTGCGGCATAGCCATTGTGCTTTGACAAGTCAGCGTTAAGACTAGGCCTTGTACATAGGGGTCTCAGTAGGAGGAAAGGGAAATAGGCTTTTTAAAAAAATTTAAATATATATATATGTAATATGTATATATATATGGTCTCACTTTGTCACCCAGGTTGGAATGCAGTGGCGCGATCATGGCTCCCTGCAGCCTTGAAGTCCTGGGCTCAAGCAATCCTCCCGCCTCAGCCTCCTGAGTAGCTTGGGACTACAGGTGCATGCCACCATGCCCGGCTAATTTTTGTATTTTTAGTAAAGAGGGGGTTTCACCATTTCGCCCAGGCTGAAAAATGGTCACTTTTATATTACTCATACAACTTTTGAGTTACCAGTAGTATAAAAGTAAATTTTTATATGTATTATGTATGAGAGGCTGGGCGCGGTGGCTCATGCCTGTAATCTCAGCACTTTGGGAGGCTGAGGTGGGTAGACCAACTGAGGTCAGAGGTTTGAGACCAGCCTGACCAACATGGAGAAACCCCATCTCTACAAAAAGAATACAAAATTAGTCGGGCGTGGTGGTGCATTCCTATAATCCCAGCTACTTGAGAGGCTGAAGCAGGAGAATTGCTTGAACCCAGGAGGCAGAGGTTGCAGTGAGCCAAGATCGCACCATTGCACTCCAGCCTAGGCAACAAAAGCGAAAATCTCCATCTCAAAAAAAAATTATGTATGATAATATAATGTAGTATGTTTATGGATATACATTAGTATTCTGAAAATAGATATAACTAGAAGAGCTATATCAATAAGACTGAAAGAAAAGTCTAGAAAAGCTTTATCTATACATTATTTATTATATTATATACACTGTACATATAAATACTCTTCCATATATCATATAACTGAGAAAAGTTTGGATAGTTGAACAAACGACATTGGAAACGTTGGCTAGTCATTTGGAAAAAAAATTGGAGTCACTTTGTACTTACTAGAAGAATATTTAGGTGAATACAGTCATGTGTTACATAGCAATGTTTTGTTCAATAATGGATACATATACAATAGTGGTCTCATAAGAGTATAATGGAGCTGAAAAATTGCTATCACCTAGTGATGTTGTAGCTGTAGCCATCATAATGTCATAGGGCAGCACACTACCTTCCCTGTGTTTAGCTGCACCAATACCTGCAAAGACTCATCTGAAAATGAGAAGAATCTAAAAGCTGAGGGTATGCCTGCAGGACCAAACTTGACCTACCAGGGCAGAATTCCAGAGGGAGATAGTAGAGGAAATTCACAAATACCAACTACAAGGAGGAGAGCGGTCAGGGAGAAACTATTCACCCTGAGGGTCAAAGAGAAGACTTGGAGAAAACATTCATCCAACTCTTGGCCTTAAGCGATCTTCCCACCTCAGCTTTCCCAGAAGCTGAAGCCACAGGCTCATGGCCACCCCCACAGGTGGAGAAAGCATTTGTGAAAACAGCAGGGACTTTCAGATAACACATGCCTTGCACTTACACAAAAAAGAAAGTGCATGTGACCTCTAGAAGCCAAAGAGAGGAAAGATGTAGAAAGGAATCAACTGAATGAAGACCCTGCGCAGCAGCTCATGCCTGTAATCCCAGCACTTTGGGAGGCCAAGGCGGGCAGATCACTTGAGGCCAAGAGTTTGAGACCAGACTGGCCAACATGGCCAAACCCTGTCTCCACCAAAAATACAAAAATTAGCCAGGCATGGTGGCACACGCCTGTAATCCCAGCACTTTGGGAGGCCAGGAGTTTGAGACCAGACTGGGCAACATAACGAGACCCCATCTCCAAAACAGAAAAATCAGGCGGGGCGTGG